>NC_000012.12:13334650-13959650 GCF_000001405.40 Homo sapiens
AAATGAGAGTTATACAGCCTTGGAAATTGCTGCCCAGGGTTAGCTGCCCACCAGAATTATAAACAGGCTTTATCCTCCACCAGCACTTAACTAGTGAGTAAGGCAAGAATGTGTGTATACAATTCCCTCACATCCTCTCTCCCCATTATAACCAGAATGGGAGGATTAAATAGCATGAAAACATGGAGTGATGCATCAAGGTGTTATTTATTTAATGCACTTACATTCATATCTATAATATCATTGATTCTCATATTCCTTTTATCAACAGTATTAATACTTCAACCAGGGTTTTAGGTTTTAGGAAATGTGGACTCTATTCCTCTATTCCTAGTTCTGCCATTCTGCCACTAGCTAGCTGAGTTAGAGTACAGTGAACTGGAAGGTATCCAGAAGTCCTTTCATCTCTGATATTCTGTGAGCAACGTCCCTTATCTCATTTAAGAGCTCACAACCATTTGGACTTAAGGTTTCATGACTTGCTTAAGACCACACAGCTAAGAGATGAGAAGCACAGCATGTGCTAAAGCCAAGCTCTCCAACGACGGCTCCAGAACTCTTCTCATTATCATTACCTTACAGAGAAGGAATGGAAATGGAAAGACACATGCTTCACTATCTGTGGTACCTTCTCATGCCTCACTGAAAGAACTTACTGTCTCCCATGTCAAAGATATAGTGTACAAAGGTAGCAGCAGAGGGGTTCACTTATTCACTCAACATGTGTTCATTTAGAAAAGTAGGAATTGGTTATCTGTTCTGATTTGAGTATCATGCCAGGTCATCACCTGGGCTCACAGTCTAGTGAGATAGAAAAATAAACAATGTGAAAAGGGCCGTGATAAAGGGAAGCACAGGCTGCAGGAAATGCTGAATTTCTGGGCATCTCTCTCAGGAGATGCCATAAGCTGGGAGATTTTTTAATTGACTTGCAGCAACTTTGTGAGGAAGCCCACAAGTGGTGAGCAGAGAAGAAGGTAGATGGAAAGACCTTTTGTGACTCATGGCTGCTATCATGATGCTGTCCGGACAGCTCCAAGAGGCCCCCCATTCCGTGTGTATAGGTGTTCCTCAAATAACAGGGTGGTTCTGACATGCAAAAGGTTCTTCTTTGATCACCGAAGGCTGGAAAACCTCATTCTCTGGAGTCAGTGTGTATCAGTCAAAATAGGCTAGGTTATGCTGTGGTAACAAACAACTCCCCAGATATCAGTGGGTTAACACAGCAGAAGTTTATCTCATGTGGGCTGGTCAGAGTTACGCTCATTATAGTCACTCAGGGACTGAGGCTGATAGATGCTTCACCTCTACACATTCTTCCAAAATTCCCAAAGAGAGAAAAATGGGATATGGTAACACATGTTGTTTCTTTTTTTTTTTTTTTTTTTGAGATGGAGTCTGGCTCTGTCACCCAGGCTGGAGTGCAGTGGCACCATCTCAGCTTACTGCAAGCTCTGCCTCCCGGGTTCACGCCATTCTCCTGCCTCAGCCTCCTGAGTAGCTGGGAATAAAGGCGCTCACCACCACGACCAGCTAATTTTTTCTGTATTTTTAGTAGAGATGGGGTTTCGCCATGTTAGCCAGGATGGTCTCGATCTCCTGACCTTGTGATCTGCTCGCCTTGGCCTCCCAGAGTGCTGGGATTACAGGCATGAGCCACTGTGCCTGGCCCCGCATGCTGTTTCTTAAAGACTTCCACCTGTAAGTCATTTACTACACTCCCACTCACATTTCATTGCCTAAAGCAAGTCCCATGGTCATGTCTAACTTTCAAGAGAGCAGGGAAGTATAATTCTACCATGTGTTGGGAAAGAGAGAAGAATTGGAATTTCTGTGAATATCCCTAAAACTAGCAGTGTTGTAAGAGTCTCCAGTTAAGTCCTCATCTTTTGGGGTTTCACACTGGTCTGTGAGCTCCTGGAGGACAAGATATACTGTTTGCATCTCTCTATTCCAAGGGCCTTGCACAATGCCTGGCATGGAATAGACTCTCAGTAGATGCCTGTTGGGTAAGTTAATAAGTGAAAGGACAAAGACTTTTTCCTAAAAGAAGAATCCCCCCACACCTGTGACCGTAAAAGTCTATACACCTTTCATATTTTTAAACTTGGCTTCAGGATCTGAGCTCCATACCTATGGTGCTCTTCTAAAATAGTTAGAAAGACACCTTGCCAGCACTTTGGGAGGCCGAGGTGGGCGGATCACGAGATCAGGAGATTGAGAACATCCTGGCTAACACGGTAAAACCCCGTCTCTACTAAAAATACAAAAAATTAGCAGGGCATGGTGGCAGGGGCCTGTAGTCTCAGCTACTTGGGAGGCTGAGGCAGGAGAATGGCGTGAACCTGGGAGGCGGAGCTGGCAGTGAGCTGAGATCACGCCACTGCACTCCAGCCTGGGCGACAGAGCGAGACTCCGTCTCCAAAAAAAGAGAGAGACACCCTGATGACTTACCCAGTCCTGCTAGGAGACACAAGCTCAAGTAACTGTATTTTGAGCCTCACTGATGAATTTTGGGAATACAACCAGTCCAGCCCCTTGTGTTCAAGTCTAAGGGAGAGGCAGGGAAAAGGTGGGCAAGCAACACAACCCTTCCAAGTGATGAGCAGAGCACAGCCCCAGAAGAGCACCAAGGCTCCCAGATTATACTCCAAACATTGAGGAAAGTCAGTGGTGAAATCTGAATACAGGACCCTGGCTCTGTGTGACTAGACACCCTTAGAAACGCTCCTGGAATGAGATACTCTGATTTCCAAAGTAGCAATGCCAATGCCAAGTTTCTGGGCCTGGAGTAAAGGCCACAAAATCAAATAATATAGCTGCAAATTTAGAAGACAGCTAAGTCACTGGATGACTGCTAGATCATATCTACAGTGGCCACAAAAGTCACAAGAACAAGATGGGTAACAAACGGGCTATAATTTGGTATACTACTCATTCATCATTGTCCTTCATGTTCCAGCATCTGGCAGTGATTTCTATCTTTGTTGTGCTGCTGTAGACAAAAAGATTAGTGCATGACCATGGGTATGTACGCAATAAGACTGACAAAAACCTGTGTCTTGGGAGAAAGAACAGCATCACTCTGCTGTGTGCAGAGTGTAAACCTGAAGTGAGGCACAGGAGCCAAGCTGTCTCCCTTTGGTTATGTTTGTGGTGGGGTTGGCATACATGGGACAAATAACGCATGGCCTTTTCTCTGAGAGGAGAAATCTGGGGCTACCCTAGACTGAAAGATCGGGCAATTTATGGTCATCTTTTGCTGCTACCAGGGGCTGCAGGCTTCACCGGTGTAAGTAGCTTGTCTGTCTGCACACAGGTCTGCTGTGCACCTCTCAGGGGTTGGCTAATCATGGCATCTGAAGTGGCAATCTGAAGTGCATGGGAACTGTTTAGGGTGGTAAGAGGATCAAGGCGGTGCACAAAGAGATGTGTGTAGTGATTTTCTTCCAACCAGTTTTCCCAAGCTGGGTCCGAGGGCGCTGGGAGTCTGCAACCTGAGAATGGGGGCATGTGTCCCTGGGGCAGTATCCCCCATCTTTCATCCAACAGGCTTGGCCGGGCTGCTTGGGCTAACTCCTGAGTGGCTTCCTTTTCGTATTCCTTATGGTCAGAGAGTAAAGATACTAAATGGACATTAGATCATTGGAGAACAGCAACCTGTGACTGAGGGGTCACCTACAAAATCCTACCTGTTGCAACAAAAGCAATGTTAACTTCCTAACTTGATGAGCTCTCAGGATCTTAGAAGAAAATGAGGGTTTCAATTTCTTCTGAAGAAGGATAATTTTGTTAAATTGATTTGCTTTGAATGAGCCCTTGGGGATAATAGAGACTCTCATCCCAAACTAATTTATGAATTTGATACAATAGCTCCTTCTTTACTTTTTCTGAAAAGAGTAAGATAGTAAATTTTTTAGGCTTTGTCAACCACATACGGCCTCCGTGTGCATTCCTCCTCCTTCTTTTCTTCTTCTTTCTCCTTCTCTTCCTCTTATTTCCTTCTCTAGCACCTTATCTTCTTCTGATCTATTGAAAATGTGAAAACCATTCTTAGCTCAAGGATCATCCAGAACAGGCCTTGGGGCCTGGCGCGGTGGCTCACGCCTGTAATCCCAGCACTTTGGGAGGCCGAGACGGATGGATCACGAGGTCAGGAGATCGAGACCATCCTGGCGAACACAGTGAAAACCCGTCTCTACTAAAAATACAAAAAATTACCCGGGCATGGTGGCGGGTGCCTGTAGTCCCAGCTACTCGGGTGGCTGAGGTAGGAGAATGGCGTGAACCCAGGAGGCGGAGCTTGCAGTGAGCCGAGATCGTGCCACTGCACTCTAGCCTGGGCAACAGAGCAAGACTCTGTCCCAAAAAAAAAAAAAAAAAAGAACAGGCCTTGGGCTAGATTTGGTCTTATAAGCCTTAGTTTGCTGGCCCATGCTTTACAGCGAAATAAAAAAAAAATTCTCTAAGCACCATGGCACTTACCAAAGGTTAAGCTAAGTGGGACCATGGCAGTTAAGTTTGTGGCTCTTAACACATTTATATAGGTCAAGCGAGTTTGAGAGGAGCTGACAACTCAAAAGTTCTTCTCATTCCGTCTAACAGGAAGAACATGAAATCCTACCAGAGATACTTGTTTCTGCAGGTTGAGGCTTACACATCCAGGGGTTCCTAGTTAAAAGATCAATAGTCTGTGGAGATTACAGTTCAATTCTCTACATGGGTTTCCCACATGAAGAGGTGAGTTAAAACAGAGTGAATTGCAAGACTCGTAGGTTGAGATGCCTTCTAGACAAAGGTAAAAATCATGAGTGTCTGGTTTAGAGAGGAGGAGCTAGGAAAATAGGTCAATTACAACTTTCATGTTCCCATGTTCCTGCCACCACCAGGGTCAACCTTGGAATTCAGTGTGTGGTAAACACACCAAGATAGATGTGCAGGCCTCTGGGACTCTTGTGGGTGGAGCCCTGCTTCCCCAGCCCACAGAGGCTGCCAGCCTATCAGAGGAGCCCATAATGAGTAAGGGGCATGCATGACAAGAGAAAGGGTGGAGCCAGCACTGGGATTGGGGAGCTGGGTATGGTAGTTCTTTGGCAGGCATGATTTGTGTGTGACATGCCCGGGACTTGATAGTTCCCATAACCCCTGACAGAGAGTATGACTAATAGGATAGGTAGACAACTCAAAGGAAGGGTGTGTTAGTTTCCCAGGGAGAGAATGTGGAGTTCATCATCTGTGGACTCTAGCAATGCCTCTAGCCAGAGTCAGAGGACAAGGTATGGACTGGGAGTGTGGCCTCACCCTCTGGCGACTAACATCACAGTGCTTTTTTAAATATTTGAAAACTTAGGTCCCCCCTACCCACCTTGGGAATAGGAACGGAAAAGGGGAAGGAGGAAGAAATACTGACTGTCAGATGATCTTTACCCTAAAGGGATGAAATTTAACTAAAAGAGACTTTTAAACCAAAGGATGCTGAATTACTGTCAGTCGATAAATTTAAATTCCCCCACCCTCTCCCCACACCTCCATCACCAGGAATAGAGTCTTAAAAGTGGAAAATAAAGTTCTCTCCATATATGTCCACCCCCATCTGAATCATACTTTGATCTCCCTCTATGTATTAAACAAACATTTATTTCCAACATGTGCCAGACACTGCCTTCCCTGGGGATACCCTGGAGAACAAGCCTGGCGTGATCTCAGCCCTCCTGGAGCCAGAAGTCTCCCTCTGGGCCTGGCTGTCATTGGAAAGGCAGTGGTCATCCCATTCACCCTGTACATGGGCCTTAAAGGAACCTACACTCTCTCTTCCACCATCACACAGCTCAAGCTGTCAGAGGCAGGCTCTTCATTTTCTCCTTCCAATCTTAGCACAACTTAGCTCCAGTCAGTAATAAACGCAGATGGCATCACATAGGTAGTTTCAGCCATGGCCTGTTGGTCACTGCATGGTTGCTTGATCTTCTCTCATCCCTTTAGAATTCAGAATGCTGGTAGGAAGACAGCTTCCTCCTGTCACTCTGACTGTCCTCCTTCCCAAAAAGTCACTTGTGTAGTACCGCCCACTCAAGCCAGATTTTTGAGTGCTATTATAACCACTTTAGATTGTACCAATGGGCTGTCAGATCCTTGATTCCAGCTTCTAAGTCTCTCCCATATGCATATTTTCCTGGCCATTCCCACAGACACTGCCCACAATAGTCTCCTATTTGTTCCTCTGTCTCAGCACTGCCCCAACTGAAATCTGTCGGCCATGCTGGTAGCAGAATGCTTTTGTAGAAAATGCAATTCTAATAATGTTCCTCTTTTTTTTTTTTTAAAAGCATTTAATGGTCCTCTATTGCCTCTATTGTCTTCTCTTCATTAGACAACCCCAACGGGAACTTCATCCTAGATGTGGAGTTCTTGCTGCTCCCCATTTGGATGAAGCTGCTTGAGTCTTCAGAGCTTGAGCTTGGCTTACCCCGCTGTGCTGTGAGATTCCTATTCATTCTTCAAGTCTCCTTTTCCGTCACTTTGCTGAAGTCCTCAGAGGGACCCACATCCTCTTCCCCATCATCACACAGCTTGAGCTCTTAGAGGCAGGCTTTTCATTTTCTAGGAATCCCCTTTTCAAGCTTCACATAGCAATTTATGTTGCTAGAGCACTTACCATACTGGAGGGTCATTGTTTTTTAGTGTATCTCTCCCCTTGGACATCCATTCCTTCATTTGTTCTTTCAATTAATATTTGTTGAGGATGTACTATGTGCTAGGCATTGAGAAAACACAGTCCTAGTCTTTAAGGAGCTAATATTTTAGCAAAAATGGCACGTAATAAATTTATAAGGCACCATAGACTGAACATTTTGGGTCAGGGGTGATCTGCTATGGTCCAAATGTTTGTGCTTCCCCAAAGTTCATATGCTGAAACCTAATTCCCAATGTAATGTCATTAAGAGGGGGGGTCTTTGGGGGGTGATTAGGTCATGACGGTGAATACCAGATGAATGGGATTGGTGCCCTTATAAAGGAGGCCTGAGGGAGCTTTCTTACCCTTTCCATTTTGTGAGGGCACAGCAAGAAAGCACCATCTATGAAGCAGAGTGGGCTCCCATCAAATCTGTTGGCATCTTGATCTTGGACTTCCCAGCCTCCAGAACTGCAAGAAGTACATTTCTGTTGTTTATAAATTACCCATTCTAAGGTATTTTGTTATAGCAACCCAAATGGACTAAAGCAGGATCTTATTCATCTTTATGTCCCTGGTACTTAGCACATGCTTGGCACACATGTGTTCTCAATAATGCTTGTGAATGAATGAATGTATGTATGAAGCAGAATGTTATGGTATTGGCTGCACAAGAATGTAGAGAAATGCCTTTGATATTATTTGGTTTTGGTTCATCTAAAATTGTCTCCTTTTCTCAAAATGCTCTTCCATCTTCACTAGTAGAATTCTCACTTATATTCCCTTGCAGACTTTTTATCAAGTTCACCTTCTTTCCCCTTCCCTTGTGTCTCATTTTCTCGTCATTGTCCTTTCCCCTCATGACATTTGCTTCCTGGGAGATTTCTTATTTTTCTCCAGTCGAAAGCAAACTGTCAGCCTTTCTGGGGGAAAGAGTGGTGTCTCCTGTTGCTCTTTCCCTCTTATTTTGTAAGGATCAGATAGTCCTCATTATCACACACAATAGTATACTCACAACCAAGGTGGGGCAGAGCCACACTACTCTCATGTAACAGAATCTCATGAATTTCTGTTTCTCCAAAAGGCTCAGAGAAGACAAACATGATATTCACACACAGAGACTCACATGTCCCCCCAGATGGGAAATCTCATGGGTACATGTGCATGACAGCACATAGCCATGTGGAGTGGCCCACAGAGCCACAGTGCCACCCCCAGACCCTGGGACACACAGAAGCAGAATTCTGTCCGAGCCTCCTTTCTCCAGTCTCAGACTTCTCTGCAGCCTCCAGGGGCTTGCTAGTCTCCCTTCTCAACTTCAGACCTTCTTTGAACCCTCTCTTCGGTTTTCTCTCCCGATTCTTGGGTCAATAATCCTTCTTCATCGGCAAGGTCCATACTGAGATAAAATCCATATCTGCTGATCCTTTTAACTGAGCTCTGTCACCCACCATTTCTTAAAAGTTGACTATGCACATCCCTACTCTGACACTGTGCCTTCCTATACACCTGTGAGGCCCCTTATCACTGTGGTCACCCACCCTACACTGTGGAGATCCTATACTGAGAGCAGGACACAGTTTTATAGCCCCATCTCGGCTGTAAAAATGGACACATGACTTTTCTCAAGACATAGAGCTATGAATAGTTACTCCAGAAGTTTTCAGATAGGAGTAGAGAAAGATGGCTAATCCTTTAAAAAATGATCTATTGGTAAACTTCATGTAAATATAATGTCCCCACAGGCATCTTGACTCAGTCAGAATGGGCTAGGTTATGTTGTGGTGGCAAACCCTCCCCAAATCTCAGTGGCTTACAGTAGCAAAGGTTTCTTTCTTACTCATTCTACTTGCTCACCACAGATTGACGATGATATGCTCCAAACCATCTCCACTCTAGGGCCCAAGCCAACAGAGAAGCCTCTGGGTGGAACACTGAAAACCTCAGAGTAAAGAAAAGAGAGATCTTGGCAAAGCATAAGCCAGCTGTTGAAACTTCCCCCATGTTCGCTCACGTTTCATTAGCCAAAACAAAGGCACATGACCAAACCTGGTGGACATCCTGGGTGAGAAACAGCAAATAATTTGGTTGTAATACAATCTATCACATATTGGAAACTTAAACTATTCCTAAATAACTCATCCTCTTCCTCCTCCAAGCTATCTCTACCTTCACTCTGATTTGGGTGAACATCACCAGCATCCACTCAATCACATTTTCCCCAGGATGCTGCCAGAATTGTCTCTCTGATTCATACAATGACTCATAGAATATCCTTGCCTAAAACCCTTTAGTACCTGTCCCTTGCTCACGGGATTCAGTCCCAGCTCCTCAGGATGGCCTATGTAGTTCTTCATAGCGGGGCTTCTGCCAAACTTTTATCTCCAGCTATGACTTCCTTACTACACCCTATGCTGCATCAAATCTAAATAACCTAAGACTGTCTTCAAAAATCCCATGTTCATGGCTTCATGCCCATTTTTGTCGTTCTTCCCTCAAAACCTGGTCTACTCTTCCTGTTATTAGCCTAGAAAAGCCTTCCCTGCCATAGAACAATTGACACCTATATCACCTACACTACAAAACTTTGGCTGTCATCCTGTATTCCCCAATGTCAGGGTCATATTACCCAAGTCCTGACAGCTGCCTTCTTTGTGCCTCTGCTGCATCTTACAGAATAGCAACTTAAAAATTCTTTTTGATTGTGTCCAAGGGATAAAGTTGACATCACAACCCAGAGCCCAAATAACATACATACCTTATATGTATAAATGTGTATATGTATGTATGTTTATATGTATACACATATATAGAGGTATGAGTATTAGGAAATAATATCAACCTTTATAACTTATGATAAATTTTACTTTTCATTGTTTTATTTTATTCAGAAATGCTGCTAGGTCCTACCAAATTGGTTTCATGAATCACTAATGGGTCATGACCCACAGTTTGAAAATCATGGCTATAAAACATGGCTAGATTTTAAGAACATAGTCCTTGGTAAAAAAAAAAAAAAAAAAAAAAAAAAAAAAAGGTACGAAGTAGATTGTGATTTGTAATTCAGTACCATTTATTTGAATTAAAAATACATGCACACAGAGTAACAACACACATTTTGCAGGAACATACATAAAGGAAAAGCATACACTTTAAAATGGTTGTCTATGAGGCAGAGAGAAGAATGGCAAATGTGGTATAGAGATATAGAGGATAAATACATGAAAAAATGGACAAAGCAATCAACCAATTGATGGCAAGCCCTTGCAAGGACTGGGATAATAACAAGTAGAGACTTTGTACCTAAGGTCCAAAAGAAACTAAAATAAGAATTCACTATTATGAACACTTATATTATAATATCTAAGATTTTAAAATTTGTCTTTGGTGTTCTGCAGTTTCATTAGGACATGTAGAATGTGGATTTATTTTTGTTTATCTTGTTTAGGGTGCATTTTACTTCCTGAATCTGTGGATTTATGTTTTTTAACAGTTCCGGAAAATCTCCAGGCATCAGCTCTTCAAATAATGCCTCTCTTTCATTCTCTCTATTCTCTTTCTTTGGGGCTCTGATCAGGCAGACAGTAAATGTTCTCATCTCTCGTCTACATCACTGAACCTCTCATATTTTTCATTTCCTTAACTCTATATGGTATTTTACGGATAATCCTTTCTTATTTATAGTTTACTTATTCTGTACTTAGAGGTGTATAATCTACTGTATATCATATCCTATGAGCCTTTTAAGAATTTTTTTCAACAATGGTATTTTTCATGTCTGAAGTCCTATTTGATTCTTCTGTGATCCCATCCTTTATTTCTATAAACATTTCATGCATAACTATTTCACATTCAGTATCTGACAATTCTGTATTGGACGTCTCTGGGGTCTAAATCTGTTATTTTTTGTTTCAGCTAAAGGTAGAATGACAAGTAGGATTGCCTGTGAATGACCCTAGATTCTCTGATTTGTCCAGCAATGAGGTAGCAGGGACCAGTGACTCCCCTTCTCCTGGCCAGAAGGGCTACAGCTTCCCTTGGGACCAGGGGTTACTTCTTCCCCTGAGATGTTCTCAATCCAGAGATGTTCCACTGAAATTGAACTTTTCAGAAACTGATGAGCCCTCAGGTTTGCAGGTACTAGGTACTGACATTTCTCAGCACTGCCCTAAACAGATAGCTCCTTAATTCACCACTTGACTGCTTGGCACTTGAGTCCAAAATTCTTCTTTTAAATTTATCTTAAATTATTATGGATATATAATAGTTTACGTATTTGCAGGGTACATACGATATTTCCACACAAGCACACAGTGTGTATTGATCAAATCGTGGTAATTGGGGCATCTATTATCTCAAGCACTGATAATTTCTTTGTGTTAGGAACATTCCAATTCCATTCTTTCCCAAAATTCTTATACCACTATGGATAAGGCTTTTTTTTTTTTTTTGAATACTCACCCCTTCCCTGCAAAAAAAGAGAAAACAGCAAATACTATTGCAAACCTGCAGTGAATCTAGCTTTGCCTTGGCCCAAGCATGCTTGTCTTTGGAATGTCAAGAGCCTGGGGAGCTCATGCTCTTGCTGCCCTTGTATCAATAGTTTCAGCTTGTATGGATGACAGCAAAAGGGTGTGCTTGACTCTTGTACTATGTGACTCTGATTCTCAGTCATGGTGGCTGCTTTGTGAGCTCACTTTTGCTTGCTCTTAATCAGTGTAAATCCTGAAGCCTTCAATCAGGGATATTTCTCTCCAGAGAGAATCTGCATCTACTTCTGCTGGGAGGCAGGATCTCCTAGTGACCTGTGACCATGTTAGCTCCCTTCAAGGACCTGCAGGTGTCTCAGGTTTAATTTCCTCCATTGCTGCTGGCCTAGTATCAACTTCCTAATAGCACTGTACTATTAAGATTTTCCCTTAAGGCCTCCCCAGCTTCCCATTTGCTTATAGCTCTTCCCTCTCTGCACCCAGCTCACTTTTTGGGGATGTTGGGGAGAGTGAGTGTGAATAAGTCTTGGAGACTTCTTGTGAGTCCAGTAATACAATATGAAGTGTTTTGTGTCTAGTTCCTAGTTGTTTGGTAGCAGAAGGGAGCTTTCAGTGTATCTAAACAGGCATATTGCAGAAAATTGGGTTTTACATGTATGTGTCTCCCCTTCCTAGACTGTGAGCTCTTTGAGAAACAAAATATGCCTATCTCCAGTACCTAGCATAGTGCCTGGATAGTAATAGACCCTCAAAAAATATTTGTTAAAAGAATATATGATATAATAATGCTTTCCTCCCTCAAAACACTACCAGAGTACCCTTCGCATATTCATAGCATATACTCCTTAGTCTGATTGTTTTTCTTTGATATTTATTTTCTGAATTTCTACTTTTATGAGAGAAATTGAGGGCCAATCATTGGAGTTTGTTTCAGGTCCAAACTACAATTCCTTGTCTATCACCCAGCTTCCCACCCCTTGGAGTAGTGGTTGATGGTTATTACTATGAAGTTTGGAGGATAAGTTTACTTCATGATAAAGTTCAGTCTGCCTAGGTACTTCAGAATCCTTGGGAATGTAATTGGTTTATAGATTTTAAATATCTGTATTCCACACATACATCACTGTTGGTATCCTGAGTCTCCTGAAGTTTTCTGGTTCAGACACTCTGATCTGTCCTGCATTCCCTGTTTCCCAGTAAAATAAGAAATAAGAATTCCCTGTAACTAAGTCCTAGGGATTGGCAGAATTCCAAGGTGGTATTATTGCCAGGCTAATAGTGCTTAATAATTAATTAGGCATATTCATTAGTATTATTAAGTCTCTCCCCCCAGCACCACCTGCAATCATTATGTGATGGCAGACAGATGTTTTTCAGGTGCTCACATGGCCATCTTGTGGGTTTTTCTCACTCAAATCTGGCAGGCTGTGAAGATGCCTGAGATGGGGAGACAGGGGTTGAGTGTGGGAGTGGAAAGATGGTTAGAGCAATGAATGAGCACACATTTTCCAAAGAAGAGTCATGTAAGCCAAGCCTGTTGTTAATTAACACTGAGTTTGTTGAGAACGTGGTGTCCAGACTGCGGCAGACAGAAGGTGCACCCCATCTGTGACTAGCTCCCCCTAGGGAGGGGCTGGTTAAGAGAGAACCACTCCTTCCCTGGGTGCCCTCCCACTGCCTGGTGAGCATATTCCACCCCCATAGGGTGGGAGGGTGGTGGGTTCCACAGTGACATGACACACAGTTGTCTGGAAGTGGGGACTGTGAGCTTCTGGGTGAGTCACTGTTGCATCACTCGTACATAGACCCAGGGAGAGCTTTTCTAAACTGTGAAACTGAAGATCTTACTGCAGTAATTTGGTTACATTACAGCTTGCTGATCAAAATCACCCTGTACTGCTGAAGGTATCTGGTGTGGTGAGGTAGATATCATAGCCCAAATTTGTGCCCTGCATGTGCCTTTTGGCTGACAGAGCCAATGCATCAATTAGGGGCAGACAAGGCTGTGTTGCTTCATCACCACCACTGACTGTACCCCAGCCCTGAGGCTGTCTTTCCTGGGGCTCTCCTTCCCTGCTCCTGATGGAAGCAGATGGAGAGTGGGAGTGAACAAACAGCTCAGACAGCCACTGAGTCTGGGCACTGGACGTTTGTAGTAATTATCATAATAAAAATAAAATTGTCACCCATTAGTGAGGGCTTGCCAGGCATAGGTTTCACCCTCACAATGATCCCATAAGCATTGTGGCATCATTATTCCTATTTTATAGATGCAGACACAAGTCCAGAGAGTTTAAGTCTGCATTTAGGTTATACAGTTGCTAAAAGTTGCACAGTCAGAATTCAGACTTGGTTGCTTGATTCCTAATTGTGCCTTCACTTCTCTGTTCTACAAAAACTTACCATTCTTGACCCTAAGCTTGCTTTTTGGTGATTATGGTGGGTTGCCAAAAGGTTTAATACAATCTAATTTTGGTGGGGTATGTTCAGAATTAAAATATGATGTAGTCAATGGACAAGGAATTCTTCTAAGCTAAGAACTTGTGAATATATGTAGCTAAGTTTTAGTAGAAAACAGGGGGAGTGATGTTTATAGATGGTGCTATTTTTTTTTTGAATTTAGACTAGAGAAACAACAACAAAAACACACACAGAGACACACATACATACACACACACACACACACACACACTCTTTGTAACTGAATAACCTATTTGGCTGCCTGGGAGCAAGATGACCTCTGAGAACAGAGGGTTCAAACAAAGGAAAAGAGAGAGTGTCAGGAAAGCATAGGTGGTTGTTGATTCCAGACAAAGCCCCTGGCTCCAGGGCTGCCCCCAGGCTCTTTCTCCAGAAGGAGTTCATCCCATCAGCTCCTTGAGTGAGGTCTACTAGGAGAAGGCCTGGCGTGAATGTGCACCCAGGCTGTTTTCTCATTGGAGAATCCCTTGTTTTGTAACAAAGGCTCTTCAGAGTAAGTGGGAAGCACCAGGGCTGTGGGGACTGTGAACTCAGACTCATGGAATTGCTTGATTGAAGCCCTTACTTGCTATACATGGAAGGACCTGAATGCTGAATCTCTGGTGCTCTTCTGGCTCCAAGGCAGAGGGGCTGCCAAAGATTGAGTCTTTGCTGGGAATGCCCAGCTTGCTCATCTCTCCACCATTACCCTTGACACACAGTAGGCACTAATAACGGTTCCTCAATAAACTAATAAATGGTAACTCATTCACTGAGCAGCAAGACAGAGATCAAGCTGTGGAAAAACATTTCATACCATGTTTAATAACATTATTCACTCAGTATATATCAAGCTCTTTTATACATAGACCTGTGCGAAGCACTGTGAAGGCTACAAAAATAAAACATATGGTTCCTATCCCTAAGGAACAGAAACTGTAGTTGAGAAGGCAAATGATAATTTAATGTTCTTCCCTTGACCTGGATTCTCTTCCCCTAATCTCCTCATCTAGATTCTTCAAGAAGTATTCAAGAGGGTCTTCAAGACTCTTTTCCAATAATGCCTCTTTCATGAAGCTTCTCCCTCCTCCAACTCCCTAGAGGGTATTATAATTATTTCTGTATATGCATCATCTCCTATTTTAGGTTAGAAGTGTTTTCAGAATATGCTTGGCATCTGAATCATTGCTGTATTTTTATTATCCTAGAGCCTAATGTAAACCTAGAACATATCAGGATTTTTATGTGTATTAAATTAATGAACTGTTGAATCAATGAAAATACACACAACAAAGAAAACAAGTTTTGAGTAGGACATGGGGATGAGGATAGGCAAAGAGGGAGGAGAGGAATCTGGAATGCTAGAAAGGAGTCTCTGCTTCATGGAAAGGGATAATCATGAAGCCTATCTAGGGTGGGGAGGTGTTGGAGCCCCATGATGAAACAGAGCATTGTGATTGGATCATGCTGGGGTTCATAAAAGTCTGTGATGCCATCAGGAAAAAGCACCTTAAAGTCAAGATTCTAAGAAATTTCAGTGAGGATTTGGAGGCCATCAAGAATGTAGTGTAGACCCAAGTAAAAAAGAAAAAGATCCTTCAGGGGCGTTAGTGAACTAAGAAGATGCTATTGAGTAAAAGGGGCTATCTGCCCGATGAGCTAGAAGTCAATACTATGACACTAGCTTTTAGAGAAAAGAAAAGCTTTATATTGAAAGTCAACTCCCAAGGAGACAAGAATGTCAAGTTCAAATCTGTCTCCCTGGGCTGGCTTCAAAGCAGTATTTTTATTAGGAAATTTGGATCCACCAGGTGGTGGATTCTGAAATTAGCAGGTGATTGGTGGAAGGAAAGAGGAGGTTTGGAAAGCCCTTGGGCATGCGTAGTTATCTCTTCATGCTATCTCATGGGTCCCATGTGCAAATTAAGGGGAGTTAGCAGGAAACATGCTGTGGAAATTCTGGCTGTGACTTCAGCAAACTTGTTCTGTGGAGACTGCAGTAGGCCATATTGGTTCCAACCTATTTCAGCCAGTTTTTTTATTTTTTATTTTTTTTTTGTCTCAGAAGCAGAGGGAGTTTCAATGTTTCAACAAGTTGTTTCTTCTGTTCAAATCTGCCATCCTGCAAACTCAAGAATTCCTATTCATCATTGGCTTCTCTAGCTCTTTGGGGGCATGGTTTCAAAGGTGCAACTGTGTCTAGGGTGGAGCTGGGAATCTCAATGGAAAAGGGACACTAAAGAGCAAGGGTTTGACAAGCAGAATGGATTATTTCATGGGTAGAACTGTTAAGAAGTTCATTAGTCAGCACATTAGTCTGACTTTCCCCACTAGCTAACAGTGGGGAAAGTTAGCTATTCAACTCGCCCCATAGAATCTAGCAGAGCAGAGAAGCTGACGGTGTTCAGAGATAAATAAATAGGAGGGCTTAACCTACATGGAAAGGCTAGTTATATTCATTCTGGGCAATAAGACCCAAGATAAAGCTGATAAGTTGATCTAGGCTAGAAAGGGGTTTAGGAAATTTCTGGACAAGATGCCATTGAAAGTTGACTCTTTGATGCCTTCCTTTTCTACACATAGGACATTTTAAAAAGAGACAAATTCAAAGGCAAAGCTATGTTAAAACACAAAATAAACACTTCTGTACAGCATAAATAAAACAAAAAAATTTTGAGCTGGGTTGAAACTGGGACTTGCTGAGCTTTGGGTCTAGAAATAGGCAGAGATAGCCAGGAGTTTTGGGTATTGCAGGGTAACATAGACAAAAAAGGGCCGCATTCCAGGTAAGGAGTCAGAAACTGTGGGGGGTGGGGGTGGGGAACATCACTCACAAAAGAGGCTAACAAGATGTCAATTGACTGTTTACTGGGGCTCTGGTTTATATCAAGGTGGGAGGAACTAACCCAGACCTTCACCTGGGCCGAAGCCAGGAATGTCTGGGCCAGGACCTGCAAAAGGAGTTCTAGTTTTATACTGGGAGCCTCAGAAGGTTGCATGGAGGCAACCACAAGACTGCTAGGATGCTGGGAGAAGAAAGTAGGAAGGAGGAGAAAAGGAGGAAGAGAGAGAGAGAGAATAAATTATCAATATAAGATTGCAAATTGGCAGTGGCACAATCTCCACTCACTACAACCTCTACCTCCTCAATTCAAGTGATTCTCATGCCTCAGTCTCCTGAGTAGCTGGGACTACAGGCATGCATCACAAAGTCCAGCACATTTTTTTGTATTTTTGGTAGAGACGGGGTTTTGCCATGTTAGCCAGGTTGGTATCGAACTCTTGACCGCAAGTGATCTGCCTGCCTTGGCCTCCCAAAATGCTGGGATTACAGGTGTGAGCCACAGTGTCCGGTTTATGATTATTATTATTACTATTTTTTTACCAAAAAAAGTAAATGGGTTGCCAACATTTAAGAATTAAGACTTTGTAGCCCATATATATATATATATATATATATATATATATATATATATATATATATACATATATATATAAAACTTTTTTTTCTTTTTAAAATTAGTAGATATGGGGTCTTGCTGTGTTGCTCAGGCTGGTCTTAACCTCCTGGCCTCAAGCGATCTTCCCACCTCAACCTCCCAAAGTGTTAGGATTACAGGTGTGAGCCACCGCACCTGGCTGCCTTTCTTGAAAACTTAGTAGATCTACCAGCCTGCCCCTTTGATGACAGTGCTGGTCTATTGAAGCTGAGCAGCGTCAGCTTCCTTAATCCCTGTGGACATTTGAGTTATAGCCTCTTTTTAAGAGGAAGTTTTTAAGACATATATTAAATAAAGATTGTGTGCTTTGATTTTATATATGCTGTTCCATTCTTATTTCTGGTTCCTACAGTCATAATGCCCTATGATATATGTGGGATAAATGTGACTGGTCAGGTTTACAAAATTTAGAAGTTATTTAATAAGTGATTATGTAAAGTGGTTTTAATTCATCTATAGGAATTAAAAAAGAAAAAACCCAAAAAACACTGGGAACTGAAATTTCCAAAACATAAAGGGAAAGTAATGCTAAGAAAAGGAGACAACAAAATCCACAATTTGGAGATAAATTTATCCCAATGAAATAAATACAATAGAGTGATCTAAGGACAACTTTAAGGCATGTGTGCTCAGAATCTTTAGAGAGATAAAAAGAAAATATCCTTAGAAAAACAGTAAATTATGGCACAATAGAGCCAGAAATAAAGCAAAAAGAGCAAAAAAATGACAAAATCAGAACTCCTAGAAGTAAAAAAATGATAATTGAAATGGAGAAATCTTAACAGACAGGATAAATCCTATACTGGACACAAAGAGAGAATTAGTCAATTAGAAGATATTAGGAAGGAAGACATCCAAATTAGAGCAAATAAAAATATAAAAGTGTAGTTAAGAGCTGTGGATAATAGCATTTGTAATAGGAATTCCAAAAGGCAGCAGAGGAAATAACAGAGAACCCATATTGAGAGAGATGAGATAGCTAAAAATTTTCCAGAATTGAGAAAACATGGGTCCTCACACTGAAAATGCGCATAATGGGCATATAAGGGATGCCTTTAGATCTACCAGAGATGAAAAAAAAAATCCAGATCCCTTCACAAAGAAGGAATATTCTTACATGGTTAGCAGACCACTCATTAACAATAAAAAAGTCAGTGAAGTAATAATATCTTCAACGTTCTGAGAAAAAAAATGAAGATTCAATAAATTTTTAAAAATCTAGGTATAAAAATGTTCAACATTGAGGGCAACTAACTGAGCTTATGCTACTCATACCTGCCCCCAGTCCCCGGTCCTTGCTAGTAGAACTACTACCAAAGGCCTATGCCATCTAGAACTTGGGTTTTTTTTTTTTTTTTTTTTTTTTTGGAGATGGAGTTTCGCTCTTGTTGCTTAGGCTGAAGTACAGTGGTGCGATTTTGGCTCACTGCAACCTCTGCCTCCCGGATTCAAGTGATTCTCCTGCCTTAGCCTCCCGAGTAGCTGAGATTACAGGTGCACGCCATGACACCTGGCTAATTTTTTGTATTTTTAGTAGAGACGGGGTTTTACCATGTTGGCCAGACTGGTCTCGAACTCTTGATCTCAGGTGATCCACCTGCCTCAGCCTCCCAAAGTGCTGGGATTACAGGCGTGAGCCACTGCACCTGGCCAGAATTGTGGTTCTTAACTGGGAAAAAATTCTCCCTCAGGAGACACTTGACATTTCTGATTGTCATGATTTGGGAGATGTTATTTTTGTCTAGTGGGTAGAGGTGAGGGATACCACTAAAATCCTACAGTGCACAGGACACTCCACCATAAGAATTATCTCGTTTAAAATGTGAATAGTGTCACTGTTGAGAAACTCTTAGCTAAAAGACAAGAAACAATATAAACTCAGAAACTGGTACAATATATTGGTTAGTCAAATTGACTATGAGTTATTACAAAACATTAATAATGCTTGTAAAAAAGGTGGAAATAAATTTGGCAATGGGGATATTTTTGTAAAATCTGCTTGAGGTATGTTGGACATACAAAAAGCTGTACATATTTAATGTATACAATATAGTGAGTTTGGAGATCAGTATATAGCCATGAAACCAACACCACAATTTATGCCATGAACATATTCATCACTTCCAAAAGTTTCCTCCTGTCCTCTTTATTATTATTAATTTGCGTGATAAAAACACAAGTATTCCTCACTCTTGGCAAATTTTTAAGATACAATATGGTACTTTGTGTTAGTTATAGGTACTCTGTTGTACAATAAATCTCTAGGACTTTAATTTGAAATTGCTTTGCTTTTGAAATTCTCTCTTTTTAGAATTTCCCATGTGTAGAAAAGGGAGGCTTCAAAGAATCAATTTTCTTTCTTTTTTAAAAATATTTATTATTATTATACTTTAAGTTTTAGGGTACATGTGCACAATGTGCAGGTTAGTTACATATGTATACATGTGCCATGCTAGTGTGCTGCATGGTGTGCATTCAAAGAATCAATTTTCAATGCCACTTTGACCTGAAATTTCCCATTTTGTGTAACTGAAATTTTATATCTGTGACTAATTGGTGGTGGTGGAGGATTTTTAGTAGTTAGTTAAAGCACGGTAAAAATCTTTGTCTTATTAAAAAGGATAAACATAATAACTTTAGAGTTTATTAAAAATATACAATTAAATATGATTGTTAAAATTTTTGGAATATCAGAAGAGTAGACAAATAATCTAGGATAAAAATAATAACTTTAGACTTTATTAAAAATGTACAATTAAATATGATTGTTAAAATTTTTGGAATATCAGAAGAGTAGAAAACTAATCTACAGTTCCAAACCAGCAAATGAAGAAAAGTAGGACTATAGACAAATATATTAGTTTGATGAAAGTCAAGGAAAGGAATAAAATTAAGCAGAAAAGTATGGAAAACAAAAGACACAAAATAAAATAGAAATAAGTTCAAATATGTCAGTAAACACAACACATGAAAACATATTAAACTCATCTATTATTGATCTCAAAAACATGATGTTGGGCAAAAAAAGCAAGATGTATAGTAATATATATATATAGGATAATAACATCATTTGTGTAAAGATTAAAACATTATCCATTATTACATATATTTGTGTATTATTTATTTTTGAATGAATGTTGATTACAGATAAATACATGTACAGTGAATATTTTAAAACATTAAAAGAAAAGATAGAGCCAGGTGCAGTGGCTTACTTCTGTAATCCCCATGATTTGGGAGGCTGAGGCAGGAGGATTGCTTGAGGCCAGGAGTTTGAGACCAGCTTGGGCAATATGAGGAGACCCCATCTCTACAAAAAAAGCAAAAGACTAGCCATGCACTGTGGTGCACACCTGTAGTCCCTGCTACTGGGAGGCTGAGGCAGGAGGACTGCTTGAGCCCAGAAGTTTGAGGCTACAGTGGGCTATGCTCACACCACTGTACTCCAGCCTGGGAGACAGAGCAAGATCCTGTCTCAACAAAACAAAACAAAAACACCTTCAGGATAGTGGTTTGCTCTGTTCTGGGGTTAGAAGGAGAGGAATGAGACAAAAGAAACCAGGAAACTCCAATCTTTTCTGAAATATTTTATTTCAAAAAAGAAAAACTTCTGAAGCAAATATGAAGAAAAAGTTAACATTTGGATAGCCAGTACACAAATGTTCATGATATTAGCCTTCATACTTTTCTGAACATTTGAAATAAATGTAAAAATATGTCATTACAAATGGATTTAAAAATGGAATGAAAGCTGTCCTAAGAAGAGATGAAAAAAGCATACTTGATAGTAGATTTTAGAGGTAAATCTCCATTTTTTTCTGTAATGACGTTTTCTTGCAAATCTCATTGTATCACTTGTTAAAAATGTGACTAACTCATAATTATTTTAGACTGTTGTATTTAATTATATACTTATTCTCTCTCAAACACATATAAGAAATAGCATCCTAATTTATATAAAATAAACCAACAAAAACATACATAGATTCATAAGCAGACAAATACATTAGTAAAATATATCACGCATTTTTTATATATAAGCAAAATATATCACATATCACAAATATGCCTTTCCCATAGGAGAAGGCAGTGTCTTTAGGACATCATGGAAAGAAACTGCAGACATGGCACATGTAATGGGGAGAAGTCTGTTCCTGTCTCAGCTCGGACACGTGAGGCTCTGGGCAAGTTGTACTACATGTGATCTCACTAGGAGATCAGGTTCCTTGTAAAAACCAAAAGAGGTTAATAACACTTGTCTGACGGTTGAAATGATGAGGATGAAAGCACTATGCAGATTTTAAAAGCAAAGCAAGATGTCTGAAATAGAACGGGTGAGTTTCATTGGTTGTGAAAATTCAGGTAAGAGAAATGTGAATAGAATGTTTAAGCCCCGAATGGTGGGGGCATGGAGGGAGGAGATGCTTGGAAAGTAGAGGAACATTTCTACTCCCTGCTCAACATATACCTTAGGCTAAAGGGCACTAAAACTAATTTGAAGCACTCCATTCCAGAGGGCATCTCCCTACCTGCTGCTAGAATTGCGTAAAAGGCAATGATGCGGGACAGGTCAGTAAGAAATTGGCATTCATTGGAGCTGCTGGCTGATGAATTCAGACAGACCATAAAGTTTACATATATATACGTGTGTATATATATATATGGACACATGTATCAGTGGGAAGTATGCTGAGAAGGATAATTGCTTCAGAGGCTACATCTCCAAATATGCACTCAAGCTGGAGGATTAGCATAACTATCGTCTCTGAATACCTGGGGAAGTGGTAGGTGTACCAGCCACAGGCTAACTGAGTTCTCAAAAATTCTCTGGTCCCTAGCAGTTACTGCCATGCTGGTCCCTGTGGCAGCTGGGCAGCAAGTTAAATTGGTTTAATATAATTTGGAAATCTATAACACTTTTCATTTCCCTATGTATCCCAAAGCACTTAGTGTTTAAAGAAATGAAGTCAGAATTTTCTCAGGACTATAATTGGAGCAGCAAAGAAAAATAACTCAGAGAGCTGTAATGGAAGTGGAAAGAGGCCTCGCAGAAGTCCCTAGTGGTCCATGAAAAAGATGTCTAGACAATTAGAAGCCTCTAATATTCCTAACAACAACAGGTACTGAGTGATTACTATGTGACATGCACCTTGTGGAGTGCTTTATATGGATTATCTCATTTATGCTACACAACCACCCTGAGGGTGTTACTATCATGATATTGATTCTATAGATAAGGACACTGAGGCTTAGAGATCACACAGCTGATAGTCAATAGAATGGGAATGCGAACAGACCTCTGTGGCTTTCCAGAGCCCAAGCTCTTCAACATTATTCTAGTGTTTTTTTGAATCCTGGTCAGCCAAGTACCTTCGTAACTTTTGCCAAATTCAGCTGCCACCTGAGTAATTATTTATTAAATATCTGTTTAACTCACCCTGCCCCCCCTTAAAAAAAACATTTTATTAAAAGATAAAACAGAGATACAGAAAACTCCAGAAACACACATAGGGATGAATGGAGGCAAACACCTTGGTGATCACCAGCCGGGGCAAGAAACTGAACTTTGCTACCCACCTCTGAACCCTGTTCATGTGCCCTCTATCAATCAGAACCCCTCCCTTCTCCTACAAGCAACCACTCTTTTGATTTTTGGATATGTCATTTTAGTTTTTTCCCTTGCATTTCATTTTAGTTTTATTACCCCAATGTACATTTCTGAATCCTGTAGTTTAGAGTTGTTCCTTATAAAAATATATGTCTTTTAAGTATTTTTTGATCTACAGGATCTCCCTCTGTCTTTTTTACTTGCAATTTACTTGCTATAGATCTTGGCTGTTTGTCTTGTGGAGGTTTGCTCAGTCTGGATTTTGCTGATCGTATGCTCACAGTACAGTTCAACATGTTCTTCTGTCCTCCATATTTTCTGTAAATTAGCAATTGGATCCAGAGGCTTGATAGACACAGGCTCAATCCATTTGACAAAACTATTAAGTGTGGTTGAATTCTTTCAGTGAGAGGAGGCACGTAGTATCTGTCGACCTCAAAGCTTAAATCCATTCATTCATTAGCCATTCTACAGTGATGATATTCTAATTCTATTATTTCATTCTTTGCAAGTAACTAATTTCTTCTTACTACGATAAATTCATAGATTTAAACATATTTGAAGGATTTACATCTATTACAATTATTACATTTAATAAAACTCAAAATGTTCTATCTTTGGCCCACTGGAACTTACTTGGTTTGGCTCCTGAGTTCTTTTGCTATGACCCTAGTAGTGTTTGATAGTTTTCTTGCTATCTGGAATGAAAAATATTACAAGATTATCTTGTGATTTCCTGCCTCAGACTTAGAATCTACTATTTCTCCAAAAGCTCTGTTCCTCTAAGTGAAAAGTGATATTTTAAGACCATAATCTGGGCATTAAGGAGGTTTATTATTGCAGTATTGGTCATAGTTTGCAGGCATTTTCTGTGGATAGAGTTAGGAAATAAATAAATTCTGTTACATGTTTAAAAATATAAATTTACAAATATCACATGAATTCATACTGATACTTCCAATTCAAATTCAGGACTATAGAGTCTGCTTAACCTTGTCTATGTTACAGATCTCCTTTCTTCTACACTGATAATTTTGTTTCCTAAGGACATAGGAAATACCAGAATTAGAAAATCCCATGTTACTTATTTTCTTTTTCTCACATTACACATACACCAATCTCAGTGCAATAATGAGCGTGACTCTACTTTTGATGTTTGGCTGCAGACAGCTTTTAAGCCCTTTCTTCTGTCTTTTCCTCTTGCCTCTCTTCTGGGCAAACTGATAACAAAGCTTGCATACTCCCTCTCTTGACACTAGTGGAGAGTTCAAACCATGCAAGCCCCAGACCACACATGGGAATCCTCATCTCAGCCTCACCCCCAACCACAATAAAACTCCAAGCTAGTTCCCCCCCTTCCTTCCTCAGGACAGTTTTGGACCTGCTGGGAGCCTGCCTCGCATAGCACAGAAAGCCTCATGATGTAAGAAACCGTTTCATACCGATTTGATGTGTGTGTGGCAACACCCATCTCAACATTTGACCTATTAATTGGGAGGGGGATCCATCCCATCTCTAAAGGGTGACCTAAACACTTAATATAAATGTTACCATCAAAATAATTTCTAAGAGGGGTTGAAGTTGTTTTGTGTATGTACTCCCTGTTCTTGCCCCTTCATTTTTCTGTAGTTATATCTATATTGTCAGAGTTAAAGCCATTTCATACTCTATTTTTTCTTTTTCAGGACTTATTTAGTCATAGGCATTCAAGTAATTATATATTTACTATTCCAATCTGTGTACAGAAGTATCTCTAGACATTTTAGTGGTCTAAAATTTGTTTTGTAGATTTCTCAGGAAATGTTCATCAGAACAATATTCCCTGAGTTCTTGTATGTTGCTAAATATTCGTGCTCTAGTTAGAGCACTTAGAGGTTAGTTTTGTTTGATATGAAGTCTTTGGGTTATGTTTTCTTTCTTTGAGTGTATTATTAGTGTTTCTCCATTGTCTTCTACTAACTTAAAAACAAGTTAAAAAATAGATTTATTGAGATATAACATATGTGCAATAAAATCCATCAGTTTCCAGCTTCTTGAATGTATTGGAAAGGTTGCTTCATTATTGTGTCACTTTGTATGTTGTTTTATGTGAGAAGATGGAGGGTAACTTGGAATCCATTCATTGTAAGTGATATGGTCTTTTTGTCTGTCATACAGCATTGCTTGCAAAAAGTTGACAATCTAATTTTCTTTCCTTTACAAGTTATTTGCTTTTTCCGCCTACTTAATGCTCAAATAATTTTTTCTCTTTTAAAGTCAAGTAATTGTATGAATATGTGTTGTCTGTGGTTATGCTGAATTGCTATTTTCAGATATGCATTGTGTTCCTTTGATATGTAGTTAGTATTTTTTAATTACAGGGAAGGTTCCTTAGATTATAATTTATTTTGTATTTTTTATGTTCCCTTTGTTTGCTTTGGTTTCCTTCTTCAGGGATGCCTATTATCTGTGTGCTGTATTTTCTTTGTTTATTTTCAGTATTTCTCTCTTTATCTCATTTTTTTGTCTTTCTTCATTTCTGTTTTAAACATTCTCCTTATTTTCACTTTCTCTTGAAGAATTATCTGTTGTATTTATTCACCCATGTGTTCTTTCTTGTTTAGTTCTCATTTCTGAGATTTTTTTATGTGTAATTTTTTTCCTGTGTTCTGTGACCTGATTTCTAAGTTTTTTGTAGTTTTCATTTATGTTATTCTTTCATTTCCTTTTTCATGTTTTAAGTGTCTTTTAGTTAGTTTAGAAATAGTGGGTTACAAGTTTTTATCTGTTTATGGGCATGTTTTTCTGGAAAAGGTGTTATTCTGTTTTTTTATTCTTATTTTTTCTAATAATTACTTTGCGTGGGATTTAACCTCTGTCTTTTTCTCATACTCTTATTTATATAAAATTCATTTCCCAGAAATTTTAGAAAAAGCTGTGCTCGAGTCAAGATAGGTTTTCTAAATTCACAAAGCTCCCTCTTCTGTGCTTTTGTATAGTGTTAAAAAAAACAGCAGTTTGCTTTCTGAGGTCTCCTGGCTGTTAATGTTTTCTAATTTCATCTAGATATTTTTTTCCCTATTTGCTTCCATTCTGCTCAATTTTACTTCCATTCCAGGAGTTTATCTTTAGTTTGAGGTCCTCTCCTGGAAGGGATTCCTACCTAGCCAGTTTTGAGAATTTATAAAAGGTAGCCTTTTCAGTTCTCTTGGGATCTTACTGTAGTTCACTTGTACTCATCCATGATTAGGGAGGGGAAAATCACTCCTAGTTTTAGCTGTTGTTCTCAAATTGGTCTGCCAAGCTTTCTGATTAATGCTTGTGGTTATTTGGGGTTCTCCTCATGTTCTCCATTAATGTTTGGCTTTACTATCTATTTGTTTTCTTTTAGTGTGAAGATTCAGGAAGATTGAAACAACATGCTGTTGTCTTCTGATCCTCCCAGAATCTTTTACTAACCTTTCCTTTTAATTATATTTTTTTGGGGGTGGGGGAGAAAATTTGGTGTCTTGAGATAAAGTTTACTTGTAATAGAATTCACCAATGTTATGTTTCTTGAGTAATCTGAAATGCTGTTTCGCTGTTGAGTTAGTTTGTATATTGCTTTTGAGAAGTTGGAAGCTAATCTGGTATCTATTAATTTTAAATGACCACATCTTTTTGTCTGGAGTTCCAGATGTTTTAAAAAATTAAATTCAGTGTTTTAATAATTCTACTAGGTTTGTCCTAGTGCTAGCCATTTGGGGTCAAAATTTTCAAGGTACACCGTAGGTTTCTTCAATATATAAATTTAATTCTTTCCTATTTCTAGAAAGTTTTCTTGCATTATAGTTTTAAAATTTTATTCTGGTTTACTGTCTTGTTTTTCTTCTTTGAAGCCTCCATTACACACACATTGGGTCTTCCTTTATTATCTTCTACGTATCACTTTCTCTCTAATATCTTTTACCTAATTCTTTATTTTATTTTCATTTTCTTGGTTGTTTTCCCATCTCAATTTTATGTGATATATTAAAAAAATCTATTTTCACTTGAGTGCTTTCTAATCTAGTCTTCATTTCTGAGAAGACTGTCCTTTTTTTCGCTTTTCTTTCCCCAAGTTCAGCCGATTCTCATCTTATGTCATTTTCAGTTTTGCCAATTTCTATTACAAGTTTTAAATTTCTGGCTGAAGGGTACCTTTCTCCTACAAATGCTACTTTAATGATATTTAATTCATGTTGGAGCATTGTGTTACATACAGTTTTCCTCTGCTTCCTGGTTGATATTTCGGAAGGGTTTTTTTTTTTTTTAATGAGATGTTTTTATGTTCACTTTCCATTTTCTTCTTATATTAGCTTTGCTTGGATGTCTCCTGATATTTTCCATTTACATTAAAATGCCTTGGAATTTTTCCAGAGAAGCAACCACAGACGTTTATATAAAGGTGTGAGAGGAGATAAGTCTCTTTTCTTTTCTACAGTGCAGTATACTTTCTTGAATAAATGATCTCTCTTTGGGGAGAGGAAGGGTCCTGGTTTTCTGATTGTGTCTTCTATTACTTCAGTAGAAATTTTATTTTAAACTACTTCCTTCCTGCTTTCCCTTTACTCCCAAGCCACTCTAAAGGACACTACATCGGTCAGGGTCCAGTCAGAAAACTAAAGAATGCAACAGTGATTAGAAATGGAAAGCCTAATATAAAGAATTCTTAACTAGTAATAGTTGAAGATTTAAAAAGATTAAACAGGACTCTCAGAGATCGAAAAGTAGTATGTTCAAAAAAAAACCCAGCTACTACTTCTGGGCTGAGGGAAAGTGGCAGCAAAGAAACAAAGAACTTGGAAAAGCACCTTTATCCTCACAAGCCTGAGATTTAGACTTTTGTAAAGAGGAACATACAGCCTACCTATAATGACAAAGCTTGCTGGAAGGCCTGGGTCAAGTGGCGATCTAGTTGCCTGCTATAGCTGGAGCTGCTGTGGCTCATGGAAGCCACCAACAATCAGCTGCCAGGCAGGTAGAACGTTGAAGGCGCAGCTGGAGTTTCCAAGGAAGGAGCCCATTGCCTGTGTCACAAGTGGTCACTAGGTGGGGACAGAGTAGCCTGAGGGCACAGCCAGAGCTGGTTCATGAGGGCCACTAGGCTGCAATGATGAATAAAAAATGGCAGGCTAGAACCTGGAAGAGAAGTGTGTTCATGTGGTGATCACCTTGAAGTGTAATGTCAGCACCCTCTGTTGATAAAGCCTTGTGTGCCAGCTGGCAAAGGAGAAACGTCTATAGGGTCTGGCTTCAGTATTACAAAGCTGCATAGGAAAGGGTGGATTCAGAGCTGGGAGACAATAAGCTGATAAGTGGTACAGAGTCCTTCCTTTCCAGGTTGTCTTCTTCTCACCCAGAAACAGTGCCTTCCCAATGCTGCCACATTTGAAGCTATATCCTCTCAAGCACCCTTTTTTTCAATTCCCAGTTGTCGGTAGTCTTATTTACTGTCTCAGATATTTTCTCAGTATTTCTCAACTCAGGATGGGATCCTCTCTGGAGGTAAATTTGTATGTATGATGCCATCTCAAAAACATTGTACTCTCCCTTTCTTATTGTAACCCCTGACTCTGCTCTGGCATGAACTACAGTTGTGGCTCTGCTGGTTTCAGATGTGTATTTTCCCACTTATCTGAAAAATAAAGTTTGTACCTTTCTTTGTCTATTACTGTGCAAAAACACCACTTAAGTGGCATGTAGAAATAAGCATTCATTTCTTGGTTATCCATCTTCGGGTCTGCTGAGATTTGGCTGATCTAGGCTGGGCTTGGTTACAAACTGTGGGTTGGGTCCAAGTCTACAAGCCTCTCATCTTGCCCTTTTAGTGCCTACTCCATGCATGCTATATTCATAGCAAAAGACAAGAGTGTAAGAAAATAAGCCCCTCTATAGGAATACATTTCAAATATCTGTTTACAAAACATTCCATAGACCAAAGGCATATGACCAAGTTCAACAACGAGACAGAAAAGTGTTTTCCCCATAGAAGTTGGAAGAGACAGAAAGTGAATATTGGCTGAACAATAATTTGCCATAGATTTCCTTTCTATCTATAAATATCTACATACCTCCCATACTCAAAATATTCTCACTTCCATCCCAAGAGTTCTCAAAGTCTTATCAAATCATGGCATAACACTTGAAATCTAGGATCTTAGGATCTACATCAAATATGCGACTCCTCTTGATACATAGACTTTTGAACCGAGAAGGCAAGTTGTTATCTACCGCCACTCTGCACATATCCAAATATATAATGGTGGAAGAGAAACAGGTTAACTTCAGTAAAAATTCTTTGTTTTGTTTTTTTTTGTTTGTTTGTTTTTGAGACGGAGTTTCACTCTTGTTGCCCAGGCTGGAGTGCAATGGCGCGATCTCGGCTCACTGCAACCTCTGCCTCCCGGGTTCAAGCAATTCTCTTGCCTCAGCCTCCTGAGTAGCTGGGATTATAGGCATGCGCCACCATGCCCGGCTAATTTTGTATTTTTAGTAGAGACAGAGTTTCTCCATGTTGGTCAGGCTGGTCTGGAACTCCTGACGTCAGGTGATACACCCGCCTTAGCCTCCCCAAATTCTGGGATTACAGGCGTGAGCCATGGCTCTCGGCCTCAATAAACATTCTAATTTAAAAAGGGCAAGAACTGCCATCACATAGCACATAGATACTGGTTCTTAGAAATTATGAAATCCTGGTGGGCAAATACCAGATTCCACTACACTGGTGGTAAAAATGTTTCTTCATTAGGCTCTGGTGATGTCTGTGGAAGTAATCCTAAATCCATCATTCCTCACTGTTTTTGGCTCTACCCTTTGAAAGTTCCTTCTTGGTTTTTTATTTGATTTCTATCAACACCAGTGCCAAAAGTCACATACACATACTTTTTGATACATGTCTGTGTCTTTCTAGACTTAAATTGCAGCAAATTTGAACAAAATATGCTTTTATGGAATCATGTTCAAGCTTTCTAGTTGTCCCTTTATTTAGTTAAAAAGGTCTGCAGATGTTACCTTCATCTCTTTAGAGGTATAAGCAAGTATTATAGCCATACCTTTTATTTGATCTTTATCCTGAGTCATGTTTTATTGGAAGCACCCTGGGTTTGGCCTTTTCTCTGACTGAGGTTGTGGTCATAATGGCAACACCTTTGATTTATTAATTAGCACTTTTATTTTCCAAGCCTATAATATTCCTTTAAATATTGCTTGCAAACCAGTTAGTATTTTTCTGATTGAATCTCTTTCATGTAGTACCTTATCAAATGCAGCTACTAGCGATCAGCTCACACTTTCAATGATTTGCCTCAAAACTTCCTCAATCAACACTAATGTTTATTAGGTAAATATTCTGACTTGTAAGATATTGCAGGCCATATTTTCCCAAATCATTTGGCACTGCATAAGACAGATCGCTATTTTTCATTCTTATATGACAATCTCCTTATTGCAAACTTCTCAGCCCCCAAATTAATACCAAATAGTTTAAGTTTTATGGCAGCATCTCACTTCTGGTACTAATTTCTGTATCTGTCAGCCGTTGCTGCAAAACAAATAACCCTAAAACTCAGGTGCATAAAACAATAAACCTTCATCTTTCACTTACGTTTTTGCACGTTGACTGGGATTTAGCTCATCTAGCTCGTAAGGTTTGCTTACAAGCTCAGGTTGTACTTGGGTCCTCTTCAAATGTCTCTTATCCTTTATGAACCAGGTGCTAAATGAGGCATACCATACTCTTCTCATGGCAAAAGACAGGAGCACAAAAGAACTTGCTCAGCTATGCAGGCACATTTCAAGTTTTTGCCTGCATGAGTTCTCAATATGCCACTGGCCAAAGCAATTCACATCCCCACTCTTAATATCAGAGGTGATGGTTGAGATTCTTAGGGGGGAAGGAGAGAGTGAATAGTTGCTGAACATTAATCATTTAATATACTATAATCTGTCTCCTAGTTATGCTACTGTGGGCACAGGTTTTAGCTGTATTTGTTCCACTTGTCTATTTGGTTTTGGAGGGTGTATGAGAAATTTAGATTCAGGCAACTGCCATTATCTTATGGAAATGTAGAAGTTCTCTTTTTAAATCAACTTAAGCATTTCTTTTTTCTTTCTTTACTGGGCCCCAAGTAAAAATATCCCTAAATAAAAGATTTAATGTGTTAGATATATTTTTCTTTTTTTAGATTAAACAATCTTTATTTGAAAAATAGTACCTTACAATCCTAACATTATCTATCAAACTTCAATTAGAGCAATTTCAGGGTCAGCTGATGAACAGTAGCTCAACTAACAAGAGATCAGTCAGAAGTGCCTTAAAGGGAGCAGCACCGGCTGATGTTCTGCCGGGTCTCTGGGCATTTAGCACCCGGCTACCGGGAAAACAGAACCTGACAGGTGCTTGGACCCAAGCCCTCACATCATGACCCTCATGTCTCCTGGGGACCCTGGTGTCTCACAGTCCTCCTAGCACTTCTGGGGCCCTGTAGGCTGAGGGCCAAGCCTCAGGAGCCAAAGGGCCCCTCAGGAAAGGCTGGAACTTGGCCTCACAATCAGCTGGCTTCTGCCTGTTGTAGTCATTCTTTTCGGAGTGCCTGGAGCACTCTCTCAGTGGACACAGCAAGCAGCCATCCAGCCTATCTGGGCCGCTTTCTCATGGAAGAGGATTTCCCTCTGAAAACTGGAAGTCTCTTTCTTTAATTCCTGGGCCAAGTCTTGGGACATCTTGTAGCGGTCGCGGGTCTGACACACACGGTTCCAGTTGTTGTGGACCTTGCAAATTCTCTGGCCGAGATCCAGGCAGTAGGCGTCCTCCTCCGCGGGCTCCCGCTGAGGCCCCATCACATGTTCCTGGTGCAGTTCTTCTCCACTGTGCTGTGAAGCGTGTGGGATGTGCCTTGTATCGGTCACTGGGGGAAGCTCAAGAGGCTTGCTTTTTTGTGCTTTTTTCAGAAGTTCACTTAGATCCTGACGGGATGACCTGCTCATTTCATTTAGAACCCTCAAGCAGAGGGTTCGGAGCGATCAAGGACTGGCCTCCGGCATGGGCAACATGAGGCCACCACTGGCCTGAGGTGTTTGCTGGCCGCATCTTGGCTCTGGCCTTTCTGTGGACCTCACCCTGGACCAAATCCTTTTGGGTCGGCTCCTCCCTTCCTCTGCCTACATGTTTTTTTTGTTTTTTTTTTTTGAGACGGAGTCTTGCTCTGTCACCCAGGCTGGAGTGCAGTGGCACGATCTCGGCTCACTGCAAGCTCCGCCTCCCGGGTTCACGCCATTCTCCTGCCTCAGCCTCCCGAGTAGCTGGGACTACAGGCGCCCGCCACTATGCCCGGCTAACTTTTTGTATTTTTAGTAGAGACGGGGTTTCACCGTGGTCTCGATCTCCTGACCTCGTGATCTGCCCGCCTCCGCCTCCCAAAGTGCTGGAATTACAGGCGTGAGCCATCGCGCCCGGCCTTCTCCCCACATGTTGCCTCCTGACCGTAGAGGCCACCACAACAGTGCACGCCCAGATCACGCAGGGTATCCATAGATTTGCTGGCACTAGTCCCGGGCTTCTGTACATCACTAGGGCTGCTGCCCACAGGTGGGCCAGCAGCAGCTGAGTAGGCATGTCGTGGCAGGCAGCAGGCCCTCTGAGGCTCCTGGGGGCTTTGCAGTTCTACCTGCAGTTGCTAGTGGCTCGTGAGTCATGAACAAAGGCCCACCAACCGGATTAGACTGTCCATTGGACTGGGGGAAGGGGAAGCACCCCATCCCGTGTTCTAGAAAACTGTGTCCTTGATTTTGCTGGGCAAATAGAAAGTGTCATTACTTATATGATGCCTTGGGGGAGTGGAAAGAGTTCACAGCAGCCCCTAGCTCAGGCCACTCCAGGCCCCACCTGGCCCTACAGCACAGCTAGCAGGTCGACGCAGGGCCATGCCATAGCCCTGTGTCCACACACGATCCTCTCAGAGCAGCGTGCTGGCCCGTCCCTGCTGAGGCTCATTACCCTGATTTCAAGTTTCCTTCTGCTGCAGGGAAGCCTGGTCCAGTCTGCAAAGAGTCTGTCTCCCTTCCTAGATTAAGCTCCTTAAAAAAGGAACTAGGCTTTCTTTGTCTCCCTGTCCCCAGTAGCTCGCCAATGCCCAGTATACACTAGGGGCGCAGTCGCTGTTTGTCTTGTTTTCTTGTGGACTCTTCTCTAAGGACATGTCACTTTCCTCTCTTGACTTCCATATTTAGATCTGTGAATAAGAGTAAGTAGGTAAAGACACCTCTGGCTTTAAAACTCCTCCAGTATAGAGAGAACTCTGAAGCCAGAACCGGAAGCTGAGGAGTGGTGAATAGAGCGTTTTCCCCGGCATGATGAGAGGACCTATAGATCTGGCTGTTAGGGTGGTATCCTGCCAGTTGAATGCCTCTGCAGAATTTGACCCTAGTTTTCAAATCAGACTCAAGAATAATCTTTAGTGTTGGTGACTTTGTGTTGTTTTTGTGGTTGTTGTTTCTTTTGTTAAGACTTTGTTATAGACACACAGCTTCTGGAAATCTTTTTCATGGAGAGTATCGGTATGTCTTTGGCCAAATTGTGGGGGTGCAGGCTCCATCTGCTTGGCAGTTGCTGTCTGGGCCACAGCATATCTGCTGCGTCCTACTCCTCTACAGAGGTTTCTTCAGACACTGTAGCGTGACTGGCCATGTCATTTGTCACAGGTGTAAAAACAGTGACAACCGAGAGCCTGAAGCTGCTGGGATGAGTGCCCAACGCAGAATCCTGTTCCCTGGCAGGCATATTTACACTGCGCTCCAGTGCTTGGGCCTGCTCCTTCCAAGAAGACAGGATGCCAGGATGGCCGGGACTCCGCTCGCTGGGACACCATGGTCTTTGTGAGCAGCAGGCCTGAAGTGGTGAAAGCCATCATGAAGGTGAGGGTCAAGTGCTGAACGGTCACTTTAGAAAGGCAGCGGCCTGGCCTTCTGTGACAAGCAGAGTGAATCGGCCTCCATCTCACCCTTGGTGCCACTATCTTGTTGCCACTTCCCTTGAGAGCACTGTGAGCTCTTCCTCAGGATCCACTTTTCAGCTTCCCTTCACCCCATTTTCACTGGGTGGTGGTGGCAGCCTCTCTGGCCTTGCCAGGGACTGGGTGCAGGGAGGGGCAGCCAAGGGCGTGAGGCAGGTGGGCAGCCTGTGTAGGTGCCTCTTGCCCTTTCCACCCAGACAAGAAATCCACTCTAGTCAGTAAGTGTCTCTTCATCCTATGGGTGTTAATAGCCTGGGTGAGAGGTTTGGCTCCAGTACTTGGCAGGCAGTAGTAACACTTACACAGCACTTGCTATGTCTGAGAGGTGCTCTAAGTGCTTCACACATTAGTTAATTTAATCCTCACAACTCTGACATTAGCACTATTATTATCTCCATTTCACAGATAAGGTAAATGAAGCACAGAGAATGTAAGCAAGTTGCCCAAAGTCATGTAGTTAATAAGTGGCTAAACTAATCTGTTGTTCTCTCTCTAATGGTAAGCACTCAATAAGGATTTTTTGAGTGAATGAATGTCCTAAATCCATTATGCAGTGTTTTAGTCAATTTTGTGCTGTCATAACAAAATTACCCAAGACTGGGTAATCTATGAAGAACTAAAATGGATTCCTCACATTCTGGAGGCTGAGAGTCCAGGGTGAAGGCACTGGCAGGCGAGGGCCTGATCTCTGTTTCCAAGATGGCACCTGCTGTTGTGTCCTCTGGAGGGAGGAGCGCTGTGTCCTCACACAGCAGGAGGTCAAGCTCCCTGAATGCTTCATGAAACCACTTATAAAAGAACCTTAATCCCATTCACCAGGGAGAAGCCCTCTTGGCCTAATCACTTCTTAAAGTCCTTACCTCTTAATACCATCACAATGGCCATTAAGTTTTAATGCCTAAAGTTTGGAGGGGACACATTCAAACCACAATGTATGATTAAGCAGAAAAGGTCAGTCAGAGTTTAGGGCCACTGTATGGTGTTTTGGAATGATAGGACACCTTACAGAATAGTCTACCTCTCTGAAGTGTTAGGATATGTTTGTTTCATAAAGGAATATCAAACATCCCACCTCCAACAGCTATTAAAGCAATACTCTATTTAAAAAGAAATACATGCAGTGTGCTGTTTATTTGAATCTTTGCCTGCAGATGGGCATTAACTCACCACTAGACAGAAATGAACATTCTTCTCTCTACTGGACTGCATTCCTTGCTGAAACAATATCAGACACTCCAGTGAGAGATTTATGTGGACCCTGAATGGGTCAGGAGCTCCAGGCACAATCCTGAGGCACCCTTAGAGACAGATGATCACTTTTCTTTTTCCTTTCTCCCTTAGGCAAATATTAACTCAGCTGGCTCTTAGAATTTATTTGTGCTTAAGATAAATTAACAAGAACCAAAGAGCCTTTCTCAGGTGTTGGTACCAGGCTAGAGTGCCCTGAAGACAGCAATCCATTTCAATTCCAATATCACTGCCTTTCAGGCCACATGCTGGGAGCCCACAGAGTTTGCCACGGTACTCGGGCCAAGTACCTTGCAGGCTTCTGGAGCTGGGAGCCCCTCACACTTTGAGGCTTTAATATAGATTTCTCTGCCTGCTCACCTGTATATAATTGTGAGGGGCATTAGAGCAAGAAAGAATAATGTGACCTTCAGGGGCTGTGAAAACAATTGTGTCCTCTATGAATTTGTAGGTTGAGTGATGAGGCAAATTAGGGCTTTAGCTTTTTCTTCAGGGTGAAGCACCTGAGACCTTGAGTTACCTTGATAATATTTCATCATTATTTCCTATTACTCAGTAAGAGCTCTGTCCTGCCCCTTCTTAATTAAAGAATTCAGAAGTCCTTGAAATAAAATTATGTTTGGGACTCTCATCTCCTGCCCCAGTTCTGCTCCTCTCCCATCTCAGTGTAGATAAGGATCAAAGACAAATCCTAGTCTGACCAAAAGCCAAATAAGAGAATATATGTCACATCTGTTTAATGAGTATTTATTGAGCACCTACTAGATATTTGGAGAATTTTGGTAGAGCCCTATTGCTTCAGGCCAGGTCCTTGGGACAGTAGGCAAAGCCAGGCAAACCTGGATTTTATTTCTGATCCAGCTGTGTGACCTGGCTAAATTAATTTCCCAGTTGCTTCATCAGCAGATATGAGATTATAATTTTTTTATCATTTTAATTGACACAAAATAATTGAGCATATCTATGGGGTACAGAGTGATATTTTAATACATGTATTCAATGTGTAATGATCAAATCAAGGTCCTTAGCATATCCATCACCTCAAATATTTATTATTTTGTTGTGTTGGGAACATTCAGAATCCTCTTTGAAAATATACAATATTTGAAAATATACAATAATATACAATAAGTAGACAATAAATAATCATTAACTGTAGTCACCTACCCTGCTTTAGAACACTGGAATTCACTCTTCCCATCTTTCTAGCTGTAATTTGTATCCGTTAACTCTCTTTTCCCTATGACCCTTGCCCCTCTACCCTTCCCAGCCTCTAGTAGCCTCTATTTTACTCTCTACTTCTATGAGAGTAACTTTTTAAATTTTCCCATATATGAAAGAGGACATGTGGCATTTGTGTTTCCGTTCCTGACTTTTTTCACTTAACGTAATGTCCTCCAGGCTCATCCATGCTGCCATGAATGACAAGATTTCATTCTTTTTTTTTTTTATGGCTGTATAGTATTGTGTTGCGTCTATATACCACATTTTCTTTATCCATTCATCTGCTAATGAACATTTAGGTTGATTCCAGATTATAATGTTTATACTGTGAATCATACATACTTTATGTACAATGTGTAGCATAGACAATTCCTCATAATAGAAGCTCAACAAATGTTGGTACTATACCATTGCCTTTCCTGCTCTCCTTTTCTCACTCCTCCCCAGGTACAGAGATAACAGAGGTAACTAAAATACAATCCTTGTTCTTGAGGGGCCAATCTAGTGGGGAAATACATTTGTAAGGAGAGATACTCCAATGAAATTTGGTGTCTCCAGAGAAGAATGCACAACCTGCCATGAGAAACCAGAGGAGGAAGCAGCTGATATTCTAATAAAATTAAAGCTGGAGACATTTTAAAAGTAGTATAGCTCAGCTTCCTCTTTTACAGATGAGAGAATCCAGGTCCAGATAAGTCATGTGACTTATTCAAGGTCATGGCACATTTGTGGCAGAGCTGGGTATAAAGCTCAGAACTCGATTTCCAGCTTCTTGCTTTGTCACACAGAATATGCAACAGGGATTGAAACAGGAAGGAATAAAGATTTTGCATCAAACAGGACACAAAGCTGGAATGAGAGTAGCTGCATCTAGATGCTGGAAGAGAGTCCTGGAGCTGCAGAAATCCAGGGATGGCCTGGTGCAGGCAGAGCCTTGTGTCTGCTCTGTAATTGGGAGCTTGAGTCCAGTTCATGCTCTGACAGTCCCCATACCCTTTCAGAAAGTAGGTTTTCTGTCCCAGAAGCCAAGCTTAAGAGGGAGTTCTGCAGGACAATTCATTGTAAGGAAGGACTTGGCTGAGGGAGAGAGCTAGGAGGAGGAACAAGTATGTCCTTGATGTTGGAAACCACCAGGAAAGGCATCGAGGACTTTGCCCATGCCAGGGAGCTTGCAGTGTGAGATAAAACTGTGTTTGAATCTGAGGCGGGAGCATCATTTTCCTGTGATCCAAATTAAAGCTTTGGAGGATGCTGCTTTTTAGCAAATGTCTGGGAATTATCCAAGCCTAAGGAATTGTCTTCAGAGATCCTTACCAGGAACCTAAAGAAGCTCTCCCTCTCCCTCCTGCAACAGGAGAGCCCAGGGAGCTCTTGAGGCCAGAGGGTAGGAGGGGAGGCAGAAGTCTCTGTGGGTGTCTTCACAAGGGTGCAGGTGGCTTTCAGATTAGCCACAGAAATATACTGGTAGGTATATATATTTATGGGTTACATGGGATATTTTGATACAGGAATGCTATGTGTAATAATCACATCAGGGAAAATGGGGTGCCCATCACCTCAAGGATTTATCATTTGTTTAAGCCAGCATCTACTTTACAATTCCTCATCTCCCAAGGCTACATAATTACAGTGAGAACTTTAAGAAATCCACGTTTACGTGTGTTCTTTTGGCTTAAATCCCCTTCCTCAGCAAAAAGGCAAAGAGGGCACAGCTGTTTGCCTTCAGCACTCTCCTCTCTATATCCAACCACATTTAGGGCAGCTTTCCATGGCTTTTAAAATTCCTTTCTCTTTTCGGTCTGCTCCTTTATATCCTCATTGCCGTATAGAAATAAATATGAGGCAGAGTCCTATGCTTTTACAATTCCAAGGAAACCTACAGAGCGAGGCTGTGGAAACTGATTTTCCACTTTACCGGGGCATTATCCAACATGTTGGGTGCAAACGGGCACCTTTTAGCCTTTTCTTAAATTTGCATGACCTGTAATGTCTATACAGATTATGAATGAGCCTGAGGAGTCTGCATGTCTAACTTGTCATCAGCCTGGAAAAATCAAAATGTGTAGGTAAAGTGAGCACAAGATTTGGAAAAGCAAGGTGTTTGGATGTAAGAGAATAAACTCTTAGCCCTTTTGAGCATGAGTTCCTCAGCTGCAGAACAGGATTGAGAATCCTCACCTGAATTGGCCACTCTGAAAGTGAAAGCTAGCTAGATAAAAGTGCTTTGAAAAGGTAAAGAAAGGTGATGATTTAAAGCTGGTTAATGCTGAATTATGGAGGAGCTCTTTGGAAATTCTTTTTTATCTATATAAATGACAGAAATTTAGTGTGATCCATGTGGCTAGCACCTGTCACATGTCGTCTGCTGGCATTGATGCCTCACATCTTCCTCAATTTTCTGCTTCTTTTTCTCAATTAAAGCCGTCTGTCCACTCTTCAGCCTCTGAATCCTCCAAGCAATTCTTTCCTCTAGTCTTAGTGGATTTCCCAGGGGAGGAGCTCGTGCAATCCAGCAGAATGTGTCTACGAGCGCTCTGACTCTTCCAGGGAACGATTCCTCATTCCCAAATCTGTTGCTAGAGATAAGCAAGAGATTATACATTCCTGAGACCTGGGCATTACTTGAGTATCTAGGGGAAAATCAAGAATACTAAGGGGAAAAGGAGAGAAGGACAAGAGCAGCACATTTTATTTGCATCAGGCAAAATTGGGAAGTTGCAGAGAAAATGTTGCCCTTTGACTGCATGGAGGAAGACGGAACATCAATATGAAAATGGCGCTAAAGAGGCATGGGCTTTTCATGGTGTTTTCTTACTTCAGCTGCTATTGTTCAAAGAAGGTCAGTGGATCTCAGACATTTGAAGGTGGCACCTCTCCCATGAGAGTAAGAGCCCAGCTGACATAGGCCACTGGCTACATGGACCACTACTGGGGGCTCTTAACATCACAGCACCTGTTTCCTCATCTGGAAAACAAGGGGCTGTAACTACATCTGTGGCTTCCAACTCTCCCCTACTGGGAAGAGAGAGCTTCGTCAAACCTCAACCCTCTCCCCCTAGCTCCTGTATCTTTTCTCTAGTTATTTTGTCTCTGTCATCTTAGTCTCCTCGGTGCTCTCTGCTACCTGACTGCAGCAGGATGACTTGTCCCACCCATCTGTCCCATGGAGCCAGTCCTGAGCCTAGATTGAGTGGGTCCTCACCTCCATTGTGTGATATAGGCTGTATGTGTGTGTGCATGTGTGTGTTGGGGGAGGCTGAAATGACTTCTTTCCCTAAATGTCTCTCCCATGCCAAAAGTTTTTCCATTGATTATTTATTTTTATCTCTTTATAAGACAATTTTTTAAAATATCAGAAACAGCAGGAGCAATCATATGGGTCTAATCAGTCATTGACGCTTTCGAGTCTATAAATCTTTCCTTGTAGCAGGTTCTGAGGAAGGTAGGGGGAGATTGAAGGAAAACAACCCCTTCATATTTTAGTCCAAAGCTGTTGTTCATAGGTTATTCATCTGGTGGCCCAGGTGCTGACACAGTGACGTGCTTTCATGCCAGTTCCACAGCCAAATTGCAACCATGTGGAAGCTGGAAGCGTCTTGTCATCTCAGAATTGGGCACATCCAGTGGGGTAAAATCTGAAGCCAGAGGGGCAGAACTAAGCTCACAGCATCTGTTTACTGAGTTTGGGATTAGAAGAATTTTGATTTAAATGTGCACTATCAGTAGTTGCTTGATGAAAACAATACCCAGCATTTTGTGTTTTTACTGTCCCTAAGGCAACTCTGGTCCAATGAAAGTGAGAGTCTAAAAATCCCAGGATTATAGGTAATAGGACCTACCCTTCCATATCTGTGCAGTTTATATGAGTAGAACATGATTTTAATTTTCTATTGCCCTCATCCTTGCTCTTATATCCAAATACCCAGTAGCATGATCAGGAGCAAGGGAACTAATTTTCAAATATTAGCAAAGTTATTCAAGGGAATGGACTTTCTGTGGCTGCAGTTGGCACGTCTTTTTCAGAAAGCTTGCCCGTGGCTGACAGCCTGCTTGGCACAGTTCCTCCGGAGTCCTTTGGTGATGGAGAACAGGGCTGACAGGATTCAAATGGCCAGATTCCACAGAGGCCAAGGAGGGCCACAGTCTGCAAACCAGGGGAGATTGAGGCCTGAGAAGGGCATCAGCTGATGGAAATATTCACTCTAGGAAAACGAGGTGTAGCCAAAGAGAGTCATTTAGGAGAAGCAGATTGAAAGCAGCTGTGAAAAATCCTGAAATGAGGATATGGAATAGTGCTGGCCACCTCCGCATATGCCCACATGGAAACACACTTAATCAGCAGAGCTGGGCCTATGTGGAGATGCTGAGCCGGAGGCTCCTAGGTGTTAAGCACTTTTCTATGTGTAATGTGGTGGAAACCACCCTAGACTTTTCAGCGCACCCAAAGCAATAGAATTTTAACTGGGAGGGAATTATCCAGCCAGGGACTAGTTTCTGGCTTCTTTTGGAACTCAGTGTGGTTGTATGGCTAAGCTCTCACCAACAGAATGTGAGTGGAAGTGATGTGAGCCACTCTCAGACCTGACCATGAAACTTGGCTCATAGGCTCCTCCATACCACCCCACCTCCGCCCCACCTTCCTGCTTGGCTGGAATACAAACCTTGCAGTAACCTTGTGAGCAACGTGCTGAAAATAATAGAACTAGCATCTCCTGGGTTCCTTGAAGGATGCTTGGAGTAGAAGGCCCACCACCTGGCCTGTTCTAGACTATTTACATGAAAGAGAAAAAACCTTTTACTCTTCTCAAGGCATTGCATTTTGGGTCTTCCAATTGGCACAGTTTAGACCATGTTAACTAGTATATACAATAACTGGGCAAAGTAGGTGATGTCATCATTTTATAGGCTAAGAACCTGCAGCTCTGGGAATTTAAGAGATTTATTTATTTACCCAATATCAGGATACGAATGTGGAGTCATTATTTGAACTGAAGTCTGTCAGTTTAAACATTTATCTCCCAGAAGTTCAGACCTCCAGAGCAAACAGGTAGCAACAGATGACTTGAATGAGAGAGGGATCTCTGATTTGGCTACCATGTCCACTAACTCAAGCCCAAACTCATACCACCTCTTTCCACAGCTCCAGCTGCTGCACTGCTGAACTTGATCTTCATGCTGGAAGAATATGACAGCTGGAATGGGTCCTAATAATCACCCAGCTCAGTGGTTTTCAAATTTCATTTGGCAGAAGAAACACTTCTAATGAAATCTAAAACTCAGAAGCCCTGTGTGTAAAACAGTCCAAAGCAGACCTTGTCTCTTTGAAGTGTGGGCCTGGAACCTGGCCTGTTTCCCACTCACCTCCACAGCCTCTGAGTCCCTCCAAGCAGGTCAGAGAACAACTGATCTGGGTCAGCCCTTCGTTTCAGAGGTAAGTAAATAGTGGAGCATGAAGTGTCTTCATCAGGAACACACAGAAGGTAAAAGGCAGGGTGGGAACAGGAACCCAGCCTTCTGGCTTTTGAATTTAGGAATCTTTCCATTGTACTGGTGTATTAGAGTTCTGTAGAGAAACAGAACCAATAGGAGATTAGATAGATATAATACAATGAATATACCATAATTATACAAATAATAAAGGATTGGCTCACATGAATTTGGAGGCTGAGAAGTTCCATGATATGCCATCTGCAAGCTGGAGGCCCAGGAAAGCTGGTGCCTCCAGTCCAAACCCAAAGGCTTGAGAATCAGGAGTTCTGATGTCCAAGATCAGGAGAAAGATGAATATCCCAGCTCAAGCAGCCAACAAATTTGCCCTTCCTCTTCCTTTTAGTTCTATTCAAGTCTGCAATGGATTGAATGAGGCCCACCCACATTGGTGAGGATGATCTCTTTACTAAGCACATTGATTCAAATGCTAATCTCTTTTGGAAACACCCTCACAGCCACACCTAGAAATAATGTTTTACCAGGTACCTGGGCTTCCCTTAGCCCAGTCAAGTTGACACAAAAGATTAACCATCACAACTGGATTTCCTCTTTTGAGATACCAGCCCTTGAACCAGCTGCAGATTCAAGATGCCCAGCAAAGGCAGAATGGCAGAAGGGTCAGAGTTACTTGTTATATTAACATTTTGATTTCTGTGTAACAAATAACTGTTAAGCACGTGTTTAATTGAGAAGACAACCCAAGCAGGCTAAGTGTGAGCAACAAGGCTTGTTTATTCACTTGGGTGTGAGCCGGCTGAGTCCGAAAAGAGAGTCAGCATTGAGGAATGAGGAAGAGGGGGTTTTATAGGCTGGGGTAGCAAGTGGAAAGTTACAGAAGGTTACAGCTGGGGGTTGGTCGTTATAGATTTGGAGGGATGGTTAACCGGCTGGAACAGGAACTTGCTGTTTTTCTTCTTTGCGGTCATTCTTTTGTTGCTTTGGGCCTCTTTGTTCCAGGGAGCTATCTGGAGGTATACGTGCTAGTCACAGAGTTCACTTCTGGAGGTGTACATGTTGGTCACAGAGTTCATAATGGCCTGGCGATAGTGCAGCCACACTTAGGGAGCCTAACAATTACCACAAACATCATGGCTAAAACAACACCTACTTATTATGATCTCAGATGTCTGTAGTCTGGGTGGGCTCATGCTGGGTTCTTTGCTCAGTGTCTCACAGGGCTGAAATCAAGGTGTTGGCTGAGCTAGGTTATAGTCTGGAGGCTCCGGGAAGAATCCACTTCCAAGCTTATTCAAGTTGTTAGCAGAGTTCAGTTCAGTTCCTTGTGGTTGAAGGACTGCAATTCCTGATTTTTGCTGGTTATTGACTCTTGGTCACTCCTGGCTTCTGGACACTGCTCTCTTGAGGTCATTCCCTATAACTCCCTCCATGCTACCAATAGAGAACCTCTTTCTCATCAAATCCCTCTCATATTTTATTTATCTCTCACTTCCCCTTCTGCCACTAGCTAAAGAAAGCTCTATAGCTTGTTAGGTTACACCCATCTGGACAATCTCCCTATTGCAAAGTCAACTGATTAGTAACCTTAATTACACCTGCAAATCCCTTTTGACATGCAGTATAGCATAATCATAGGAATGACATCATAGGGTTAACGGCATGGGGGCCTGCTTAGAAATCTGCCTACCACATTTGCATAGTTACAACTAACTCTAGAACACACCACCTTCTCTTGAGGCCTCTGAGAACAATGGTAACATGGTTCTCTCCTATGACCTCCTAACAGCTTTTGCCAAATTCTTTCTGCTAGCTTCTGGGTAGGATAAAACAGCCTGATTATGCATTATTTCTAATTTAACATGGTTTGTGAGGCAAAGCAGGTATTAGACTCTGTAGGGTGTGTTCCCAGCCTTAGCCCTCCCTACAGCCTATTTCTGTCCACACATAGGAAGGCAGGAGGCAGGCCTGAAATCCTGGGGCTATCAGAAAAGGTGGGGCGGCAGCGGGGAGTTCTCTGTTCCTCTGGTGGCACTCACAAAACGACGATCAGAATAATCTTCTCCCTTTGTAGATGACTCCAGAGGGGAGACAGGATTTAACCAAAGCTAACTAGCAGAACTAGTTGGAGCTCTTAGTTTGGTGTTCTTTCTGCTACTCACAGTCAATACTAGAGTCAGCTGGTTTCTCTGTTGATTCTTTGCCCTGGCTTCTAGGTGATCTCAGAAAAGCCTTCCACAGTGTCTTCAGTTTGTTTCCTGACCCTGGCCCAGCAGGTAGGATTGCTGGCTATGTTATCTAGGCCTAGGAAGCATAAGAAATTGCCTAGTTAAGGCATCATGCTGACAGAGTCTGACAGAGTACCCCAGAGAAGCTGCCTCCCACTAGCTATAGAAGACAACAGAGGTAAGAAGACAGGCAGGGCTTGAAAAGATGTTGGAGAGCAGCAAGTGGTATGGTTAAGTTCCCTGGTTTCTGTTTTTTTGGTGTGTGTGTGTGTGTGTGTGTGTGTGTGTGTGTGTGTGTGTGTGTGAAAATGGGTTTGGCTTTGCAATGTGGATCCCAAGGTCAGATCAAGGTCTGTATGTGAGACTGGAGGCTCCAAGGCTTGTGGGAGGTTTCTGGGGGCAGGACCTGAAAAGGCAGGTAGATAAGAGAGAGGATATTTTATGCTTTATGGAATATTTGCATATACGTTATCTGATTATTTTTTCAGAAGTGAGAATTAAAACAATAAAGGATAAAAGAAATAACGTGACACATAGAGCAGCCTGGTGGTCTTGAGGTTGATGCAGAACCAATTTTTTGAGTAAATCCCACCTCCCTGCATTTCCTCTGACCAACTAAGGGGCTGGTTAAGAATCTTTGCAATTACTTCTATTCCAGTGAGTCCTGGAAAATATATGCTGGCCTCTAGTGAGGGATACCTGCTACCAGTGATATCCCAGTTTTGCTGATGAGGAATTTGTTTCTAATAAGTCAGATCTCTCTGGAGATAGAGACATAAACCACAAGAAGGGGGCCACATGTAGAACTTTCCCCAGGGTCTCTTGAATTGTGTAAGGTCAGCATTGGCAACACCCTCACCCGACTAAATAACTCTGCAAGGTCCATATCTCAAACTTTCTCTTCTCCAAAAAGAATATCTTGGAGGGAAAACGTGCTGGAGAGATGGAAATGGGCCAGGACTCTAGGGCAGATGCTGGAGGAGGTGGCTGCACTGGCAATCTCTCTGAATCAGATGCTCTGAATATTCCTTTGAGTTTGGGTTGCTGGGTAGAGTAGAGGTAAAAGCAGAATTTACAGGTACAGGTTTGGGAGAGGGTAAATCACCAGAGGATGTCCAGACCTAGGGAGGCTCTTTTTGCAGCAGAGAAAGTCTCCAGATTTTTGGCTGGAGGCCATCCCAGGCCCACTGTTTTCTCTGTGAAGTCCAATATCTGGCCATTGGGCTGGCCTTCTGGAGAGGCCTTCTGGCTTAATCCAGACCTAGGGCACCCCAGTCAGAGACAGTGGGAGGCCTCTGGTGTTGTCAGGGATCTTCACTGCCAGCTTCAGTCTTCTCTCCCAGCTCTTCTGTTCCCTTCGAATGGATGCAGTTTATAATGGGCCTATTAGAGCCCTAATTGAATGGTTAACACACCAGCCATTAGCAGCTGCTAATGAGGGAATCCAGGGGATTACGGTATCAATTACCAAGTTTGACTTCTGAATGTGGCTCTGCCAACAGTGGGTTCTTATGAGAGTCTTTAGAAAGCGTGACAGAGAGGGGGAAGAGAGCCATGCACACACAGTGTGACTGTGCCCTGCCTGTACCCAAGATAAGCTCTTACAGCTGTCCACACTCATGTGACTGCACAAAACAGGTTCTGGGGCAGTTTATCCACCCATGATGGAGATAGCATTCATCCCAAACACCTGCACACCTCTCTCCCAGGTCTTTTTACCCTCCATACAACACATGTGCTTCTTTGCCCCACAGCCATTTTCTCCTTCTCTGCTCCACTGCCTTCTATAATCCATGCTAGCTTGTCTTTGGCCTTCTTTCACACTTTCAATCGAGATCATTCTCAAGTTTCCCACTGCCCACATCCTATCAGTCACTGAGCCCTTGGAATCCCATCTTTTAAACATCTCTTAATTTCATCTCTTCCTTTCCCTTTCCTTCCTTCCCTTCCCTTATTTTCTCTTCCCTTCCATTCCCTTTCCTTTCTCCATTTCTTCTTACTTTCCTTTCTTTCTTCTTCCTTGCCCTGCCTTTCTTTCCCTTCCCTCCCTCCCTTCCTCTCTTGTTTCCTTCCTTCTTTACTACGATTGCCTTGGTTCAAGCTCTTGCCATCACCATGGCAATAGCTCCAGGAGAGTCAGAAACCTGGTCTCTCCGTCTCTAGTTCGTCTCCTTTCCCATGTCCAAATAACCCTCCATGTCTTTTTAAAAGGCAAATTTGATTGTCACTCCTTAAAGCCCTTCAGTGATCCCTATTGCTCACAGGATAAAGCATAAGTTCCTAAGCATGGCACGATAGGGGGCCCATGATCTCCATCCTCCCTCCATCTCCACCTCATATTCCACCATTCTCTGCTTTTCAGACTGAGCTGAAGCTGTAGTGATCTGCCTGCCCCTCTTCCAAAGGTCTAAGCTGTTGGGCGCACCTCTCACTTAGCACATGCAGCTATGTCTGCCCGCTGTGCCCCTGCTCTCTTCATCTGTGAAACTCCTACTTATCTTTTAAACCTCATGTATGAAGTCTTCCTAACTCATTCCTCTTACTCATGTGCCTTATATGTATTTCTCTCACTGTACCTATTTATACTAGACTTATATGATTCATTTGTCTCTCTTGCTGTTCTGTGAAGTAATATACTATATCAATGTTTATTTTTGAAAGCCCATTGTCTAGTGCAGTGCCTGGTACATCATACACATTCAATAAGCTACTACTACTCTAGTGTGTGTTTAATTGGTGGATTAGAAAATTGGTGATGGTTTTCACAACTCATTTCATGGATCTATATTGACATGTATTTTATTATTCTATGAGGGACTGTTAGTTGTTCACAGTCTAATTCTTTTGGACTCAAAGAGAACTGTAAAGCAATACAGTTCTCTTTGGGTCCAGAGAACTCCCAACCCTCTGCCCCAGTAGCTCAGTGCACAGGCTTGGGGTCTGTGAATACTCTTTGAATTGAATTTAAGTTCACAAGTGTTTATTGAGCTCCCTGTTCTGCTTAGACCCTAGAAGGAGGTACTTGGGAAAAATATCAGAGATTTAAGAGTTGTACTTATCTTTAAGGTCCTTCCAATTATTTTACCACCTAACTGTGCATAATCATGGACAAATACACGAGTTCTGTGCTCCTCAATGGTATCAGGATATCAATTGTGAAAGGGTGCTTTGCAACCCTAAGGGGATTCAGTGTAATAATGATAACAGCTATGGTCCATTTACCGCCTACCATGGCCATAACTGTGCTGAATGCTTTGGTCTGTGATTTACCTGTACACCTGTGATTTGACTGTCACAACTACCTCGGGTGGTGTGTAGTCTTATGCCCAGGTTACATATGAGAAAACTAAATCCTACGGAAACTGTTAAGAGGCAGAGCCAGGACTTACACCAAAGTCGACCTGCTGCTAAAGCTCTAGGCTGTCATCCCATGGTGATCTACTGCTCTATCACTCCGTGTGGTAAATATCAATCAATCACTCCATCTGGGAGGGAAGCTCTGTCCACTCCTGTCCTTCCTCTCCATCTGTTAACACTTTGCAATCCTGCTGATGGTCCACACATCAAAGCCTGTCAACTTGGACAAAATGAGATTAAAAAGCAGATATTAAACAATTGCCTAAAGTCAGAAGCTTTGTTTCAGCCTACAACTCATTTAGGTTAGGGACTTTCTGTATTGAATTACAGAGTCTCAAAATGAAGAGATTCAAGCTTCATGAGGGAAGAGACTGTTGTTCCCTGCTGTCTTCCCCACATCTAGCAAATTCCTGGCACATAAAGAATACCATGAATGGTAGAAACAGAAATGTTACTCTCTTGAAACATACCTATACCAGGGATAACTTCTCCTCTATAAACCCAATGAGAAAATCCATAGCAGAGTCTATGTGACCTTCAGAGTCAGAGGCCAGGAGCTGCCTGCTTCCCCAAGCAGCCTCTATATAAATCAGAAAAGTATCTAAGACAGGTCTCAATTTTGAGGTTTATTTTGTGAAGGTTGAGGACATGCTCAGGCAAAAGAGACACAAGCCACAGTAGGATCTGTGGCCCACACTTTTTTCAGAGCAGGTTTTGAGGGCTTCTGTTTTAAAGTGGAAAAAGTGAGCAAGAGGGAAAAGAGGAAAGAGGAAAAAAAAGAGCAGGGTACACAAATAGGACGGCGGCTACATTCTTTTGAGGCTTTGATTAGTGCTCACTGAGTCCACATGTTGCATGTGAAAGGAGGGTAGAGGAACCATCCATTATGTATTCATCTTGCTCTCAGTAAACCTGTCCCTTACATAAGATAAACGTAGAGTAGAGGGAGAAGTCAAATATGTATTGCCTTGGGGTGGGTGGAGGAATGATTTCTGCTTTCCTTTTGTCCCATACCCAGAAGATAAGCTGTTAATTTACGTGGTGGGGAGATACCTGTTTAGGAACACATACAAAGGCAGTTTTTTTGCATGACTCAGTTTCCAAGCTTAACTTTTCCTTTAGGCTTAGTGAGTTTGGGGTGAGGAGAGTGTATATTCCTTTTACACTCTGTATCCCTAGCTCACTAAAAAGTGAAATTTTGAAACAGGGCTGGGACTAGTGAAACTGCCTTTGCAAAGATTGTGATGGTGAGAGAAATCTGACATGGCTGACTCCATCTTGCTTCTAGCCTCACAGGCTGGCTGTGTTCACTCCTTCTCGCGTGTAGACCAAGCCAACCATGGGATAAATTTAGTTTATAATTTAACTTAAAGGCAAGGATGATAAAAATCCTTCCCCAAAACTAACTCTCCTTGCTCAGGGACTGAAAACTAATGAATGGCCATGAGATTAGGGCCTGAATTCTGCTAAAATGTAGGCATAGTTTCAGTAATCACTTACTGCTCAGGAGCTATGTGGCCAGAGGTCACAGGATTGTGACTTCCCCAATTGCTTCTATAGATAACGTCACTATTGTAGAACCTAAGATTAGTCTTTTGAGATATGTTTCAGACCTTTGCATTCTGGCAACTGTCTGGCCTCACCTGGACCCATGACTCATGACTCATCTCGTCCTGGGGCTCCACCCAGAAGCAAACTCAGTGCATGAGAACCATTTTCCACACCCCTATGACTTCATCCCCAATCAATTAGCAGCACCCATTCCCCAGACCCCTGCCCACCAGATTATCCATAAAAATGCTAGCCTCTGAGTTATCAGGGAGGCTGATTTGAGTGATAACTCCAGTCCTTCCACTTGGCGGCCATGTATTAATGAAACTCTTTCTCTATTGCAATAGCACAGTCACAGTGAATTGGTTTTGTCTGTGCAGTGGGCAGGACAAACCTGTTGGGCATTTACACTATGGTAAGGGAAGAGAGGCTCCTAGGGTACAAAATTCAAGGAGCCACTCACTCTCAGGGTCCTGCACCCCGCTTCCCTGGCCTTATCCTAGTCCTGCCTCTGCTTCAAAAGAAACTTATGCTGTCAGCTTTAGAAAAATGAGGGTCTAATTGCTATGAAAATATAAATGAGTCCCTAAAACTTATTATATTAAATCATTTATTTGTATCTCTCTATGGATGAGTTTATTTGATTTTTTCCTGAAATTGAAGAAATGGTGTTTATATAATGACAGTTAAATCATGCTCTGTTGGTCTAAATGTGTTTTTTTAAGTGCAATTTTTACTGACATAATTATAAGTTACATACAGTTTTATAAAATGGTACAGAAAGACTCCTTTATTTTTTACTCAGTTTCCTCCAATGGTAACATTTTGCAAAACTGTAGGATAATATAAAAACCAGAATATTGACATTGAGAAAATCCATAGTTTTTTTTTCTGATTTTCCTAGTTTTATTTGTATTCACTTGTGGGTGCAAGTGGTCTATAATTAGTGGTCTATACTTTTATCACATATGTAGATCGTGTATCTACCACCACATTCATACACTGAGCAGCTCCATCAGGATCCCCGTGTTTCCTTTTGGAACCATGCCCTCCAGTCTACCCACCCTCTCCTTTACATTCCCATGGCTTTACATGGTCTTTCCCAATATCACATGGATGGCTACACATATTCCATTGTATGTTGGATGCATCTTTTTAAAAACTATTCTGGAGATTCGCTTTACTAAATTTTTTTCATACATTGACGATCATTTCCCTAGGAATTCCTAGAACTCATCCTTCATTTTAAAAATTCTTAATTTGATTACCCAGAGCATCCTTCATTTACCAACTCTCCTCCAAAGGAAAGAGAGGGCTGCTTCCAAACAGTGGACCCGAGAGCAGAGAATGGAGCCTGGTTAGGACTAGCATAATCAAAAGTACATATTGCCATCTCCAGAGGCAATTTCAAAAGAGAATTGCGGTGACAACTGGAGCAATAAGAGTGTTATTGAAATAAGCGCACCCTTTTCCCACGTCACTAGCTTGAAAATAGCAATTATCTGAAAGTGTGAGTTCTGGTTTTGTTTATAAGAGACATCAGGCACATTGTCTAGTAGCCTCTTCTTACTTGATGAGAAGAAAGGTAAAGTGAGAAGGTCAAGGCAGTGGAGATGAGGCCCTTATATTAGTAAAAAAATGATTAAGGGAGAGTAGGCTTGTCTAAGAAGCTTGAGGTGCATATTTACTTTTTTTTTTTTTTTCTTTTGAGATGGAGTCTCACTCTGTCGCCCAGGCTGGAGTGCAGTGGCATGATCTTGGCTCACTGCAACCTCTGCCTCTGGGTTCAAGTGATTCTCATGCCTCAGCCTCTCGAGCAGCTGAGATTACAGGTGCACACCACCATGCCTGGCTAATTTTTGTATTTTTAGTAGAGATGGGGTTTCACCATGTTGGCCAGGCTGGTCTTGAACTCCTGACTTCAGGTGATCTGCCCACCTTGGCCTCCCAAAGTGCTGGGATTACAAGCATGAGCCACTGTGCCCAGCGCATAGTTACCTTTGAAGGATGAAGGACACTATCAGGCAGGAAGAGGTCTGTTGTAGGAAATAGCCCAGCTGAGGAGGAGACAGGCAGTTTGCAAAGGAAATCAGGTGGGGTGTGGGGCCACCTGGATCAGGGCACAGCAGGGGATTAGAAGCATCTAGAGGATATTGTCAAGAGAGTTCAGAATGAGAGGAAGAAAACTTGATCCATCCATTGGCAAGGAGAAGACAAGAGGAGCTGGGTCTTGGTCCCTTCTGAGGCTTGGGTTGGTAAGGACTTGCAGGTATTGCATGGACCTCCTGCCAGAGAATGGGTCTACCAGAAAGAAGTTCAAGTACTTGGTGGAAAGCTCTGGCCCCTCCAGGAGAGTGAGTTGAGTCTTTGGACACAGAGACTTCCTTTCTTTGCATGCATTGGCAGGGTCGTCCTATGACCTGAACCACTGGGTTCTTGTCCTGGGCCCTGTGATTTCCAAGGCCCTACTCTAGCCCTCCTCTAGTTTTGTCTTTCCTCATGGACTTCAGCCCATCTTTCACTGGGCTGAAGGATGTTCCCACCTGGAGCCAACACCTACCACCCTTTTCTAGACCACCGTGCTCTGTCATGTTGTATACCCAAGACCCAGAATTTGTGGCTCAAATGGTCTCATACCCATTCCAGAGCTTTTGCTGACCTCTTTCAGGGGTGTGTCCTCTCAATGGTAGACCGTGCTACTGGAGTGTGCATCTGGGCTGGAGACATGGCTGTTTGAGGGCCGGGGTGTCACTTAAAATGGTAAGATAATGACTCCCTGGCTTTAAAACCACAGCCACATGTCTGTGGCCCTGCATGGTATAGGGTGGACCATGGGGGCAGGAAGAGAAGTGTGGGCCACGGGCCTACAACCTTCCTTGTTCCTTCTCCCCAGGCCCTGCAATTCTCAGGGATAGGCCAATGGTTTGGTCCTTGGAGCAGCTGTAATTGTGCTGCCTACTCCAGTAGCCAGGAAATGCATCTGATCTCTCTCCATTTTCTGTTTGAAATGGAAATTGCTTCATTTGTCAGTTTGTCAGACTCCCAAGTAATTACCCTTACAGAATTCCAGAGGCGTCCATCAGCCACAGTCGTCACAGCCCCTCCCAATATGTAGAGAGAGGCACTCAGCCCTTTCTACCCCTATTTTTTGGCAAATGAAACAAAGGGTGAGCAGCCTTAAAAGGAGAAAGAGGTTTCAAAGGACTGTGTTCCTCAGCTTACTTAATTATTGTAATCACTGGGGCACTTGTGAAAAATACTAATTTCTAGGCCCTATGCCTGGAGAGCCTGATTCTTTTGGTTGGGTGGAGATGCAGGAACAGTGCTTCTCAGCCTTGGCTGAACACTGAAGTCACCTGGGGAGCTTTAAAATTACTAATACCTGGGTCTCAGCCCCAGAGAGTCTGGTTTAATTGGCCTGGGTGTGGCTTAGGAATCAGAGTTTTAAAAGCTCCCTGGGTGATTCTACTGTACCACCAAGGTAGAGAAACCCTGCCTATGGACCTCTGCTTTTAACACAAGCCCCCAAGGTTTCTTCTGACCACAAAGGGTCAGGAAATACACCAGTTGGTCCCACAAACGGAAGTGCAGAAAAGAGTAACAGGGACAGATTTTCCTACCTGCAGGAGAACTCATTTAGATTTTTTTCTGTTTTTTCGTTTTTTGCAGAAGCAACTGGCGAGTTCCTTTGTCCTCTGCCTCTTTCTCCCTAAGCTGTTTCTCTAAAGCAGTAAGATAATTGCTCCATTGCTTTAAAACTCTAGGAATGACTCTCCCTACTCTCCCCCACCCATCCGATAATAGCCCTCACTTTCTTGTGCACAAACATTGACTCATTTTTCTATGAGGGGGGTAGAACAGGTATTATTGTCCCCATCTGAGCCCGAACCTAGTAAGGTTCAAGAGTTGTTTGTTTCTGGGGTAACAGTTCCTTTTATCTTTTCCTCATTATTTCATGAGCTTTGCCCCACCTCACTCCCGTCTTAGGGGTTCACGTTCCTAACATGTGACCTGAATAAGCAAGGATATTGCTGGGGACATTAACTCAAGCCCTCAGAAGAGGGAGCCAAGGTGAGCATTGGTTCAAGACAGAGAAGATGGCAGAACTCTCCCACAGGGGATGGAAAATGCTACCCTGCAGGCTTCTGGGATTCCACTTTGCCTTTCACCCATTGCACCAAGCATACCAAAGTCCAGGGGTAAGCCCTGGGACCCCTGAGGACAACTGATGGGCACAACCTTACCTTTCCCCATAGCATGTGCCTCACTGAAGCTTGTTGGGGTTTAGGGGGCTCATTTAAGCAGCTGAAGGCTAACATACAACTTGGAGTTAGTGTTGACTCCCAAGGAAAGATCAGACGTATGCTGGAAAAGGCAGTGGGCTTCAAAGTAAAGAGGATAAGAAACAATCAACAGTCTGCTCGAAATGTGTCTGTCAGTCTCCAATTAACCATAGCACAGGCAGCAGCTTCGAGTGATGGGAGCATGCACCAGTCCTTTCAGTAACCTCTGTCACTAGACAGGACTCTGATTTTCAAAGTGTCCAAAAAGGCAGATTCTACAAACTACAGACTGTGAGCTCAATGTTAAAACACAGTCAAAATTCCACCAGGTTATTGAAGGCTTTGTTTAGAAGCATCTAGAAAAAGACACTAGGGTCACTTGGATCCAGCATGAATCTGCTGAGGGCAAATTGGAACAGGCTAACCACAGTTCTTTCTCTGACAAGGTCACATTAGACCGGTAAATCAAGAACAGTTATATCACATGGAACATGTGGACATCACCTGCTGAATGACATGGACTCGATATCTAGTTGTGGATAAGAGAAACACATGGATTGGATGCAGAGATGTATAGGCATATTGGTAACAAGGTGAACATTTGGGCGTCAGAGGTATTGCTTAATGAACGTGGAGAAAAATGATCTGTAGTTGTCTGGCTTAGAATCTCTCCTTTTCTTCTGCTTTATTCAAATGTTTTATCTATGACTTGAATGGAAATATAGATTTTCAGAAGATAGGAACTGAGTAAAACTGTCTTTCTCTATACACACACAGATAGATTTTTGAAAGGCTGGATTCAAGAGTGGAATTGCACAAGATAATATTCAACAAAATGTGCCTCTTTGCATGCTATAAGAAAGAGAATGTGGCTTAGCAGTAGCTCATGTGAAAAGGCTTAGTAGTCTGCATCAACAAAATATACAATTGTGTTGTGAGGTCTCCTGTAATGCTACTTGGATCATGGGTTATAATAATAGAAGTAAAGTCTGCAACTGAGGAGGTGATCTTCCATTCTACAGTGTACTTCTATCATTAGGAATTTTGACTTCCTAGTTTTGGACATCACATTAAGACTCTGGAACAGGCTGGAATGGAGGTGAGAAGCTGTTTAATAAAAATAACCTAAAACATTCTCAAAGAGGAAGATGGAAGAAATGGAGATGAGTAATTTCAGGAGTCACAAGAGAGACAGCTTTAATGTCTACAGTCTGTCTTAGACTGCCACAGCATCCTCACAGATGGAATGAGAATATATGTGAGAAAGCTCTAGCCCAGTGGTCCCCAGTATTGGAACAGGGCTGCACAGCAGGAGTTGAGCAGCAGACAAGCCAGCGAAGTGTCATCTGTATTGACCGCTGCTCCCCATCACTCGCGTTACCACCTGAGATCCACCTCTTGTCAGATCAGCGTGGCATTAGATTCTCATAAGAGCTCGAACCCTACTGTGAACTGCGCATGTGCGGGATCTAGGTTATGCTCTCCTTATGAGCATCTAGGGCCAGGCGCGGTGGCTCATGCCTGTAATCCCAGCACTTTGGGAGGCCAAGGCAGGTGGATCACCTGAGATCAGGTGTTCGAGACCAGCCTGATCAACATGGAGAAATGTCTCTACTAAAAATACAAAATAGCCGGGCGTGGTGGTGCATGCCCATAATCCCAGCTACTAGGGAGGCTGAGACAGGAGAATCACTTGAACCCGGAAGGCAGAGGTTGCAGTGAGCCAAGATCGCGCCATTGCGTTCCAGCCTGGGCATACAGAGCAAGACTCTGTCTCAAAAAAACAAAAAAAACAAAAAAAGAGAATCTAATGCTTGATGATCTATCACCGTCTCCCATCACCCCCAGATGGGTCTGTCTAATTGCAGGAAAATAAGCTCAGGACTCCCACTGATTCTACATTATCATGAGTTGTATAATTATTTCATTATATATTACAATGTAATAATAATAGAAATAAAGTACACAATAAATGTAATGTGCTTGAATCATCCTGAAACCATCTCACCACCCTGGTCCGTGGAAAAATTGTCTTCCGTGAAACCAGTACCTGCTGCCAGAAAGGTTGGGGATGGCTGCTCTAGAGGACCTGGTTAGGGCTCCATATAAAGGAAACTCACTAGAGATGGAATGCTGGCTTCAGACTAATCCCAACACCACAATGGAACCAAAGAAAAGTCAAAAGAACACATAGCAAATGTGGATATTGTCAGAAAGGCCCTCATTTGTAGCTGGAATAGGAAACTCTATGCTCAGTTTGGTTTCAGAAACTCCTGAACGGCCTTAATGATTAGAAAAATCTTTCCTGGCCTTTGCCTGAAACGTTACCATTAACTCTTTGTCCCTATAGCCTAAGGCTTTGATTCCTGTCCTATTCAAATGCCTCTGGAAGTGATAGCAGTAAATTATCCATAAATGTGAATGAAGGATGGAAGCGAAAAGTTTTTAGAAGAAGATAGAGGGTGTGAAGACAGGAGGATGAATGTCAATTGGGAATTTTAAGTGTGGGAAACCCGTATTCATTTCTACTTGCCTGCCCCAAATTCGGGAGGTGGAAGGAAGATTCCCACTTTCAGTAAACTCAGATGATCCCACACTTAGTGATCCTAAGGAGAGGCCCAGTGCTCCATTTGGCCTCTTTCCCTGCCCAGGTCCTGGATTTAGTATTTCCAGGCATAGGCGGGAGTTTCTGCTGCTGACTCAGTCCTGGGAGCTGTTGGAGCGCTGGCCCTCCTGGATCCCTCCCAGAGATCCCCTTGTCAGCAAAGCCCTGCACGAAAGCCCCACCAGCAAGAGCAGAGGGAGCAGGTGCCTGGCCCTCTGCACCGCCCATGCTGGCAAGCTGGAAGTCTGGCTGGCATCACGCCCAGCTCATTTCCAAGAGCTTGCTAGCTAGATATTTGCAGGGAGGGAGCCTTGGCAAGGAGGTGGCAGCTCGGCAGAAATGCTGCCCAGGCCCTTTCACCCACTGCGCTGTGGCAACAGAGGGTGATTGCTCTGATAGAGTTTGGTTTATGACACTACATTAGTAAGCTTATGCCTCAGGCTATTCCTAGCCGAATGGAATGGCCAGGGAAAAGGCGATGCAACTCCTCCATCATCAGAGGCAGCATGAAACACTTATTGTATCGCCCTAACTCTGTAGCAGGGGAAATTTGATTTATTTTAGAGTTAATCCATCACCCTCTGGCATCCTTTCAAGACAGGCCTTGAGCATAATTGCAGGATCTGGAGAAAATGGGGAAGTCAAGTTCAATTTATTCCATTAACATTTTTAAAACATTTAATTATGATAAAAACTGAAAAGCATTTACTATGAGTAGGACCCTGGCTTCATCTCCTCCATGTGCTCATCCCAGCAATCACTCTCTCCCGGCTGTCACTGGCTTATTACAACTCCGCGCCCTGGCTCCGATGGTTCCCACGAGCCTGGGCTCCACTGCCGCATCAGCCCACATGGAGGTGTGAAGTCCACTCACCACCTTTTTTTGCCAGCAGAAATCCATCCATTCCTTTCTGGATGGTCATTGCATTATTTTTCTCCTCCACTTTACTTTGAATATCTCCTCCTCTTTTCCTCGAGGGCCAGCCATGGGAGGTGGGAGAGAGGGGGTCAAGGCAAGATGTGGCCATGTCCTCCTACATTCAGCCACTATCTCTACTGTCAGGGATGGGTATCTAGCAGCCCGAGGAGACACACACATAGGCCTCCACAAAATGGGGGCTGGCCAAAGAGGTAGTTTTGGAAACAAATATGTTTTATTATTTTAAAAGTCAATGATGTGGTAATTTTAGGAAAAACAAAGCATGTTGTTAGATTTCTTTTGATTTTTTAATTGTTTTTTTAAATTGATTTATTTTATTTATTTATTTATTTATGTTTATTTTTATTATACTTTAAGTTTTAGGGTACATGTGCACAATGTGCAGGTTAGTTACATATGTATACATGTGCCATGCTGGTGTGCTGCACCCATTAACTCGTCATCTAGCATTAGGTATATCTCCTAATGCTATCCCTCTCCCCTCCCCCCACCCCACAACAGTCCCCAGAGTGTGATGTTCCCCTTCCTGTGTCCATGTGTTCTCATTGTTCAATTCCCACCTATGAGTGAGAACATGCGGTGTTTGGTTTTTTGTCCTTGCGATAGTTTACTGAGAATGATGATTTCCAATTTCATCCATGTCCCTACAAAGGACATGAACTCATCATTTTTTATGGCTGCATAGTATTCCATGGTGTATATGTGACACATTTTCTTAATCCAGTCTATCGTTGTTGGACATTTGGGTTGGTTCCAAGTCTTTGCTATTGTGAATAGTGCCGCAATAAACATACGTGTGCATGTGTCTTTATAGCAGCATGATTTATAGTCCTTTGGGTATATACCCAGTAATGGGATGGCTGGGTCAAATGGTATTTCTAGTTCTAGATCCCTGAGGAATCGCCACACTGACTTCCACAATGGTTGAACTAGTTTACAGTCCCACCAACAGTGTAAAAGTGTTCCTATTTCTCCACATCCTCTCCAGCACCTGTTGTTTCCTGACTTTTTAATGATTGCCATTCTAACTGGTGTGAGATGATATCTCATAGTGGTTTTGATTTGCATTTCTCTGATGGCCAGTGATGATGAGCATTTCTTCATGTGTTTTTTGGCTGCATAAATGTCTTCTTTTGAGAAGTGTCTGTTCATGTCCTTCGCCCACTTTTTGATGGGGTTGTTTGTTTTTTTCTTGTAAATTTGTTTGAGTTCATTGTAGATTCTGGATATTAGCCCTTTGTCAGATGAGTAGGTTGTGAAAATTTTCTCCCATGTTGTAGGTTGCCTGTTCACTCTGATGGTAGTTTCTTTTGCTGTGCAGAAGCTCTTGAGTTTAATTAGATCCCATTTGTCAATTTTGGCTTTTGTTGCCATTGTTTTTGGTGTTTTGGACATGAAGTCCTTGCCCACGCCTATGTCCTGAATGGTAATGCCTAGGTTTTCTTCTAGGGTTTTTTATGGTTTTAGGTCTAACGTTTAAATCTTTAATCCATCTTGAATTGATTTTTGTATAAGGTGTAAGGAAGGGATCCAGTTTCAGCTTTCTACATATGGCTAGCCAGTTTTCCCAGCACCATTTATTAAATAGGGAATCCTTTCCCCATTGCTTGTTTTTCTCAGGTTTGTCAAAGATCAGATAGTTGTAGATATGAGGCATTATTTCTGAGGGCTCTGTTCTGTTCCATTGATCTATATCTCTGTTTTGGTACCAGTACCATGCTGTTTTGGTTACTGTAGCCTTGTAGTATAGTTTGAAGTCAGGTAGTGTGATGCCTCCAGCTTTCTTCTTTTGGCTTAGGATTGACTTGGCGATGCGGGCTCTTTTTTGGTTCCATATGAACTTTAAAGTAGTTTTTTCCAATTCTGTGAAGAAAGTCATTGGTAGCTTGATGGGGATGGCATTGAATCTGTAAATTACCTTGGGCAGTATGGCCATTTTCACGATATTGATTCTTCCTACCCATGAGCATGGAATGTTCTTCCATTTGTTTGTGTCCTCTTTTATTTCCTTGAGCAGTGGTTTGTAGTTCTCCTTGAAGAGGTCCTTCACATCCCTTGTAAGTTGGATTCCTAGGTATTTTATTCTCTTTGAAGCAATTGTGAATGGGAGTTCACTCATGATTTGGCTCTCTGTTTGTCTGTTGTTGGTGTATAAGAATGCTTGTGATTTTTGTACATTGATTTTGTATCCTGAGACTTTGCTGAAGTTGCTTATCAGCTTAAGGAGATTTTGGGCTGAGACGATGGGGTTTTCTAGATAAACAATCATGTCGTCTGCAAACAGGGACAATTTGACTTCCTCTTTTCCTAATTGAATACCCTTTATTTCCTTCTCCTGCCTGATTGCCCTAGCCAGAACTTCCAACACTATGTTGAATAGGAGCGGTGAGAGAGGGCATCCCTGTCTTGTGCCAGTTTTCAAAGGGAATGCTTCCAGTTTTTGCCCATTCAGTATGATATTGGCTGTGGGTTTGTCATAGATAGCTCTTATTATTTTGAAATACGTCCCATCAATACCTAATTTATTGAGAGTTTTTAGCATGAAGGGTTGTTGAATTTTGTCAAAGGCTTTTTCTGCATCTATTGAGATAATCATGTGGTTTTTGTCTTTGGTTCTGTTTATATGCTGGATTACATTTATTGATTTGCGTATATTGAACCAGCCTTGCATCCCAGGGATGAAGCCCACTTGATCATGGTGGATAAGCTTTTTGATGTGCTGGTGGATTCGGTTTGCCAGTATTTTATTGAGGATTTTTGCATCAATGTTCATCAAGGATATTGGTCTAAAATTCTCTTTTTTGGTTGTGTCTCTGCCCGGCTTTGGTATCAGAATGATGCTGGCCTCATAAAATGAGTTAGGGAGGATTCCCTCTTTTTCTATTGATTGGAATAGTTTCAGAAGGAATGGTACCAGTTCCTCCTTGTACCTCTGGTAGAATTCGGCTGTGAATCCATCTGGTCCTGGACTCTTTTTGGTTGGTAAACTATTGATTATTGCCACAATTTCAGAGCCTGTTATTGGTCTATTCAGAGATTCAACTTCTTCCTGGTTTAGTCTTGGGAGAGTGTATGTGTCGAGGAATGTATCCATTTCTTCTAGATTTTCTAGTTTATTTGCGTAGAGGTGTTTGTAGTATTCTCTGATGGTAGTTTGTATTTCTGTGGGATCGGTGGTGATATCCCCTTTATCATTTTTTATTGTGTCTATTTGATTCTTCTCTCTTTTTTTCTTTATTAGTCTTGCTAGCGGTCTATCAATTTTGTTGATCCTTTCAAAAAACCAGCTCCTGGATTCATTGATTTTTTGAAGGGTTTTTTGTGTCTCTATTTCCTTCAGTTCTGCTCTGATTTTAGTTATTTCTTGCCTTCTGCCAGCTTTTGAATGTGTTTGCTCTTGCTTTTCTAGTTCTTTTAATTGTGATGTTAGGGTGTCAATTTTGGATCTTTCCTGCTTTCTCTTGTAGGCGTTTAGTGCTATAAATTTCCCTCTACACACTGCTTTGAATGCGTCCCAGAGATTCTGGTATGTGGTGTCTTTGTTCTCGTTGGTTTCAAAGAACATCTTTATTTCTGCCTTCATTTCGTTATGTACCCAGTAGTCATTCAGGAGCAGGTTGTTCAGTTTCCATGTAGTTGAGTGGCTTTGAGTGAGATTCTTAATCCTGAGTTCTAGTTTGATTGCATTGTGGTCTGAGAGATAGTTTGTTATAATTTCTGTTCTTTTACATTTGCTGAGGAGAGCTTTACTTCCAACTATGTGGTCAATTTTGGAATAGGTGTGGTGTGGTGCTGAAAAAAATGTATATTCTGTTGATTTGGGGTGGAGAGTTCTGTAGATGTCTATTAGGTCCGCTTGGTGCAGAACTGAGTTCAATTCCTGGGTATCCTTGTTGACTTTCTGTCTCGTTGATCTGTCTAATGTTGACAGTGGGGTGTTAAAGTCTCCCATTATTAATGTGTGGGAGTCTAAGTCTCTTTGTAGGTCACTCAGGACTTGCTTTATGAATCTGGGTGCTCCGGTATTGGGTGCATAAATATTTAGGATAGTTAGCTCCTCTTGTTGAATTGATCCCTTTACCATTATGTAATGGCCTTCTTTGTCTCTTTTGATCTTTGTTGGTTTAAAGTCTGTTTTATCAGAGACTAGGATTGCAACCCCTGCCTTTTTTTGTTTTCCATTGGCTTGGTAGATCTTCCTCCATCCTTTTATTTTGAGCCTATGTGTGTCTCTGCACGTGAGATGGGTTTCCTGAATACAGCACACTGATGGGTCTTGACTCTTTATCCAACTTGCCAGTCTGTGTCTTTTAATTGCAGAATTTAGTCCATTTATATTTGAAGTTAATATTGTTATGTGTGAATTTGATCCTGTCATTATGATGTTAGCTGGTGATTTTGCTCATTAGTTGATGCAGTTTCTTCCTAGTCTCGATGGTCTTTACATTTTGGCATGATTTTGCAGCGGCTGGTACCGGTTGTTCCTTTCCATGTTTAGTGCTTCCTTCAGGAGCTCTTTTAGGGCAGGCCTGGTGGTGACAAAATCTCTCAGCATTTGCTTGTCTATAAAGTATTTTATTTCTCCTTCACTTATGAAGCTTAGTTTGGCTGGATATGAAATTCTGGGTTGAAAATTCTTTTCTTTAAGAATGTTGAATATTGGCCCCCACTCTCTTCTGGCTTGTAGGGTTTCTGCCGAGAGATCCGCTGTTAGTCTGATGGGCTTTCCTTTGAGGGTAACCCGACCTTTCTCTCTGGCTGCCCTTAACATTTTTTCCTTCATTTCAACTTTGGTGAATCTGACAATTATGTGTCTTGGAGTTGCTCTTCTCGAGGAGTATCTTTGTGGCGTTCTCTGTATTTCCTGAATCTGAACGTTGGCCTGCCTTGCTAGATTGGGGAAGTTCTCCTGGATAATATCCTGCAGAGTGTTTTCCAACTTGGTTCCATTCTCCACATCACTTTCAGGTACACCAATCAGACGTAGATTTGGTCTTTTCACATAGTCCCATATTTCTTGGAGGCTTTGCTCATTTCTTTTTATTCTTTTTTCTCTAAACTTCCCTTCTCTCTTCATTTCATTCATTTCATCTTCCATTGCTGATACCCTTTCTTCCAGTTGATCGCATCGGCTCCTGAGGCTTCTGCATTCTTCACGTAGTTCTCGAGCCTTGGTTTTCAGCTCCATCAGCTCCTTTAAGCACTTCTCTGTATTGGTTATTCTAGTTATACATTCTTCTAAATTTTTTTCAAAGTTTTCAACTTCTTTGCCTTTGGTTTGAATGTCCTCCCGTAGCTCAGAGTAATTTGATCGTCTGAAGCCTTCTTCTCTCAGCTCGTCAAAATCATTCTCCATCCAGCTTTGTTCCGTTGCTGGTGAGGAACTGCGTTCCTTTGGAGGAGGAGAGGCGCTCTGCGTTTTAGAGTTTCCAGTTTTTCTGTTCTGTTTTTTCCCCATCTTTGTGGTTTTATCTACTTTTGGTCTTTGATGATGGTGATGTACAGATGGGTTTTCGGTGTAGATGTCCTTTCTGGTTGTTAGTTTTCCTTCTAACAGACAGGACCCTCAGCTGCAGGTCTGTTGGAATACCCTGCCGTGTGAGGTGTCAGTGTGCCCCTGCTGAGGGGTGCCTCCCAGTTAGGCTGCTCGGGGGTCAGGGTTCAGGGACCCACTTGAGGAGGCAGTCTGCCCGTTCTCAGATCTCCAGCTGCGTGCTGGGAGAACCACTGCTCTCTTCAAAGCTGTCAGACAGGGACACTTAAGTCTGCAGAGGTTACTGCTGTCTTTTTGTTTGTCTGTGCCCTGCCCCCAGAGGTGGAGCCTACAGAGGCAGGCAGGCCTCCTTGAGTTGTGGTGGGCTCCACCCAGTTCGAGCTTCCCGGCTGCTTTGTTTACCTAAGCAAGCCTGGGCAATGGCGGGCGCCCCTCCCCCAGCCTCGTTGCCGCCTTGCAGTTTGATCTCAGACTGCTGTGCTAGCAATCAGCGAGACTCCGTGGGCGTAGGACCCTCTGAGCCAGGTGTGGGATATAGTCTCGTGGTGCGCCGTTTCTTAAGCCGGTCTGAAAAGCGCAATATTCGGGTGGGAGTGACCCGATTTTCCAGGTGCGTCCGTCACCCCTTTCTTTGACTCGGAAAGGGAACTCCCTGACCCCTTGCGCTTCCCAGGTGAGGCAATGCCTCGCCCTGCTTTGGCTCGCGCACGGTGCGCGCACACACTGGCCTGCGCCCACTGTCTGGCACTCCCTAGTGAGACGAACCCGGTACCTCAGATGGAAATGCAGAAATCACCCGTCTTCTGCGTCGCTCACGCTGGGAGCTGTAGACCGGAGCTGTTCCTATTCGGCCATCTTGGCTCCTCCACGACAAATGGGATCTAATTAAACTAAAGAGCTTCTGCACAGCAAAAGAAACTACCATCAGAGTGAACAGGCAACCTACAACATGGGAGAAAATTTTCGCAACCTACTCATCTGAGAAAGGGCTAATATCCAGAATCTACAATGAACTCAAACAAATTTACAAGAAAAAAACAAACAACCCCATCAAAAAGTGGGCAAAGGATATGAACAGACACTTCTCAAAAGAAGACATTTATGCAGCCAAAAGACACATGAAAAAATGCTCATCATCACTGGCCATCAGAGAAATGCAAATCAAAACCACAATGAGATACCATCTCACACCAGTTAGAATGGCAATGATTAAAAAGTCAGGAAACAACAGGTGCTGGAGAGGATGTGGAGAAATAGGAACACTTTTACACTGTTGGTGGGACTGTAAACTAGTTCAACCATTGTGGAAGTCAGTGTGGCGATTCCTCAGGGATCTAGAACTAGAAATACCATTTGACCCAGCCATCCCATTACTGGGTATATACCCAAAGGACTATAAATCATGCTGCTATAAAGACACATGCACACGTATGTTTATTGCGGCACTATTCACAATAGCAAAGACTTGGAACCAACCCAAATGTCCAACAACGATAGACTGGATTAAGAAAATGTGTCACATATACACCATGGAATACTATGCAGCCATAAAAAATGATGAGTTCATGTCCTTTGTAGGGACATGGATGAAATTGGAAACCATCATTCTCAGTAAACTATCGCAAGAACAAAAAACCAAACACCGCATATTCTCACTCATAGGTGGGAATTGAACAATGAGATCACATGGACACAGGAAGGGGAATATCACACTCTGGGGACTGTGGTGGGGTCGGGGGAGGGGGGAGGGATAGCATTGGGAGATATACCTAATGCTAGATGACACGTTAGTGAGTGCAGCGCACCAGCATGGCACATGTATACATATGTAACTAACCTGCACAATGTGCACATGTACCCTAAAACTTAGAGTATAATAAAACAAAACAAAACAAAACAAAACAAAACAAAACAAAAAAAGATCCCATTTGTCAATTTTGGCTTTTGTTGCCATTGCTTTTGGTGTTTTAGACATGAAGTCCTTGCCCATGCCTATGTCCTGAATGGTAATGCCTAGGTTTTCTTCTAGGGTTTTTATGGTTTTAGGTCTAACATTTAAGTCTTTTATCCATCTTGAATTGATTTTTGTATAAGGTGTAAGGAAGGGATCCAGTTTCAGCTTTCTACATATGGCTAGCCAGTTTTCCAGCATCATTTATTAAATAGGGAATCCTTTCCCCATTGCTTGTTTTTCTCAGGTTTGTCAAAGATCAGATAGTTGTAGATATGCGGCGTTATTTCTGAGGACTATGTTCTGTTCCTTTGATCTATATCTCTGTTTTGGTACCAGTACCATGCTCTTTTGGTTACTGTACCCTTGTAGTATAGTTTGAAGTCAGGTAGCATGATGCCTCCAGCTTTGTTCTTTTGGCTTAGGATTGACTTGGTGATGCGGGCTCTTTTTTGGTTCCATATGAACTTTAAAGTAGTTTTTTCCAATTCTGTGAAGAAAGTCATTGGTAGCTTGATGGGGATGGCATTGAATCTATAAATTACCTTGGGCAGTATGGCCATTTTCATGATATTGATTCTTCCTACCCATGAGCATGGAATGTTCTTCCATTTGTTTGTATCCTCTTTTATTTCATTGAGCAGTGGTTTGTAGTTCTCCTTGAAGAGGTCCTTCACGTCCCTTGTAAGTTGGATTCCTAAGTATTTTATTCTCTTTGAAGCAATTGTGAATGGGAGTTCACTCATGATTTGGCTCTCTGTTTGTCTGTTATTGGTGTATAAGAATGCTTGTGATTTTTGTACATTGATTTTGTATCCTGAGACTTTGCTGAAGTTGCTTATCAGCTTAAGGAGATTTTGGGCTGAGACAATGGGGTTTTCTAGATATACAATCATGTCATCTGCAAACAGGGACAATTTGACTTCCTCTTTTCCTAATTGAATACCCTTTATTTCCTTCTCCTGCCTAATTGCCCTAGCCAGAACTTCCAACACTATGTTGAATAGGAGTGGTAAGAGAGGGCATCCCTGTCTTGTGCCCATTTTCAAAGGGAATGCTTCCAGTTTTTGCCCATTCAGTATGATATTGGCTGTGGGTTTGTCATAGACAGCTCTTATTATTTTGAGATACGTCCCATCAATACCTAATTTATTGAGAGTTTTTAGCATGAAGGGTTGTTGAATTTTGTCAAAGGCCTTTTCTGCATTTATTGAGATAATCATGTGGTTTTTGTCTTTGGTTCTGTTTATATGCTGGATTACATTTATTGATTTGCATATATTGAACCAGCCTTGCATCCCAGGGATGAAGCCCACTCGATCATGGTGGATAAGCTTTTTGATGTGCTGCTGGATTCGGTTTGCCAGTATTTTATTGAGGATTTTTGCATCAATATTCATCAAGGATATTGGTCTAAAATTCTGTTTTTTGGTTGTATCTTTGCCTGGCTTTGGTATCAGGATGATGCTGGCCTCATAAAATGAGTTAGGGAGGATTCCCTCTTTTTCTATTGATTGGAATAGTTTCAGAAGGAATGGTACCAGTTCCTCCTTGTACCTCTGGTAGAATTCGGCTGTGAATCCATCTGGTCCTGGACTCTTTTTGGTTGGTAAGCTATTGATTATTGCCACAATTTCAGAGCCTGTTATTGGTCTATTCAGAGATTCAACTTCTTCCTGGTTTAGTCTTGGGAGATGTTTTTTTTTTTTTTTAGATAGAGTCTCACTCTGTTGCCCAGGCTGGAATGCAGTGGTATGATGTTGGCTCACTGCAACCTCTGCCTCTCAGGTTCAAGCGATCCATCCACCTCAGCCTCCTGAGTAGCTGCCGTTACAGACGTGCAGCACCATGACTTGCTAAGTTTTGTCTTTTTAGTAGAGATGGGGTTTCAGCATGTTGGCCAGGCTGGTCTCAAACTCCTGACCTCAAGTGATACACCCACCTCAGCTTCCCAAAGTGTTAGGATTACAGGCGTGAGCCACCGTGGCTTGCCTTGATTTCTTTATACTTATTTTATGATGAGATATTGCTTTTATTTTGAATTCCACATGAGATTGTGGTAGACAGGAAAATGGCCCTCCAAAGATGTCCACATCCTAATCCCTGGAACCTGTGAATGTGTTGTAGTAAAGGGTAATTAAAGCGCAAATAGAATTAGGGCTGCAGATCAGCTAACCTTAAAGTAGGGAGATGCCCCCGAATCCTCCAGGTGAGCGCAATGTAATCACATATGTTCTCAAAAGTGAAAGAGAAGGGCAGGAGACAAGGTCAGAGCAATGCGGTATGAGGGCTCAGCCTGTCCTTGCTGGCTTTGAAGACAGAGAAAGGGGCGCTGAGCCAAGGAAGGCAGCAGCCTCTGGAAGCTGGAAAAGGCAAGAAGTGGGTGCTCCCCTAGAGCCTCCAGGAAGAAATATAGCCCTGCTGACACCTTGATCTTCGCCAGTGAGGTCCAATTGGACTTCAGATGTACAGAATGTAGATAATAAATCTGTATTGTTTTACACCACTAAGTTTGTGGTAATTTGTCACAGCAGGAGTTGGAAATGAATCCAGATCCTGCCTAGAGTGGGGGAGGGGAAAGATGCTGGGAGTCACACCATCATCCCCATCAAAAACATCCCTGAGCACCTGCCAGGTAAAAGGTGATGTGCTGGGGGCGGGTCCTTGCCCTCCATAAGTCCAGGAAGATATGGTGTGAGTCAGGTGCTTAGCAAGGGTCTGGAGTTCCCAGGATGGAGCCTACCCAGCCTCTGTCATTTCATACTTGGGTCAACTGGGAAAGTTATTTAATTTCTGAACTCCCATTTCCTTACATTACAATGGATATAATAACATCAAGGTTGATGTGAAGAATGAATGAGTTAATATTTGCAAAGCACATCATAATGCCTGGCAGAAGAAAAAGGCCATCTATGTGTTAGTTATTGTCTATCATCTGTACTGTTATTGATATTACTGAACTTTCAGGGAGGATTTCAGAAGCAAAGTGGGCTTTGAGGAAGGAAAGTTAGAGAGGATTATAAAAATAACTAATAGTTATGAAGCACTTCCTACAGGTAAGCATTGTGATAAGCACCTGCTTTTGTAACACTGTGAGCAAGTAGTAATATTAGCCCCACTTTATAAGTGCAGACACTGAGGCTTAGAAAGGCTAAGTGCTAGGCCGGGCGTGGTGGCTCATGCCTGTAATCCCAGCACATTGGGAGGCCGAGGCGGGTGGGTCACGAGGTCAGGAGATCGAGACCATCCTGGCTAACACAGTGAAACCCCGTCTCTACTAAAAATACAAAATATTAGCCGGGTGTGGTGGCGGGTGCCTGTAGTCCCAGCTGCTTGGGAGGCTGAGGCAGGAGAATGGCATGAACCTTGGAGGGGGAACTTGCCGTGAGCCGAGATCACGCCACTGCACTCCAGCCTGGATCTTTGTCCCTGTCCAATCTCATGTTGAATTGTAATCCCCAGTGTTGGAGGAGGGGCCTGATGGGAAGTGATTGCATCATGGGGGTGGAGTTCGCCTGAATGGTTTAGCACCATCCTCACTTGGTACTGTATAGTGAGTTCTCAAGAGATCTGGTTGTTTAAAAGTCTGTAGCACCTCCCTGCCTCTCTCTTCCACCTTCTCCAGCCATGTGAAATGCTGGCCCCTCATTTGCCTTCCACCACGATTGTTAAGTTTCCTGAGGCCTCCCTAGAAGCCCAGTAGATGCTGCTATGCTTCCTGTACAGCCTGTGGAACCATAAGCCAACGAAACCTCTTTTCTTTATAAATTATCCAGTATCAGGCATTTCTTTACAGCAATACAAAAACAGACTGATACACTAAGTAACCCAACTTACATGACAATCAAGAGGCAGAGCTGGGATGCAAACCCAGGTTCTTGTACTTTTAATGAGCACATTAGAACAATGGCCCAGAAGCAGGGAGGAGCACATGTTGGAAGGAAATCAAGACAGGCAGGTGGTTCAATGGAAGGGAAGTTTGGTCTAACGGAGCAACTAACTGGGAACCAGGCTGGGAAGGCAGAAGGGCCAAGCAGTGACCGCCTTGAACAGTGGGTGATGGGATTTGGGCATTTACTCTTGAAGGAAGGAAAAGCCATTGAACATAAGCAAGCAGGAATATGAATCTGGCAGCTGTGCTGTGGACAAATTCAAGACAAGGGGATCCCAGATGTAGACAAAGCAATTAGGACATTATCCCAAATGTTGAGGTACTGGGGGTCTAGACAACAACTCTGCCTCCCTTACCTGATATAACCAATTGAAGAGTGAGAAAGACAGTACAAAGGTAACATCGGCAGGACCTGACAGTGGGGAAGAAAGAGAAGCAGGAGGAGAAACTCAAAGATTTCAAGCCAAAGACTTGGTATGTAGCCCTCAGATGTAGTGGCTGCTGAGCGGGCAGGGACTTGGAAGGCTAGGTTTGAGTCAGGCCCTGTTTAGTGGGTTACTCACTGTTCCTTGGTGAGTGTGTGTGCATGTGCATATGTGTGTGGGGGGTGGGGGTGTCACTTTATCTCTCTGTGACCCCCTGTAAAACAGGGGTAACTATGCTTGCCCTCCTATCTCACAGAAATGCGCAAGGAGGCTCACTGGAGATCGTGGGTATGAAGGTGCTTTGACAGGTGAGAAGGTTGTACAAATACAGCATAGTGATTAGTATCATGCTGGCAAGACCAGCAGTCCTAGGGCCCATAGACGCTCCACAATGGAGTTTCATCCTATTAATATTTATTTGGACACAGGCTCAGGTTTGAGGTTTTGTTTTTTGCTTTTCTTTTTGATGTAATCTGGCTCTGTCGCCCTGGCTGGAGTGCAGTGGTGTGATCTTGGCTCACTGCAACCTCTGCCTCCTGGGTTCAAGCGATTCTCCTGCCTCAGTCTCCTGAGTAGGTGGGACTACAGGTGTGTGCTACCACGCCTGGATAATTTTTGTATTTTTAGCAGAGACAGGGTTTCACCATGTTGACCAGCCTGGTCTCGAACTCCCGACCTCAGGTGATCCACCTGCCTCAGCCTCCCAAAGTGCAGGAATTACAGACGTGAGCCACCACGCTCGGCCTCAGGTTTGAGTTTTAGGAGATCAGAATTTCCATAAGCAATTAAGAATCTTCTTTCAGAAATAGCATTGGGCACTAACCGCTAGCCCTTGCCTCATTCCTGGGATCCCTTAGGCTTCGATGCAGACCTTTGAATGAGGCTGGATGCATCATTCCCAGTGACAGAGAAGCTGCCTCTTTTCTTTCCAAGAAAACAGACCCATGAGAAAAGCCCAGCAGCCCCAAAGGGAACTCTGGGCATTGCATAAAGGAAGAGTCTGTATTCTCACACTGCAAACATAATTAAAACAACTCCTCCTCCCTTATCTGAGACACGGAAAGAAGATGAATGGGAAGATGACACAGGGAGAAAGCCCTTATCTCTCATTTTGTAAATGAAAAAAAAGAGACTTTTTGTTTAGTTTAGTTTATAGGAAAAAAAGTCACTGCCAAATTTTGTCCATAGCAAAAGGAGGCCTGAGTGTGCTGGGAGGGACCTGGCACGTGGGTGTGACAGCTCTCAGTGCCTTGGTGGGTTCCAGGAAAGCCAGGCACAGCTCCAAAATGAGGCAGCAATGGGATGCACCTCAGTGGCCACACCATGGCGTGGAATGCGCTCTTAGATTCCACCTTCTAGGACAGGTTTCCTGCCGTGGGACTAACAACACAGCTGCTTTGCTCCCATCCTCCAGAGGGAATAGAGAGGACACCTCCCTTTTCTGTCCTGCCTTCCTGCTACAGTCCACTGTCCCCTGCCCAGACTGCCCCCGACACCATCCCACCCCGTTCTTTTCCAAGTACTGGGAAGTTAATCCTTGTTCATGCTCTCCAAACACTGAAATAGTCCCCCATGCATTCTCCACACAGCTGTCAGATCGGAGTTAACAGAAAAGGGAGAACAACAGCAAAAGCAACAAGGGTGAGAAAAGCAAGTTACAGAGAAGAGGCAGTTGGAGAAAGAGTCTCCGCTGTCCCCTCTCTCCATACTCCACCTCTGTGATGTGAGATGGAGTTCACACCTCTCTGCCTTCTGTGCAGAAGCCGGGTACGCACCCGAGATAACCCCGCCTGGCAGGATCATAGCAGAGCGAGCCAAAGTGAAACCTGCATTCCCTCGGTCGAGCTACCTTTAGAGGCTGCATGGAGTGCTGCGAGGGTTAAGTGACAGGTGGTGGCCAATGAATGTGAAATTTAAGGAAAACAACTTCACAAAGGCATTTTGAGGTGATTTAATTAAAACATTCAGTCACAAAGTCAACAACAGAAGCAACAAAAAATTATGAGGCGTGGGCACCGGAGAAAAGAAATGCATGGGACGACTGGAAAGTGCAGGAGTTGATGAGAGAGCACAAGGAAGAAGCTGTCAGGAAGCATGAGTGTCCCTGAACAGAGGGAATGGGTGGGCTGAAGAATGGGACCTGCATATATCCTCAGAGCAGCCTCTGGGCACCAGGGGAGCACCAATGAATTCTCACAACCTTATGCCCTGGTCCACCCAGAGCCCTGATCCTGGAGATTAGGGATGTTGTATGGAGGAGCAGAAATAGCAGCCTGTAAGGCAGCATGAGGGAGCTTAAGGCTGGAGTCAAAGGAAGCTTGGAAACTTGCAGGGGTTACTATGGAGAAAACACCATTCTGAATGAAAACCAAAGAGAGTGGCTGACAGGAAATGGGTCAGAAAGTTAAATAACATGTTTCAGCACATTTAGACATTCAGCAGAGTACCATGAAACCTCCTGCTTCCCACAGGTTCTTATTTTAATGAACCCAGTCAATCAAGACTTTTCCTTGAGGAGTGCTCAGCGTGAGTCGGTGGACCTCCGAGAGCTGCCTGCTCATTTACTAAGTTCTGTTGATTCTAATGCCTGTATGTGCCTCCAGCTCCTACTGGTTTTTGCCTTCGTTCAGACTCTCATCTTTTTTCCTCCTGCATTATTGAAACAGCCCCCTAAATGGTCTCCCCACCTGTGGTCTCATCACCTTCCAATCCATCTCCTCCCACCCTCCAGAATGATGCTTAGAAATCACAAACCTGATCTCTTTTCACAGCTGCCTAAAATCCTCCCTGGCACCCAGTTGCCCATGGAAGTGGTCTCAGGGCTTCCCTGAGCAACAACTCAGCTGACATGGTTGCCAGATGCATAGGCCCCTAATTCAGCAGGTTGGGGATGCAGCCCTAGAATTTACCATGTAAATAAATATCTTGGTGGAAGCTCATGACTGGGAATGATGATCAGTGTGGAAAGCACTGTCTATAGTGTGACACTGAACTGTCTCGCATGGTGGACCCTGCCCACCTCTCTGCTTTGTATCTGGACGGCTGAGCTGCATCTCTGAGCCTTGATCGTTTGAGTCCATCCCGACTGGGCTCTGGAACTGGGATCCAAACCCAAAGGCTCTTTCAGAATTCCAACAACCAGGCAGTTTAAGCTCATCTACAACAGACCACCCAACTCTGGGCTGGGAGAAGGTGTGACCAGGGGTGCATCTGCCATGGCAAGATAGGGAGAGGGTTGTTGTTCTTGTTGGATTTTTAAACAAAAATGAGAGAAGAACAGACTGCAGGTAACAGGGGAAAAGTAATTAAAAAATATATAAATAACTTGCAGTGTTCACAGCCTGCTGTTGTTCTGAGACAAATAGCTTAGTAAGTAAACCAAGGCAAGACAGACATTCTGGTGACAACACTCTAGCTTTGCTGTGATTCTCAAAATTACATGCACCTGAAATTTCAGAGCTCCAGATGGCAGAATTGTGCAGCTGGCGAAGTGTGCTTTGATATCCTCAAACTTCTCCTTTACTTCTTCTCCTCTCTTTGTGTTGCCTCTCTCAGATGTTTGTGTCCTTATCTGGGATCCAGATACTCAGAGCTTCTCACCATGGATACCTTCACAATAGTCCATCTGCCTTCACCCCTAAATCCTCCTCCCACCCTTACTCTCACTCCTCAGTTCATCCCTTGCCCACTTGCTTTCAAGACCAGCTGCTAAGATTTTAATGACTTATAGTAACTCTTCAGGGACACAGTGTTTATGTTTTAGCAGGGAACTGCTGGGAGGCAAAACTTTACTATGTGGTAGAATTTTAGGAGAGTGTGTTGGAATTCAGGAAAGATTGTTACGTCCCACCCGATGGCTTCAACAATTGTATTCCACCCTTATCAGGGTACCTGTCACATAGTAGGTACTTAACGTGATTCAATGCCTTGGACCACAGAAAGATTGATTTCCAACACCTAGACTTTCTTGGACCACTATGTGTTAATATAACTATTATTTTGACAGAGAGGATTAAATATATATTTAATGAAAATGTATAATTTAATTTATATCACTGAAGGCTTTCATTTAAATAATTCCCAAATTAAAAAAAATTAATGTCAGACTATGTGTTTGTGATTTGGGAATTTACCAATTAGGGTTTATTTAGAGTTTAATAAAACATTATTACTTCTATTCTGCTGCTAACATAAATGTCTTTGACTAAGAGTTTCCCTCTTCTCTGAGTTTTCTCGCCTCTAGCAGAAGCAGTGTTCACAGTCACAAACCCAAGTTTCCAGTTTGGACCTTCCCCATGACCTGTTGGTCTGCCAGGAGGGAGCATTCTTCACTGTCTTTAGTCTCAAGTACCGTTGGTATGGATGCAATTGATCACCTTCTGCATTTATTTGCTAGTGCTGCCATCTCAAAGTACCACGAACTGGATGGTTTAAACAACAGAAATTTATCCTCTCACAGTTCTGGAGATTAAAAGCCTGAAGTCAAGATGAAGCAGGGGCATGCTTTCTCTGAAGGCTCTAGGAAAGAATCCTTTCTTGCCTTTTCTAGTTTCTGGTGGTTGTCAGCAATTTTTGGCAATCCTTTGCCTGGAGATATATCCGTCCAGTCTCTGCCTCTGTCTTCACAAGGTATTCTCCCTGTGTGTCTGTGTCTCTGTTTTCTCTTCTTAATAGGTCACCAGTCATTGGATTGGGGCTCCCTATAATCCATTTTGACCTAATCTTAACTAATTATATCTGCAAAAACCCTATTTCCAAATATGGTCACTGTATTATTCAATTTTTATACTGCTATGAAGAAATGCCCAAGACTGGGTAATTTATAAAGAAAAAGATGTTTAATGGACTCACAGTTCCACATGGCTGGGGAGGCCTCACAATCATGGTGGAAGGCGAAGAAGGAACAAAGTCACATCTTACATGGTAGCCGGCAAGAGAGCATGTGCAGGGGAACTGCTCTTTATAAAACCATCAGATCTCATGAGACTTATTCATTATTATGAAAACAGCATGGGAAAAACCAGCCCCCATGAGTCAATTACTTCCCACCAGGTCCCTTCCATGACACATGGGTGCCATGTCCAGCTCCGTTTTCTCACTATGTCCAGGACACTTTGGCTTCAGCTAGAGTGTCTTCCTTGAGCACCAACCAGGTATTGATCTCCCAGTTCTCCTGTCCCTTAACTTGTGAATATCAGGAACTCACATCCCAGCCACAAAACTGTCTTCACATTGCTTCTTCTGGAGCACACACAGAAGTTCCACCAAGAGTGCACAGTATTGCTAGGGCCAGCTTTGGTACTATGTGGGTAGAGGGTGGCTTTGACCTGTTTCTTCCTTCCTTCATGGACTCTTCCTGACCTCTGGCTGTCCAACACTCCAAAGGGCTTGCACACTTGCTATTGTACCTGAGTATTTCTAGCTTTGCTATATCCGTTAAGTATTTTCTTTCCAATCCTCTTGGCTCCCTTTATCCCCCTATTAAAAAATATTAAAGTTTATTTTTCTAAGTTGAATGTCATGGGGCTATTTTCCACTTTGCTTGGTCTATTTGTATCATTATTCTACTGTTCTCTTGCTTATATAAGCTCCCAACTGAGCATGAATATACCATTTTAAGCCACTTCTGGGTCATTAATAAAGCCGTGAAGGAAGACAGGTTCTTACCCTAAACCCCATGGCACCAATTAGACACTTACCCTCAAATAGGCCCCTTGGCAATTTATCATTACCCTATGGTCTTTCAGTCATTGTTTAATCAATGAGGCCGGGTTCCTATCCAAGCCAATTTAAACTAAGTTTTCAAGGAAACTTTCTTGAGACCAATCGCTTTTCTGAAACTGTCTTCTCTATTGCAGTCCTTCCAGCTACTCGGTTTGGAGCACACAAACTTGTCAGATCATTTATTTGGTTCTTAGAATTGTTCATGGTGGTAGCATTTATATCTTTTTACTTTCAACAATCTTCCTTTCCTTGAGGGAAAGAAGTAGAAAGAGAACTACATCATTGAGAACTGCTCCCTTCTGTAACACCAGAGACTAAATTGTTGCCTGGGTTTGGAAAAAAGCATAAGGTCTACTTTGAGCAAGATTTTGATCACCCAGATCTTCTTCCCCAGACATAGCCAAGTGCAGAACTCTATAGAAGGGTCTAACAAAAGTAGGCCAATGGCATGGGTGGGTACCCACTCATGTTCAATGAATCTGAGGATGAAATCACAATTATTGAGCTATGATTATGTTCAAAGGCTTATGTCAGAGATGCCCACTTAAAGCTAAAGGAGCCATAGCCTGCACCCTCAGATGGTTTCAAGGCTGCTGCTGGTGGAACTGTAGGACTTAACAGACAGATCATCCATCTTTGTTCTCTCAAAAAAAAAAAAAAATAAATAAACAAATAAAACAACCCCTCACTGTTGGTCCCTACTAGGACTTGAGATATCAGAGGACCCTGAGAAATATAAATGTATTTGAAATTAAATTACCTGGCATGACAAAACTTTAACCTTTTTCAAGTCAGTATTACCCTTGGCTGGGTTGGACTATCAGAGAATGACATAAGAAACAGGTACTTTTCCTGGGTAGGTTATTTAAGTGAGAAGATATACAATTTTGGTTCTAAAATGATGGCGTAGAATCAAGCTGGGTTGACTCAGGCCTCACAGAAAAGCAAAAACAAATATACAACACCAAGGTTATTACTGTGAATACACAGATCTCAAATATGAAAATGAGACAGGCTGGGCTTTGTGGCTGTGGCTCACATCTGTAATCCCAGTGCTTTGGGAGGCTGAAGCAGGATAATTGCTTGAAGCCAGGATTTCAAGACCAGTTTGGACAACATTGTGAGACCCCATCTCTACAAACAATAAAAGAAAAATTAGCCATGCATGGTGGTACATGCCTGCAGTCCTAGCAACTTGAGAGGCTGAGGCAGGAGGATCTCTTGAGCCCAAGAGTACAAGGCTGAAGTGAGCTATGATTAGGCCATAGGGTGACAGAATAAGACCCCGTCTCAAAAAAAGAAAAAAAAAAAGAAAGAAAAAGAAAGTAAGACAGTTCTTGGGGGGAGGGGGTGGGCACAGAGAAGTGAAAAAGCTCTGAGTAGATGGTAAAAGAATCAGACTTCCATATCTTCAATGCCTCTTCCCCCATTCTGCCCAGCACCAGTGCATAGAAAATATTCCTGCAACTCACTGTTTCTATACTAGAAAAAGTGAGATGGAGATGGATAACCAGCTTCCCCACCATCTTGGGTTCTCTGGCAAGAGACCTGTCTCTGCCTTAACCCATGAGAAGTATGGAGAGCTCTGGAAAAGAGAAATATTTCTGAGGAAGGGCAGAGACAAAGGAGGGAGGTGGGACTACCATTCCCAGCCCTGGAAACTCTGCTCTGTAACTTGGCCAAAGGAAATGCCAAATCAGAGTGGCTGTTTAGCAGCACCATGCTGTAGGAGGTTCATCCTAGAGGTCCCCTGGGCATGAACCCCTAGCCAGCCTTCTTATACCGCCAAGGTATCCCCTTTGGGATTCCCCACATTCAGGAAGGGCAGCACTCTGATTGTTTACTAGAGCTAAGGTGAAGCTTAAGGCACCACCCGGAGCCAAAAAGGAGGCAGTAAACAAGCAGTAAAGAACCTCTAAGCAAATATATCCAATAAAAACCAAAACACACCAAAGAAGACTGGAATAAGTAATCCTTTAGTGCAAAGACATAGATGTACATCCACAAGAAGCAACAGCAAACAGGCAACCATAGTCTCCCCAAACAGACAAAGCAAGGAAACAATAACTGACCCTAACTAAATGGTGACATGTGAACTTTCTGACCAGGAATGCAAAAATAGTAGTTTTAAAGAAACTTAGCAGTTTCTACATTAACATAGATGAGCAATTCAGAATTTAACAGAGAAATTTAACAAGGAGGTCAGTGAGCTCAAAGACAAGCTATTTGAAATTACATGGTTAGAGGAAAGAAAAGTAAAAAGAATGAAAAGCAAAGAAGAATATCTACAATATATGTAAAATTACCTCAAAATACCAAATCTAAGAATCATTGGTTTTCAAGAAGGATTTGAGCAAGAGCAAGGGTAGAAAATGTTTTCAAATAAATAATAACAACATTTTCCAAAATGTGAGAAAGATATAAATATCCAGGTAGAGGAAGGTCAGAGAACACCCAGCAGATTTGACACAAATGAGACTACTCCAAGGCATATAAGAACCAAACTCTCAAAGGTCAAGGACAAAGAGAGAATTCTAAAAGCAGCAAGAGAAAAATAAAAATAAAAAACAAATAACACATCAAAAAACTCTAATTAATCTGGCAACAGATTTCTTGATGGAAACCGTATAGGCCAGGAGGGAATAGAATGACATTTTTCAAAGCACTGAAAGAAAAAAACTGCCATCCAAGAAAAAAACTGCCATCCAAGAATATTATATCCAGCAAAGTTATCCTTCGCATATGAAGGAGAGATACAATCTTTCCCAGACAAACAAGAGCTGAGAGAATTTACCACTACCAGACCTGTCTTATGAGAAATGTTAAAGGAAGCTCTTCAATCTGAAAGAAAGAAACACTAACATGAAAACAAAAACAAAAACAAACAAACAAAAACATTTGAAGGTATAAAACCCACAGTAAAAATTAAGTACATGGACAGACCCAGAATACTCTAATACTGTAATTGTGGTATGCAATCCACTCATATCTCTAGTATGAAGCTCGAATAACAAATCTGTCAAAACAATGATACCTACAACTTTTTAAGAAATACGTAATATAAAAATGTGTAAATTGAGACAAATAAAAGTCAAAATGTGTGTGAGGGGGAGAAAGTTAAACCCTAGTTTTTTTTTTCATTTTTTGTTTATTCTTTTCTTTGTGATCTGTCGTGTCTTTAAAATAAAGTGTTATATCTATAAGACGTTTTTTGCAATCCTCATGGTAACCACAATGCAAAAACATACAATAGAGTCACTGAAAATTTTAAAAAAAACTCATGAATTAAAACATATTACCAGAAAAAATCACTTAACCACAAAGGAAGGCAGTAAAAAAGGAAGAAAGAGAGGAGTTATGAAACAACCAGAAAACAAACAACAAAATGGCAGTAGTAAGTCTTTACTCATCAATAATAAAACTGAATGTTAATATACTCAATTATCCATTTAAAAAGCATAATGTGGCAGACTGGATAAAGAAATAAGACCCAACTATATGCAGCCTCTTCACCTATAAAACACTTCACCTATAAAGACATATATTGACTGAAAGTGAAGGGATGGATAAAGATATTCCATGCAACTGGAAATCAAAAAAGAGCAAGAGTAGCTACACTTACAACAGATAAAACAGACTACAAATCAAAACTCATAAAAAGAGATAAAGAAAATCACTGTATAATGATAAAGGGGTGAATTTGTCAAGAGGAAACAATTATAAATATCTATGCACTCAATACTGGAGCTCCCAAGTATAGAAAGCAAACATTAATAAATATGATGAAGAGACAGACTGCAATACAATAATTGTGGGGGACTTCAATACTGCACTGTCAGAAATGGACAGATCATCCAGACAGAAGATCAACAAAGAAGCAGCAGAGTTAAAATACACACGAGACCTATTAGGCCTAACTGACATTTACAGAACATTTCATCCAATTGCTACAGAATATGCATTCTTTTCATAAGCACATGGAACATTCTCCAGAATAGACCATATCTTAAACTCTGAACTAATTCAAAAAAAGTAGAAATCATACCAACTATCTTTTCTGACCACAAGGGAATAAAACTAGAAATCAATAAAAGAGAAACCTTGGAAACTTCACAAACACTTGGAAATTAAACAACATTCTCCTGAATGACCAATGGGTCAATGAAGAAATTAAGAAGGAAATTTAAAAATTTATTAAAATGAATGAAAATTGGAATAAAACACACTAAAATCTATGGGATACAGCAAAAGGAAAGTTTATAGCAATAAACATGAGTATCAAAAAGCAGAAAGACTTAAAATAAACAACCTAATGATGCACCTCAAGAAACTAGAAAAGCAAAAATAAACCAAACCCAAAACTAGTAGAATGAAAGAAATAATAAAAGTCAGAGCAAAAAGAAATATAATTGAAGCTAAAAGAATAACAGAAGATCAAGGAAATGAAGAGGTGGTTTTTTGAAAAGATAAAATTGACTAACCTTTGGTTAGACTAACTAAGAAAAAAAGAGAGAAGACCTAAATAAATAAATTAGAAACAAAAAAAAGAGACATAACAAATGAGACCACAGAAATAAAAAGAATAATTAAAGACTACAATGAACAACTATATGTCAACAAACTGAAAAACCTAGACAAAATGGATAAATTCCTAGACACAGCCTACCAAGAGTGAGCCATGAAGAAATAGAACACCTCCAAAAACCAATAACAAGTAATGAGACTGAAGCTGTAATAAAAAAATCTCTTATCAAAGGAAAGCCCAGGACTTGGTGGCTTCACTTCTGAGTTCTACTGAACATTTAAAGAACTAATACCAATTCTACTGAAACTCTTCAAAAAAATTGAAGAAGAGGGAATATTTCCAAACTCATTCCACAAGGCCAGCATTACTCTAATACCAAAATAAGACAAAGACACAACAAAAAAGAAAACTACAGGCCAGTATCATAGATGAACATAGAGGCCAAAATTCCCAACAAAATACTAGCAAATTGAATTCAACAATAGATTAAAAAAATCATTTACCATGATCAAGTGGAATTCATCTCAGGGACGCAAGGATGGTTCAATATATGCAAATCAATAAATGTGATATATCATATTGACAGAACCAAGAACAAAACCCATATGATTATTTCAATATATGCCAAAATAGCATTTAAAAAAATTTAACATCTCTTTATGATAAAGAATCCTCTATCAAACTGGGTATAGAAGGAATATATCCCAAAATAATAAAGGCCATGTGTGACAAACCCACAGTAACATCATACTGAATGGGGAAAATTTGAAGGCCTTTCTTTTAAGAGCTGGAACAAGACACGGATGCCCACTTTCACCAGTTTTATTCAATATAGTTCTGGAAGTTCTTGAGACAAGAGAAAGAAAGGGCATCCAAATCGGAAAGGAAGCAGTCAAATTAGTCTTATTTGCGGATGACATGATCTTTTGCTTAGAAAAACCTAAAGACTCCACCAAAAAAGTTAGAACTGATAAATAAGTTCAATAAAGTTGCAGGATACAAAATCAACATACAAAAATCAGTAGCATTAATATACACCAATAGCAAACAATCTGAAAAAGAAATCAAGAAAGCATTCCATTTACAATAGCTATAAAGAATACAAAATACATAGGAATCAGTTTAACCAAAGAATTGAAAGATCTGTACAAGGAAAACTATAAAACACTTATTAAAGCAATTGAAGAGAACACAAAAAATGGAAACCATGATATTTCATGCTCATGGACTTGTAAGAATTAATACCATTAAAATGACAATACTACTCAAAGCAATGTGCAGATTCAATGTAATTCCTATCAAAATGACAATTCACCACAGAAATAGAAAAATAATCCTAAAATTTATGTGGACCCGTGAAAGACCCCAAGTTGCCAAAGCTATCCTGAGCAAAAAGAACAAAGCTGGAGGTATCACACCACCTGAATTCAAAATTTACTACAAAGCTATAGTAATCAAATAAGCATAGTAGGGCATAAAAACAGACATATAGACCAATGGAACAGAATACAGAACCCAGATATAAACCCATGCACATACAACCAACTCATCTTTGACAAAGGCACCAAGAACATACACTGGGGAAAGGACAACCTCTTCAATACATGTTGCTGAGAAAACTGGATAACCATATATAGAAGAATAACACTAGATTCTTCTCTCTCACTGTATATAAAAATGAAGTCAAATGGATTAAAGACTTAAATCTAATACCTGAAACTATGAAACTACCAGACAAAAACGTTGGAGAAATGCTCCAGGACATTGGTCTGGGCAAGGATTTTTTGTGTAAGACCTCAAAAGCACAGGCAACTAGAGCAAAAATAGACAATTGGAATTACATCAAGCTAAAAGTCTTCTGCACAACAAAGGAATCAATCAACAAAGTGAAGGGACAACCCCCAGAATGTGAGAAAGTATTTGCAAACCATCCATCTGACAAGGGCTTAATAACCAGAATATATGAAAAGGCGAAACAACTCAATAGCAAACCTCCAAAACAATCTGATTAAAATGGGCAAAAGATCTGAAGGAGCATTCTCAAAAGAAGATATACATATGACCAGCAGGTTTATAAAAAGAAATGCTCAACATCACGAATCATCAGACAAATACAAATGAAAACTACAATGAAATATCATCTCACCCAGTTAAAACGGCTTTTACCAAAAAGATAGGCAATAATGGATGCTGGCAAGGATGTGGAGAAAGGGGAGCCTTGGTACATTGTTGGTGGGAATATAAATTGGTATAGCTACTATGGAGAACAGTATAGAGGTTCCTCAAAAAACAAAAAGTAGAACTATCATATGATCTAGCAATTCTACTACTGGGTATATATCCAAAAGAAAGGAAATTGGTATACTGAAAAGACATCTGCACTTTCATGTTTATTGCAGCACTATTAACCATAGCCAAAATATGGAATCAACTTAAGTGCCCATCAATGGATGAATGGAAGAAAATATGGTATACGTATACAATGGAATATTATTAAGCCACAAAAAGATTGAAATCTTGTCATTTGCAATAACATGGATGAAACTGGAGGTCATTATATTAAGTGAAATAAACCAGGCACAGAAAGACAAATATTACATCTTCTAACTCATATGTGAAACTAAAAAAGTTTTTCTCCCAAATATAGAGTAAGCTGGTGATTACCAGAGTCTAGGAAAGAGTGGGGGAAGAAGAGAATTTGATTAGTGGATACAAATATACAGTTTGATAGAGGAATTCAGACCCAGTATTAGATCAGTTGGGTGACTCTAGTTTACAACAATTTATTGTATATTTCAAAATAGCTAGAAGAGAAGAATTGGAATGGTTCTAACATAAAGAAAAGACAAATATTTAGGGTGATGAATATCCCAAGTACACGGTTTTGATTTTTACAAAGTATATGATTATATTAGAGTATCACATGTACTTTGAAACTATGTGCATCTGTTATGGATTGATTAAAAATTAAATTAAAAACTTCATATAAAAGGGGGAAAATACAGAATATTCTGCCATATAGTCAATAGAAAGCCCAGCCCAGAGGCAATTGCAGTGGTGAAAGTGAGAGATGTTAGTCATTTGGACTGTGGTGGGAAGTTAGATTTAGGATAGGTCTTAAAGTTAGCAATGAAATAACTTCAGTTTTAAATTTAAAATATATCCTACTGGATAATTCATGGGGTTCTTTATGAGATGTGGGGGTCAGAGAAAGGGAAGAGGCCTTTGGGATTTTTGCATCAGCAACTGGGTGCCTTGTGGTTTCTTTGACTTAGATGGCGAAGGCTGGGGCATGCCAGTATTGAGATGCCAATGAGATTTCTGAAGGGAGCTGTTAATAGCAAGCTGGATGTATAAGTGTCGAGCTCAGGGAAGAGGGTGGTGTGAGAGATATAAATTTGGAAGTCATTAGCATATAGATGGTATTTAAAGCCTAGGGAATGAAGATAGGCTCTACAGTGCAATTCACAGTGAAGATCTTCACATCATGACTCTTTTAGCAACAAAGAGCATAAACATCACTGAAGCATGTTCTGTGTGTGGGGCTCTTGTCAAGTCTCTTGATTTCTCTAAGTATTTGTTAGCCTATCAGGAAAATAAGTGGTAAGCACACACATTCAAGCCATACCCTCAATGCCTGAAGGACCACACTGTAGTTCTCTAATTTCATAGAAGGTGAAGTCATATATTTTGTTTTCTGCAAAAGGATGCCACTTTAAGATCTTCAGAGAAATGCAAAAATTGACTAGGGCAGTTTAGAATTCATCAAATTGCACAATTGAGAGTAATCTACACTCAAGTAGATGTTTGAAATTCTACATTTAGTTGTGGGTTTCTTAAATATGCAGCGAATAATTTAAGTGAAGCGAAATATGCAGCAAATAATATGCAGCGAAATATGCAGCGAATAATTTAAGATACTGCACAAATAACTGGAGAGACAATAATTTCAGTTGCAATGCTGGTGACAAAGTATTATGAAAATGAAACGCATTGTGTTCAGAATAATACTACTCCAAAGCATGCAAAATCAGTCCACCTGGTAAACTCAATCCTTCAGGAATACAAACAGAATGTACTTCTGAAAGTTGAGAAAAGTAACTTTCTGCTTTTGAGCCCATCTTTATTTTTGGTGACAGGAGTAACAAAATTTATACCTTTTGCATAAGCAACTTGTACTTTTGCATATTCGTGACAACATATGGATTAAATGTTTTAAAATGAGTCTAGTCTAATTTTTCTAATAAAAAAGTAATTGCTAGCTCTAAAAAAAAATGGGAAGCTATAATGGAAGAAGCCTGGGTAATGGAGAGTTGGCTCTACCACTAGGCTCATGGAGGACACCAAGACCAGGCAAAAAACTCCCATGCTAACTTCTCCTGAGTTGTTCTTTCAGGCCATTGCTCCAAGTATGGTGTTGGAATTCCCGCACCAGAATCACCCAGGTGATTAAGATGTAGATTTCTCGATCCCATTTTAGACCTACTCCACCACAGTTTCTGAGTATAAATCTGCATTTTAAATAAGCACTCTTAGGTGGTTCTAAATCAGGAGTTTTAAACCTGGCTTCACAGACATGCTAGGACAAGGTTCTCAAACTTTAGTGTACATAAGAATCACCTGAAGAGTGGGATAAAACGCAGATACTGGAATCTGGAAGTCCCAGAGCCTGTCTGTGTTTTTAATTTGCATCCTGGGTCTCTTGAATGAGGGTGGTCTAGGGACCTCACTCTGAGAAACCCTGCCTAGGAGGTTTTAGGAGTTCCATGCCCTGCCATCCCCATCCTTCCATCTCTGCTCCCTGACAACTTAAATGCAAACTTTATCTGTATGTGCCTCTGTGCCATTACATGATAAGGAAGGTCTTTTGCTTATTTTAGATCTTTCAGTCCAGAAAAAAGTTAAGAGACACTGCCGAAGATACCAGCTCTTCTGATCAATCCTAATACTTTCTTGCACTTCTACATAAGCAATTCAGAAAAACAGCATTGGCAGGGAGCTGCAGAAACTGCTCCCCTAGGTGAGCTATTTGCTCCTCAAATGATGCATATGCCCTGTCTGAGCCGAAGCTCGAGAATAGGAGCACACCAAAAAGCATTCGGTCTCTAGGTTCTGATTCATTTCTCTCCCTCCCCAGCCTTCAGGCATTATTTTAGGGAAGCCAACTTTAAAACAACAACAACAACAACAATTTGTTTATATCACTAAGTATGCTACCCTGGAAGTACATGTTTTCTGATTTACCATGGTTGTTCTTTCCCAACTCCTCAGAACTATCATGGAGAACCACTTCTGCTTTCCTCATTATTAAACTGAAAGACTAAGGAAGGCTGCATTTGCTCACTCTCCTGTGATTTCTAGTAAAATCGAGCATCCTGTCTTTTTCATTTGTCCATGATTTCATCGGTGTTTGACCTAGCTCCAATTATATTCATTCTTACGGAACTTTCCGTTTGCTTGTTTCTTTTATTCCCTCTTATGTTGTTTTCAACTCATTTTGTGTTTGAACAGAGAAAAAAAAAGATGTGAAGATGAAACATTTATCTAGTGGTCCATTTGGTGGAAAAAACACACAAAACATTTTAAGGCTGAAATTTTTGAAGTCGCTGCTGAGATGCCAACCAAAATGGACCAAGGACACTGGAGTGGGAAGAACTCTGGCTTTGGAAGCTGAAAGATCTCAGCAACTTGCTGCCATGTGGCCCTGGGAAGCAGCCTACAGGCTTCGAGCCTGTTTTCCCATCTGTAAGAAGGCAGATTCCTAGTTCCACTTGTCTGTGTAGGCTGACATTTTCTCAACCCATCCAGTAGGATTCAGCACCTCTTTCTGCCCTTCCAGTGGGGCCACTCATGCCACAAGTATTCTAGAGCCATGTCGAGTTTACTAAAGATTTTGTACAGAAATGCAGGAGGGTTTTACACTGTAGACCTCCACAGTAAAACCTGCTGAGCTCCCATGAATAGATCCCCTCTCCCAAGTCTTTCCATCTCCCTGCTGATTGACAGCTTCTCTTCTTCCTCTCTTTGCTTCACAGTTCGCAGGCTCACTCACTGGATGAACTTCTGTCTTCCTCACTTTCCATATCTCCCCCTTCCCTGCAGGCCCCTAAACACTGTCCACTTCCTCCTTGCTTGGACTTAGGTCCTCCAAACTTGTAAACCTGAAGCCATCAGGTACTCTGAAAACAAGGAAACTTCTCTCCCCCTCATCCTGGCTCCTTACCTTGGAAAACACAAGCAATTCAGCAATTTGTTATTTAGGTTGGTGCAAAGGCAATTATGGTTTAAAAATAATTTCTTTTTGGCTGGGCACGGTGGCTCATGCCTGTAATCCCAGCACTTTGGGAGGCCTAGGCAGGTGGATCAAGAGGTCAGGAGATCGAGACCATCCTGGCTAACATGGTGAAAACCCATCTCTACTAAAAATACAAAAAAAAAAACAATTAGCTGGGCGTGGTGGCAGGCACCTGTAGTCCCAGCTACTCAGGAGGCTGAGGCAGGAGAATGGCGTGAACCCGGGAGGCAGAGCTTGCAGTGAGCCAAGATCACGCCACTGCACTCCAGCCTGGGCGACTGAGCAAGACTCCGTCTCAAAAAAAAAAAAAAAAAAAAAAAAAGTAATTTCTTTTTAATGGCAAAATTTAAAAGTAATTACTTTTAATGGGAAAAACCGCAATTGCTTTTGCACCAATCTTAATATTATGTCATATTAACTACACCTTTTCTCTCCTTTTAAAAGAACCTTAAAACAAATCCCAGCCTTTTTCATGTTACATGTAAAAAGTGATAATGACAGACTGAAGATGCTGCCCATGGCTGGGACACTTCCCAGGGCCCTGGCTTCCCCATAGCTGAAGGGGCAACATTTTACTATATCCTGAATCTACCCAATGCATACCACGTGCCATTGCACGCAGACCAGGAAGACATTCTCACCTGTAAAAGGGCGGAAATAATGCCTATTTCACAGGTCTGTCTTAAGATTAAATGAAATCATATCTTTAAACCAGCAAGCAGAGTCTTGGGCACTCAGGCAGTGTTTAGGGAACCTCAGTTAGGCCTAGACTTAGTCTCCATGTTGGTTCATTTTCCTGGCAAGTTTTCTTTGTCGAGAACGTCTTTACTTCTCTTCATTTGTTTCACTTTAGAAAACATTTATGAAGTCTCTAAACTTTCTTCCTTGAAGTCACACTGGCTGAAGTCAGTTATTTTCACTGTTTGCAAGGAGTTGACACTCTGGGCCTTAATGGTGGTCTCCCCTGGGCCACCTCTCTTCCATGCGTTGTACATTTTAACCCCCACCCCGCCCTGTGCCTTGCTCTCCTCTGCTGTCACTCCCTCTGTGTCTCCGATGTTCCTGCTCTGGATCCTCACACTACTGATGGCTTAGGTCCACATCTCATCATCACACTCTAGTACCCCTTTACCACCTGCTCCTGGGTTAGACTAATTGCTCATTGGAACCGAGGGAACCTGTGACTCTCACCTTGTTGTATGTGTTACTTCCGTATGTCAGTTTCAATCATTCATCTGTGGACAATCCCCTTGGCAGATTAGCATGAACCCCTGAATTTTGTAGGGAAAGATAACTTGAAGATCAATTATAATTGCTCTCATTTTCTTCCTCACACTGCTTCAGCCATGCCGCTTCTGTGCTGTTCCATGAATGCAATGGGGACACTCCTGCTGCCGGACTTTGCTGCTCTTTCCTATGCCTGGAACACTCTCCTCCCAGATTTTCACTTGGCCTGCACCCTCATCTATTTCAAGTTTTTGCTCAAAGGTCATCTTCATGAGTCTCTTCACTGACTATTCCCCAGTCCCACTGACTTCTTCCTTGCTTTACTGGCTGTTAACAGTGTGTGTGTGTGGTGTGTGTGTGTGTGTGTGTGTGTGTGACAGAGAGTGTGTGTGCAAGAAAATACAGTTTGCCTGCTCCCACTAGAATGTACAACTCCATGACAGTAGGGATTTTGTCCTTTGCCTTTCTCACTATATGTTCCCTGTATTTAGAATATGCCCTGGTACATAACAGGTATATAGTTGTCGAGTTGAATGAATGAATGTGTAACTTATTTCAGACAACAGAAAGGGCCAGAGAGGTGAAAGGAATTGTCCAAGGTCACACAGTTATTTAGGAGTAGAACTGGTAAGTTGACTTGGGTTTCCATCACACAGCTCGGTGTCTTTCCTCTGCCCCAGCTTCCTGCATTATCAACCACAATCCACAGTGCTCTGCCCTCCTAGAGTGTAGCTGGGGAAGGCTTGGAGTCTGGCATTAGCAAGGATGAAATGGAGTAATGTCTTTAATGTCTTAAATGTATACACTTATGAAAGCCACTTCATTTGCTATACTGTAGGTATACTGCCCTTCCTTCAGTTCTTCAAATCTATCTCAGGGATTTTGCACATGTGATTCTCTGAAATGCTTTTTGCCCAGTTCTTCCCTTGACTGACTCCCTTCCATCCTTCAAGCCTCAGCTTAAATATGCCTTCTTGAGAATCCATCCCTTCCTATCTGCCATGTCTGAATGTCTGTGTCCCTCAAATTCTTATGTTGAAACCTAATCCCCAGTGTGATAGTCTTAAGAGGTGAGGCCTTGGGGACGTGATTAGGTCACTAATGGGATTAGTGCCCTTGTAAAATACACCAGAAAGAGTTTGTTTGTCCTTTCAACCATGTGAGGACACAGCAAGAAGTCACCATCTATGAACCAGGAAATGGTTGGGCTCTCACCAGACACCAAATCTTGGACTTCCCGGCCCAGAACTGTGAAAAATAAATTTTCATTATTTATAAGCTACCCAGTTTATGGTATTTCGTTATAGAGCTTGAACAGACTGACATTACCCACACGAAAAGTTTTGGTCATTTTATTCAGAATATTTGTCATTATTTGCTTGTGATTTCTTATTTAGTCAATTCTCTTCCTATAAAGCAAGGGCCATTTCTTCTTTGTTCACTTTTGTACAATCAATGCTAACATAGTCTCTGTAGTGGATGAATTAATGAATAAGTCTATTATCAAATAAAATGCAAAGGACTTGAGGATTAGACATTTTTTCATAATAGCCATTATAGCTGCTGTTTGAATATACCACGTCTAAAAAAACAACTGCCAGCAAGTAAAAAGCCCCACAAGCCAACCACAGGTTGAGTGAGGCATCTATGATTGTGTATGTTTGCTTTGGTCTAGTTCTAACTTGTCATGTAGATTTCAGGCAAGTGACATGATATTTCTTTATCACAGTTGAAACCCAGACACAGAAATCACATGCCATATTGTAGGGCCTTATTTATAAGTAATGTATAGCGAGCTGTGATGACAAATATTCATATCCAAATCAAGTCTTACTGAGGTATCTTGCTTAATTTCTATCTTGTTAGATTATACCTAACAACAATTTGAAAATTATTCTAGATTAATGAATAAATATTTATTTAGAATTTATCCAGTCCCTAACCCTGAGAAGAATATAAAGATAATGGCCTTGTTCTTAAGAAAAAGACTGTTTAAAGACAATGGGCTTTTTTTCTTAAGAAACAGACTGTTTAATGGGATGAACACAATTTATAAACAAGATACCATAAACAGGATTATACTCCCTACTGTGTGTATTGAGAAGGACAGACAGTAAGTACAATGGAACTTGGCGGGTAGGAGAGGAAAATAAATGTGTGCTGGAGTTTTAAGGGAAGGGTTCCTAGATGAGGTGGAATTTAACTAGTCTTTGAAGGATGGGGGAGAATAAATCAGCATATTTATTGAGTGCCTACTGTGCATAAGATATCTTACTAAATACTATGGGGGATACAAAGATTATAAGACAAGGTGCCTACCCCTGCCAAGTTTATAATCTTGTTGTAGAAACATGATAGAAATTAGTGAAAAGTTAAATAATGTTATGAGGGATAAATAGCAGCTTAAGATGACAGCAGCACAGGAGATGTTATAGACATTATGTGATTAATTACCGGATGAATGATATTGATGATCATGGCTCTAGGAGCTCCAAGGAGGTGGGTTGGGAAGGCTTCTCAGAAGACACAGGACCTCTACGTGAGTTAGAAGGATGGATGGGATTGGCTAAGAAGATGATGGGAGACATTATCAGGGAGGCAGAATGGAGATTGGCATAAACAAAAGAGTACAGGTAGGGCAGGACAGAGAGGAAAATGTGTCCGAGGAAAATAAGTGAGCCAGGCTGGCTAAGAACAGATAGAAAATTAGAAAACTGAATGGTTAGAAATAAAACTGGGGAGAAGGATTAAGACCAGGTCATGAAGACAATGAAAGCTAGACTATTGAGTTTATATATCACCGTTCCTGCAATGAAGAACCACTAAATATTTTGCATGCGGGCATGATGTTTTATAATTTGTCTGGCAGCAGGGTAAAGAAAAGCTTTGACTAACATGGAGAAACCCCGTCTCTACTAAAAACACAAAAAATTAGCCGGGCGTGTTGGCACGTGCCTGTAATCCCAGCTAATTCAGGAGGCTGAGGCAGGAGAATCGCTTGAACCTGGGAGGTGGAGGTTGCGGTGAGCCGAGGTTGTGGCGAGCCGAGATCATGCCATTGCACTCCAGCCTGGGCAACAAGAATGAAACTCCATCTAAAAAAAAAAAAAAGAATAAAAAAGAAAAGCTTTGAAAAGAGTGGTTATGTGAGAGGCTACTTCGGAGGTGCAAGCACAGGATAGAAGGAACTGTTATCGGAAGTGGTGGCCATTCCCAGTTGGACGTAGGTAGACACATAGAGGTAAACTGCAAAGGAACAATCACAAGTGTTTGTGGCTGGGTGAAGATGGAATTGAAGAGAGAAATGGGTCAAACAAGGGTTTTGAATGTTTCCAGCCTGGATTGCAAAAGAATTCAGTGACACCTACTTACCTGCACACACACACACGTTCATTTATTGAGTACTTGCTATATTAGTCAGAGACTGCCTTAGATGTTAAAAATACAAAATACGTAAGACAGGACCCATGACTTTAAATTTTTACAGTCAAAGTGGGATAACAATATTCAGTAAGCAATTTTAGAGTGCCCAGTATCTTCTAGAGATAATAGACAACATTATATACAGAAGTTTAGGAATCGGAAGAGGGTACTTTACATTCATTTGTATGGGAAGGGAAGTATAACTTCAACTTATGGGCAAGGAACTCAGGGTCACAGAGAGACTTCCACATGGAAATGTACAGAGGACAAAGGCAAATGTAGAATTAAAGCCCAGGGAGGGGAATGCAGGTTCAAGAGGGCTTAGTGAAAGTAGATGTCCTCAAAAGAGAAAGTATCAAGAGAGAAGAGACAGAGGCAGAAATTCAAACCTTAGGCTACAATCACATTTAGAGTTGGCAAATTAGATCAACTAAGATGGGATAAACACAATCAGAGCAGAGTTGGGACAGGGTGTATTACTCAAAGGAAGGAGAGGCTTTATTCAACAGTGTTGGTGGTTGAGGGGGGATTGAGTTGCAGAGGTCGAGGTGGGAAGGATTAAGAAAAGATCGTGAAGCGGGGTGTCTACGCAGTCAAGGAACCCTCTGTTCCTGGGACTTTGTCACCAGAGTGGATGACCATGTCAGGTATGTCACAGAAAACCCCATAAACTTGGTGAAAAATTGGGTCAGATAAAGGGTTGTTCAACTGTGGTGTTTTCAAGAAAAGCATTACTAATGGAAACAAAGTATAGAAGTTTATAAACTATTTGCCTTTTTTATACTAATATATCAAAGAACATCAGATTTATCAGAATAGTAATTTTGTATTTGATGACTTGCATTTAGACATGGTTCACGGAGTGAGAAAGGTAATTTACCTGAAAGGTACCTTACCTTGCAATTGGACATAACTCCCAGCCCATGGCATGCCCACCAACATCTGTGGCTCATATGAATATCATTAGCAATAATGTGTATGGTCATGGTGTGTTAAGCACACTACAGGTTCTCTTGTAACTCAATATTTTTATAATACTGTGATTTAACAATTAGAGGTCATAGGTTAGGAGCTTCTGAAGGGTAGGGATGGTGTATTGTACCCCTGCGTGTGTATCCCTTACAAGGTCTGATACACTGGTAAGTAATAAATAAACTGATGGAGGCCTTTGGTAGTGCAGTAAAGTTATGATGGAGCAGGAAAACTTTTTCAGTATCTAGTCATGAAGATGATTAAGAGATTGAAAAATAGAGGTAAAATGTAAGGGGGTGACTTTTGAAATAGCCTTCATATCTGTGAATGGTCACTGCATTATTGGGACATATATTTAGGCTCTGATAAGGTGGACTTAGATTGGATATGAGAAAGCTGTTTTGGCAATAAACGCTGATAGATCCTGAACTAAGATTGTCAAAAAGATGTGAGTGGTAGAGGTCTGAAAGTGCTTGAAAAATGAAAGCAATCTATGTTGGAGATTTTATTCCTTTTCCTTTCCCTTCCCTAATACAGTGATCCAGGCCTCCATATAAAATTTCTCTCCTTGTAACATGACTCGAGTGAATCTTCTATTTCTTGGAGCTTTGACACTAACCACCTATTGACCATTCTTAGGGCACAAACTCAATCTATTATGCCTCCCGCATTCCCCGTGGCAAATGACTCAGTGTATCTTCAGTGAACATTAAACTGTGAATGTCAGGGAATGAGGTGCCACTAGCAGTAAGCAATGAGAGTGAGTGAGAGGAGATGGTATGTGTGCATTTCCTGTGGTTATGTCAGCCCTCTTTCCATTCATGGGAAAATGTGCTTCCTCACTCTTCCTTACAAGAGGACCTGGCTTCATTGCTTATTGTGAATTATGAGTTATCTTTTCCATCCAAATACACCAGGAATGGAAACCATGGACTTGAGTACATTATATTTCACTTTGCCAACTCTCTCTTGTCTTACTCTCTACTATTTGTTTTTGCTCATTTATAAATCACCTTGCACTGTGGTCAGACATTTACTAGAGGCTTTGCTGGAGCCTTTGACAATGGCTATCCTCACTTGACAGGTGACACTCTGCTGAGAAAAATGCCAGAGGAACTTGAACACATATTCTCACCCTCCTCCCACTTGGCCTCAATCTGGACTTTCTCCTTCTTCCCTTCTGTCGGCTTCCTGTTCTCTCTTTTCCATTCCATTGCCTTTCCCAATTTCATATTCAAAGATGCTTTGAACACAACAAAAATACTGCCAGAGGTAATTATAATTGCACAAGAATTTTGTTATATTACATAGATTTCTTCTAGCCTGAATATTTCAAATTGACCTCTGAGAGGTAAAAAGAATGGATGTGATCACAGTTCCCTCCCTTCCCCCTCTCTCTTCAGTTTCTATTGAGGGGAACATTCTTCCCCTCCCTGTCTGTGCCTATTTTTATTCCCTGTCCCCTGCACCCTTATTTAAACCTAAAATATTGATGAGCTCCACCTTAAGCTCAGCATTTATTAGGAGCGCTACAGCTCAGTTCAGTACAGGTGGGTGCAAATCCACAGGGTTCCTGAGAGGCCAGAGGCAGTGAGGTGCGGAGGATCATATAGTGAGGACAGATGACACTGAGCATTTATATGAACGTCTTGTGTACTTGGGGTAGAGTTACATGGGTGGGAGAGGGGGCGAATTTGAGAAACGATCTAGGGGAGTCCCCTAAGTCAGCAGGATTCAGTGGCGGTGGGTGTATGGTGTGGAATCCAGGGAAGGTAGGAGGGTACAGCAGTCAGGGTCGGAACTTGTGTCAGGCTAGCTGCTGGTGTTCAACTGCCAGCTCCAGATCTCACTAGCAGCCTAATCTGGGGCATGGCCCTTAACAGCTCTGAGCAGTTTCCTATAAAATAGAGGTAATAATAGTTTCTAGTTCACAGGTCTTGGAGAGAAATTAGATTATGCATATAAAAGCATTTAACTCAATGCCGGGCATATGGAAAGTAATCAATAAGCAGTAGCAATCATTATGTGTTCTCCTTTTTACTGATGTCCGTCGGTAATCAGCAAATTGTAACTATTATTTCTTTAACTATCTCTGTGAGAGAGAGTTTATGAAAATGGTGTTTAAAACCAATCATTAACCTTAGGAAAAAAAGTAAAGGCAAGCACAATTTGTTCCATAGATAGTATCAATAATTCTGGGCTGATATTCAACTTGATAATCAACTTATTAAGTTTTCTACATTGTTCAAGACATTAACTCGCTTGCTGTTGGTTTGTGTGAGCGATGTCTCTGTTGTATGATGTATGTGTATGTGTGTATGTGTGGGTGGGCATGTACATAGACATACACATATACACACACACAGGATGGTGAGTGAAATGTTTCCTGTTGCCCTGGGATTGGTAACTGGGGCACAAAGCCTGCCAAGTGTCAGGACCTCTGCAGCAGGAGGCTGGACAGCTGGGAGGTGGTTTACAGGTCTGGGAGCTGGAGGACAGACGGGTGGAAAAGGTCGAGCTGGAGGTGAATCCTTTACATCAAAGGGTTGTGCTGCAGGGAGGCTCACAGGTACTCTAAAGAACTCACATGTGTATCTGAGGAGAGACAGCCCACAATGGAGGCCTGCTGCATGGAGGGTTCCAATGGCCAGTCTGGGTAAACTAGAGATGCAGCCATAGTCAGCAGAGAGAGAGAGAGAGAGGATGGACAGTGGCCAGCCACGCAGAGGCATGTGTCCACCATCCCTCCCGTCCCCCACCAACATCACTGGGAGAATCAGGATTGGCGGGGTTAGGGTGCAGGAAGTGGCTCAGAGTCAGATCAAAGTCCCGGATTTCAGCTTGTTAGGGGTTGAATGTGTCCTCCACAAAATGATAGATTGGCTTTCTAATCCCCAGTACATCAGAATGTGATCTTATTTGGAAAGAAGGCCTTGTAGAGGGTTAAAATGTGATCATTAGGGTGGGCCCTAATCCATTGTGACTGGTGTCCTTATAAAAGGGGGAAATTTGGGAAGAGTCATATACAGAGGGAAGACACGAGAATAGACATCAGGAGAACTTCATATGAAGATTGGAATTATGCTGCCACAAGCCAAGGGGTGTCTGGGGCCACCAGGAGCTGGCAGAGGCAAGGAAGGATCCTTCCCTACTGCTTTCAGAGGGATCACAGCCCTGATTTTGAACTTCTTTTCTCCAGAACTCAGATGATAAATTTTGTTGTCTTAAGCTCCCCAATGTGTTGTACTTTGTTATGGCAGCCTGAGAAGACGAATACATAGCTCAAAGCTGTGCAGGAGGGAAGAGAGGGAGAAGTGATTTAAGTGCATTACAGATCAAAACTTTAACCTGGGCTGCACTTGAAGAGCTAAGCATGACCAGAAAGTTATGGAATCTGCCCAAGATCTTATTGAGCAATGTGCTACGTATTAGGAAAGGGAGGTTCTACAGAACAGAGATGAAAGCCATGATGGAAAAAAATACAATTATTTTATGCATACACCCCACCAAGTTCAGACTGCTCAATAAACTGGTTACATACAGATTCACACATCCTCTGCCCACCAGATGCTTGGGAACTTGGCCAGGATTACTCTCAGGCTGCATGCTGATTACCATGACAACATAGGTAAAACACAGTCCTGTAGCTTCCCCAGTTTATAGACTTGGAGCCAGGGGTAGTTCTAAATGGTCTAACCGTGAATGTTCTGTGATTAAATCTGATGTTTGACAATGAGCCCTGGGGACCATAAATCACTGAAGTCTGAGAGTGCTCCAAGGGCAATAACAGAACTCCCTCAGTGAAAGAGCTGCTTTGCAGGCAGCTTAGAGGGAAGAACCCTTTTCATGTCTTGCCTTCACATCTAGATCAGCACCAGAAGCTGCAGACCCACAAAGATCTCTATCATAGTCAATTCCCAGTGGCCTCTGTCACATTCTTCTGGGGCGATGGGCTTTGTCTTCATTCCCAGGATATCTCACTGAGCTGCCCAGTCTGCACAGTCCCAAGAGGGTGTTCGCTATGAGCTGATTTTCTGGAGTGAATGGGCACCAAGGATTTCTATCATTTTTCCTCATGGACACAGGGAGAGAAGAGTCTTGGCAGGATGGGAAGTCAGTTATGTTCATCCTGCTGGGTCTCAGTAGGGGCTCACTGCTCCAATTAGCACTACCTGTCTTCCAGGACAAGGAGGGCTGCTCAGCCAGGGCCTACTCAACACAAACTTTCCTTTTCTTCACCTTACAGGGGATGGAATTAGAGTTATTTTCCTGATTCTCTGATGCACTAGATGGTTCTTGTTGGTCTGCCTTGACATGCCCATCTTTGGTGATTTTGGAGATGGTGGTAGCCTAGAAGAGGTGTTGGAGGAGGAGATGGCAAGGAATTGTAGGATGCATGTGGGGGCAGCAGAGACACCAGCCTGGGCTTGCCATGATGCCCTGTGCCCCCAGAAAGAAAGAAGAGGATGGATAGGCTGAGGGGTCCTAGCAGGAAAAGGGAATTCTCCTATTTATTTTATTATTATTATAGGTTCAGTGGGTAGATGGGCAGGTTTGTTACATGAGTATATTGCATAATGATGGGGCCTGGGCTTTCAGTGAGCCCATTACCAAAAGAGCGAACATAATATCCAATAGGTAGTTTTTCAGCTCAGCCCCATCCCTGCACCTCCACACTTTTTGAGTCCACACTGTACATTCTTTTTATCTTTATGTCCATGTGTACCCATTGTTTAGCTCCCACTGATAAGTGAGAACACACAGTGTTTGGTTTTCTGTTTCTGTGTTAGTCTACCTGTCCCTTAAATGCTGGCATCTCTCAGAGCTTGTTCTTAGCCCTCTGCTGTTCTTTCTTTCTGGACTCTTTCACTCATATCCTTACTGATGACTTTCAAACCTATATTTCCAGCCAGGAAGTGTGTCTTGAGCTCCAGGCTCAGAAATCCCACTTCTTACTAGAGAGATCACTCCATCTGTATGTCATGCGGATACTTTAAATAGAAAACATCTAAAGTGCTCTATTCATTCCCACTCCCCAAAACAGCTCCCTCTCCTCTCTTGCCCCCATAGTCTACCAGCTGGCAAGACCAGAAATGCAGAAGTCTTTCTTAACTCCATCCTCTACCTAATGCCACATCCAACCAATCACTGAGTCCTAATAACGCCGACATCTACATAGACCTCAGCTCCGTTCACTTCTGTTTCCCACTGCCTCAATCAAGATGACAGCCATCTATCATTCAATGGGCAGGGATGCAAGATGTGTGGGCTCTCCTGGCTTACTAGTTTCTTGACACACCTTCACAACATTGTTTAAGTGTATATTCATCATTTATTTAGAGGGAAATTGTAGAAAAGCAACATCCATGGAAGGAGCAATCAAATTATCTTTTATTGCAGAGGTTGGCAAATGAAGGCCGGTGAGCTGACCACCTGTTTTATAAATAAAGTTTTTTTGGAACACGGCCATACCCATTTGTTCCTGCATTGTACTTGGCTGCTTTCATGCAATAATGGCAGAGTAGAGTAGTTGTGACAAACAGAATCTGGCCTACAAAACCTATTTACTATCTGGCTCTTTATTTAAAAAGCTTGCTGACCTCTGTTATATTGCCCTGAGCAACTCAGCTCTGGCTTTGCACTTGCATCCTTCCTCATTAAATAATTTAGAAATCATCTGCTGTAGGTCTACCATGCCCCTTGGTAGAGTTGGCAGGGTGGTTGAGGCAGGAAGGTGTCCCACACAACCACAGTGGCTTATCAAGCATTTTTTCCAATCACATGCAATGTTTCTGCTTGGCAAGACATCCGGAATATACAATTGTCACCTTCTTGTTCAATTCCATTGATATTTTAGAAATTTAGTGAGAATTCATTTCCCTTCATAGATGGACACCCCAGGCACTACCCAGCTGCCTCCCCTTAATTTGCTTTTGATGTCATGGACCTCCTGTTGAGTCTTCCTGCCTCAAGTCTTGCTCCTCTTCAAACCATTCTCTGCAATGCAGATAGGATAATCTTTACCAAATGTATATCTAATCATGCCACTCACCTGATAAGCCACATTGCAGGGTTTAGAGAACTTGTAGTATGTTCTCAACTCTGCAACAGGGCTCAGCGGGCCTTTAGGATCAGATAAAAAGGGCAACACAGCTTACCTAGCATTTGTTTTCTGGATGTAGTCCTGTTTTTGGCCTCATGCCTTGCCCTTCTCCTGCTTTTTTTTGTTTTTCTTTTTTTATGTGACAGCCATATTTCTCCTCTTTCAATTCCCAGATGTGCCATGCTCTTTTCCTCTGGGTCTTTGTGAATTATTTTTCTCTATGCAGAACACTTTGTTTTGCACTCTTGCCTTTACCTGGCTAACTTCAGCTCATCCTTCATATATCTGTGTAAATATCATTCTCTCAGCTTGGTTCTATCTGTCCTTTAGACAAGATTAATTATTGCCCTTAATCTCTCTGTACTTCCCTTATCATAACATCAGTCATTCTTATTGTTATCATTTGTTTAATTATCGGTAAGTTCTATAAAGACAGGGATGACTAGCTTGTATTCCTCAAGCCTATCTGGCAATAAGCAGGTACTCAAATAGATATTGAATGGATAAGTGATTGAATGCATGCATGAATGTGTGAATGAGGATTTAAAAGCCTTCCTCTACTGCTCATTATCCCCCAGTCTCTATATCCAACTGGTAACCAAGTCTGGTTCTAATTTTAATTTTAAAGCATTCTACTTTTCACCAACTCTCATACGCCTTCCTTCTTCTATCTTATACCTGGACTATGACAACGATCTTGCATTCAGTATGGTGCTTCATTAAATTTCTATAAGGATATCAGAAATAAATATCTATGTCCTTTCTTTTCTAGCCCATGGTATAAACATCAAACTCTTTTGCCTGTTTGATCAGTTCCTATAACCCATCTCTTGTCCTTCTGTCCTCATGACCTAGAAATGCTGAATTACCTGTAGTTCTTCAGCATATACTAGGATGTTTCATACTTTCTAGCTTTCCCTCAATTTTTCTCCATACTTAACACACCCCACTCCATTTTGTGCAGCTGGAGAACTCTTGTTCACTTTTAAAACTCAGTCCAAAGGCACCTCTTCTGTGGAGCCAGTCTGAACCCTTCTTTCTTTGTGCCCCAGCTGAATAAATGGCTGTAACAGCACCAGTATCACTTTTTTTTTTTTTTTTTTTTTTTTTTTTTTTTTTGCATGCACTTATTTGTCCTGGCTTTTCTAGTTTTGAGGGTAGAGGCCATATCTGATTCCTGTTTATATCTCCAGCAACTAGCCCAGGGCTGGCACTTTTGGCTGAAAAGTGGAATGAATGGAAGGGATCTCTAAAGTTCCTGCTAACTAAAGCATTCCATGAATTAAGAAGCTAGTCCTTGATGAGGCACAGTAGCTTAAACCTATCTGTGAGCACAGCAGCTTACACCTGTCTGTGAGCACAGCACTTTGGGAGGCCAAGGCAAGAGGATTACTTAAGGCCAGGAATTTAAGACCAGTCTAGGCAATATAGCAAGACCCCATCTCTACAAAACATTTTTATTTTTTTTAAATTTAGAATATAATTATACCTTATTGATATTTTCTTTTTTTTCCTCTTTTTAAAATTATATTTTAAGTTTTGGGATACATGTGCAGAATGTGCAGGTTTGTTACATAGGTATACACGTGCCATGGTGGTTTGCTGCACCCATCAACCCTTCATCTACATTAGGTATTTCTCCTAATGCCATCCCTCCCCTTGCCCCCCACCCGCCGACAGGCCCCAGTGTGTGATGTTCCCCTCCCTGTGCCCGTATGTTCCCATTGTTCAACTCCCATTTATGAGTGAGAACATGCAGTGTCTACAAAATATGTTTTAAAAAATTAGTTGGGCATTGTAGCATACACCTTATAGTCCTAGCTACTTGGAGGCTGAGGCAGGAGGATTGCTTGAGCCCAGTAGTTTTAGGTTGCAGTGAGCTATAATCATGCCAGTACACTTCAGCCTGGATGACAGAGGGAGACCCTGTCTCCAAAAAAAAAAAAAAAGAAGAAGCTAGTCCAAGATTTTCAGCATGTTGAACCAGCATCATCCAGGGGGATTTTTTCTAGAAAAATACCTGTGAACTCCCTTTTCCCTTTTGAAAGCCTAGGTCCAAGCTCAGCATATATTGTTATTGCTAACCCCACAACCTATTTGATGAGACCTCCCTTCCTGTTGAATTTTTGCTAGAGCTTTATCTGGAAGGTAGATGTAATCTTAAGTCTATTTCTATCTTTGAATAACACATATCTTTTCCTCTTTTCTAATGCCAACCCCCAGGAAGGTGAAGCCAAGTAGTGCAGGGTTTCAGAAGAGGCCGAGCAGTGGTTTTTGGTGAAGGAGGAGACTTCCATGTCATTGGGAGTATTAGGCCAACCATGGCAGAGAGGCAGGGTGAGATGTTAGTAGTGGGCTGGAGGTGGATGGCCCAACAAGGGTCATGAAGGCCAGTTCTGGAGAGACTGACCTGGCTGTAGGACTGGCTTTGCAAGCAGTCAAATCATGCTATAAGTTCTTGTCTGGCCTGAGATGCTGAGATGGCACTTAAAGAGGTTCAATCCCCAAGAACAAGTTACAGTGGCAGGATCCTCCTTTCCTGCTTATGCAAAACACAGGACTGCAGCTAGAAATCAGGGGCTAAGGTTCAGCCAGCCACCCCTTTCATTTGGAACAAAATATCAAAGTGCCAATCCTGGAACTTTGCCCTGGAGGGCAAACTGGGAATTGGAGCTGGGACTAGGCAAGAGTTGTCTTTCCAGAAGCACAGAGGACATTAGGGGTGCTCAGGCACTCACTAAGGGAACATTCAGTTAAGGGCTAAAGGCTAAACATGGACTCCAATCACTGGTAGAGATAGGGCCCCAAATATTAACAATATTTGTTTCTCAATGGTCAGGGACAGAGTAGATCAGCCTGAGGCTTACCAGTCTTTAGAATATTTATAATCAATATTTAACTTTTAAGATTTTGAAATCCTAAATGTCCACAAGCACATAAATAATCAAGGAAAATACATTTAAATTGGGATGCAATCTCTGTTTAGACCCATCAAATCAGAATTGGGTAATTTAAACTTCCTTTAAAATAAAATAATGGATGCTGTGGAGGGCACACTTAGGCCTTCTAACACACGGCTGATTCTACATTGGTACAACCCTTATGGGAAGTAATTTGAACATTCATATCAAGTTCTTTAAAAAGTTCATTCTTGCAGCTAATATTTGTGGGTGTTTATTCAGCCCTCATTTTTGCCTTTTTCCCTCCTAATACTGGTTAGGTTTTTATCTGGATATCCATCCTTCTCCAAGAGACCATGTGCATTGGGGCAGTTGACATCCCAACTAACATGGATGTCTCTGATTGGCTTAGGCAATTAGAACTTTTGAACTTCTGGTCCAAAGTGTTTATTTTGTGGATGGGCACAGACCTATATTCCAATCAGGGTGAATCTTAAGACTGTTGTTTGGAAGGCAGAGAGAGAAATGTACACTCTCCCACTAGATGTGCCTGAGGACATCTATAGCCATGATGGTGGCTGGTGGCCATCCTGATTTGAGTTTGGCTTTTTGCTATTTGCCACCGAAAGCCTGTTCTTCAGCCTTTCACCCAGTTATTTCACTTCTAAGAATATATCCTAATGAAATAATCATAATTTCATCCAAAAATTTAAGTATATCATTATTTATAAGAAAGAAAAATGGGAAACAGCCTATATAAATGTCCTTAAATGGATGAAGATTAAATAAATTATATTGTACTCATAGGAGGAAATTTTATGAAACCATTACAAATCATGTTTCTGAAGAATATTTAATGACTTTGGAAAATGCCCACAGTATAGTGTAAAGTATGAAATGTAAGATGTAAAATTGGATTCACATAATGTGATCCCATTATCTTATTTACATATAGAGAGATTGGAAGGAAATACACCAGAATATTAACAGTTGTTTATGGTTCATTTTTATTACTCTCTTTATAGGTTTTGAACATTTAATATGTATAAATGTGCACATATCATGTTCATAATGACAAAAATTCCATAAACATTGTCGATATTTTTGTAGTTTTGACCCTTTTCCAGAGACCCCAAAGGGTGATATCATGTTAATTTTTTATTTTGCTGAGGCATATATTCATGACAGGCCCTGGGAGGCTATTGGGAGGGAACACATTTCTAAACTCTGCCACCCTTCACACACAGGCCAGGCATTTTATGGAGCTCAGCCCTGTAAGGAAATTAGAGTTAGGTGGAGCTGGGGCAAAATCTGTCACCTGATATAGATGCAAATACTTCTCACCCAAATAAAAGAATTGGTGCCTTACTTCTAGAACCCAAGCTGCATCTGAAGTTGTATCCACTCTCTCCAGACTCTCTCTGCCCCTCCCCTCCCCATGCTCAGGTCTAGGACCGTTACTGCATTTTGCAGATGGGAGACTGCAATGCTCTGGGAAGTGACTCACCCTCAGCCACAGGGGGCTTAATCCCCAAGTTAGCTTATTACTTGGAACTATTTTCCCCCAGGCTGGTGTTGAAGGCAACCTCCTCTGTCTAAAAGGCCCTGCCGCGGTTTGATTTTTCTTCCAGCACAATCCCAGCAGGAAAAGTTCTAGTACTTGCAGCTTGGAAACAGCAAGCCCTATTTCTCTATTCTCATTCAAAACAGGTCAAATGAATAGGCAAGATTTCCTTCCTATAAGATTCAGCTCCTTGGGCTTGTGTGTAAGAGGCAAGATCTTATCCTCCTCCTCCTCCTCTTCTCTCCTCTTTCTCCCCTTTCCCCTTTTCCCCCCACTCCCTCTGCCCTTCCTCACTTCTTCTCCTCCATCTCCCTTTTTCAATATCTTTAATGGCTCATGCAGCTTAAAACTTCACTGGCAGTTTTCAGGGTTTTCAAGAGCATTGGATTGCCAGAATGAGATGTGTGCCTTTCCCATGATCCCCATGACTTAGGCATCTAACTGATCCAGTCCTTTCTCACGGTTGGACTTCTGGCTAGGGCACCACTCCATGCTCTTAGCTGTCATCCCCTCAACAGGGTATGGTGCATTTGGAGCCTCCTTTCTAGTTTTGACTCCTCCCAGAGCCAGCTTTTTCCAGATGAGGCCAACTTCATCTAAAACCTACAGTGGCATTAGGCTGAGGATGCTGTTCAGTTCTGGGCCTTTCCCTTTTGGAAATATAATGTATAAAAATGACACACCTGCTTATTCTCCAGCCTGGCAGTTGTCAGGGCTCCACTGCATGCTTGGAGATGTGCCAAGAGATTATCTCAGCAACCTCATCTCCCTTGATTACTTGAAGTTCTCAGTGTTAGTGGCGATCCTTAATGAGGGGACACAGTTTAGGTAGGATAAGATAATGGGCCATTTATCTTGCAGGTTCAGAGGGATTTATTTCTGAGATTCGACTCTTCCAGGAGGGAGAGGAGTCCTGGGGAATAAATAGACCCAGGGTACTGGAACAAGGAGCACATAGCCGTGGAATGCCATTGCAGAGGAAGCCGGACAGAGCCGGAGCCAAGGTCCCCGAGAGCCAGGATCAAGGCTTGGTTATCTTGGACTTGGTGGCACTAAGCACAGAACTGCTGCAGGGGAGTTAGCCTGATCTAGCCCCCAGCCTACCCTGACTTTTAGGAGAGGTTGTTGGCAGAGTAAGTGGACAAAGCTGCATGTGTGCATTTCTGAGTCATGTCTTTCAGAATCCACCTTGTAAGTTGAACTCTGCCTGCCTCGTGGATGCTGTCGGCATATCTCTGACTTCGGCTAAAGTAAATTTCAATTACTTTATCTTTTGGCTCTTGCTGCTTTTTAATCCCTTCCCCCCTGATAAGGCACAACCACATCCATGGCTTTTCTCCTGTGTTGGAGGATCTGGTCTCTTTGTGTCAGAGTGATGTGGATCACAGATTGGGGCTAACAGCACATGGTATTTCACCTCCTTGCCCAGAGTTCCATGGCCACATGTGCCATATGACTGACTCACACTTTCCCCGAATTACGTAACTGCTGCCTGGAGCCTTGTGATAACCCCCCTGGGACCTGCTGACAGTGCTGGGACTATTCCTCCTGTGAATGGCTACACACACCCTTGATGCTTGGGTTCTTCCGATCTCAAAGACTGAATAGAACGTTTAAGGTTCTGAAATCTCCCACTTCCAAGGATTCAACTTGCCAACATTTACTGAGTGCCCATCAGATGCCAGGCTCAGTGCAAGATGTCGTCATTTATTTCAACCGACTCTCAACTTGTTCAGTAGGTATTATCATTATCCTGTTTAATAGATGAGGAAACTGAGTATTGGACCACGTAAAGGACTTTCTGAAAAAATCATCTGGCTAGCAGTGGAGTATAAATTCAAGCTGAGATTGACTTGACTTCAGAACAGTGCATCATGTGTCTTTGTAGGCGTGACTCTGGTCAGTAGCTCCATTTACACCGAACAGTCCCATATTTGAACTTTTCTTCCTACGCAATAAGATTTTATACCTCATCTTCCAGTAGATGGAGTCCCAAGAATGTCTGGATGAGAAAAGCTTTGTGGGGGGAGGGGGGAAGAGGGGGAGGGACACACATCTGATTTCCATCCAGTCTTTCCTTTTCCTCTTGCATCTTGCCTTGTTTTCAAAGGAGAAAAAGGAGTCAGTGTTGTACAGTGATGCAGAACATTTTCTCTGGATTCAAGTTGATGGATTCGAATCCCGGCTCTGTCACTAACTTTGTGACTTTGGGAAAGATACTTCTTCTAAGTCTCAGTGTTCTCATCTGTAAAATAGGGATAACAATCATCCCTCACTCATAATTTTGTGATAATGAAATACAATAATGTATGTACAGAAGTTATTATTTGGTGCATAATGAATGCATACATTGACCATTTATATTACTAATAAATAGCAGCTGGCATGGGTGTGTAAATTGGTGCAACTACTTTGGAGAGCAACTTGGTGATACCCAGTAAAATTGAAGATGTTCATACCCTGTGGCCCATCAACTCTTCTCCTAGGTATACACATAAGAAACATATACAGAAATGTTTGTATCGGCATCATTTGTAATCACAAGAAGTTGAAAACTATATATTCATTAATAGAAGAGTGAATAGATAATTATATAGTCATACAAGGAAATACTATGCATCAGTGAAAATAAATGAAATAAAGCTGCACAGATGAACATAGATAAATCTCGTGAATATAATTCTGAGGGCAGATAGTGGAAACACAGCTAGGTACCCATTAAATCTTAAAGCTCCAAAATCTCCTTTGACTCCATGTCTCACATCCAGGGCATGCTGATGCAAGGGGTGGGCTGACACGGCTTTGGGCAGCTCCGCCCCTGGACTGTTCAGGGCACAGCACCTGCAGCTGCTTTCATGGGCTGATGTCGAGTGCCTGAGGCTTTTCCAGGCACAGGGTGCAAGCTGTTGATGGATCTACCTTTCTGGGGTCTGAAGGATGGTGGCCCTCTTCTCACAGCTCCCCTAGGTAGTAGCCCAGTGGGGACTCTGTGTGGGGGCTCCAACCCCACATTTCCCTTCCATACTGTCCTAGCAGAGGCTCTTCATTAGCGCCCTGCCCCCGCAGCAGACTTCTGCCTGGACATCCAGGCATTTCCACACACCCTCTGAAATCTAGGCAGATGTTCCTGAAGCTCAACTCTTGTCTTCTGCACACCCACAGGCCCAAAGCCATGTAGAATCTGCCAAGTCTTGGGGCTTGTACCCTCTGAAGCGATGGCCCAAGCTGTATGTTGGCCCCTTTTAGCTACAGCTGAAGCTGGAGCAGCTGGGATGCAGGGCACCAAGTCCCAAAGCTTCACAGAGCAGTGGGGCCCTGGGCCTGGCCCATGAAACCATTTTTCCCACCTAGACCTTTGGGCCTGTGAGGGAGGGTCTGTGGTGAAGGTCTCCGACATGCCTTGGAGACATTTTCCCCATTTTCTTGGCTATTAACAAAGACATAAGCTCCTCATTACTTATGCAAACTTCTGCAGCCAGCTTGAATTCCTCCCCAGAAAATGGGTTTTCTTTTCTACCACATGGTCAGACTGCACATTTTCCAAACCTTTGTGCTCTGCTTCCCTTTTGAACATAAGTTCCCAATTCAAACCATCTTTTTGTGAATGCATTTAACAGCACACTTTCAGAATAAGCCAAGTCACCTCTTAAATGCTCTGCTGCTTAGAAACTTCTTACACAGATACACTAAATCATCTCTCTCAAGTTCAAAGCTCCACAGATCTCTAGGGCAGGGGCAAAATGCTGCCAGTCTCTTTGCTAAAGCATAATTTGAGTGACCTTTACTCCAGCTCCCTGTAAGTTCCTCATCTCCATCTGGGACCACCTCAGCCAGGACTTCACTGTCCATATCACTATCAGCATTTTGGTCAAAACCATTCAACAAGTCTCTAGGAAGTTTCAAACTTTCCCACATCTTCCTACCTTCTGAGCCCTCCAAACAGTTCCAACCTCTGCCTGTTACCCAGTTCCAAAGTCACTTCCACATTTTCAGGTTATTTTTATAGTGGTACCCCACTATCCTGGTACCAATTTCGTGTATTAGTCCATTATCACACTGCTATAGAGATACTCCCTGAGGCTGGGTGATTTATAAAGGAAAGAAGTTTATTTGACTCACAGTTCTGCATGGCTGGGGAGGCCTCAGGAAACTTACAATCATGGTGGAAGGCAAAGGAAAAGCAAGTACCTACTTCAGAAGGTGGCAGGAGAGAGAGAGAGAGATAGGGAGGATGTGCCCTACTTAAAACCATCAGCTCTTGTGAGAACTCCCTCACTATCATAAGAACAACATAAGGGAAACCACCCCCATGATCCAATCACCTCCCACCAAGTCCCTCCCTCAGCACGTGAGGATTACAATTTGAGATGAGATTGGGTGGGGACACAGAGCCAAACCATATGAATGCATGATGATAAATGCCCCATGATGGCAAAGGGAGGCTACCTAGGGACACAGGTTATTAGAATAGTTCCTTTCACAAGCTGAATGGTGGGTACATAGGGAGTAGTAGGCAGATTTCTAAAAGAGTCCTCAAGATTCTCACACCTGGGGTACTCACAGCTTCTCCCAGTTATTCAATCAATACTGGTGGAGCTTCTGCTGTGAAGGGATTTTGCAGATGTAATTAAGGTTCCAAAAGATAGGCCTTAAGATAAGATTATCCTAGATGGGCCTAACACAATCAGCTGAGCCCTTTTAAAAGGGGTGGGACTTTTCCTGGTGAGAGAGATTTGAAGCATGCGAGGGATTCTGTGAAGGAGAGTTTTTGTTTCTTGCTGGAATGAAGGGGTCCATGTGGCAAGGAGCTGAGCGTGGCCTCTGTAAGCTGAGGGTAGTCCCAGTTGACAGCCAGCAAGGAAACAGGGACCTTGGTCCTACAATAGCAAAGAACTGAATTCTGTTAACCCAAACAAGCCTGGAAAAGGACGCTGAGCCACCGATGAGATGAACAGTGAGTAAGTCTGGCCGATACTTGGATTTGTGTGTTTCCCTGAACAGAGAACCCAATCACACTGGGCCTGAACTTCTGACGCACAGAATTGTGAGCTAGTAAACAAGTATTGTTCTAAACTGCTAAGTTTTTGGAACTTTGTCATGTGGTAGTATAGAACTAATGTATGTAGAAACGATGTTATTCTTTGTCTCCCATCCAAGTACTAACCAGGGCTGAACCCTGCTTAGCTTCCGAGGTCAGACGAGATCAGGCGTGTTCAGGGTGGTATGGCTTTAGACAACAATCTTATTGTTTGTATAATTTTTGTACCTTGGAAGTATTTCCTAATGCTTTTTAAGAGCACTAGAACGGGTTGGAGCTAGGCAGTGTTGCTGAGTTCTGGGCCTGACCCAGGAGCTAAGTAAACAATTAGCTGAAAAATAGCCTGTGTGTTGGTAGGTAGTAAAAAAACAAACAAAAAAACAATAAATGTTGAATTGGAGACAGTGTATGTCGGTGTGACACTGCTGAGGCTAATTCAGCAACTAAGTGGGGCTCAACATAAGTGAGCTGGGTATAGATGGTGAGGATAAAAGCCTTTGGTGAGTGGAGTTCTTCAGGTGAGTGGAGTTCTGTGAAGTTTTTTGAAGTTCAGGGGATCTGAAAAAAACTCCTATTGCTGGTCAGAATCTCTTGGTTGCTCTGAAGGACTTTGAGCTCTTAGGTTATCTAATATTTTGGGGTTTAGTGGGGGAGTGGGTAGGTTGGGACGGGAGGTCTCCCTGGCATGGCTGTGCTGGGAGAGGCCATGCTGCTACATTCTGGGGAAACGTGCTCCTCCCTGCATCTGTTGTAAGAACCAGCACCCACTCCTCTCCCGTCACTCAAGTCCTTATCTTCTTCAAACTCTTCCTGATTTCAAAAAGTAATTACTAGATACAGAGGCCCAGGATCACAGACGACTCTCAGGACCACGGCCTGGAATGACCAAGTCAGGCATGTTTAGGCAGCGACTGGAATAAAACAAGTGTGCGAACTGGGGCTTCTCTCTTCTTCCCACCCTCAGGAGTTAAGTGGGCATAGTGTTTCTGTATGAAAGAGCCCCAGACCAACCCATCCACCCGCCTGCTGCATAGCTCAACCCGAATGCTCTGCTAGCAATCAAATTCAATACTGTTTCCAGTGACCTCATTATCTCACTCCCTTCCACCTTCCTCATCTGGTGGATCCTCTTCCATTAGAAACTCACATTCACCTGGTTTTCCTATTAGAAACCTAGGAGTACTCCAATCATTCAATTATTTTTCATACTCTGTTCCATCCACTCTTACACCTTTCTAGAACTTATTTCCTTTTTCTTCCCAGTCTTGGTTTAGACTTATTTGTATATAAACTTTACAGAAAAGTTTACATGCAAACTCCAAAGAAAAGTTGCCATATGCCCTGCACCAAAACCGTTTTATCATTTTCTTCCCCTTCTCTTTCCACTTCTCCCTCCTCATCTCTCTTTCCCTGTATGTGTATGGTTGTGTTCTCTAAACCATTGGTGAGTAAGTTGAGGCATCATCCCACTTTACAACTTGACCCTTCACCGTGTATTTCCAAAGAAAGAACAAGAATATTCTCTTACATAACCCCAGTATAATAATCAAAATCAGGAAATTTGACATTGATGTAATAGTTGTAGTTAATTCACATATTCAAATATTATCCATTTTCTCAATATTTTTTATAATATTTTTCTAGTTCAAGGTTTACCCAGGATTATATTTTGCATTTAGTTGTCATGCCTCTTTAGTGTCTTTAATTTGAAACAGTTCCACTGCTTTTTGACTTTCTCAACCCTGACATTGTTTCAGAGTACTGGCTAGTTATTTTGTAGAAAGTCGCAGTACTTGGGTTTGTCTGCTATTTCCTTTTTTCTTTTAAATGGAGCAATGACATTCCCTTGGGTAGGGTTGTTGAGAGTCCAGATTGGCTAGAGGCAAAGAAAGGGAAATTGGGAAAGTCTTCCTGGAAGAAGTGAGGTAAGGCAGAAAACAAGTGGGAATTAGCTAGGGACAAGGGGTGGCATTCTAGGTAGAGGAAACCTGGAATGTGCATTTGTTACAGGGAGAAGTACAAACTGGAAAGAGGTGAGAGGAGAGGCCTCTAGTCATCTGTGTGCACATGCCCTCCTTAAGGGGAGAATCCTGGGTTCAGACCTCAGAACAAACAGTGGGGCCTAGTAAATGCTGTTAATATTGAAATCCAAAGTCAGAGGTGCTTGTCTTTTGTTTTTTGTCATTGTGAAAATGTACTCTGTTTATTTAACCAATCCTCTAAAATTGGACATTTGGTCCTTTTCATATTTTTAATAATATAAACACTGCTTTGCTGTTCCAGCCTTTACTGATGCCTGCCATGTGCCAGGGACCAAGCTAGGAATGCTTGTTATCCTCCCAGCCCACTTTTTGCTTTGCAATTATTATGCTCCTTAATAGTCCTGCCACTCAAATAGGGAAAGTGTTGTTGTCATTGCTACTTGACAGATAAGCAAAATGAAGCCTGAGGACTTTGTCCAGTTTACCCATCTAGAAAGATGCCAATGCCAGCATTCTAGTCCTAAATCCTTACTGGTTCTTCAACAAAGGCCAGATGCCATCGAGGACAGGAAAGAGGACCACACACCGAAGCCCACAGATCTTTCTGCTGGGGAGTTGTTGGCAAAAGCATTCCACTTCCCTGTTTGTAAAGTGGGCAAATATAATACTGTGAAATGCCACAATGTCCTTGAATTTTTCTCATACTACCAGGCACACAGAGAGGCTCAATGACATGTAACTGTAATTAATGCTGATAAGGAAGCTCATGTCTTTTTCCCAGGGCAAGTGGGAGCCAATGAAGGGTTTGGAGCAGCACAGTGGTCAGGCAGACCAAGCTGACTCCCAGCTGTTTCCCCTTCACAGTGGCCTGGGAGGGGCTGCTGGCTCTGCAGAGTTTGATATTTCCTCAGGAGTACATTCAGGCTGGGAATTCTTGGCAGAAATATCATTTGGCAGGCTCATAATGTCAGTTTGTCCCAATATTGGTGATGTTAACTTTGCTTATTTGAGTAAGGTAGCATCTGCCAGTTTTCACTTCTGTTAAGTCACATTTTCTTCCTTTGCAATTAATAAGTAATGTATGAAAAAACAGTTTCAGGATAAGAGATATCCTGTCTTTCAAGAGACTTTCTCTTACTAGTTTTAACACCCGTTGATGACTTTCCAAGTCCTTCATTGCTTCCCTATTTACTTGTTGGGCTCTTTAAATACATTTAATCTATTTATTTATATCTGTAAGAACTTATAATTTTTAAAATTTTATTGTGATAACACTCAACATGAGATCTACCCTCTTAAATTTTTAAGTGTGCAATGCATTATTGTTAACTATAGATATAATGTGTTAAGCAAACCTCTAAAATTTATTTATCTTGCTTAACTGAAACTTTATTTCCATTGAGTAGTAACTTCCCATATCCCTCTCCCTGCAACCACTATTCCACTCTGTGATTTTATGAGTTTGGCTGTTTTAGATATCTCATATAAGTGGAATTATGCAATATTTGTCTTCCTGTGACTGGTTTCGCTTAGCATAATGCCCACAAAGTTCATTCATATTGTCACATATTGCAGAATAGCCTTCCCTTTTTAAGGTCTGGTATTATTCCGACCCCCCACCTTTTTTTTTTTTTTTTTTTTTTTTGGAGTGCAATGGCGTGATCTCGGCTCACTGCAGCCTCTGCCTCCTGGGTTCAAGTGATTCTTCTGCCTCAGCCTCCCAAGTAGCTATTATTACAGGCACCTGCCACCATGCCTGGCTAATTTTTGTATTTTTAGTGAGACAGGGTTTCACCACGTTGGCCAGACTGGTCTTGAACTCTTGACCTCAGGTGATCCTCCCACCTCAGCCTCCCAAAGTGCTGGGATTACAGGCATGAGCCACCATGCCTAGCCTAGGCTGGTAGTATTTCATTCATGTATATACCACATTTTCTTTATCTGATCATTCGTGAGTGGACATTTTAGGTTGTTCCCACAGCTTGGCTATTGTAGATAGCTCTGCAGTGAACACATGAGTACTAACATCTCTTTGAGATCCTGATTTCAATTCTTTTAGATAAATACCCAGAAATGGGATTACCAGATCATATGGTAGTTCTATTTTTAATTTTTTGAGGAACCACCATATTGTTTTCTATAGTATCTACACCATTTTGCATTTCCATCAACAGTGTGTATGGGTTCTAATTTCTCCACATCCTCACCAATACTTGTCTTTTATTTACTTATTTCTTTTTTTTTGATAGTCATCCTGACAAATGTAAGGTGATATCTCATTGTGGTTTTGATTTGCATTTCACTCATGATTAGCAACATTGAACATTTTCTTCATATATCTATTGGCCAGTTGAGTGTCTTGTTTAGAGAAATATCTATTCAACCCTTAGCCCATTTTTAATTGGGTTTGTTTCACTTTTTTTACTATTGAGTTTCTGATATATTTTGGAGATTAGCCTCTTATCAGATATGTCTTACACATATTTTATTCCATCTTGCAGGTTGTCTTAATTCTTGATTATTTTCTTCACTATGCAGAGCTTTTTTGTTTGATGTAGTCTCATTTGTTTATTTTTGCCTCAGTTGCCTGTGTTTTTGGTATTATATCCATGAAATCATCACCAAGACAAATGTTATGAAGCTTTTCCCTGTGTTATATTTTTTTCTGAGAGTTTTACAGTTTCGGTGCAGTTTATATTTAAGTCTTTAATCCATTTTGAGTTAATTTTCATGTATGATATAATGATCTAGTTTCATTTTTTCTTTTGCATGTAGATACCCAGTTTCCCCCAAACCACTTGTTTAAGAGACTGTCTTTTTTTCCATTGTATGTTTTTGGCACGCTTGTCAAAGATCAGTTGACCAAATATGCATGGATTTATTTCTGAGCTCTGTTCTGTCCCGTTGGTCTATATGTCTGTCTTTATGCCAATATCATACCATTTTAATTACTGTAGCTTTGTGATATATTTTGAAATCAGAAAGTATGATATCTCCAGCTTTGTTGTTCTTAAGATTGTTTTGGCTATTCATAGTCTCTTGTGGTCCCATATGAATTTTAGAATTTTTTTTTCTATTTCTGTAAAAGATGTCATTGGGATTTTGATGGAGATTACATTAAATTTGTAGATTGCTTTGGGTGGTATGAACATTTTAACAATATTAAGTTTTCCAATCCATAAAAATGGAATGTCTTTGTATCTTGTTTAATTTCTTTCATTAGTATTTTGTTGTCAGTACAAATCTTTACCTCCTTAGCTTTTTCATATTTTTATTCTTCTTGGTACTATTATAAAGGGGATTGCTTTCTTGATTTCCTTTTCATAGTTCATTGTTAGTGTATACAAATGTAATCAACTTATGTATGTGGATTTTTGTGTCCTGAAACTGTACTGAATTCATTTATTCTAACAGTTTTTTTAATGGAATCTTTAGCATTTTCTATATGTAAAATCATGTTACCTGTAAACAGGAAGAAGTAAAATTGTTCTGAATGCCTTGGATGCCTTTTATTTATTTTTCTTGTCTAATTTTTCTGGCTAGGACTTTCAGTGTTACACTGAATACAAATGCAAGAGTGGGCATCCTTGCCTTATTCCTTAGAAATTCCTTAGATGGAAATTTTTTTTTAACTATAAAATATGATGTTTTCTGTGGGTTTTTCGTATGTAGCCTTTACTATATTGAGGCAATTTCCTTCTACTGCTAGTTTTTCGAGAGTTTTTTTTAAAATAGATTCTTATGTTATTCAATGAGTTATAATAAATTAGTTACTGTTTCTTTTGATGTTCAAATTACCCTGATTTGGCCAGTATGAGCTCTTTCAAGCTGACTTTGTGTCCTTTTGATGTGTCCCCATCATTTTTTGAGAATTTTCTTTCTTTCTTGTGAAACAAGATGTTTCAGGTTCATCTTATCCTTTCTTTGCCTGGAATCAGCCTTTTTTCCAAGGAATCTGGGTCCCTTTTAATGGAGAAAGGTATTTAGAAATTATAATCTGGGTTCTGTGCACACTTAGTGCTACTGGTATATTATTGTTTCTAGGCTTTCTTGGAGACAGAGATAGATTATGTACATATATAATAGAAAGATGATTAATATATACGTAGTAAAATCATGTGTTCTAGAGGGCACACTTTTTTCTCCCCTTTTTGTATGACAACTCTCTCTAGCAGTTAGAAACTTGGCTCTCATTATTGTCAATGTATTTACTCATTTTCTCAAACCTAGGATAACAGAAAAGTTTCAGAATTCTTAATCCATATCACTGCTAAAACCAAACCTAAAATTAGCCAGAGTTCAACTTTGGTTATAACTTTTTTTTTCTGGAAAAATAGTATAAATGCACAGATCTTAAGTATATAATTCATCAAGGCTGACAAATGCATATGTCTATGTAACACATACCCCTATCAAAATATATATATCCATCACTCCAGAAAATTCTCTCATGCTTTTTCCCAGTCAACACTGCCACCCTCCAGAGGAAACTTTTTTCTGATATTTTTTTCACCAAAGATTAGTTTTGCTTCCTCTAGCACTTCATTTAAATGGAATATAGACTCTTTTATTCTTTAGCTTAGAATCATGTAAGAATCATCCATGTTATTGAGTATCAGTAATCCATTTCTTTTTCTTGCTGAGTTGCATTCTCTTGTATGAATATACCTTGATTGTTTATCCATTTTCCTGTTGGTGAATATTTGGGTTGAATGTGGATGCTGTGAATCATGATATACACATTTGTGTATGTCTTTTTGTGGACATATACTTTCACTTGTCTTGGATAAATACCTTGAAGTGGGATTGTTAGATCATAAGGTAGGTGGGGCAGATTGTACTTTCTAAATCTGGCCACAAGGATATCTTCAGTTCTACATGCTGCTTTTTTTTTTTTTTTTTTAAATGTTCCTCTTTTCTATCAAGTAAAAAACTACTTGAACCTGAGCAGACTTGTGTGGCAGCAAACTGAATAGACTCCATGTGACTTCTGACGCCAAACTGTAAGATACCACATGTTGCCCTGTGTGTATTTCCCTACGCTCAAGGATCACAGTCCTGTGCTTCCTGTCTTCACTCGCCCCCTGTGTCAGACATACACACACACAGGTACCTATTGGACAGCTACACTTGGATGACTCCAAATATCTTTAATTCAACATTTCCAAATCTGAACATAAAACCCTTGTCTCAAACTATTTCCGCTCCAGTATTTTCTTTCTCTACAGGTGGGAACATCATCCAGAAATCTGAGATGTATCCTAGACCCTTCTCTCTAATTAATCAACAAGTCCATTGATTTGTATTTCCTAAAACCATTTTTTGTTATTCTTGCCTCTTCATCTCCTCTCACCTTTGCCATCTGTCACCTCGACTGTGGCAAGGCCCCTGGCCACTGTCCTGGCCTCATCTCACACCCCTCAAAGACATTCTCCATAAAGCTGCCATGGTGGCTCATCTAGGTGCAAACCTGAACACTTCATCAAAATTAAAAGCTGTTTCTCTCAGTAGGTGACATACAGAATGGCCCTTCATGATCTGGCCCCTAATTCTCTCTTGTTACTCTCCTTCCTTCCCCTCAAATCCCAAATCATCTTCATTTGCTTTTTACCTTCTATATTTGCTTAGAAGTTATATTCCCATTATTGTTCCAACGTAATCCTCCATATCCATTGTCAAATGTCCCCTCTTTTGCAAAGTCTTCCAGATCACTTCTCGGAAGACAGAATAAATAATTCTCAAATACCATTGCTCACCTGCTTATATCTCTATTATGGTACATATCACATGCTGTATGTACTTATTGTTTTGTTTATCCCCTCTACAAGACTGTGGCCTCCTGGAGGGTGGAAACCTTTTTTTTTTCCTCTTTTCATCTCAGTTTTTCTCGTGCCTCATATGGTACCACTCCATAGAGAGTGCTTATTTAACACTTTTTTTGTTATTGTTGAAATACTGTTAAAGCTATAGTCAAATACTGCTGTTATGTAATGTTTAAAAACTGGAAATTCTAGCTTTATAAAATGAAAGTGACCAACTGGCAAAGAAGATCTGAAGAATGCTTATGAGTCTTTTATGTGCTTTTTTTTTTTTCTTATTAGGTTTTGAGTATCTCCTAATTCATTAATGATGAGGAAAAGGAAGAACACCGGCAGGTTTTTATCTCAAGTCATTATTAAAACAACACTTTTTTTTTTTTTCCAAAAACATTCTCTGTGTAAAGCATAGAGTTGTCTGTAAAATCAGCATTCGGGAAATGGCTTGGGTCTTGACCTAGTCCATAAAAATGGAACAACACTGCTGCTTGGCCTGCAGAGTCCCTCCACCTCTCTAATGTATTTTCCTGATAAAGAGTTGATTCATGTTCAGGTAGAAAAGAACGTATCTCCACATCTCAGTATGTGCCAAACAGAGCTCGTCATCTTCCCTCTCCAGCCAGCGCCACCTCCTGTGCTGCCTATTTTTGTTAATGGTATCACCATCCTCCCTGCCACCCAGGCTCAAAATCTCCCTGCTTCGCCCTCCCCCACAACAGCCCATCTGCTGTCAATGTTGCCTCCCTGTTCTCTCCCTCACCTGTCCCCTCTTCTGTTCTCATTGCTGCTGCCCTAATTCAGGTGCTTATTACCTCTTGCTTGGACTGCAGCAGTAACCTTCCCAATGGTCTCTCTGCCTCCCTCAAATCAGTCTTACGTATCAGGTTAATCTGCCTGAAGCACCGCTTTCATCATGTCCTAACCCTGCTAAACACCTCTCAATGGCTCTTCTCTTCCCTGCAGAATAAAATCCACATCCATTCAAGGTGTGGCCTTTGCAACATTATTTCTCGTTACTCTTTTCATGTTCCCTATGTTTCAACTAAATCAAACTACTTTTTCTTTATCACTCCCTCATTCATTGACTCACTAGATATTGAACTTCTGGGCAAGGCATGGAGGATACTGAAATGAAAGGTGGCATGTCTGAGCTCAAGCAGCTGCTGGGCTTGTAAACCTCTCTGTCCCCACTGCCTGGATGGCTCTCTTCACCCCACCCCCTTCTGCCTCTGCCCAAATTCCACTTGTGTTTCAATGCCCTGCTTTCCCCCAGTTCAAATATCACCTTCTTTCTGAAGCTTTCTTCTGCCTCGCCTCTTTCTCTCTCCAAGCTGGAAGAAATCAATTCCTCCTCACAGGTTATGGCCCTTCCCATGCATTCTCTTAAGGCTATGTCTCATTTTGTATTGAACACTCTATGTTCCTGAGAGAAAGGTCTATCAGCTTCACCTCTGCATCTAAAATAACATTCAATAAAATGCTGTGCAAATACTAATTACTCAATTAATTTAGCTGAGTGAACAAATCTCCCAGAGATACCATGTAAATGATGCCCCCCTGAGGCTTAGAATTTAGAACTAGAAAACATTTTTTTTTCCTGTTCTTTGCTTCTCATTGTCCAAAAGCCTCTGGCCTTTTCACTACCATGTTCTTTTTGTCCTGGGCATGATGCCCAATTCCACATGGATTGGAGAAGGCAATGCAAAGGGCCAATGAGGCTCTTTAAGCAGCATCCTGACTTCGTACTCCTGGAACTATGCTGTTTCAGAGCCACTGTGGTGGCTTGGTTCCTTGGTGACCTAGTGTATGTAGGGTTTATTCTACTCTCTCCTAGAGGCTTGTGGATTCAGTCATCCGGAGCTCTCTGCTCCAATATTGGGCTGGCAAAGCAAGGCTGGGAGCCAGGAGGTGGGTGCACAGCAAAGCTTGAACAGGTGCTCCAGCCTCATGTGTAAGGGCAAAGGGTGGCTAGCTGGGTGCCAGAGCCAAAGGTTGCAATTGCTCCAGGACATGCCAGGGCCCTGGTGAGAATCATAGTCTGATGGCACATTGGTGGGTAACAAGGAGCTGGGGATAAGTCCAAGCTAAGTCCAGGGCTTCCAAAGAGTGAAGGAACTTCATAGGCTCCTTTGGGAGCTCTCCATGGATGGAGAACTCAGATCACATTTTTTGGCATCAGTGGATCTGGCCCCATCCACTTTTCTAGTCTCAGCATCCAGCACATTTCCAGGTGCAGACTCTGTTCCCCCCAAACTGCCCACTCATGGTTACTCAGGCTCACTGCCCATTTGTGCCCCTGGGATTGCCTAAGCTGGATGCCCTCCCTACTGCCTGTCCCATTCTGGGATTATGGGAATCCTCTCCTTCCAAGCCCTATTCAAATGCCACATCTACTCCATCCTTCCTTGGATGCTCCACTCAAAATGCACCACTCCTTTCTCTAGTTGTAGAGCTCATTTTATTCTGCTCTTACAGATAAGGTAGGTAGTTGTTGGTAAGCCTGTCTCCTTCAGTAGATTATAAGATCCTTGAAATTAGCCACATATTATTCAGATGTATGGCTCCAAAGTTTAGCTTGGTTCCCGGAACACAGAAGCCCTGTAGCTATCTAATAAATGTTTGTCAAATGGGTATCTGAATGAAATACCATCATAGTGTTCTATGGGGAATTAATGTGCTTCCTGACAGGTTTTCTACTTCCATGAAGAGTGAGGCAAACACAGATGTCTGGTCCCCCTGAGGTATCTTGGCCCTGGCCCTGGCCCTGGCCCTGGCCCTGAGGGAGTTTTCTGTCCTGTGTAGTGCAGGTTTCAGCACCAGAGGCACCTGGTGAACCCCGCCCCCACTCCTGCCAACCTCAGAAACACGATGCCATCCCTGAGCCTGAGACCTAATTCTGTGAGTTGTCTCTGTCTCTTGACCCCCTCATCCTGTTCCTTCTCCTGATGGTTTGGGGTTCCCCTGTTCCCCATCACTAATATCTTTGGCCTTGGCAATGCGTCAGAATGTAGGTGAAGTGTAGTCTTGCTCTGAGAGATGGTGAGGGCAGGCACCAGCCCCCCAGGGGCGTCTTGAGCAGTGACAAAGTGGATGCTGTGCTTTGTCCTCTGTCTGCCTTCCAACCATCCCTTTTGACGCGCACATTTTTCAAAGAGCTCAGAGCCCCTGGTGTCTGTCCAGTATGAGGATGTCGTAGTGTGCTTTCTCATACAGCTTCCTGTGGCCTCATGTGCCTTTATCTCATTCCCAACAAAGCTCAACATTTCTTGAAGGAAAGAATTGTATAATATTCTAGTATTCATAACATAACATTCAGCACGTAGTAACTATATAATGAACATTGCTGAATTCTACAAATGAAACCCCTGGGCATCAGCATGAGTCATAGGCATCAAAATAAAACCACTGTGGTCTGTGATTAAAATATCTTCACTGCTGTGTTATCTATGATAACAAATAACTGGAAATAATGACTAACCATGAGGGACTCAAGAGTCAATAAATGATGATTGATCACTCTGATGGAATAATATATTATTAAAATGATAATTATAACTGTAATGTCTATGGAACAATATGGAAAATATTTTTGATAGACTAGTAACTGATGAAATAAGATTTACAAAAATAGTCCAAAACTATCATTGTAATTGTCACTATGCAGTATGACAGATCTGGGAAGGTGACATGAATAAATGAACCTGGTATTAATGCTGTAAGAGTTTTTAAGTGATTTTCTTCTATGTCTTTAAGGTTGTGACTATATCATCTTCTGTATAAAAAATTAAGTATACATTTAAGTAATATACAAATACATAAATAATTTCTGCTTGCAACCTTGGGGCCACAAGTAATAAGAAGTCTGTCTGGCAATGGAACAGAAGTGCAAAAAGGTGACTTTAATCAATGCAAATGTCTTATATAGCTCATAGCCTTTCCACATGAATTTTGATAATGGAGGTGATGATACTGACAATCAAAATATGTTTTCTTCATTGTTCTACTGAAATCTGCAGATTAATATGGAGACTGAAAATAACCATGAGGTCCTATGAAAAATAAGTCAACTCCAGTAAGGTTGGGAATTTTGGGGAAGAACACCAATCCCACCTTGTGAATGGCTGATTCCTGACTATGTGGATGGAGTATGGGGGAAACTGCCCCCATGACTCAATTATCTCCCACAGGGTCCCTCCCACAACACGTGCGAATTATGGGAACTACAATTCAAGATGAGATTTGGGTAGGGACACAGCCAAACCATATCAGATTCTTTTATCAACTTCTTTCTTTTCTGCTGATTTGCCTACCCCTTTATATGCTCTCCCCCTTCCCCCCATCCACATAAAGATGGAGTGAGAGAAGTGGACAAAAACATTGAAAGGCTGGATTCTGTTTCTCATCTGGTATTAAAGACCCCTGACATTTTAAGAAAGCCACTGACCTAAATAGGTGCTTTCCTTCATCCACATGGCCAGCCAATCCCGTTCAGCCAATCCCACACATTGAGTTCCCCCTGCTGGGTGGCAGCATTGAGCTCAGCATTGGCCACCCTTGGTTTCTGCCAGAGCTAGCTCATAGGGATCATAGGAGGATAAAATAATATATGGTGGAGGTTGTGGAAAAGCTGCACTAAATAAATGTGAGCTATTGTTAAGAAACATGGGAGCATAGCTGTTCTGGATCGGTCCACAATGCTAACAGCTGATTCAGATCTAACCAAAATTGAGACAATCAGCTACTAACAAAGCTGGGAAAAACAAAGCCCTGATTGAAATGGGCTGCAGCTGACTTCTCCAATCCTCCCAGCTGGACTCATTCAGGTTTTCACAGCAAATTGTTTGTACCTCCATCAGGGCTGATCACGCTGCGTGGGACATAAACTCTCTGCCTATGCACCTGCCTCCTCTTCTAAGGCATCACTTCACCCTCAAGAGCTGCTTATAAGTGTGTGTGTGTGTGTGTGTGTGTGTGTGTGTGTGTGTGTGTTTAAAATCTGAAGGCCTCAGAGAGGGAGGGAGGAAGAGAGAGGGACATATCTCCTCTCTAAGCTTGCTACTTACAACTTTCTTGAAAGATATGCAATATCTTCATATATAAGTCACTGTAAATGGATATTGGCCTTTTCCTGAATATGGCTCCCGTTCTTATTTGGGTGGAAACTAGCTGAGTTAATTTAATACCTCGCTGAGGGAATGGGGAGAGGATATAAAGGGGTAGGCAATCAGTAGAAAAGAAAGAAGTTGATAAAAAAAATCTGATATGGTTTAGCTGTGTCCCCACCCAAATCTCATCTTGAATTGTAGTTCCCATAATTCCCATGTGTTGTGGGAGGGACCCGGTGGGAGATAATTGAATCATGGGGGCAGTTTCCACCATACTGTTCTCATGGTAGTGAATAAGTCTCATGAGATCTGATTATTTTAAAAGGAGGTTCCCCCTTTCACTTTGTTCTCATTCTCTCTTGTCTGCCACCATTTAAGTCGTGCCTTTTGCCTTTCACCATGATTGTGAGGCCTCCCCAGCCACGCAGAACTGTGAGTCCATTAAAACTTTTTCTTTATAAATTACCCAGTCTTGGGTATGTCTTTATCAGCAGTGTGAAAACGGACTAATACACTATCCAAAAGGCAATCCAGTCCAAGCTGATGCAGAACCTGTTTGTTGACGAGGCGCTGGCCCTTCCCTGTGCCTTCTTGTTTGACTTCTCTGAGAAATGCTGCAATGGGGAAAGGAAGTTGATGCCTAAGTCAACTCCTTAGCCCCTCCTTCCCTAAGACAGAGGGCATAGAGATATTAGTCACAGCTAATGAGGTTTGATTTAATGAATCAATAACAACAATTTCAGTCCTTTATTGAGGGTCACTTTATTGGCATGTTGGTCATTTATAAACTTCACTGCAAACCCACAGCTAGCATTGTGTAGGGGCAGAGGCAGATGGGTATCAATTGTAGAGATATGGTAGTGCCCCTTCAGTTCACCCACTGCTATACTGGTGTTTAAAGTGGGCAAAGAGGTTCCCAGCCTCTATGACTAGCCTGTTAGAGCTCTAAGTTGCTTTTTAGTAAATCCCAAATGAGGATAATAATACTAAGAGTCCATTAACTGAAGGCTCACTATATCCAGATCAAGTATCAACACTTGTTGCTGTAAATTCTGTAGGATCAAAGAGTTAATAAATTGCAGAGTGAGGATTCAATTCCTGAGCATGGAACTGTGAACTCAATAAGAATCACATTGAATAATAATGTATCTAATTAACAAGTATTGACTTAGCATCCACTGTAGGAAAAGCCTAGGGCTAGGCATTGGGAAGGATATAAAAAGTTCTGCAGCCTCATTCCACTTCTCGCCAAGCTTCAGGCATGTGACACTCACTGAAGTAATGGCTTAACACATTACATTTGCCATCATTACTGTCACTAGAACTATAACCACCACTGTCAGAGCTCTGCCAGAATCACCTCTACCATCACCATTGTCAACACCAAAAAAACACTGTGAAGCATCTGTTTACATGTGGCCCTGTGGCACTTCTCAGAAGTGGTACTTGGGTCACAGCTACAGCATGCTGAAGGATTAGGTGGTGCTTGAATGAAGATGAGATTGACAAACTCTACTCTTAGCTTTGAGCAGGCTGCACATGCCACTCTCCTGGGAGCTGTCAATCCAGGACAGAGCACGATGCTTGCAGAATGGGAAATAAGCCTGGTTTACATAATGTTTTAGGGGGAGTTGACGGTTGAGGTGTCAGTCTCCTTTTCTGAGAGTCCATCTATGCTGATTTCTCTTCCTGATCAAAGTTCCTACCAACCTGTCACAAAGGGCACCCTATTACATCAGGTGGTGTCTCACCTATGTGAAACTAGAAAGGGTGCTAAACATACCAAGGCAGTATTTTAAGCCAACTGTAACCTCTTGAAACACACATGAGGCAAATCTAGAACCAGAGACTTAAAAAGTGAGTCAGAGTCTATACTGGGAACTTTATATGCAAACAAATTTCATGTACATGGGCATACAATTCAGATGTACTTACATTCATTATATTATTCCAATCACAGAACCGAAGGAGACCATGTACTCTTTCAAACACACAAATCCCACCCTTCTTATCTGCATGCCTTAGCTTATTTCCTATCTACAGCCTGAAATGCCCTTTCTCTGAATCTGTAAATACACAAATACAATTATTATGGGTTGAATTATATGCACCAAAAAATGCTCAAGTCCTAACCCCCAGGACCTGTCACTATGACCTTATTTGGAAATTGAGTCTTTGCAAATGCTCACATTTAGATGAAGTCATTAGGGTGGGCCCTAACACAATATGACTGGTGTCCTCACGAAAAAGGGAAATTTAGAGATAAAGACAGCTGTGCGTAGAAGAAAGATGACGTGAAGACACAGGGAGAACATCATCTATGAGCCAAAGAACGTGTGAGGCTACCAGAAGCTGGGAAAGACGCCTGAAACAGATTCTGTCTCACAGCCCTCAGAAGGAACCAACCATGTTAACACCTTGACTTCTGACTTCCAACCTCCAGAACTGTGAGACAATCAATTTCTGTTGTTCTAAGCCACTCACTGCGTAGCAGCCCCTGGGAAACCACCACACAAATCAAATCTCAACATCAACCTGCTTCCCATGGAACATCTTCTCTGAGTGTAGCCTGGTATTTAAAAAAACAATGAACTGTACGTCTTTGTTGACTGACTCACTGTTGGACCCTTGATGAATGACACTATACTAGACCCTGTGATGATACAAACGTGATATGGTTTTACTGTCGAGACTCTTCTAATCTTTGTGCATGGCAACACATAAACTCTATGTGTACCTGTAAGGCAGGATAACATAGGTGCTAAACAGATTCAGAATGACAAGTGACAAGAAAAGAATTATCACAGGGAGGGCTCTGTGGAGGAGCTGGTGGGCTTGTGAAGTGGCTCAGGTAATGGTTATCTCCCTCTTGACAGCATAGGAGACCCCACTAATAATCTTGACTCTGCCTGCATATGCTGCCTTGTCTAAGTAGCCTTGGAGGTCAGAGCAGGTCCTCAGTCTGTGGTCCTGGGATGCTGTGGACAGACAGGTCATCATAGTTAAGGGAATCCTAGGTAGGCTGTATGTTTTGCTTCCCTTTCTGGTGACTTCTCTGGTGCTTACAGGGGATTGTGGGAAAGTTGAGTATCAGCAGTCTGGGCGGGTTCGTGTGTATGGAATGTGGAAGCCAGACAACATGCCCCTTTCTTGCTTGCATTGCTGCAATAAAAACTCCCCTGGCTGGGGGAGTCTGGGCTGGTAATAGAAAGTGATGTAGGCCATGGTCATCCTTCAACCTAGAGCTGAATCCCAGTGGTGGGGTTTAGGATCCTAAAGGGCTTTGAGGATCCTCAAGAATATGCCTTGGTCCCTTTCCTAGTCTCTTTACCTTGCCCCTGTCTTGTCCTCCAACCACTCAGAATTTTGATATGCTTTTATATGGCCAAATGATACCCAAACATTTGAATGCTCTTTTCTTTTCTCACTTGTCTCCGTTTTGGTAACCTGCCTGACAGACCGACTTGTGCTTCTTCCTATGCTTCATTTATTTCCCCCATTTTTAAACTTAGACATTCATTCTAGCATTTATCCAATACTTATTAAGTGATTACCCCCCCCTTTTTTTTTTTTTTTTTTTTTTTTAAGAGACAGGGTCTCCTCCTGTCACCTAGGCTTGAGTGCAGTGATGTGATCATAGCTCACTGCCACTTTGAACTCCTGGGCTCAAGTGATCCTCTTGCCTCAGCCTCCAGAATAGCTGAGACCACAGGCATTTACCAGCACAGCCAGCTAATTTTTAAATGTTTTGTAGAGATGGGGGTCTCACTATGTTGCCCAGGCTGGTCTTGAACCCCTGACCTCAAGCAGTCCTCCCACCTTGGCCTCCCAAAATGTTGGGATTATAGGCATGAGCCACTGTACTTGGTCCCATTAACTGATTACTCTTTAAATCCAAGACTTTTGCTACTATCTGGTTGGGGTTGGCAGAACTATACAGAAAATGAACATGGGAATGAAGCTGACCTGGATCTCATCCTTAGAAACTTAGAATGCTGTAGGATTCATACATCTGGACTGTGAGGTGGAGTGAGACACACATCACCAGATGGCTGCTATTCAACATCTTGGGCAGGAAACTTTCAAGAAGCAGAAACAACAGCACTCCCAGTTGGCTGGTGGTGGGGAGGTGGGACAGGGTAGAAGGAGTCTCCCCTGTTGGCCAGGTTTTCACCAGAAATACTGTCCACCATGGAGCAAGGCCTTGCCCTGACCTCAGTGCTAATAACTCAGGAAGCACAGGTCCAGAATAATAGCAGTGTTCCCTTTGGCCATCTGTGTCCTGAAGATGCCCCCTAGTTGACCTTCCCAACAAGCCTGCCACCTTCTCCATGAAGCCATCCTGTTAATCTCAGGTAGCACTAATGGCTCCATTTTAACTTCTTGTTAGTACCTATACCATGCCTTATGTTTTAGTTACATTGACTTCAGCCCCTAGATATAAGTACTTGGAGATTAGAAAATATATCCAATTCAAGTTTTTTATCATTCTGAAGCCTGGCATATTCCCATTTTTCAATATGGGTCAGTAAATAAGTTAACAAATATACATTGATTGAGTGCCTATTAAGTGTTGGGCACTGAGCTATGCTCTGGAGATCAATACTTTGAACAGAACAGTGTCAATGGTTGCAATATGGTCTGTTCTTATTTGACTCCATTTCCTTTCAGCCTCCAGCTCCCTGACAGACTTACTGACCACACCTGTGGGCTTGTGCCCCTCTCAGCAAAAGAAACATAAGATGCTCCCTGATGGTGCTGGGAGGTGCCTCAACATACAGGTGTTCTGGTTGTGATGCCTCATATCTGTAGTCAGGACAGCTTGCTGGGTCCTGTCTTGCCCAAATCCCTGGTTTCCAGCTCCTTGCCTAAGATCCAGCTCCCTGCGTGGCTAGACTTGCCTGACCACTCTCTTCTCACCTAACTTTTGACCCTTGCTATGGCTTGACCATCAGCTCTTAGATATCCCCTCAAACCTGGCTCCATCAGGCCAAGCTGCTGATGCCCACTATAAATCCCGTCTTACCATCTTGGACCTGGGTTTCCAGTCTTTATGACACACATGTTCTCAGGCAAGAAGAAAGGAAGGACAAAATGATACATAGGTATGCCCATATAAGTGTACTTGTCAGTTGGAAACCTGAGAATTGTGTCTTATCAGATTAAAAAACAAAACATTCAATAAGAATATAAGTTGGGGAAAAGTGAAGTTAAGTGTTTTAAGATCTTTATACTACCTGTAATGAGCATAAATATATTGTGTAAGTTTAAAATTTTAGAAATTATGTATGTTTCAATGTTGAGGGTAAATATTAAAATAATACAAGCAGTATAACTCCCTAGCAGAAGGAAAACAGAAATAATAAAAATAGACAAACCCAAAAGAAGGTAATAAAAGAAGCAAGGCAAATATAAAAACAAAATAAAATTTTAACCCCCAAATATTAGAAATTTAAAAATTTTAAATGGATTAAGTTCTCCAGAAAACACAAAGATTTTCAAGCTGTAGTAAATACATATACACATGACATCATATAAAAATAAATTAACATGAGAGTACTATATTGTATAAATACTCATATTTTTGTATATATGCAGTTATAAATACGCACGCATACATTCCTGTGTATAATATTTTCAAGAGACGTGTCTAAAATGTAAGGATACAAAAAGGTGACATATAAAAGGATGGAAAAAATACAGCCGGCAAATAGTAATCAGTAGACATCTTAGAAGAATACACTAATATAAAACAAAATACACTCTAAACATTATTAGAGAAGTATAAATTCACAATGAAAATGTTTTAATTAACACAATTATTACAACTTTGATATGTAAGAACACAAAATAAAGCTTTGTAATATATGAGAAAAATTTACAGAATTGAACAAGGTATGCTGTCCCCGAAAACCAAATAAACAAAGAATTGCATGAGGAAAAAAGCATAATAGAAGATTTTTATTCTATGAAATGCTTTACGAACTTGCATGTCATCTTTGTGCAAGGGCCATGCTAATCTTCTCTGTGTTGTTCCAATTTTAGTATATGTGCTGCAGAAGTGAGCACAGAATAGGAGATTTTAATATACTTCTGTCATAGATACATCTTGCAGAAAAAGAATAATGACACAGAAGATTTAAACCAGATTAAAAATCTGACCTATTGAATGGATATAGAACATTGTACCAAAAAATTACAGAAAACATTTCTTTCAGGCACACAAATAATATTTATAAAAATCTATTATTTCTGGACTTTGAGTCAATCTCAATAAATTTTACTGGATTGAAATTGTATCAAGCATGATTTCTAATAAAAGCAATTAAGAAATTAACAATTAGAATATTCCCATAAAATGGCAAATTTGAACACACTTCTTAATAATTAAAGACATGTGGACAGATAACAAAGTATAGTGTTTATTAGGACCTATTTTGAATTAAGGAATCATGAAAATACTACTGAAAATTTGAGTGTGCTAGAGCTGGTTTGTATCAGCTTGCAATATTAAATGTTAAATATTCAGAAAATTTTCCAACTGGTTGTTAAACCATTTGTAGCTTGAAATTGGTCATGGTGGAGTATTTACAAGACAAATATGAAATTGGCATGCTACAAATCAGGCCTTCTTTTTTCCTTTTCCTTTTTAATATTTTTACAAGCTAGTTACCACAAAACCGTGGAATGCAGTTAGAACATGAGATAGAGGGAAATGTATAGCCTCAAAGGCATGGATTGGAAAAAAGATGAGAAGTTTCAACTTCAAAATTAGGAAAAACAAAGCAATATAAATCCGAAGAACGTAGATTAAAAGAAACAAGATAAATTAATGAAATAGAAAAATATTATATAAAATAGAGATTAAACAAAATCAAAACTTATTTCTTTAAAACTATGACTAAAATTGACAAACCTCTGGTGAAATTGACCAAGAAGGTGAAGAAATGTACAAATAATATTAGGAATGAAAAAGTGAACATTAGTACAGATACAGTACACATTAAGATAATAGGATACATGAAAAACTTAATGCCAATATGTTTGAAAATAAATATGAAATATATACATCCTTGGAAAAATGTAACTTGCCAAAATCTTATTCATGAAGAAATAAGAATCCTGAATTGTTCTTTAATTATTGAAAAAAATCTTATCTAGAACACTCTAGGCCCAGATGATTTTATCAGTAAGTTCTATAAATGTTTGAGGGAGAAATATTTCCAGTTTATACACATTTCTTCAGACAACAGGATAATAGGGCACTTCATTATGTTTTATGAGGCTATATGTAATTTTGATTGTAACACTCAACAAAGGCAAAATGAGAAAGAAAAATTAGAGCCCAATCTTATGCATGAATGTAATATAAAATGTAAAGTACAATTAGTAAATTGAAATCAGGAATATATAAAAAATATATATATCATGACTAATTTGGGTTTTTCTTAGGAATGCAAGATTAGTGTGACTTAGGAAAAGCAATTTATGCAACTCACCACATTAACAAAAAAGAAAAATGATGTGATTATCACAGACTCAGGGAGATTACTTGGTAAAAGTCAACATTCATTTATAAAACTCTTACCAAAATAGGAATAGAATAGTATCTACTACAGTCTTATTGCAAACATCACGTTTAATGTTGAAACTTTGAGAATACTTTTGAAATTTGAAACAAGACAAGAATTCCCACTATTGTTCCTTCTATTCAATTTTGTTCTGGAGTTCCTTGCTGGCTCAGTAAAATAACAAAAAGAAATAAAAGGTGTGAGAATTGAAAAGTGGGGAAGAGTAACTGCCACTATTCATAGATGAGATCTGTAGAAAATCCAAAGGAATTCATAGGAAAATTATTATAATTAATTTGAGAGTTTGACATGGTTCTAGCATTCACGTTCAATACTCAAACAATAAATTTAATTCATATAATCAAGCACGAAATTGAAAATGAAATGAAAGTGCTACCATTTATAATAGCATAAAACAAGATGATATCCTTGGGAATAAAACTAACAAAATATTTCTGTTTAAGGCTTCACCCAAGAAAATTAAAAGTCTTATTGAGACATTAAAAAAGAAAACAAAATAAGTGGATTGTATACTGTTTATAATCAGAATAGTTGATTTTTGTAAAAATGTCACTTGAATTCTAAGTTCCACACAAACCCAAACAAAACTTCTTGAATTTGTATTTTTTGTTTAACTTGGCAGGCTGATTTTAAAATTTATATGAATATGCAAAAAGTTAGAATATCCAAGATACTCTTGAAGTAGAACTCACTAGCTGTATCATATGTCAAGATTAGTGGGAAAAGCAAGGATTATTCAACAAATTACTGAAGCAATTAGGTACCCACATGGGAAAAAATTGTGAGCTTTACCTCATGCCATATACTACAAAAGTCAGTTTCAGTGGATTAAAGACTATGGGTGGAAGAAAAATCAATTACAAAAGATATGACATCAGAAAAAAAAATAAACCACAGAGTTGGAGAAAATATTTTTAGCTTCTATAACAAACAACAGAGTAGTATCAGAAACATTTAATGAATTCCTCCAAATCACTAAGGAAAAGGCAAACCAATTTTCCCATTTTACTCAGTGGGACAAATGAGTAAAAGGCTTAAACAGATGCTGTACAAAAAGGAAACGCAAATGGAACTAAATATAAGATCAATCAGTAAATCAAATATAGTCATAAAGAGATTTCTTACATACTTACTTCATGGGCAAAAGCCAGTAAGGTCTGACCATGAAAAGGTAGTGGAAAATTGGAAGCTCCTCCACTGCTGGTGAGAGTATAAGTTGGTGCAACTACTTGGAAATCAGTTTGGCATTATTTAGTATATTGCTTCTAAATATACACACCCAGAAATATAATCCTGGGTATACGCCCTAGCAATTTTGTGCATATGTGTACCAGTCAACCTTTACAAGCATGTGCATGGCAGCACTGCAGCACTGTTCGTAATAACTCTAGCACTGATACAATCTAGATACCCATAAACAGAATAGATGAATTATACTTTGTAGTATATTCACACAATGAAATACTGTACAGCAATAATAGTGCCCCAGCTCCACAGTATATGCAAATCTCAAACACAGTATCTAATGAAAGAAACGAGATTCAAATAATACAGAATGATTCCATTTATATATATTTCCAAAACAGGGAACAAGACTTTAGAGTTGCATCATGAGTGGTAAAACCATAAAAAGCAAAGAAATGACAATCACAAAAGTCAATGTTGTAGTGACCTCTGAGAGGAAATGGTAAAGTAGTAATCAGTAAAGGGACATACATGACCTTCTATGGTGAAGGTTCCTTTTTGGCCTGGCTGGTAGACATGTGGGTGTCCTCTGTATTTTATTTATTTGTTAAACTGCATGTGTTTTGTGTACTTTTTTGCACATATACCCATATATCATAACTTTGTTAAAAGGGTAGGGGAAGATTAAATTATCATCCCTGGATGGCAGTGTCCATCTGCTGATGGCTGTGGAAGATACTTGATCCACAGAAGTTGTGAGTAGCCTGGGTAAACTTTGAAGAATACATGGAAAAAAAAAAACAAAACCCAGAGCAGTCCATCTGGGAGCCAAGGACACCGAGTCTAAGACTTTTGGAGAGGACTTGAGAAGGAATTTTCTGTTCATTGTTCCAGCTTCTCTTGCAACAAGTCTTGGCCCCGAGTGGTCACTTAACACACATCAACTGAGCACCATTAGTGTGCCAGCAACATGTGCTAGGCACTGGGGATGCAGAATGCAATAATACTTAGGCCTTCAGAGTTTACCACCCATAGAAAAGATGAAGGAGGAAACCAATGATTACAGTAGGGTGCAGGCTAGTCTAAGGGCAGAGATGTCTTCCCAGAAGAGAAGACACCTTAGCTCTGTTTTAGAGGACAATTGCCAGGCAGAGTAGTGAAGGATAGTCCAGGAGAAGGGAACCGCATGAGGATAAGCAAGAAATAGCAGGTGCATGCTAGAAACAACAGGTCTATATGTCTGGAGTGCTCTTTAGCATATGCAGGCTGACCTTTTATCCTGTGTTGAAGGTTTATTGTTTGAACCTCATCTATCCCTGGCATGCTGCAATGATGGGTTAATTAAATCTAGAAGGTCTTTACAGCTTTAAGAGCCACAGAGAATATTCCTGGAAGGGATATTCTTAAGGGGTTCAAATCAGTATTAATATTAACACATTTTTACTGAGTGCCTACTATAAGCCAAATGGGTGCTCAGCTGGCAGACATAGAAGGCAGGATGTGGGGAAGTTAGATAAAAAGTATTTCTGTTGAGCCCACAAAATATAAAGCTGATAATGCTTTACATTTATACAGCATTTTGCCATTTTTAAACTTTTCCACAAATATTTGGTTTAAGGAGGAGAGAGCTCTGACTAGGGGTTTTGACTAGGATTGACACATGCCATACACAGCAGTAGCAGGAGATCTCTGTCATGGACTGCTGACCCCTCGTCTGGGATTTATTAAAGGCTGACAGAGGAAGATGAAGACACTCTGCTCTTCTCGTAGCATTACTAGGTGGACTGGAATAAAGTGGTTTATAGCCTCTCAGGGCTGGATTTTTCCTTTGGTAGAATTGCTTTGACATCCTTAGCAGAAAGGTTTTCATAAGGGCCTGCTCAACAGAGCAACAGCAGTAATAATAATCCTGTAAGTGTAATCCAGGCTGAGGCAGCAGGAAAAAAGGCCACAGGAGATGCACTCGCAGGTTTACCCGGAAACAGAGGATGACTAGTGCTATGTAACGCCTTCTCCTTTCATCACAGTCTCCTGAAAATAGTAAAGAGTTTAAAGTAAGAAGATGTGGTTTTAGCATTGGTTCAATCACTACTTAGCTATGTGAACTTAGGCGAGCTATGGAACCTCTCTGAGACTCAATTTTCTCACCTGTAAAATGAGGATGATAACCTCTGCCTGCCTCAGTGATTATGGGATGGAAATGAGATTAGTGTCTGCGAAAGGTGTTTCCAATGGAAAAGCTTGTCTCAAATGAAGGAAATTATGTTTTTGTTGTTTATTGTTCTAACTCAGTCCTTTTATAGGATCTTCTTGGTTAGCTCTGTTTTCAGGCAGAGAGTTTATTAGAGTTTATTTTTTATATTTTGTCTCCTGCAATGTAGCTCCCTATTCTGTCTACCAAATAGCAAATTGCTACATTATTTCTTTATTGTTTGACACTTAGGTTCTCAGCCTAATAGTCTGTTTACTTAAATATTTCAGAGCCTCTTAGCATTTCAAAAGAGTGTTTTTAAAAATCAGCTATGAAAAAACCAGATGAGTAAATAGAGGCATAATTGCTCACTATTCTAGGCTCAGCAGTTATCTATTGAACTGCACACATGCAGAGAGAAAAAACAAAAATAATAAAACATATTATCTTGGGAACAGACGTAGGAATTATCTATAAATTTGCTAATCAGTGCTGGTCCTTGGTGGTTAAATTTACCTCCACCTGAAAACCGGGTTTGGAAAGGACAGATCCGAAGAAAGTTTTTGTTCTCCTAAACAGTGGGTCAGAAGCAGTCTCTGCTGCAATCTGATAGTCTTGTTGTAAGACACATAGCGACAGGGGTTCCCTACAGCTTTGAAAAGCAGAAACCTGGAGGTTCTCACTGATTTTGAATTCTGGATCTTGACTTCCCTTTCTTTTCTTTTGTAATGTTACAGCCCCACTGAGCTTGGTTCTAGAGGACATTTGATTAAAATGTTATTTTTAGCAAATACATAATTTCCCACATTAAAATTCAAAAACCCAAGAGGACAGCTTAGGCTTGTAACTGTGCAATGCTGTCGGCCACTGGTGTCCAACAGAATCTGAACAAGAAGAAAAGGGAAAAATAATCCAGCCCACGAAATGTGTCCTAGCCTTAAGAAAATGTTGTCAAAGCCCCGGTCTCCAAATACACCACCTTCCTTGGTGCTCACAGCATTCATAACCCCCTTTACTGGGAACCCATTGTCCAAGGGGCATGTCCTTTTCCAGACTGAGGAACAGCTCTGGAGATGGGCTGTAGCCCAGATGTCAGGCGATGGACAGGCTGTGGAGAAGGAGGAGGTGCTGAGCTCCCTGACTTGTTCAGCACAGGCCTAAATTTGCTGTGACGCAATTCAGCGTGTGCTGCCCCAACACTGAATATAGTCGCAGCTCTGAGTCAGCCTCTGGCCCCATTTTCTCATGGCTTTAGAAGCCGTGTGCTGCTGGGGGCAGACATGGACACCAGTGTCCCAGCAGGATTCACTTGCTCCTGGTGTCAGATCAAGGTCCTCACAGGGCTTGACCTCCTGTCCCCCGTGCATGCTTCCAAAGATGCACTAGCCCACTTGGCAGGAGACTGAAAGTCTTTGACATCTGTGAAGTTAGAGCAATAGAAAGTCCTTTCTGGTTAATTTAGATTAATAGAGGTTTATCATATATAGAACTTGTATATTTCTGGTTTTGAAGGAATTGAAATGTATTTCCTATGCACTTACTGCATTTCTAGTGCTTAGGTCTGTATCTTAAGATGTTTAAAACTTGGCTGGGTGTGGTGGCTCATGCCTGTAATCCCAGCACTTTGGGAGGTCAAGGACCTCCACCTGAGGTCAGGGGTTCGAGACCAGCCTGGCCAACATGATGAAACCCTGTCTCTACTAAAAATACAAAAATTAGCTGGGCATGGTGGTGGGTGCCTATAATCCCAGATACTCAGGGGGCTGAGGCAGGAGAATCCCTTAAACTTAGGGGGTGGAAGTTGCAGTGAGCCGAATCGCACCACTGCACTCCAGCCTGGGCGTCACACATATATATGTCTGTGTGTGTGTGTGTGTGTGTGTGTGTGTGTATGGTAAACAGTTTAAAACATGAGAAACAATTAAAAAGCCCTGACCAGGAAAGAAATTGGGATTCAGACAAGACAGCAATCAAGGAGAGAGTTGTGATCTGAGATGATTTTCCAGAGTAGTTAAGGTATTCCAGGGCTTTGAAGCACCAGCAGGATTTACATGGGTTTGAGGGAGGAAAAACAAGAATGGCAGGGAAGTGAGAATAAATGCATAGTTCTTACAAAAAAAAAGAAAAAAGAATGATTTAATCTTTCTTTGCCTGCTCAGATGTCTTTACAGAAATCCAGGATCCTTCTAGATCACGATGGGCAGTGTGCAGAAGCATCAGTTAGGAGTGTGCCAGGTGACAGAACAGTGTTGACAGCTTTCATTTCAGTTCCCAGGTCTCCTTTTAGAGACATGATAATGATTTTTTTTTTTTTTTTTTTTTGAGATGGAGTCTTGCTCTGTCACCCAGGCTGGAGTGCAGTAACATGATCTTGGCTCACTGCAACCTCCACCTCCTGGGTTTGAGTGATTCTCCTGCCTCAGCCTCCTGAGTAGCTGGGACTACAGGCGCATGCCACAATGCCTGGCTAATGTTTTGTATTTTTAGTAGAGACGGGGTTTCACCGTGTTAGCCAGGATGGTCTTGATCTCTTGACCTCGTGATCTGCCCACCTCAGCCTCACAAAGTGCTGGGATTACAGGCGTGAGCCACTGCGCCCGTCCTGAATGTACTTTTTTAAAGTTAAAAAATAGAAACCTAGTGAGAATGCCAGAACTTTCTTATTGGGCTAGTGAAAGCACCAGGGTATTTGCATCCTGTCAGGGGAATCAGCCTCTTATCCCCAGATCCACCTCTCACTTACTTGGTAAGCTGGGGTCACAAAGGAAATAGCATTTTATGCCTGAGCCTGAAAAATGGAACTAATAACAGGTCCCCTTGTGTATAAATAAAGCCACATCAGTGATAAGCAATATGTATACTATTCCTTATGCTGTTAAGAAGAAAAGATTAAAATAGTTTCAAAGAATTATGATGACGATTACATGTGCCTGGAGACTAGGGATTGATTTTCAATTCATTGACAATTTAACAAGTTCTTGCTGTTGTCTTAGAATTGGAAGGGACATTCCAACTGGAATTAGAATTGGAAGAGGTTAATCTACTGGAGAAATCTTGGGTTTGGGATTTAGAAAAGCTTGACTTTGAATTCTGAATCACTTACTCTTTGCATCATTTTTCCTTCCTGCATTAAAGAAATATGTATTAACCTCCTATGAGGAGTTGTAAATTAAGCTTTTGGAGACTCAGTTTCCTCATCAATAAAATAAAGATTAAAGTGTAACTCTCCTGAGGTTATGATAGTATCTGGCATATAGTAGACCTTAAATGAGTATTAGTTATCCTCTTGAAATTAATAGATGAAGGAACTGAATAAGACATGGCTACTTAGAAAGCTTAAAGTATATGCAGGAGGGAAGTCATGGCAGTGCCAGATTATAAGACCAGGCAGAATGCAGCTAGAGGTGGGATATAAATGAGCTGAGATTGTCTGGATGGACAGGAGTGGGTGCAATAAAGATTGGGGCCATGATGGTTGAATGGAGAATGTGGATCCTGATCTGCTGAAGCAGGTGCCCCAGAAGCAAACATGGTGTGAAACGATAAAAAGTGTCCCACGTCAAACTTTACCTTGTCTACCACTTAGTTTAAGGTTGGCTTTTTGGGGAAGGTACATGCATGCATTCTTCTTTTCATTTGTTAATTCATTGAAGAAACATTTATTACCCCTCCCTGTGTTGGGCATTTTCCTAGCTCTGGGGATGCAATCAAAGAACTTATAGAAGAGGGGAGAAGAAAAACAAGTAAACAGACCTTATAAATTGGTGTGATAAATATTAAGATGGTGACAAGACACATGCCTTAATGCCTCCTGAGGGTGGCACAAAACTAAGAGTTGGTCCTAGATTGCCATTCACTGGCTGTAGCATCTTGGGAGGATCAAGCCTCCTAACCTTCATTGTCTCCTCTGCCCTCTGCTTTATTGATTTGAGGATCAATTGAAATCATGTACTGAAGAGCTCTTTGGATTCTCTGTTATATAAATGTACATTTTAATAATCATCAATGAATCCATCATACTTATGCCAGGTCTGACCCCCTTTTAATTTTCCTGTAATAAATAGCATCTGTCAGACACATTTTATTACCAGCTCCATATTTCTTGGCCTGGCTTCTTTTTTATTTGAACCTGTTTAACTCTTAATGTGTAGTTCTTTCTACCAATGTGATTGTATCCATGCCTGTGTGTCCTGTGGAATTTTAGGGAAGTCTAATAAGGTTTAAAACTGCCTTTGGAAAGAGGGAAGAGGACTGATCATTAATGAGGAAAAGACTAAGGCATAAAGAGTTAGAGGGGAGAGTTGAAAGAAAGATCAAAGCAAGAATGTGGAGGGTGGGGTTGAGCAGCAGAGGGGACAGAGATGGAAATAAAACCCAGAAGAATAGAAAGAGTTGAGAGGGAAAGGCGGAGGAAGAGACAGATGCAGCCCTCCAGCTGGTGGAGGAGAGAAAAAGGTGCCTCCCATTTAAAACTGCACATATCCCTATCTGTAATATTTCTGCTGATGTCTGAATAGAGAGAAAAATGTATGTGTATGTGTGTGTGTGTGTGTGTGTGTGTGTGTGTGTTTGTTAATAACAGCCATCTATTTATAGGTCTTAAATTATACACCATGAAAGCCTCTCTAAGACAAGATGTGTTATTTGGCTGCCAAAAGAAAAAGTTAAAAAAAAAAAAAACAGCAAAAAGAAGCTTCTAGATTTTTCTTCCTTTTCCTTATCCTCTGTCTGCCATATTCTTATGGTTAATGACAACTGTCAACTCTGTGTTTTGGACCCAAACGCCAAAGAAATGAAAAAGAAATTATTGAAGATCTTTCTCCAAGAGGAGGGGCCTGCATAGTTTTCCTGAGAATGATATCCCCCAAATTACATCCTTTTCTAGTTTAATTGGAGGGGTGAGATCATAACAGAGTCTTTCCCAACTCCTTTGTATTTTTCGGAAGGTAAGAATAAGGCCCAGAGGGTGGTCCTGCCCAAGGTCACCCAGCAGGCTGGTGACAGAAGATTGTCTGCTAGTTCAGTCCAGTGCTCATTTTACCATGGTCCCCACAAAGACATCGCTCTGTCTTCCATGCCAGTTGACTTCAGTCCTCTTACTTATATATGAAACCAAGAAGATTCAGTTTACTTTTCCCACTGATCTCATCTTTCCAGAGCACTGTCTGAATCTCCCCTAATGACCTCAAGATAACCTTCAGGTAAAGGGAATTTCACACCTGGTTCCAAGTTCGTAGTCAGTAGAATAGAGTGGTTAAGAGCATGGGCTTTGGTGTCAGACTGGAGTATTCTGGTTACTAACTGTGTAAGTTATTCAATCTTAATACCTGTTTCCTCATCAGTAAAATAAGGATAATAATAGAACTTCTCTTGCAAGATGGTTATAGAGTATAAATGAGGTTTTATATATATATATATAGTGCTTAGAAAAGGGCTGGAATATGGTAGCCCCTCAATCATTTAAAAAAAATTATTGTCATAACATTCTGATGGGTTACAAAATCTAGGACTCCAAGGATAAGAGCTCTGATTGTGGGCTTGAAATGAGTAGCCACCACTTTTTAAAAGGTCCTAGTGTATAGGATGATGATGGAAGAGATGAAGACCAACAAGCAACAAAGACCAACAGGCATTACCTATAGCCTGCAGAGTCAAGCTATAGGTAATCGACAATGCCAGTGACAAGGAAGAAAGACCATGGTGGGAAGACCTGGGGAGAAATGGCAAGAAGCAGTCACTGAGTACTGGAGGAGGGATGGACTTGCGGGAAATAAACCATGTCTTCTGCCCTCCTCCTCTCTATAAAAGCCTTGGGATGTCAATTCTGAACTCCTACTATATGCCAGGAGGAGGGACCACTTGCCAAGTTCTGTAGCTGGAAATGCCTTCCTCATCTCACATACCAGTCCTCCAGCCTTCACCCATACATGGTTTGGCTTATGTTCAACTACTTTAGCACCTTTGCTAGAGATTTAACGTTTTCTTTTGTGAAATATTTATGACTGTTTTATTTGATTCAGTGACTCTTCTGTGATTTGAGAGGAGATTATGACCAGCATTTCAGAGAAGGTGTGTCCAAGGCTCTGTGTTCAGTAATTGTCTTCTTATGTCCCAAGGAGGTGGGGCTCTCCCCACTACACCACACAGTTCAATTTCATAATTTTAACCTGTCTTTCATTCTCACATATGCATTCAGAGGCACATGCACACACACTTTTAAAAATCACCAGAGCATTAGTATTGAGAATATCTGGCTTAGGATTAAGCTGAACAATACATTTCTTCTTTTCTTTCTTCTTTTTTACTTACTATTTTTTACTTACTATTATTAAAGTCTAACACTTCAGCAAAATTTTCATTCTGCATCTTTTGCAAACAATCCAAAGATAAGATTATTATATAATTTATCTCTTATAATTATTTATGACCATGCTCTGAACTTAGTAGGGTTTCAATAAGTGTAATAAATGAAACTGATTAAAAGCTCTTAGAACAGGAGCTGGGGTAGGGAGTATTCTTAGGAGGACTCAAATGTTGAAATGCACAGGATTGTTAATAACATTAATAGTTATTTACTGATTACAGATCTCTATGTAAGGGACATTACAAACAGTAATTCTCAAAACAACCCCAAAAGGTAGGGATTGTTTGTATTTTACGGTTTGGGAAACTGAAGCTTAAAGAAGTTAATCTGCCCAATTCCAAGGCAGAGTGGGAATCTAGTATTCCCTAATTCTGCATGGTTTTGTGTGGCTCCAATGTCACTAGACTACTACTTTTCATCATACTGGGTCGAGTGTAGTTTCCTGGGCTGCCAAAATATACTTCCCTCCATTGGCAAAGTCAAGGTCATTCCTTGTGCATGAGTACGTGTGTGTGTGTGGCGGGGAAACTCAAATGCGCCCTCAGACCTGGCCGAGAGTCTCTTCCTCAGCTTCAGCAGGGGGTGCCATCCACAGACTGAGAGTTGGTGGGGCCTGCGTGGGAGCCACTGATGGGAGAACTTGAAAGGCAGGAGGGGGGAATCTTCCGTTACTAAGCAAGGATCTAAGAGCTGTTGTCAAGGAAGAATCCCAGGCCTTCCATAAAAGGAAGGCCTCCTTTCTCCTACTGGCAGCAAGTGCTGCCTTGAGCAATGAGTCTGACAGTTTCCCTAGCCCATCTGCACTTGGGCAGCTTTGGAAAGGAGAACCCAGGAAGCAGGGCAGGAGGAAATGAGCTGGAACTTAGTGGGTGAGGCCTTGGCCTTGAATACCTGGCAGAGAGCATCATGGGAGGCAGAGTGCGCAGCAAGGGCCCGGAGTTGAGCTCCTCAGTTGAGCCTCACAATGAGTGTCCTGCCCTCCAGCCTTGTCCTCTCCAATCCACCCGTGAAGCTCTACCTGGAAGATTTTCCCAACATGCCACGAGTCTGCCTAAATGTCCTTCAACATTTCCCCATCATCCACTGGGTAAAACCCAGCTTGTTTTGCCTGGCAGGAAAGGACTTTTTCCTGATCTGACCTTTGCTTGCTTTACTTCCATTACCCAAGTCCCTGTCGGGCCATTCCCAAGTTCTTGTCTGCTTGAAAGCTAGGTAGTCTCTCCTGGGCCTTTGCATATGCTATTTCTTCTGTCTGGACTACCACCCTGTCACATGTACCAAAAGCATTACTGGCGTGGAAGACACATTCAGGGTTTTAGCACAAGCATTTCAAATAATCATCAAGGACAGCCCTCCCACCGACTTGTCAGTTATAACACCATCTGTGGCACCACTACCTCCTTTCTGAGCCCCCAGCCCACTACAACCCTGGAGGAGCTAGACTTTAAAGACAGAGGTGGAGTGGGCATGTTCCCTGGTTCGATTCTGCCCCTCCATTGGTATAGATTGGGCTGCCTGGAATTGCACATGAAAAATGCCAGGCACCAGGGTAGAATCCCTCAACCTCCCTCATCTCATCTCACCTAAATCTCCTGGGCAGAGTGGAGGGAATAATGATGTTAAAATCAACATTAGATGTTGAGATCTAAGTTTGAAGCTCAAGTGATTGTTTAAACCTGCAATGATGAAACCCAACCCAAGATACTACTGAGGGAAGAGAAAAGGAGATCGGAAGGTGGTTTTTATGTGGTAAAATTGAGACTTCCCCCAAGATGGCCATATTTGAATCTCATTTCTGATTTTTGACTGATAGTCATTTTCCCTTGTCTCTTTACTTTCTCAAGCATATGTGGAGAGATGTGCTTCAGAGGTTATAGAAACAGCTGCGTGTACAACACACATCCTTTCAGGGCTGATGATTCATCGTAAGCTTTCACCATAGGTTTCCCTTTCGTATTACAAACAAGTAGTGAATTTCTGTGCTGACTGAAGCATCTGCATTATCTCATGAAATCTTTTCAACCACGCAAGTTCATTTTATTATGCCCATTTTTACAGATGAGGGCTCAGAACTACTTGCTCAAGGTCAAAAATCTGGCAAATTCTGAGACCGTCAAAGATACCCTTGACTCCTAAGTCCATACTCATTCCATTGTACCACTGTTAAATTTAGGTTATGAAGTGCCCACTGTGTACAAGACACTGTGCTTAGAGCCAGGAAACATAAAGAAGGATGCCCAATGCCTGCTTCTGTGTAGCTCACATTATGCTAGGGGAGATGTGCCATGGAAAATTAGTTCAATGGGATGTTGCAAACATCAGGAGCCAAAGAAAGCACAGAGGAGGGGCACTCAAACCTATGAGGGGACAGCACTTAATATAAAAAGCTGGATTTTAAGTATGAGTTTACCAAAGTGAGGGACATAGTATGAAAAGAGATGATTCCCAGAGATGACCAAGGATCCCAGGCACAGTCTCTACATTGGTATAGATTGGGCTGCCTGGTTATCATGTCACCTTTCCCCTTCCTATGTGACAAAACTATCACCTGTTTGTTCTTTATTCTCAATCTGGGCCAATGTCTTACTTCTCTTGGTGTTTTTATTTGTTAAGCTCTATCTCAAAGTAAGGAACAGAACACATTGTCAAGAAGAAATTTTAGGTACTCTCTGGGGAGAGGAGGAAGATGGGGGAGGATTATTTTAAGGAGCAAGAAGTCTATTTCCTGGATCCTAGAAATGGTGCCACATGGACTGATACCTGTTGCACCTGCCCTAGGGCTGGTCCTGCAAGGTGCTGGAGGAGAACACAGATAATCACAGTGACAAGGACATGCATGAAGCCTGTGTCAAGGTGAATGTGGCTGACGAAAGGAAAAAGGAGGACATTTCTCCTTGCAAAACTCTATATAATCAGAAGCTGGATTTGCTCAGTGATGTTTGCATTTTATAGCTACCCACTTATAGCTATAAAAAAGGCTTTGCTTTTGAAATTCCTGCAGGAAAATGGATTTTATTAAGACACTGCATTTCTTTGGTCCTTAAGCATTGAACCAATTGTTTTTGTAATGCGCTTTTTTAAACTCAAGCTTTCTTAGTCATATACGAAAAATATAACTGAAGAAACTTTACATAGTAGAGTCCAATCCTGGAATTGCTTATAAATTCATTGAGAAGACAAAATATATGTGAAATAGTTAAAATAGTCTAAGATTGTTCACTAAGTGCCACAGCATGAAACCCCTCTTAACCTCTGACCATCTAAGTTCTGAGTTCATCCATGTGAATATTGTGTTTTCCAAAGCTGGGCCACACCTATAACTGCAGTCTGTTTCCACTGCTGTGGTCCATGATGCTTTCCTGGCATAGCCTGCCCAGGATTCTTGCTCTAAACACTGTTAAAAGTTTTTTAACTGGGAGGCCAGTCAGCTGAGATGGCTCCAGTGTCTTGGGTTCCTGTGCAGGCAAACTGAAGCCCAATGTAAACAGTAAAACAAAACTTAGGCATAACCAATCAGAAACTGCCACTAACCTCTAAGTTGGGGCTTTCCACCGAGTCATATCCAAATATGGCAAATGCCTAGCTTTAGCCAATCAAATGATTTCTTTATCCTGCTTCTGTGTCCAGCCTGCTGCTCACCCTCCTAATGGGGACCACCCTGAACCTCTTCTGGTTTCAAGTGCTGCCTGGGAGAACATCCTTTTCCTTCTGATCCCTCTTCCCTGCCTACCTTTCCACCACTTTCTTCTCTGTCCCTATCCATGAGATATCATATTCCGGGACCAGCTGCCCAAAGCCAATCCTACAATCTCATCTGCCGCTGCCTAAGCCTCACTTCAGTGACTTATTCAGAAGGATCAGGCTCATCCACAGAAACCAAGCCCCTTTGCCTGCTGAAGGGTTTCTCAAACATGCCTCATCACAAGAATCACAGATAACATGTCTGAAACACAGATTCCAGGGTCCCCTCCAGGCCTAAGGAATCTACTAATAACACCAGCGTGAAAAATCCTGGCCTGGCTTAAGGTCACTGGAATACAGGGTGGTGGCAGGGGTTGGGAAGAAGGGTTAGGAGCTGGTCTGTATGCGTGACTTAGTCCTGTCTCTGTCCTGTCAGGCACCAGTTTCGCATTGGTTCCGGCGATGGGAATAGAGGGGAGGGAGGCCAGAACCCAACCAAAGCCCAGCTGAATGGATCATGAGATCTGAATCAGCCGGAAGCCACTGCTGTGCGCCCCAGAACCCATGTCTCAATTCCACCTGGCATCACCAATTATCTGTGCCTCTGACATAGGAGGTTTTTTTTATTCCCTCGAAATAGGGCTATAATTAAATCCAAAATTGTACTGGAGACTTTATCGTCATGGTAAAAGCAGAACACAATGTCTGCAGACAAAAAAACTCTTTCAATAAAAATTAATTATGCACAGCTCATGCCTCAGTCCCGGTGGCAGTGTGAGGAATGCATATGAGGCATGGGGAGGAGCTGGCCCATGGCACTGCCCAGGCTGGCTCCACCACCCTCCCGAGGCTCCCGCTGTGTAGCCCCCCTCTCCATTCACGCAAAGCCCCCCGCTGCATCTCCCTCCCTCGGAGTAGCTGCTTGTTCTCTGCAGTCCCGCGGGTCACTGCTTTTTTCTCCTCCTTCAGGGTCCGAAAAATTGAAAGCAGTCATAGGTGGGGCTGAGGGAGGTAAGAGAAGAGAAACAAGGCACAAAACAGAGAGGGTGAACTTGTGATCTGTCATTCCCATTAAATCTCTTTTTCTTTCAAGAAGAAGCATTCTCACTGACAGGGGATCTAAGATTTCTTCTGGCATCATGTTCCTTATGCTTCTTGCCACAGGGAGTGTGCGGGCTAAAGGATTCTGTTCTCTGAATCCAACAGTGGGCTCTTGGGGAAGATAATGGAGCTGCCCAGAGCCAGTGCCACATAGTACCCATGTGACAGAACTCAGACCCTGCCCTGGGACTTTGCTTTTCCTGTCCTCGGGAGACTAAGTCCAAGGGTACAGTAGAGTCAGATATGGGTTCTGCTGGTGGACATCCCTCCTGGGGAGTAAGTACAGTGAAAAATCAGAGAGAAGCGGAGGCAGGGTGGGAGCATCTCACCCTATAAACTAGTCACCGGATCTGACCAGGAAAAAGAACAAGGACTTGGAGAAATGCAGGCAATGCAGATCAGGGTTGGATACCTTCCAGTTCATCTAAGAAGTAGTGACAGAAGAGTGGGAGCCCAGTAGAAGTTGCTCTGCCAGTATCTAGATTTTCTTCCTGTGGTAGACTGGGTCTTCACCACCCACTCTGCCTGGAGGAGGGTCCCTCCAGAGCTCACTGAAAACCAGGGACAGGGCTCAGCTCACTAATGGCCTGCCCACTCAGAACTCCGCGAGTGCCCGCAGAAGCAGCGAAGGTACCAATGGGGTGTGAGACCCACCTCCATCTTGCTAAACGGTTGGGGGCAGGAAGCTCTGTGGGGTCAGAAACTGCAGAAAGGGGCCAGTCAGGGCCATGAAAGGGCTGGTGGGATGTTACTGAAGAAGTGCTCTTGGGTGTGAAGGTAACCAAAATTGTCCTCCAACTCCAGGCTCTTCAAGATATTCTCAGGGACTCGTGGCATGGGTAGAAGATTGAATGAGGTATTTCCCAAGCCTATGATTTGGTAATTCGGTTGAGCCAGTCAGATTCTTCCCCAGTTGGGGCTGGGGATTAAGGGTCTTATGTGGACTGGCATGTCCTTATTTCCTGGTGATAAGACTCCATCTGCTCTCCCAACACCACAGACCTCAGCACATAGACACATCAATTGTACTGCAGGTGGACACATAGAGGCATGGCAGTTCTGACATTTATTTTGTAGGTTTTTTTCCCCTTTCAGTTTCTGCTGACACAAACTCCCCCAAGCCCCAATTTCAAAGCATATTAAAAGACCAGATTTATTGACCTGAGAAGAGGGGAGGCCTTGCTTTATCGCAGATGATTGGTTAGAAATTCTGTCCAGGTTCTCTGACACTGGAAATAAACAGCAACAACCACCATCCCCATTTATCGTCAACATTGCATTGCAGGTCCCAGCTAGGACAATAAGACAAGAAAAGAAAGCATGAAGATTGAGAAGGAGCCAGGTATGGTGGCTCATGTCTGTAATCCCAGTACTTTGGGAGGCTGAGATTGGAGGATTGCTTGAGCCCAGGAGTTCGAGACCAACCTGGACAACATAGCGAGACCCTGTCTCAAAGATTTAAAAAGAAATAAAGATCGAAAGGGAATAGAAAAAGCTATCATTATTTGCATGTGGCATAAAACAGCTTATGTAGAAAATCCAAAAGCTATGCAGATAATCTGTTTGCATTGATAAGTAAAGCTAGCAAGAATGCTGGATTCATGATGAAGATAAGATTTATATTTTATATCTTTGCAATTTTTTTAGCTAAAATATTTTTAACCATTATAAATGGTTAAAAACCAAAATAAATTTAAAAGCCATCAAAACCATAAAATGCCAACCTGGCCAACATGGTGAAACCTCATCTCTACCAAAAATACAGAGTGGTGGGGTGGTGGGTGCCTGTAATCCCAGCTACTCAGGAGGCTGAGGCAGGAGAATCACTTGAACCCGGGAGGTGGAGGTTGCAGTGAGCCAAGATTGCGCCACTGCACTCCAGCCTGGGTGAGAGAGTGAGACTCCATCTCAAAAAAGAAACAAACAAAACACCCCATAAAATACCCATGAAACAATCTTTCCAAATTATGTAATTCCACTATACCTCGGACTATAAAACATTATTGAGGTAAATTAAGAGACCTAAATGAACGAAGGGATATACACTATGTTCACATATTGAAATATTATAAAGATGTAAATTTTCTTACTACATTGGTCTATAAATTCAACATAATAATAATAATCAGAATTCCATCAGGGTTGTGTGTATGTGTGTAAACGGGTAAGCTGATTCTAAAATTTACATGGCTATGTAAAAGGATGTGGAAAGGCAAGCCATTCTTGAAGAAGAACGAAGCTGGAGCCATTACATTACTGATATGAAAGCTTATTAAAAAGTAACAGTAATTAAGACACCGTGGTATTGACACAAGGGTATACAAACAGACAAATGGAACAGAATACAGTCCAGAAATAGACCACACATATGAGGTCATTTGATGTATTGCAAAAAAGATGATGAAGTGCAGTGAGAAGATAACCCTTTTAGTAAATGGTGCTGAGTTAATTGGATATCTAAATGGTAAAAAATGAATTTTACCCTACCTTACACCATACACAAAAATCAATTCCTGGTGAATTGCAGATCTAAACACAAAAGGAAAAACTACAGAGCATCTAGAAGAAGACATAGGAAAATGCCTCCAAAATCTTGGCACGAGGAACAATTTATCAGATGGAGAACAAAAAGCACAACCATAAAGGGGAAAATGATAAATAGGAATTAGTAAAAATTAAGAACTTTCATTTATCTAAAATACTATTAAGAGAAAACGTAAATTACAGAAGTGGGATAACATATTTAGAATATATTTTATATCTCCGAGATACCTAAAAGACCCCTACAAATCAATAATCATTATAATAACTATTTGCCAGAAAAATGAGTAAAAGGCTTGCATAAGTATTCTGCAAGGATGCACAAACGGCCCACAACGATTTGAAAAGGAGCTACTCTCCGCATATAATGATCCCTACATTTAGAGAAAAGAAAGCAATAAACCGAGTCTCAGGGAGATGAGGTTACAGGTTCAGGTGAGCATCCTAAGAAGGCAAAATGGTGACACCCACATGGTGTGATTGATTGGAGGGTCAAACCCACATGGTGATCACGGAAGTCCCAGCACCATAAATATATCCATTCCTTTGACATTCAAGATTCTCCCAGAAGGCTTAGATTTTATGCCCTGTTATCAGCTAACATGTCAAAGAGATTTATCGACTGTCAACTGAGAAATGGCCCAAGGTTCTTAAACATACATTATGCCCTGTGAGTTCTAGAGCCAGGAGAGGGGACCATGTGTAAATGGGAGGTGGTGGTGTCAAGGGTCATGTGCTACAATCTACTCAGGGCAGCCCCTTCTTGTGGCATCCCAGATCAGTCATCTCTTCATTCACTTGCACTCAAAAGGTATTCAGCAAGCATTCATAGAGAAGCTGTTTGTCAGCCTTGTAAGCCAGTTACACATGTGAACGAGATGGGTGCTGTCCTCACTCTCTGGGAGTGCACAGTCTCAGTCTGGTAGTGGGGTACACAAAGCTGGCTTTCTAGCAGGCAGATTCGCTGATTCCTCAGCAGGGCAAGAGCCAAGCTGGGCTTTGGATTCCGAATCATCAGAGCCCTGTGCCTTATACGTGATCTGCAGTGGTACTGGCTGCAACCCCTCCCCTTACCATGTTGTTCAAGGGAAATGGGCTTGATCCCAGGGTGCAATGTAGAGCAGTAACCTTTACTTGAAACGGTTGAGGGGACATAGGTGCATCAGCATCTGGAAATGGATTCTAGCCAATATTATGAAATTTCCATAATGCCACTTTATATTGTAATTACAGTGTATTCACTCTTTACAGTCATCAGCCAAAAGGGGCTCTTATCAGTATATTTGTCATTATAAATGTTATGTGTATAATCACAGAAATTTTCACATTCAGAAAGAGTAGTCACATTCAGGAGAGACATATTACCTATTATGAAACACAGGATGAATTCTGGAAAGAACAGACCACAAACCCGAGGCTGCAGAGTGCCTCCTCTCCGAGGCTTTCACAGCCACATCGGAGCCTAATTTGTCTTAGCCTTGGAAATTGAAGACAGACCAATTATCATAGAGAGCAGAGCATAAGAAGAACCAGAATACACTGTGCCTGTGCGGGATTCACACTTACCCAATTATATATATGCTCTTTGGTTCCATTTTATTTATTATATACATCCAGTTCTCATGTTTTAGTTAATAAAACATAATCATCCTTTCATTTAAAAAATCTGTAACCTTTTTCCATAAGAAAAGTGGGAGTTCTTTGCCTCAACAAATCATTCATCCCAGGTTCCTCTACAGACAGTGGAAGATGCTGAGGGGGAAGGATTTTGTAAAGTGATTTGATGTAGCTTAAGTCTCCAGTGGCCCCCTGTATTAGTCCATTTTCATACTGCTATAAAGAACTGCCTGAGACTGGGTCATTTATAAAAGAAAGAGGTTTAATAGACTCACAGTTCAGCATGGCTGGGGAGGCCTCAGGAAACTTACAGTCATGGTGGAAGGCGAAGGGGAAGCAAGGCACCTTCTTCACAGAAGTGCCGAGTGAAGGGGAAAGAGCCCCTTATAAAACCATCAGATCTCCTGAGAACTCACTCACTATAAAAAGAACAGCAGTAGGGAAACTGCTCCCATGATCCAATTACCTCCCACCTGGCCTCTCTCTTGACACGTGGGGATTATGGGGATTATAATTCAAGATGAGATTTGGGTGGGGACACAAAGCCTAACCATATTATCCCCTCACCCCACAAGCTGACTCTACATCATCACTGGGCAAAGCCAGTCACTCAGTAGGCCTCAACGCATTTTTTATCTGAGTTTTAACCCATTTATGCCTAGTGTTCCATTATTGGAATGCTAAGCATGTGGGAATTATTTATAGCCTACCGTTCAAGGTCATTTCCAAGGTCTGATTGCAACCTCAGGCATAAGTGTGTAAGGCATTCTGTCAACTATCATTCCTTCTCTTTGACAGGCACCATGCCTGTGCCTATTCCACCCAGGAGTCCATCCTCTGGCGACCCCCACTACTGGGTAGGAGGGTGATCTTCGTGCAATCCCTAACCTAGGTCTATTTTTCCAGACTCGTTCTCACCCCCAGAAAATCCCCTCAGAAATTTGAGGTTCCTCTCTCTTATGTTAATTCTGCCAAGTTGTGTGAGAATACAAGTCTATAAGCGGGACTCTTTTGTTTACCTGCTCTGCTCTTTCCTGCACGGTGTGGTGATGCTGCCTAGCATGTCACCAAGCCAATGGCCACTCCATATCTGTTTACTGGTTTGTTCTTTGCAGTAGCCAGATCCATACATAGTTCCTTCCACTAAGACTGTTTAGACCTTAAATAATGTGTATCCCTGCCTTTTGTGGCAGTGCATGCATACACACCGTGGAACGCCCTCGCATTCACGACAAATCTAATGAGACCTTGCTTTCAGGAAGCCATACCTTTGTCATGGAGCCTGCACATTGCTAATTCAGTACCTTACCAAGTCATACTGTGTTCCCAACCACACATTTCAATTCACAGGGAAAGACTCCACAGCCTGTAATTCAAGGGTCACATTGGGACACTTTCTGCTAACACCACCTGAGAACTTTAATTGTCAAGCCTCAGGAGGCAGCTGGGGCAGGTGAGGTGCTTGGTGGTTTCCTAAGGTAACTTGTCTTATTTTTTGAAACAAAGAATCCCAGGCTGATTTACTGATTGGTGAAATGAGGAATGTGCAATGATAGAGCTGTGTGCCCACTGACAGATGGAAGCAGAAAAATCTCATGGGAGTTGAGGGGACCTTCCCCAGATTTCTGAAAAGAGGCCTGATACATGGCACATGGGCAGCCTTAAGTCTTAAGACAGATTTCCAAGGCTCAGTAGGACTATAAGGGTCTGTGCTGAATGCTGTTCTGAGTCCCCACAAATTCATCTGGTGACATTCCAGAGAAAAATAAGAATTAGTTATAGATGGAAAAGACCAGGAAACTATTTATTTTAAATTATGCAAATCTATTATCACTGTAAACAGAAGGCCATACAAGTCCCAAAAAAGGGTGACAGAAATAGCAGGTATAATTTTTTTGGAAATGACTAAGGTCATTAGGGATGCTAGAGTTCAATGCTGCATATAAATTCCATAGTCAGCTAAAACACATACTAGAGACTTGAGAGCTAATAATTTTAATCTAAACTTACTGAATGATGAAATACTCTCCAAAGATAAAAAAAAATCTCAGTTATACATGTAGAGAAAAATGTTAGCTGAGAATAATATTGACAAATAGTGATGAAGATCCTATGAGACAGAGGAGATCTGCTTCTAGCCTCAGGGAGAGAAGGGGAAAAGAAGCTTCACTACTGGACCAGATAGAAGAACGTTTACCCCCAGCCGTCCTCTAAGATTAAGCATAGGCTGGATGCCAGTTGCCTACTGCAGGGAAATCAAGTGAGCATTAAGAACCCAAAAGAAGATGCCCAAAGCAAATATCTGGGAGGTGACAGAAAGACATTTAGCTGAGCTGGCAAGATGGAAAGCAGAGTGACTTGGACTCTGGAAGTGGTGTTCCACAAAGCCTTGGATGGGTTACTGAGACAGGAAGACCCCCTAAAGAAGAAGCTCTGCTTCTCTTGGCCTTGGACTTTGGTTGGAATTTAAAAGAGTGAGAGTGCCTGGAAGGATTCTCAGTTTCCATATTAAGTGATTTTTGTATATATATTTGATTATATACACATATGATTAAGAATATATATAATGCACACATACACACAGCATATAGCAATTTGGGGCTTGAGGCTTTTTTTTTTTTTTTTTTTTTTTTTGAGACAGGGTTTTGTTCTCTCACCCAGGCTAGAGTGCAGTGGCACAATGTATCTTGGCTCACTGCAACCTCTGCCTCCTGTGTTCAAGCGATTCTCCTGCCTTAGCCTCCCGAATAGCTGGGATTAAAGGCACGTGCCACCTTGCTGGCTAATTTCTGCATTTTTAGTAGAGACAGGGTTTTGCCATGTTGCCTAGGCTGGTCTTGAACTCCTGGCCTCAAGTGATCTGCCTGCATCAGCCTCCCAAAGTGCTGGGCTTACAATGGGCCACTGCACCCAGTCCTATTTTGGCCTCAAGGCTTTGATTTGCCGTTGAGGCAAAGCCCACCAAGTGATGTTTCAAATTATTGTATCTGATCAGCTAAAAAGATCTTGCCATTGACCTCGTTCTACATTCCCCTAGATATATGCCACTAAACAAAAAATACAACCCAACAGAGAGATCCTAGTGTGAAGTCCAATTCTCAGAATGTAATGGCCAAAAAAAACTTTCTTTTGTCTAGATTATTATACACATACACACAGATAAATTTTTATTCACTAGTCCTGAGTACTTGTAAGACAAAACACTTGTTGCAGGAAGAAACCAGGGCACCATGGAATAATGGTGATTGATTTTAGATCTGGGGCATGGAAAGTTCAAAGTGATTCTGGAATATCGATTCCAGAAAGCAAGGAAGTGCCTAAAAACTGATGGAAATATGTTCAAAGAACGTAAGAGGCAACTTAGGGCCACAATCCCCAAAATTTGGTAAAATTTGAGTATCAAGAAGAAGAATAATAATGACAATGGATTATAATAACATGCTTAATAAAACAAATAATCCCTGAGTCCATAATAGTACTATAAAAAGGTGGGGAGTGGGCTCTTCTTAAGAAAGAATGCCAGCTAACAGATATAGAGGAATGATATAATGTAACCCATTTGATAATCACTCAAATAATTTAGGCAAGTATCATCTATGGATATTAAAACCACTGAGTGAAACATAGGAACAGGATACACAGCCTCAGAGAATCACCCCACAGGTTATGTATTAATTACAAAGAAACCATGTGACACATTGCAATGTAGAAATCTGGAGGTCACTTCCTTAGTCAATTGAACACATTCAGCATCACCAATAATGGGAAAACTGACATTCTGTGTCTTCTGATTTGATGTACTAAGAAGGTCACAATATCACCTGCGTAGTATTCTTGGCAAAAAATCTTTAATCTCAATGTAATCATGAGAAAACAATCAGACAAATCTAAATTATAGGACTATCTACAAAATAATTGGCCTGACCCTTGAAAATTTCAGTGTTGTGTTTTTTGTTTTTTTTTTAAACAGGGACTGCTCAAGACTAAAAGAGATTACGGAGACATATTAACTAAATAAAGTGCATAGGCTTTGATTGGATTATGGATCAAATGAGAAAAGCCACATAAGACATTATAGGGAGAATTGAGAAAATTGAGCTGTAAATTAGAAAATATTCTTGTATGAATGTTAACTTTCTTGACAATTATGGTGCTCTTAGGAGACATCTGCTGAAGTATTTGGGGCAAATTGTCATGATGTCTGTAGTTTACTTTCAAATGATTTGGTGAAGGTGGAGAGAAAGGTAGGGGCTTGGAGAAAGCAATTGCATGTGGCAAAATGTTAATTGGTGAATCAGTGAAACAGAAATGCATCTTCACTGTAATATTCTCTCAATTATTTTGTAGGTTTGAAATTTTTCAAGATAACAAGTTGGAGGAAATTTGCTTGTGAGGCTACAGAGAAAATATTAGGACACATCATTTCAGTATAATTTATATTCTTAGGTATACTGAATTAAATATTCCAGCAAAGATATCAAATATGAGTGTGTGGCCCAAAGGAAAATATTTCTCTTTACTATTCTTAAAATAATAATGTCTCGTGCTTGGATATTTATACTGGATATTTATACGTGTGCCAGGCATTGTGCTAAATGTGGTAGCCTCATTTAATTCTCACAAAACTTTATGAGGTAGGCACTATATTGCAGATTAGGAAACAGGCTCAGAGAGATTAAGCAGCATGCCAGTGTCAAACAGTAAGTAGACATGAGCCAGGATAATAGAACCATCTGCCTCACCCCAAAGTTTGGCTTTTTTTTTTTTTTGAGAGAGAGTCTTGCTCTGTTACCCAGGCTGGAGTGTAATGGCGGGATCTTGGCTCACTGCAACCTCCACCTCCTGGGTTCAAGCAATTCTCCTGTCTCAGCCTCCCAAGTAGCTGGGACTACAGGTGCCCACCACCACACCTGGCTGATTTTTGTATTTTTAGTAGAGGTGGGGTTTCACCATATTGGCCAGGCTGGTCTTGAACTCCTGACCTCAAATGATCCACCCACCTTGGCCTCCCAATGTGCTGGGATTACAGACGTGAGCCACCGTGCCTGGCCAAAAGTTTGGCTTTCAACCTCTCTTTCACACTGACCCTGGTCAGTAAAATTCACATACTTTTACTCTGAATACTATCTTATAGTCACCAATTATGAAAGATATTATCAAGTTATATAAAATTCTCTGTTAGTGTTACCACTTAAATGTATTATTATAATTTAATATTCTGATCAATAGTTACCATACACACAAGGGATTGCCAGTTTTGAAATGAAAAAGATTATTTTGAAACTACTTATTATAAAACTATGCCAAATATAAGTCCTTTATAATAGTAGCAATATAGGTAACAAGACCATCATTTACTGGAATGTTCCTTTTAGCTTTTCAAAATGTGTTACGGTTGTTATTCCAATTTTTCATTGACTCAGTGGCATATTAACATAGATGGAGATAAGTGGTGGGGCTGTAAGGATGGAGTTCTGTCTGAACTTATTTCATGGTATCTCTCAAGTTTTTCTTTTAAAAATACACTGCTTGACTTGTGTCTTGTTTGCATAAATGTGGAGGACACAATGTGTGTCCCTGCCTGTGCTGGTGAGTAGAGAATTTGGTTTTCAGGAAACCAGATACAATCATCTTAATAGATTATGAAGCTGTAGTAAGTGAAGGCATTGTGGCCTAGGGCTGAGGGAAAGTAAACAGAAAATAATTTCAGCAAAGTTGTTCAGAGAGTGCTGGTGCAAATATTCTGGACATTTAGATGACTTGGAAAAATGGGCTTCAACACTGTCAAAGTCAAACCTGGCACTGTGGGAGGGAGGTAACACTGTAGCTGAGGGCATGCGTTCAGGAGTTAATCTGCCCAATTCAAATTCTGGCTTGACAGCCTTCTAGCTGCATGACCTCAGGCAAGTTATTTGACCTCCTTGTTCCTCTGTTTCCTCATCTGAAAAATGGGAAAAAGATGAGTCCCTACGTCAATGCACCTAACTTTGGTACTTTGCTAACAGAGAGTTTCAAGGATAGAATAAGAGAAGTCCATCCCAAGAAACAGGTACCTCAGAAATATTTTCTTCCATCCAAGGTTAAGAGATGCCCTGATTCCCTACAGTGTACATGGCTTAGCATGTCTGGCATCTCTGATGATCAAGGGAAGAAAAGTCTTCAGAGGGTCATTGAAGGCAGCAGACAAAATATTCTACAAGAAGACTTGGAATATTCTGAGTGGCTCCTACCAGAAATGCAGTCACTTAGTTATGGTTATTTCCAAAGTTATGATTCTTGACTGATACATGCTTTAGTCACTAGGGCATGGATATCTCATATAACAAAGTGCCCTTTATGAAGCTTGTAGAAAAATACTGCAAAGCTTCTGGTAGCATTTTTGAGAGGCAAGAGCTATAATACTTCTTCCTGGTAGACCAAACAATATTTGTAGGGGTTATAAACAAACAGCAAAATAGGGGGCTACAATCCCATAGCAGCATCAGAATTTAAACTAGATGAAACTGAAAAGCAGGCAAAGTCTGACATTGGTAATTTCCTTTTCTCCCCTCGACAACCCAACACCAGTACTCGGTACTGTCTTGTGGCTTTGGATATCTTCAGATAATCTGCCTAGCCATGTCCTACTAGGCCAAACCTGCCAATCCCAATAAAAACTTCTTTTAACTACTAGGAAAACTACTGGATTAAAGTTATTGATAAGGAGCTGCAAGAAATTGATAGATTTGAATTCAATAATTTTTAAAGGAGAAGTTTTCTTAATAGGGTTAAAATATGAAGAAGCTATTTAAAGAAATAGACCTTCTGGGCACTGTTGCCAGCCTCTACAGCTCATACACACACATTTTCAAAATACTTCTCAGACTTGCCAACCCCAAGCTGGTTCATGGAGCACCAAAACAATGCCCAAACATCTAGCCGATATCTCCGTGGGGCCACAATAATTTTGCAGAGACCTCTCAGCAACTAAGAGTGACTGCCCTTATGGGCAAATATTGCCACAAAGAGGTGAAGTGACTTTGAACTGGCGAGTTGGGTAATGTGTTTCAGTCTACTTCTCTCATGTCACCAACTCTAGCAGATGTGCAGCCAGTCTTTCTGGAGTGGTCCTGGACCCTGGACACATTATCCTGAATATTCATCCCTAGTAACCAATATTTCTATGTTGATAACAGTAAGATACACATGACCATGAAGGATAGGCTGTAAAAGGCTCTGAAGTGACAAAATGGCAGATGAGGCAGAAAGTGATTGGAGCAGGGACTGTTCTGCTTGTTTTGCCTTGGTGATAGCAGGTGCATTTATAAGCTGACAACGTATATATGAGCCTTTCTCTTCTTGAATGTGTCCTTGTCCCTTACCTGTTGACTCCTTGAGTCCCTGCCCACCTTAGCCTGAGTTGGAGGACCTCTCTGCTTAGGTTAGCCTTGATGACGAAGGCTGAGGGCACTCTAACAGTACTTCTATCTTTGTTGATGTTCTAGAAAGCGGGCCATGGGTTCCAACCAGCTTGGCGTTTTCTCAGCTATGGCACGATGCACTTGGACTTCATTTGTGATCGGCCCCTCATTGAGCATGAAAGCTGGTTACCTTTTTCCTGCCAGAAAATCTGGCTTTCTCATTTGCCGTATTTTCTGGGTCTGCTGGACCCAGCTCAAAAACGCCTCAGCAGTGTCTGTCACTAGGGAAAAAGCAGCCCCTGAGAAAGGGCAATTAAAGGTAGTGTTTGTCTCTGATTCTTATTGGCAGCTCTGTTCAGGTGAAGACATAGAAAAGGTCAAGGCCCACGGCCCACACACAACCTGATTGTGTAGCTAGGCAGCTTTCCAGGAGGCCTTCTATTTGGAATAGGAGCACTTAAAGGAGACTCCCTCACGGCATAAGCTGGGGGTGGAGGATGTAGGCCATTTAGCTACACGATGAGGCAAATGTCCTACTTGCTAAGTCTGGAAAGGTGGGTGGCAGGAGTGGTGGCTTCCATTTTTCTAAGAACACAGCTTATTTCTTGGGCTCCATTCCCCCCGGGTATGACCCATAGAGAAGAACGTCCTGGAACTAAAGGTCATACCTGAAGCCAGGTGAGTTAGAAGAGAGCTCTACGTAAAGTGACTAGTAACACATGCAGTGAAGTTTTTTCCCAGAAAATAGCATCATTGACCGCATCCACTTTTGTGTAATGCTGTGATCTGTTTGTGTTCCCCCAAAATTCATATGCTGAAACCTAATCCCCAAGGTGATAGTACTAAGAGGTGGGGACTTTTGGAGATGAGCAGGTCACAAGAGCAGAGCCCCTATGAGTAGGATTAGTACCTTTATGGAAGAGACAGTAGAGAGGTAGCAGAGAGATAGCTAGTTCCTTCCACCATGTGAGGTCACAATAAATGGGCCCTCTCCAGACACCAGATCTGCCAGTGTCTTGATCTTGGACTTTCCAGTCTTCTGAACTGTGAGAAATACATATTTGCTGTTCATAAACCACCCAATTTTTGGTCTCTGTGTTATAGCAGCCTGAACAAACTAAGACATATAGCCTGGAAATTTGGATTTAGTTCAGAAATCCCAGGGAAACAAAAGGAAAAGGGATCAATCTCATAATGGTATTCATACTTGACTGCTCACTAGGAGGTTATGGGAGTTCTCATGGAAAATATTGCCTAGATGATGCTATCTTATCCAAATAGGTTATGACAACTTTTCATTGTTTTTGTTGTTTACTTTAAGCATATCTTGAACCCCATCCAAATTCATATTCAATTTAGGAGAGGTATTAAAAAACCCCAACATACCAAAATCTATTAATCATTTATCCTGGGATGATACTCAGCATTAGTTGTAGAAGTGGCATAATCTCAGCATGAAATGTAAAGCCAAAGTACAGATATCAGCCTGGTCAACATGGCAAAACCCCGTCTCTACTAAAAAATACAAAAAATTAGCTGGGCATGGTGGTGTCCACCTGTAGTCTTAGCTACTCGGGAGGCTGAGGCTTAAACCCAGGAGGTGGAGGTTGCAGTGAGCTGAGATCATGTCACTGCACTCCAGCCTGGGTAATAGAGTGAGACACTGTCTCAAAAAACAAAAACAAAAACAAGCAAACAAACAAACCAAAAAACAAAATACATATACCTGTGAACTTTTCAGTACTTCTTGAGTTGGCCCCTTACAATTCCCTTTATTACTGGGTAGGCAGTATGGTTATTCTGGCCCTACAATATCAGCTGCTCTTTATTAATTGAAATACAATTTTAAGAATATTAAATCTGTTTGGTAACTATTACATCCCTCTGTTAGTAAAGACAGTCAGGAGCTGAAAGTATAGGACTACGGATGGTCCCTAACTTATGATGGTTCAACTTATGATTTTTCGACTTTATTATGGTTCAAAAGCAACATGCATTCAGTAGAAAGTGTACTTTGGATTTTGAGTTTTGATCTTCTCCTGGGCTAGCAATATGTGGTTCAATATTCTCTTGCTATGCTGGGCAGGGGCAGGGGCAGTGGCAGTGAACTGCAGCTCCCAGTCAGCCAGGCGATCACTAGGGTAAACAGCCTATACTCCATATCTTCCCAAAAAACGCTATGCCTACTAAACCATCAATAAGTGTCAATGCCTCATTGCCTTCTATTCTTGAGCCTCATCAGAAGACAGAGAAATTGATGACCCTATTTCTGCAGCATCCCCATCAATCAGCAATTAACTTTAGTTCAATGCTTCTCCAGGCCCCATGTACTTTTGGCTGTGGACATTAATGGTGAGTACCCATGCAAACATTGTTTTTATACTTTCAGTAGAGTATTCAATAAATTACATGAGATATTCAACACTTTATTATAAAATAGGCTTTGTGTTGAATGATTTTGCACATCTGCAGGCTAATGTAAGTGTTCTGGGCACATTTAAGGTAGGCTAGGCTAAGTTACGTTTGGTAGGTTAGGTGTATTGAATGCATTTTTAACTTAACAGTATTTCCAACTTATGATGGGTTTATCAGGATGTGACCCCAGTGTAAGTTGAGTAGTATCTGTATTTCTGGGCAAAGTATTATTCTTTCCCATTGTAAACTTATGTTTGATTATGACCTTTGGTACCCCAAAATTAAATTGTTTTGCTCCTGAGTGAAATTGTTGAAAGCTTCATTGGCCTTTGGTGAATACATAAAATAAACACTTTTCTGATAAAAAAAAAAAAAAAAAGGTTCCTATTCTCTTTGGTGAGAAATACAGAGGCTCCTAGGGCAGTTTTCACACTTTCTTATTCTTTGTCTAGAACCTGTAACCAACACATTGAAAAACTCACCACTAGCTCCAGTGATTTTCCCTCTTGGCTCTATGCTTGCAAATCCCATTGACCTTCTCAGTTATTTTCTTTCCTTCCTTTTTCCACCCACCCCCGTCTGTCACCATTCTAATCCAGGCTCCCATTACTTCCATCTTGGACAGTGGTATCAGGCTCCTGACTTACCTCCTTCTCCCTGAGAGTGGGAAACATTAATACCATTCAGCAGAATCATGCTTCCCTGTACTTCTGGCCTCCTTGAAGTAAGGCAAGGCATGGACACACCTTGCTCTGGCCAATGGCACATGAGCAGAAGTGAACTGTGTCTCCAGACCTCTTTCTCCTATGGTGGAGCCTGTGCCAATGATGTACCTGCCAATATGATGTGGATGGATGTGTATGGGGGTGAGAAGTAAACTATGCTTGTTTAAGTCCCTGAGATTTGAGTTTCGTTTGTTTTGTTATTTGGTTCAATTTGACCAATACACACAGTCTCTTCCTCCTCTAATTCTCTTTATATACTCTTGCCAGGGTAATCTTAAATCACAGGCCAGATTATCCCCTAATCAAAAGCCATCAGCTGTTCATCATTACCCAGAAACAGAAAACCCAAATGTCTGAATTTCAAGAAACTCTGAGCTCTGCCCTCAATGTCCTCTTCCCACTTTCTCACTACACGTATGTTCCGGCCCAGTGTAAAGGCTCACAGTGACCCTCAGATGATCATGTCTTGACTTGGGATGTTACATTTGTATGGAGTGTCTTTGCCCTGATTACATCATGTTGAAATCTAGCCACTTTAAAGCACAGGTTCAAATGGTCAAACTTTCCTGACTCCTACAAGTGGACAGGCACTCCCACTCTTCTGGGGTCCCTTAGCAAATTGTGTCTCATTTATAGTACTTACTACTTTCTATTGCATAATGCAGTTATTTCTGTATATGTTTTACCTCTCCGATTAGACAATAAACCCTCTTAAGGCAAATAGCAGTATTAGTTATTCTTGTAGTTCTTTACAGTACCAAGGTGTATAGTTGCTCAGTAAATACTTTATAAGTTAAATATTAATCCTCAGGGGAGGGCCATGAAGTTCTGTTTTAAATCCCAAATGATCATAGTTCAGTAAATGATGAGAAATGCCACCTGTAGAGTGAACAGGGATTTTCCTAGTGAACTTCCTCCTTTGGTGGGATATTCTGCAAGAGCACCCCTGGATAAGGCATCAAAGAAATCCTGGTTCCTAGGAAGGTCTGATTAGACTCTATGCACATGGTAGTTTAGGCTTCTCTACTCTGAAAATAAAAACTAGAGGAAACTCTTATTCAATAAAAAAGAAACATATTTAAAGATTCCCAAAGGGTCTTTGAAGCAGGAATGAAACTTTAGTTTCAGAGTGACCTTCAGTACTGAAGAAAGCTTTACAAGGAAAGATAGCGCTGGGCATTGAAGCACTGGGCACTGATAGAACTTTTAGAGGGAAGAGACAGGAAAATGGGGAGAGAAGAGACTAAAAGAGAAAGGCTGGCTTAAAATAATCAGTGATGCTGAAGGACAACAGCTTAAATGATCAACTGGGAAAATTCTTCAGTCTAATGGCACAGGGAGATCACATCACAAGCATGACTAGAGAGCTGTAGATGGGAAAAGGTGTGAGGAAGACATTGTGAGGTTAGTGCTGTTAGGATGGAATCTTTGTGGCTATTGATTGAATACGGAAGGCAGACCAGTGGTGGAGTAAAAAGGTAGCACGTTGCTGAGATGGTGCAGACAGTCAGAGAAGCATGAGGGGCCCACCTGGTATGGAAGCTGTGCCAATCTGAATCGCCTTGGGTTTGATTATTTTTACCATCTGGCCCAAACAAACCTCATGAAACTGAGGCGCCCTGAGGCTATGCCAGTGCAGCTCATGTGTATTTAGATGTTAGCTGAAACAAAGAACCATTTCTCACAAGTATAGAAATATAACAAATTTATATTAATTCAAAAAGTACCATTTTCTGTTTATAATTCTTTTCCCCTAAGAATTTCTTTTAAAGTAGCCAGACTCTGTTGCTCCTGATTTTAGGAAAGAATTTAGGAAATTTGTCCCACACACCATGAGAGGTATGTAAGCAGTAGAGTATTAAGATGCACCTGGATTTCTGGCGTGCTGAAAGCAGACACGTTACACAAACTCAAATGCCTAAAAAGGATCCCAGAAATGGGAAAGTCATAGAGAATGAAGCAGTAGTGGGTCAGAGCCCTTCTCCTGCCATATATGCCCTTAAATTTTCTTTTCATTTCTTAGAGCTGCCCATTCTCTCATCTCTCAGGGGAAAAGAGTAGACACATTTCTTTTGTAAGCAGAAGGCCTTTGACTCTGACTATAAACTTTGGAAATGGCAGGAAGAAGGAGAAATGCATATATACCAAGGCACATGGGAACAACGATTATATTCTTACTAAAGCCACAGATTTTAAATGGTTTGGCCTCAGTAGTCATTTTGGGGATTAGGTTGGACTTGGGGTTTAAAAGACATCTGGAATATGAATGTAGAACGTGACAGTCTGAGTTCAGCAAGCAACGCATCTAAGGAATTTAAAGAAAAAGAAAGACCAGACAAAATGTCAGGCCTAAAGTTCTTAGAATCAGCAACCAGAAAGAAAACAGATAATTGACATCACAATAGCACAGGAATTTCAACAAAGCAATCTGGAAGAGTGAAGAGAAGATGTGTTTCAAAGTCAGCTTAACTTGATCCTGGATTCCAGATCTTCTACCTACATTAAGCAAGTTAAGTTCTGGGATCCATTACAGGATACTTTATTCATGAAGGCACACAAGCAGGTCAAGAATTGATCCATCTTTATTTAGACATCCACAAACATTTTGAGTTAGAAAAACCAGGTGTCCACCTTAAACTCATAATCTACAGAGTGATAATTAAGTGCAGTGAAGTAAGAACCAAGGGAGATAGGTGAAAAATACATGGGATCACCCAGGAGGGGTTGATGGTAGAGATTTCTGAGCTTGCTAGAGTACATCATGATAGAACAAAGTCACTGCTTGCTGTTGATACTTTAAAAAAAAATTTAAAAGAAACTTTTGTGGGTACATAAATATATATATTTATGGGGTACATGAGATGTTTTAATACAGGCACACTATGTGAAATAAGCACGTCATGAAGAATGAAGCATTCATACCCTCAAGCATTTATTGTTTGAGTTATAAACAATCCAATTACATTTTCTAAGTTATTTTTAAATATACAATTAAGTTGTTATTGACTATAGTCACCCTATTGTGCAATCAAATAGTAGGTCTTATTCATTCTTTGTATTTTTTTTTGTGCCCATTAACCATCCCCAACTCTCTCTTTGCCCCAATCCCTCCACTACCCTTTCCAGACTCTGGAAACCATCCTTCTACTTTCTATGTTCATGAGTTCAATTTATTTGATTTTTAGATCCCACAAATATGTGAGAACATGTAATGTCTGTCTTTCTGTGCTTGGCTTATTTTACTTAACATAAGGATTTCTAGTTCCATCCATGTTGTTGCAAATGACTAGATCTCATTCTTTTTTATGGCTAAATAGTACTCCACTGTGTATATGTACCACATTTTCTTTATCCATTCATCTGTTGATGGACACTTAGGTTGCTTCTAAATCTTAGCTATTGTAAACAGTGCTACAACAAACAGGTACACAACAAACTGGGTACTCAGCAGTGGGATTGCTAGATCACATGGTAACTCTACTTTTAGTTTTTTGAGGAACCTCCAAACTGTTCTCCATAGTGATTGTACTAGCTTACATTTCCACCAACGGTATACAAAGGTTCCCTTTTCTCTATATTCTCACTGTCATTTTGGATGTAAGCCATTTTAACTGGGATGAGATGATATCTCATCGTAGTTTTGATTTGTATTTCTCTGATGGTAAATGATATTGAGCATCTTTTCACATGCTTGTTTGCCATTTGTATGTCTTCTTTTGAGAAATGTCTAGTCAAATCTTTTGCCCATTTTTTGGTCAGATTATCAGATTTTTTCCTGTATAGTTGTTTGAGCTCCTTATATATTCTGCTCATTAATCCCTTGTCAGAAGGGTAGTTTGCAAATATTTTGTCCCATTCTGTGGGTTGTCTCTTCACTTTCTTGATTGTATTCTTCTCTGTGCAGAAGCTTTTTAACATGATGTGATCCCATTTGTCCATGTTTGCTTTGGTTGCCTGTGCTTGTGGGGAATTGCTCAAGAAGTCTTTGCCCAGACCATGTCCTGGAGATTTTCCCCAACATTTTCTTGCAGTAGTTTCATAGTTTGAGGTCTTAGATTTAAGTCTTTAATCCATTTTAACTTGATTTTTATATATGGCAAGAGATAGGGGTCTAGTTTCACTTTTTTGCATATGGATTTCCAGTTTTTCCAGCATCATTTATTGAAGAGATTGTTTTTTCCCCAGTGTATGTTCTTGGCACCTTTGTCAAAAATGAGTTCAATGAGTTCACTGTAGGTGTGTGGATTTGTTTCTGGGTTCTCTATTCTGTTCCATTGGTCTATGTGTCTGTTTTTATGCTAGTACAATGCTGTTTTGGTTACTATAGCTCTGTAGCATAATTTGAAGTCAGGTAATGTGATTCCTCCAGTTTTGTTCTTCTTGCTTAAGATAGCTTTGGCTATTTTGAGTCTTTTGTGGTTCCATGTAAATTTTAGGATTACTTTTTCTATTTCAGTGAAGAATGTCATTGGTATTTTGATGGGGATTGCATTGAATCTGTAAACTGCTTTAGGTAGTATAAATATTTTAACAATATTGATTTTTCCAATCCAGGTTGTTGATACTTTGCCATGACTGTCTTCCTTTACAGTGTCGGAGCTGTGCAGGCGGAGCTGCAAAATGACAGATAGCATGGAGCCAGCAGTTGTGTATTGAAATTACCAAGCATAAGAGCTGGCAGTGACTTAGATATATCTAGCTCAATTCATGCACTTAAAGATGAGGGAACTGAGGAAGGAAGAAATAGAGTGACTTGGGCATATGCAAATTGCCCAGGTTATTGTTCAAGTTAGAGCCAGAACTAAAACCCGGATTTTCTGTCCCCAGTAGTGCTCTTTTCACCACATTGCGCTGCCTCTTACTGCCAAATAGTGTTACTTAGAGGCTAGAACTACTTCCCCAGAGATGATGGAATCAGGAAATTCTACAAACATTTTTTATGAATGCTCTGTAACAATTTCCATGGGTAACAAGCCTTTTTAGAGACTATTGTCTGAAGCAATGCTGCCCAATAGAAAGTCTGCAATGATGAAAATGTTCTATAGCTGCACTGCCCAGTATGATGGTCACTAGCTGCATGTGGTCACTAGCACTAGAAATATGGCTAGTTTGGCTGAGGAACTGAATATAAAATTTTAATTTCATTAGGCACAAATTGCTAGAGACTTACCATATTGGCCAGCATAAGTCTTCAGAATTATCTATATCTTTAGTTATACCACTAAGTATGTGACTGTCTTTTTCTAGCTGCCTTGACTTTGAGCCCTACAAGCTCCCTCTTCCCAGTCCCTGAGCCATGAGAACCAAACCATGCCTAAGTATATGTAAAGACCACCATCCTCTCTGGTGGATGAGTCTGGTCTTAGTCTGTGGCAATAAGTACATTTTGCCTAGATTGTTTTTCTGGAAGAGTACTTGTCACATTTTATAATAGTAATAATTATAATTTGTTAGCATATTCTGTATACCCATCCCTCATACTCAGTCATCTATAGGTATTACATCTATTACTCTTCCCACCAACTCAGTGAGTACGCTCTATTACTGTCAACCAGTGGCCAGAAAGCAAATCTGTCTTCTTCCAAAATCCGTGCTCTTTTTACTATCCCACACTGTCTAAGAACTGAGGATTAGTGTACAATCCCCTGTTGCTTGGGCAGGGGAGATTTTCCTTCATTTATTAAAAAATACTATTGGCTGCCTGTTAAGTGCCAGGCACTGTGCCAGGTAAAGTACATAGTGATGAATCAAATGGGATTATCCTAGCTGACATTGGACATGTTTTCTAGTAAATGCTGGTTTTTGGAGGAAGAAATTTGGTAGATTCTGTTAAGTAGCTGGGAATTCAGTGCTTATATGCTGCAAACTGGAGCTATTTATACTGGAGCTGTTCCTTTGATGTTTGAAACGTGCAGCAATTCTCTCTTGTAGCCAAGATGTGTAATTTTTTTTTTTTGGGGGGGGTGTTTTTTACCATTAAAATATTATGTTTTATTTACTCAAGAGTTAAAAATCCTAGGATTTCATCATGAACTCCACATACAAGCCAATTTCACAGCCATAGAAATTTCCAAAATTAGTATTGAGGCAGTTGACCACAGCTCTATGCTAATTTCTGAGGCTATTAATTGTGTTTGTGAAATATAAATGCATGAGCAATGACTGTGGATATTGCTTAAGAATCTAAACACTTTATTGAAGAAATAAGTGAGACAAAATAGGTGTGATAAGAGTACAAAATATGTACCATATTGCATCAAATCTAGCATACTATAAATTTTAAGACATATATCGTATTCCATGGACCACAAAAGATGCTGCCAATTAAATTATGACTTAATGTATTATCATATTGAATTTTTAAAAGACTTTTAAAGGAGGTCTTTTAGCTTATTCAAACATAACTGCCCTTTATTACTCATCTGCATAAATTAAAAAGAAAATGTAAGCCAAATAAATTGGTTAAGGAGTTCCTAAAACTGCTACAAATCAATAATTTGATCTTTTTGAATTGTTTTCAACTCAGAGTTATCAACATCTGTGTTTTTGCACACAGTCTCAGCTTCTGCACCATCAGGAGCCCTGGGATGCAGAATTTCTCGAACACTTTTCTTTTGGGATTTTATCCTACACCGTTGAAATCCTTCTGCAAATTTTGAAGATGGTGCTTTCTTGTTTATTGTGTCTTTTTTGCACATTTATCACTGAATGGACATAACAAAGCTTCATCTACTATTAGGCATCATCCTTCCTATGTTTTGTAAGGTGCTTGGTTGTTGCATTATAAGAAAATTTTAAAAACTGGTTACTCCTTCAATATCAAACATTTACTTCAGTATTACCAATTTTCTGCCTCACTGTTTTTGTACCTTTCTGGGTATGCACAATACCTCTATGTTTCAAAGCTAAATCACAATGTACTCTTTGTGAAGATATTTTAAAGAGCATTTAGACTTAATAGTGTAGCACAAAGAGTAACAAATAAACAGCTGAAGTAGCAATGACACAAATAGCTGACAGGAACTTTGCACAAAACAAAGAATGATAACAATGTCACCAGGCCTGCCAGCCTCCTGAGGTTCTAATATACCATGTTGGTAAGAAACAATCTGGTTTTAGATGTTGTAAAATATGAAAAAAAAGTGTGTCTAGAACCAATGAACTACGGATCATTGGATTCCAGTGATGCTGTTGATCAAGCTTATCTATATGGTTTAACATAGGAAATTCTCAGTTATAAATCCTTGGAAGCAGAGACAGTGATATCAAATGCCTCATGCTTCTAGAAGTGGTGCTCTGTGAAGCAAAATGACTCTTCAAGTTTCAGAGTAAAGGCTGAATTTAGTTACTTTGGGCACTGAGAAACGAAGTTATAATCTGGATTTCTGGCTCTCTGGTTTTTTTTTTTTTTCCTGGATTGCTGGATTTCTCTTTTTAAACACCTTTTTGCCCTCAACACCAGATACTAGTGAATTTGTAAAGAAATAAAATAGTATGCAATCCTTACTTACGTTTTGCTCAAAAAGATGATTTGTCATGTCTCACAATTACAGGCCTCCTTTATTAATACATTCCAAAGATATTTATTGAGTGTTGCTGTGTGCCAGGTGCCGACATAATATGGACCAAAAAACTTGCCCTTGTGGAGTTTTCACTATGGTTGGGGGAGGCATATCACACACAAACAGGTAAACTGCATGCTGTGCTATACATACAGAGTCCCTGGTAAGGTCCATGGGGGGAAGCAGAACTGAGAGGGATGAGTGGCATCTCTGTATCTTTCAGTGCTTCCCAGCTGGAAGGTGCATCAGCCTGGCTCATCCCTAGCAGTGTGTTGTCCCCTCGGTTATTGCTAGACAGGCTCCTGGTCCAGACACAGGTCTCCAGCGAGTCTTCAGACCAAGCCCTGTATCCTGAGGGGAGGTTTGGACTCAGCCCCCACCTCCTATTCCCTGTACCGTAATTTTGAGTCTCTCATCAGTCACGTGGACTGGTTACATCTTTGTCTCCCCTTCAGAACACCCTGGAGCCTGTACCTCCCTCAGAGTGTCTTTCCTGGCTGCCTTGCCACTACTCGAAGCATTCCCAGACTGCAGTGCTGGGACCCACAGTTGCACAGTCAGGGACACGCTCTCCACAAGTGACACTAAAGGAGCGAGGAAGAATTTTTGCATCTTGTTGAGCTCCACTTCCTCCTCAGGCAAATGACTTGGCAAATCATTCTCTTTTTCTTCTCAGATGTTTCCTCTCTTTTTCACAGAAGGTGAACAAAATGCTCTCCTCCTTGCCTCACTAGAGAATAACCTGCCATTTCCAGTTAGGACTGATAGTGAAGGCTGTGAGGTGGAGTGCTGCGGGCACTCAGTCCAGGCGCGTCCCTGGCTCTCTTTCCTTGCCGTTTCTGCAGTCTGACCTTGGCCCTTTGAGCCTGTGCTGGGGTGGAGATGCTACTCCTTGAGGAGGTGAACTGTCAGCTATGTGATGTCCTCCCACCCTAGTGTTACCTGGAATGACCAGACACCAGAAATAAAACTGGAAATACAGCAGTGTGTGGCCTCCCAAACGAACAGGCCACTGCTCTCCCTGCTTCCCTGAGGCTTCGGGGCTGGAACTCAGAGCTCAGGTTCACACCTCACTCTAATGGGAACACATTGTCAGGGGCTTCTCACAGAGGGGAGCCTGCTGAGAGAAGGCTGCAGGCAAGGAACTCTCAGCCGTGCAGCCACATAGCCTGCACAGGCCAGGCTGGGCTGCCCACCCCTCCCCATGCTCCCCATCCATGGCTGGGCTATGGTGAGCTTCCTTCAAACCTGCTCAGCCTTGGCAGGCTCTGCTCAGAGACAGAATACTCTGTAAGGAGGGTGGCAGTGGGGGTTGGTGGAAGAGGACAGGGAATGGCTAAAAGGGCCAGTGGGAAGCCGGGAGCTCAGAGCCTTTCAGAAAGGAAACGAGAGTCCGTAAGCCAGGGTTTGGAAGAATTGGGAGACATTTGAATCCTCCCTCAATGTGAAGGCCATGCTTTTCTGTGAGGTGAAAGATGCTGGACCAGAGGCTCTAGTCTCCCGATGTGGGAGGTTGTGGTGATGTCGGGGTCACTTCTCTGCCAGGAACCTGTGTGTGCTTACCAGGATCTGGCTAAACAGGAGGAAAAATAGGAAGATCTAAAAGAGAGGCAATAGGTTAGCAATATTAATCTGTTGAAGGGAAAGAAGAGGCTAATACTGAATGATGACAGCCAGTTTCTCCAATAATACTGGTGGCATGGAACTCAGGGACTGTGTGTAACCAACATACTGCTTAGTCATAACAGATGTAGCACAGATACCTAACCATCTTATAGACAGAAAATCTGATCACCCCGGAAGTTAAAATCACACCATAACGACAGAGCCCAAGGAGATATCCTTGTTCTCCTCAATTCTAGACCAGAGCCATGTTGACTGTCTGCTCTGCACCTCTGGCTGGGTAGAGAGATGAGCAGAGGGAGTCTGGGAAGGCAGGTAAGCAGAGATCAGAGAAATGGAAGCTCAGTCTGTGGAAGGAGCCAGGGAAGAAGTTGCCAGGACCACAGTTGCCAGGAATCAATGACAAGGAGGAGGTATATTTGAGAACCGATCACGTCAGTGTCGTTAGTGTCTCCCCGAAATTCATCTCCACCTGAACCTCTGTATGTGACCTTTGCAGACATAATCACATTAGCATACAGTAGGTACCAAGAGATCGACACCACCCTGGCTAACACGGTGAAACCCCGTCTCTACTAAAAATACAAAAAATTAGCCGGGTATGGTGGCAGGCGCCTGTAGTCCCAGCTACTCGGGAGGCCGAGGCAGGAGAATGGCGTGAACCCGGGAGGCGGAGCTTGCAGTGAGCTGAGATTGTGCCACTGCACTCCAGCCTGGGTGACAGAGCAAGACTCCGTCTCCAAAAAAAAAAAAAAAAAAGATACGGTAGGTACCAAATGCTATACAACTGGTATCATTTTAAGAGTAGGGCAGTTTGGACACAGAGACACAGACACAGGAAGAGAACATCACATGAAGAGAGAGGCAGAAATTGGAGTGATGCAGCTTCGAGGGAAGGAGAGCCCTGGATGCAGGCAACCACCGGAAACTGAAAGAGCCAAGCGAGGATTCTTCCCTAGCACCCTTGAAGGAGCATGGCCCTGCTGACTCTGTGCCTTTGGAATTGTGGCCTCCAGAACTGCAAGGGAGTAAATTTGTGTTGTGTTAAGCCACCAGGTTTGTGATCCTTTGTTACAGCTGTCCAGGGAAACAAATACTCCTGGGATCAGGGCCGCACCTCAGAATCCAGGTCAGTGCTTTCTGCAAGGTGGACGAAGGTGCCCATGCTTCCTCCACTCTTCCTCTGGAGTAAAGTGGGCCCTGGGTGATCTTATTTGAGACTGATTTCTCTGGGTGTGGCGCAGAACCACTTCAGCTGTCCCTGCTGTTCTGAAGCTTCTGTTTTAACTGAGGGACTGCAGAGGCTGGTAAGTCAATAGTGCTTTCTCCAGGGATCACAGACAGGCCTTCCTAGTCACAGCTTAGCTCATTCCCACCTCAATACAGCACATCCTGCAAATGAGGAAAAACTGAGAGGCACCTGCACAATTTACCATGTGTCTTAGCTGGATCCTTACTGAGTTCTATACCTTATTTCCCATGGAGACTCACACAGATGCAACTTCTAAACAGTGGGGCCACACTCCTGCATTTGGACACCCATTTCCTTCCTCAGATCATAGTGGTCCTCCTTTCCCCTGGCACCGATACTAACTTATATAACTGCTTCTTCACACCTTATGTATTAGCTATATATTGCTGAATAACAACATTATTCCAGAATTTGTCAGCTTAAATAACATTTATTATCTCACAGTTTCTGAGGGTCAGGAATCCAGAAGTGTCTTAGCTAAGTGCTTCTGACTAATCAAGTTTTCGGCCAGGCTGCAATCATTTCTAGGCTTGACTGGGGCTGGAAAATCTGCTTCTGAGCTCCCTCACATGGTTGTCAGCAGACCTCAGATCCTCACTAGCTATTGGCTGCAGATTGCAGCTCCTCCTCAGGCTGGTGACTCCATAGGCTCCTGAATGTCCTTGTGATACAGCTTCTGGCTTCCCAAAGCCCACAATCTGAGCACACACAAGAGAACAACCTAGACAGAAGCCGCGGTCCATTGTAATCTACCTTGAGAGTGACATACCATAACTTCTGCCATTTGCTGTTGGTCCCAGACCAACTCTGCCACAAAATGGAACAGACTGCATGAGAGTATGACTGCCACAAAATGGAACAAACTGCATGAGAGTATGACTACCAGGAGGTGGGGATTTCAGAGGACCGTCTTGAAGAGACTACCACACCCTATTAGAATCAAGCATTTCTTGTCTTGACTGGTCATTTCCTTTTTCTGAGCATGGGGTAGCAGAGAGATCACTTATGGCCACAGCCCCCAGAGTCTGGGAACCTGACCAATTCTACTATTTAATCCTATCTGGGGGATCCAAATTTCCCCCTTTTCCTTTGGCCAACGGAGATACTGCACTATGGCTAGGAAAATAGTGGCACTTTGTTAATCCCTTCTTGGCCGAACTACCTAGATTCAAGTCTTGACTCCTTCACTTATTAGCTTTGTGATACTGGGCAAGGTTTTCAGCTTCTCTGTGCCTCAGTTTTATGTAAAATGGGGCTGAAACATGATACATTTCATAAGATTATTTTATGGCTTTAAGAGGTAAATATATATAAAATAAGTAGCGCAATGCAAGGGGTGCATAAATGAGAGCTATTATGATAACTGTTGGAATACATCCTAATTTAGAATACACAAAGGAAATAGATGGGGTGAAGGGGAGTGGTAAAGCAGTGAAAAGTCAGATTCTTTGTTAAATGTTCTGTGATTTATGGAGCTTCAGATTTTTTAATGTAACTGTTACTCCAAACAAATGTTCTTTCCCTCTTCTTCTACTTCTTCTCATGAATACAATGGTGTTAATTCCTGTGCCTCTTACAGTTCAAGCAAGAAAGACTGCCCAATTGTGGCCTAACCTGTGTGTCTATAATTTGGTGAGGGTGATATGCCCCAATATAGAGAGAACCATAATTCTGACCTTTCAACTAAATGGAATTAATTTTAAAAGGAAAAAAATTAAATACCAATAAAGTTAATAAACAATTTTGAATTAAGAAAGTAACACTCCTTTATTGAATTCATTATTTTAATATCCCTTTGCTGAGTTTGGAACAGTCACATCTGCCAAATTTCAACTAGGTCAGCACAAATGTTTTTATTTGTAAAATATTCATTAGTAAAAATAACTATACCCCATTGTTTAAAAACCCTTACCAAGTGGATTGGGTGCTGCTGGTTTATGGTCCTTGTCATCCACATTGTGAGATACCAGTTATTTGGGTCAATGGCTCCTAAGCCAGATAGCACCAAATACTTGGCTGGATATTTTCTCATTCATGTTTGCAAACCTAGAATTAGAAAGTGAGATGACCATATACAAAACTGTAGCAGCCAGATTTGACATTAAGAAAACAAAACTAAGCTTAACTCAAAAGGGCCCCCAAAACAGCAATGAACAAGAACTATTTGTCTATTCTTCCTCCTGTTGGTTGAGTCTGCACACCAGGATGCAACTAACAGTCCTCTTGAAAGAGCGCTGGAGAAATGCTCTGCCCTGCTGGTTAAGCAGACTGCTATGTCACAACTTGAGTTGAGTTTCCATCAGCATTTCAAGGTCAGCACCCATGATCATTCCTCAGTAGCCTGTTAGAACAAAGCACCCAGGGCTTCTCTTATCTCTGATGCCTATAGATCAAGACAGTTCTTGCTGGAAAGAATCCTTGGCTATCTCCATTTATTGTCCTCTCAGCCTCTGACAACCTAGAGAAGAATGCAGTGACTATTTCTCAGAAATGGACGGTGTGGGACAGGTGGTTCAGACAATTCATGGCCAAAAGATTCAGCATTCAGGCCAAAGAAACTGATAAAAAAAAAAAACAGGATTCTTTTCTAACCAGTTGTCTGAATTACTTACCCTTCTCTCTTCCAGAGGCCCTGCTGCCTGACAAAGAGAAATTCATAATGACAGTGGAAAATTGCCAAACTCAGCAAATTTCTCCAAGCAAATAATGATTCCAGTAAAGAGTGTTCAAGTTTGCTATAACAATAATGAAAATAATAATATTTTATACACTAAAGTGCTTCTCATCCCCTAGTCTGCTATTTAATATGTTAAGTTTATACATTTGCATATGCCTGTAGGAGAATGTGCACAGTGTATATTAAACACATAAAATACTTTGGTGAAACATTGTCAGTTGTTTGATTAATTTCCAAAATTTATTCATCTTGCCTACTTAAAAACTTTAATCCCGAATATTACATTAGCCTCTACCCAATCTTAACAATTTCTCCCATTCACATTTTTAGGATCGAAATTTTCATCTATTAACATCATATAGATGGCTAAGAAGTTAGGGGCATCTTTCTCTGAATGTGTAATTTCCTACTCAGAAAGCTAAAACAAAACCTGAGGAAGGGGAGGCAAATGAAACATTTTCTCATTTGGGATTGTGCCTGATTTCTATTATCTCTACCCAGCCTGTCTGAGGTCAGAAGCTCAGAAACTGGAACATCACACTAGCCTAGCCTGGCTTTATTCAAGTTTAGAAATGAAACACTAGAAATACAGGATTCTGCAGAGCTAAAGATTTCTGTAACCACAGTGACTCATAAACACAGCACAAGAAATGTATTTGATTTGGGTTTTGGCCTTTAAATGTGCCACTTTCATCTCTTTTTGGCCTCTCCTTACCACACAGTGTTCCACTTAGGATATCATAGCCAGAGCTGTAAAGCTCCCTAAAGTCTTTGAAGAGAAAGGCTGATTTTGTGCAAAGTAGAGCTGTTGTTTTATTAAGGATGCATGAGAAAATATAACTAGACTTCACAGAGTGACTAAGAAATGCTGCCGGTGGGCTGAATCTCAGCCATCACTGGCCCTTCTGAGATCTTTAATCTCTTCTGTGAAGATCAAGAGGGAAGTGTGTGTAGGGGAAAAGCAGAGCCAGGCCCAGTACCAGGAGAAGGGGAGAAGGAATTTTGGTGAGGAAATTCAGCTCAGCAAGCATTCATTGAGCTAGGTGCTAGAGATAAAACTTGATAAATTTCCTGCCACAAGAGGACATGCAAACAGGAAATTTCAATATAATGTGCTCAGAAATAGTGTAGAGATGTGCTAGGGGACCCTGGGAGAGCTGCGTGGGGTCACTGCAGTCACTATGGGGATTATAAAGGAAGGGTATCTGGACAATGGAAGGCTGAGCTAATAGCCAAGATGTACAGACAGGAAGACAGGTCTAGACAAAATGGCAGCGTCTGAGAGAACAAGAAACTGCATGCTGTATGCTGGGGACTTTTAGCACTTGGTTAGCACGGGGGTAGTGCCAAAATGAGAATGCAGAGGTAAACAGGGCCAGGTCACAAGGGGCATTGCCTGCCATGCTGAAGAAATTAACCATTGTTCTGTTGGTAGCGTAAAAGCCACTGAAGGGTTGTCATTAAGGAAAAAATGGGGCCTGATCTGTGTTTTAGAGAGATCGTTTCACTAGCTATATATATTTAAGAGGCAAGACTGGAGGTAGAGAGGTGTGGCTTACAGGTGATTTCAAGAGCTTAAGAAAGAATGGCAAAGGCCTGACCTAGGACAGTAGTTCCAGGGAGAAGATAGACTAAGTTGGAGACATAAATCAATGGAACCTGATTAGTTATTTGTGGTATAGGAAGAAAGGGGAAAAGAGCAGGTTTCTAGAACAGTGGTTCTTAAAGTGTGATAGGTGGAGCAGCAGCAGCAACAACACATAGGAATGTATTAGAAATGCAAATTTGGGGGCAACCCCAGACCTTGTGAACCAGTTACTGAATCAGAAACACTGAGGCTGGAGTTCAGCAGTATGTGTGTTAACAAGCCCTGCTAGTTCTGATGCAAGCTCAAGTTTGAGAACCACTAGTCTAGGATAACTTCCAGGATTTTACCTTGGGTTCCTGGGTAAATGATGCTACCATTGGCTGAGATAGGGGATACTCTAAAAGGAACAGAGTGTTGTGAGGGTGAGAAGTCAGCAAGTTAAAGAAAGGAAGAGAAACAGGGTGATTTTCAGCAAAGAAAAACAAAAAGAATTGGAAGGAAAAAGTGACTCTCAGAGCCTTCTTGACGTGCGCAGTTGGCAGAGGAAAATTCTGAAAGCCCAATTCGCTGCTCTTGGGGTAACAGTGGAAGGGAGGTTGCAGTCTGAATAATGAGTCAGCAATTTTATCCCCCAAATCATTAAGAAAATCTCAGTTGCCCAAACTATTGATTGTAACCTGTACTGCTTTCCATAACAATACACAGTAGCCACAATTTGGCAGGATTTGATTGAGGTCCTCCTACCCTTGTGTGTCTGCGAAAGAATATGCGTAAACTCAGGACCCAGATCAAAACCTAAGCGGGCCGTGAGAATGATTAACACTACGTTCAACAGCAGAGATGGTGGAACTTGCAGATCATGGCAAAACTTGGCCAAGGGGTCAGAAAAGTCCCTCTCATAGGAACAAGATCCCCTGATTTCTCTTATCTCTACCCAGCCTGTCTGATGGGAGAAGTTCATGAACTAGAACATAGTAGCCTAACCTGGCTTTATTCAAGTTTAGAAATAAAACACTGGAAATACAGAATTCTGCAGAGCTGAAGATTCCTGCAGCCACAGTGACTCATAAACACAGCCAAAGAATTTTTTATTCTTTGCTTCTGAAATTATTTGCCCCTAAATTTGTTGGTCACTGTGCCAGAGTCAGAGATCAAAGTACAGCTAATGTCACCCAAGTGAATGCTTGGGTCAAGGTGGTGAGATGTCAGCCACAATGGAGGGGGATGGGCAGGGAGAAAGGATCATTCTTCTGCTGGATAGAGTGTCCTGGAGTGGGGTCAGAGATGGATAAAGTAAGCAAGGAGAGGAAAGGGACAAATCATGGGGGAGGTGGTAACAGAAGGGTTCTGCAGAAAGTTCTGCCTGGATCCAGCCCTGCATCACATAAAGAGAGATGAAATAGCATCCCCATCCTTGTGAAATAGAGTTACTTGCCCAGGACATTCAGGTCTGAAAATAGAAGATTTAATGCACCAAGGAGGCTAGTAACTCAGTAATGACAGAGGTATGGAAGCTTTTTCCTAACATGGTATCTGAAGATAAAAGCAGCTCAGAGTAGACACATATTTTAAGTGCTGTCCTCCTAATACAAATCCATCAGTTAGATGTGCTCTTTGACCGGCTTTTTAGCAGCAAGAATGGCTTGTACTGATGAATCCGCATGATCTGTGCCAACGTTCCCAAGCCTTTGGCTTCACAGCACCATGTTCCAACCAACTGTTCTTTTCTCTGCTCCAATTCATTCTACGTATCACTGCCAGATCGATTTTCTAAAGTAGGACCCACGACTTTGTTCTGCTCAAAACCAGCAATGGCTCCCTCTTGCCTGTAAAACTGAATATAAACTTTTCAACTTGACCAAGGTACCTCTAATTTCCATTATTAATTCCTGTCTTTCCCTCAAAGCCATGGTGCTTGTAGACCCAGCTACTCAGGAAGCTGAGGTGGGAGTATTGCTTGAGTCCAGGAGGTAAAGGCTGCAGTGATCCTTGATGGTGCCACTGAATTCCCGCCTAGGTGGAAAAAAAAAAAAAAAGACTCTCCTGGACAGAGGTTGGATATTTTAAAATTATACTTTCTTGATCCATTTGAGCAGTTTTAGAATAGAAAAGAAGGTACATATTAATGGAAGGAGGAGGAGGGTTCGAGGAGCTCTGATGAGCATTATGAGCAGCCTGTCCTAGGCACATGAGGCACATGAGGACTAGGCACATGAGGCACATGAGAACTTGGCACACAGGATGGGGAGGGACCAAGGAACCACAGGAGGGGACTTGGTAAGGGCCTGCGATTTTTGTCTGATACATATGCAGTCTGGCTTCTTGTAGAAAGATCCACTTCAGAATTCCCAGCTAGGGAATTCTGCCTCTATGAGGGGCTGAGGGGACCCTGCTCCCATCAACCCCATGTGTACTACTAATCAAACATCTGCTGTGGGCTCCCTAACACCTTCATAAGCAGGCTTTCAGGCTTTTAAAATTAAAATAAAGAATGAATATGGTAGCACCAAGAAGCTGTCAATAATTTTCTTGAGAACAGGCAAACTTTGAGTGCACCTGCCTTATCCCCAGGAGAACAGCTGCAGCATGGAGCTCCAGGAGGACAGCAAAGGATGTTCCCAGTTCCCATTCCTGGTAGAGTGCTTGGTCAAGTGGCTTAACCCACATGTGCTTCAGTGTCCTTATGTGTAAACTGGAGATAATAGACTAATAGTACAAGGTGCTGTTCTAGGTATTTTATACATATTATCTCATTTAATCTTTACAACAGTCTTGTGAGATAATATGTATAAAACACTCAGAAGAGCACCTTGTACTCAATAAGGCCTAAGTAAATGCATGCTGCTGCTATTAGTGGCAGATAAGGTAGGGTTCTAAAGTCAGCTTTCTTGGGTTCAGGTCACAGCTTTACCTTGCTGACCTTGGGCAATTACTTAACCTTCTCTCTATGACTCGGATTCTTCATCTGTAAAATGGGGATAAGCAATAATACTTTCCTCATAGGATTGCAGTGAAGATAAGTAAGTTAGTGCATTTTGAGCAGTGACTGGCATCATATGTTATCAAATATCAGCTACTATGCTAATTATCTTAGTCATCTCCCTATCCCCCCCCCCCCTTGCCCTCCCCTTGGCCGACGTAGTTTTTTAAACTTTGATTCTTAATATTTTAGGAAGTGCTAGGATTCCCTGGAGTCTTCCTTCCTGCAAGTTCATTCTATTTTATGTCTCGATTAGTGGGTCATAGATTTACAGTTGTTGTAAAACCTGGGTGCTTGGGTCTCAGCCCAGAGACACTGATTCAGTTCAATTGCAGTGGGGCTCCAGCACTGGTATTCTTTTTAAAGCTTCCCATATTATTCTAATGTGCATTTAGTATTCAGAACAACTTGTCCATACTGGTTTGAATCAAAAGAATATAAGGAGGAGTGTACACATACTAGACCACTCATCAAAAACCACCTAAGCCTTTTACTAAAGAAATGATCATAGAGCCTTGGTAAACCTTTCAAATTGATTTGGGAAGAACCTTGTGTTTGTGAAACTCTCAAAAGCATTTTGATGTGCATATGTGCTTGGCTTCAGCTCAGATACCTGTAGTGATACTTACTGTGGAGCCTTGCTCAGGTATTGTGGGTTGGGGGCGGGGCAGTGGCTACTATCTGGGGTCATTTGACATTGAATTTCAGCTATCATCTTTAAAAAATCACTTGAGTTATGAAGGGAAAGGAGACATAACTCAGCTCAGAGTGTCCCACCTGCTGGACCACACATATTTGGTGTTTCTTTTATATTCACAGGCAGCTTTCACAGTCATTGTAAAAGATTCTTTGATTCAGGCTGAAGATTTTGAACTTTATTCTGTAAGCTGTGGAAAACTTGTGAAGATTTAGGGCAGGAAAGCAATATGGTGACAAAAGAATTTCAAGAGTTCTGGTGGTGATGTGTAGAATGGATTGGATCAGGGAAAGAAAGAGGACAGGGAGTGTTATCAGAAGGCGATTGACGCAGTGCAGGTGAGAAGTGCTGGGAGAGAAGGGAGGACATGCGGTGGAATGAAGGACTGGGGTTCTATTAAGAGGTGAGGCTGGCCTTCTGAAGGGGTGGAAAATGATACCCCTTTAACCACATCACTGGCCCCTCATAGCTAAATTATGAAGCCCAAAAGCTATCTTAGCTCATTTCTTATTCAACAAGAAATTTACTTAATCTCTAGAATGTGCCAGTTGTAGGCACACGTGGTATAGTCAGTGGTGAATGGTCAGAAAAGCTTGGACAGAGCTCACTTTCTAGTGGGTAGGGGAGGAGAATATAATCACACAAAAAGAATACATTAAAGTGCCATGCAGAGGATTATACTGAAGTGAAATGATAGAGCATCTAATGCCTAATTTAGATGTAGCCACAAACTGCCTTACCACGAATGTGGCATTTAAGCTGAGATCTGAAGAAGAAGGAACCAGCCTTGTGATGATTGCTGCAACAGCATCCCAGGCAGAGGAGCAGCAAGGGCAAAGGTGGCCATGAGCTTGAAAATCTGAGAAACCAAAGGAAAGCTGGTGCAGGTAGAGGATACTGGGGGGAACAGTGGTCTTAGGTGAGGTTGGAGGGGGAGGCAGAGGCCAGATTACTTAGGGAATTCAAAGTCAGGCTAAGGACTTAGTGTATCCTTTATTCCAGATAGCATAAAAAACAGTGGGAGGAGTTTTCAAAGGGGTGTAACATGAAGTGATTTGTGCATTTAAAAATAACTGTGGCCACTCTGTGGTGAATAAACTGTAAGCAGGGCAAAAAGGGTAAGAATGATATTGACTTCTGTTAGGGTAGAAGCAGTAGAGATGCAGGATAGTGAGTTGGTTTGAATATATTTTGATGATGGAACTGAGAGGATTTGATGATGTTTTATATATTGTGGTGAATGATAGGGAGAAATCAAGGCTACTTTATGGATTTTTGGTGTGAGACACTAGGGGCTACTTACTGAAGAGGGAAAGTTTCAAAAGCAGCAGGGTAACGGGGATAGGTTATCTGTAGGTATCTTCCTATCATGTTATGTTTTAGATAATTATTAAACTTCCCAGTTGAAGGGTGAAATAAATGAATATACGTATTTGAATGTAAGCATCTAGGCTAGGGAAAAGTTCATGATAGCAATAAAAATTTAGAATAAAGTGGATATGGAATGTAGTTAATGCCACAAGACCGGATGTAGTCACCTGGAAGGAGTGTGTAGGTAGAATAGAGATGGGAGCCTGGCACCAAGGTCTTTGGCTTAGCAATATTTTGAATTGTAGAAGAGGAAATGTTGACACAGTTGTCTGTGAAGAAGTGACCAGTGAGGAAAGAGAAGGATCAGGGGAATAAGGTATCATGAAAGCCAAGAAAAGAAAGTATTTTGGGATGAAGAAAGTGATCAACTGTGTGGGATGCTGAGAGGGGGAGTAATATGAGAACAGACTATTGGATCTAGCAACATGAAAATCATCGGGCCAATGTAGTCTCAATGCAGCAGTAGGACTGGAAGCCTAACAGGGGTGGGTTTGAAGAAAGAATACAGGACAGGAAAGGACAGGAAATAGAGAAAGTGACATTAGGAAGCTGAAGAAGTTTTGCTATAAAAGTGAGAAAAAAATGAGGCTTTGGTGGGCAAGCGAAAGTTTTATTTCAAAATTAAATAATACTGGAGCTTGTTTGTGTAGTAGAGAGGAGAGGGGCAATTAATGCAGAAGAAAGGGGGGCGAGTTGCAAGACTGAAGTCCATGAAGGTGAGAGCAGATGGGTTCAGAGCATGAGGGAAGAGTTGGCTCTGGATAAAAGCAGGAGACAGTGTGGACACATGGGCACCAATACCAAAAGGATGGTAGACTTGGTGGAAGAAAGATGGAGTTGCTCTCTAATTGCTCCTTTTAAAAAAATTATAAATTATCTTAAAATACATGTAACATAAAATTTACAATCTTACCAATTTTTAAGTGTGCATTTTAGTGGTATTAAATACATTCATAATGTTGTGCGACTATCACTTTTTTTTGTAAAACTGAAACTTTGTTCCCATTAACAATGGAATGATTTTGACTCTTCTAAGTACCTTATGTAATATATAACTGTACAGTATTTGTGTTTTTGCTACTGGCTTATTTTACTTAGCATTAATGTCTTCAAGATCCATCCATGTTAAAGCATATTGCAGAATCTCCTTCCTTTTAAGGCTGAATAATATTCTACTGTATACATATACCACATTTTTCTTATTCATTCGTTGATGAACACTTGGGTGGCTTCCACATTTTAGCTATTGTGAAAAATGCTGACCATGAACATGGGTGTACAAATATCTCTTTAAGACCCTGCATTCAATTATTTTGGGTATATACCTAGAAGTGTAATTGCCGGATTATATGATAATTCTATTTTTAATTTTTTGAGAAACTGCCCTATCGCTTTCCACAGCAGCTGTACCATTTTATATACCTACTAACAGTGCACCGTGGTTTCAGTTTCTCCGACCTCATCAACATGTGTTATTTTCTGTTTTTTGATAGTAGCCATCCTAATTGGTTGAGGTGATATCTCATTATAGCTTTGATTTGTATTTCCCTAATGATTAATGACAGTGCGCATCTTTTTATGTGCGTATTGGTCATTTATATATCTTCTTTAAAGAAATGTCTATTCAAGTCTTTTGACTATTTGTGAATTTAGTTTGTTGGTTATTGTTGAGTTTTAGAAGTTCCCTGTATATTCTGGATATTAATCTCTTCCCAGATAAATGATTTGCAACTATTTTCTCCCATTCTGTGGGTTGCCTTTTTACTCTGTTGATAGTGTCTTTTTTGTTGTTGTTGCTGTTACTTTGATGGTTTTTAAAAATATTTATTTAAAAGAAAAGTTTTAGGTTCACAGCAAAATCAGGAGGGTACAGAGATTTCCCATATGTCCTCTGCTCCCACACATGCCTAACCTCCCCCATTTTGATAGTGTTGATGCACACAATTTTTACATTTTCATGAGGCTCAATTTGTCTATGTTTTTCTTTTGTTGCCTATGCCTTTGGCTTCATATCCAAGAAATCATTGCCAAATCCAATGTTGTTAAGATTTTGTCTTACATTTGCTTCTAAAAAATGTATTTTAGTACTTACATGTAAGTTTTTTGATCCATGTTCAGTTAATTTGAAAATGGTGTTAGGTAAGGGTCCAGCTTCATTCCTTTCCACCTGGATATCCAGTTTTCTCAGTGCCGTTTGTTGAAAAGACTGTCTTTTTCTCATTGAATGTTTTCGACATACTTGTCAAAAATCATTTGACCGTAATGCAAGAGTTAATTTCTGGGCTTTCTTGTCTATTCCATTAGTTTATTTTTATGCCAGTATCACACTGTTTTGATTACTATAGCTTTATGGTAAGTCTTAAAATCAGGAAGTGTGAGTCTTCCAGCTATGTTCTCTTTTTTCAAGACTGCTTTGGCTCTTTGAGGTCCCCTGAGATTTTATATAAATTTTAGCATGAGTTTTTCTATTTCTGCAATAATAAAAAGTCATTGAAATTTGGATAGGTAGGAACTGCATTGGATCTGTGATCTCCTTGGGTTAGTATTGACATTTTTTATAATAAGTCTTTCAATTCATGAACTTGGGCTGTGTTTTCATTTACTTATGTCTTCTCTAATTTCTTTCAGCAATGTGTTATTGTTTTCGCTGTATAATTCTTTGAGTTTTTTAGTTAATTCCTAAGTATTTTATTCTTTTTGGCGTGATTGTAAATGAAATTGTTTTCATAATTCTCTTTTCAGATTGTTCATTGTCAGTGCATATAAATGCAACTGATTTTTATGTGTCAACTTTGTATCCTGCTACTTTGCTGAATTCATACATTTGTCCTAATTATTTCATGGTGGAATCTTTAGAATTTTCTATATACTATAAAAGAGCATATCATCTGCAAACAGATAATTTTACTTCTTTATAATTTGGATGTCTTTTAGTCCTTTTTATCACCTGATTTCTCTGGCTAGAACTTCCAATACTGTATTAAATAGAAGTGGTGAAAGGAGGCATCTTTTCCTTGTTCCTGATCTTAGAAGGAAATATTTAAGTCTTTTACCATTAAGGATGATGTTTACTGTTGGTTTTTCATATATGGTTTTTATTATGTTGAGGTAGTTTTCTTCTATTCCTAGTTTGTTGAGTGTTTTAACCATGGAAAAAGTGTTGAATTTTGTCAAATGTTTTTTTTCTGTACCAGTTGAGATTATCATGTGTTTTACTCCCTTAATTGTGTTAATGTGATGTATTACATTAATTGATTTTCATATATTGAACCATCCTTGCATTTCAGAAATAAATCTCACTTGGTCATTGACATAATCCTTTTGATAGGCTGCTGAATTTTGTTGAGGATTTTTGTGTCAACGCTTATAAGGTATATTCATCTGTAGTTTTTCCCCTTATAGTATCTTTTTCTGGCTTTGGTGTCAAAGTCATGCTGGCCTCATAGAATAAGTTAGGAAATCCTCCTTCTTCAATTTCCTGCAAAAATTTGAGAAGGATTAGTGTTAGCTTTTTTAAATGTTTGGTAGAATTCACCAGCAAAGCCATCAGGTACAGGACTTTTCTTCACTGGGAGATTTTAAATTATTGATTCAATTGCCTTACTAGTTATAGGCCTATTCAGGTGTTTTATATCTTTATAATTTAGTCTTCATAGGTTTTGTGTTTCTATGAATTTGTCCATTTTATCTATCTTATCCAATTTGTTGGTATACAGTAATTCATAGTGCTCCCTTATAATCTTTTTTATTTCTATATACTTTGTAATCTCTCTACTCTCAATTATCATTGTAATAGTTTGAGTCCTTCTTTTTAGTCCATCTAAATAAAGGTTTGTCAATTTTGTTGATCTTTTGAAAAAACCAACTTTTGGTTTCATTTACTTTCTCTATTATTTTTCTATTTTCTATTTTATTTATCTCTAATTATTATTTCTTTCCTTCTGCTAGCTTTGGGTTTAGTTTGTTTGTTTGTTTCTAGTTCCTTAAGTTTTAAAGTTAGGTTGTTAATTTGAGATCTTTCTAGGTTTTTAATGTATTTATAGCTGTGCATTTTCTCCTTAGCACTGCTTTTGCTATGTCCCATAAGTTTCGTTATGTTGTGTTTTCATTTAAATTTGTCAATATTTTTCAATTTCCTTTGTGATTTTTTTCTTTGATCCATTGTTTAAGAGTACATTGTATAATTTCCACAAATTTTTAATTTTTTCTGACTTTACTTCTCTTACAGATTTCTAACTTCATCCCATTATAGTCAGAGAGGGTACCCTGTATGAAATCTATCTTTTAAAATGTACTGATACTTAATTTGTGGCCTAAATATGGTCTATACTGGAAAATATCACAAATGTCTCAAGAGAAATATGTATGCTATTGCTGTTGGGTAAAGTGTTCAGTATATGTCTGTTAGATCTAGTTGGTTTTATGTGTCCTTTAAGTCTTCTGCTTCTTTACTTCTGTGCAGTTGTTCTATCCATTATTCAGAGGGGAATATTAAAGTATCCAACTATTATTAGTAAAACTATGTTTTTCTTCAATTCCATCAGTTTTTGCTTCATATATATTTATGGTTTGTTATTAGGTACATATATGTTCATAATTTTTCTATATTCTTGCTATATTGAAACATATTAATATATAATGTTTTGTCTCTTATAACTCTTTTTTTTTAAATTTAAAGTCCACTTATTCTCACATTAGGATAACCACCCCTGCCATCTCTTGGTTACTATTTGCATGGAATATCTTTTTCTATTTTTTTTCACTTTAAATCTATTTGTGTCTTTGAATCTGAAGTGATTCTCTTACAGACAGCATATAGTTGGATCATTTGCTGTTATCCATTCTGTCAATTTCTGCATTTTGATATAGAGTTTAATTCTCTATCAAAGTTTACAAAAGAGTTTACATTTAAAATAGCCAGTTACCAATAAGGGAGCATCTGTTTCTGTATTTTGCTATTTGTTTTCTATGGCTTTACAGCTCTTTTTGTCCCTTAATTTGTGCATTACTGTCTTCTTTTGTGTTTGATTTTTTTTTTAGTAGTGAAGTGTTTAAATTTCTTTCTCATTTTGTTTCGTATATATCCCACAGCTATATTCTTTGTGGCTACGATGGGGATTACATTTAATGACCTAAAGTTATAACACTCTAATTTGAATTTTACTAGTATAACTTCAGTAACATGCAAAACCTCTGGTTTCTATAGAGTTAGACCCACCTCTTTCAGCTGTTGATGTCACAAAATTACATCTTAATACATTGTGTGCCTTGAAACAGAATTATATTATGTCAAATAATGATTTTAAATTCATTAGTCAATTAAGTGAAAACAGAATGTAGAGTTACAAACCATGGCTATAATAATATTAGCTTTTAGACTAGTAATTGTGTGTTTTAAAAAAAGTATTAGTTTCTAATATTCTAGAAAACAAAAAGTCACATTATGAACATTTGTTACAATAATATTTGCTTTTATAATTGGCCATGTACTTACCTTTATTCAGATCTGTATTTCTTCATATGGCTTCAAGTTACTGTCTAGTATTTTTTCATTTCACCCTGCAGGACTTTCTTAAGAGTGAAATGAAAATGAGCATTTCTCACAGGGCAGTTCTAATGATAATAAACTCTCTCAGCTGTTGCTTATTTGGGAATATCTTAATTTCTCCCTTACTTTTAAAAGACAGTTTTGCTAGATATAGAATTCTTGGTAACAGATTATTTCCTTTTAGCACTTTGAATATATGGGCCCACTGCCCTGCCTCCTGGTTTCCAAAGTTTCTGATGAGAAACCTGCTGATAATCATACTAAGAATCCTTTATGTGTTTCTCTCTTCTCTCTTGCTGCTTTCAATATTTTCTCTTTGTTTTTGGATTTTCACTGTTTGATTGTAATGTGTCTCAGCATGAATCTTTTAAAATTCATCTTTCTTGACTTTCACTGACATTCCTGAATGTTTATATTCATGCCTTTCACCAAATTTGGGAAGTTTGAAGCCATTATTTCTTCACATGTTCTCTCTTTTCTGCTTCTGGGTCTCCCGCAATGTGTATGTTGGTTCACTTGATGGTGTTCCACAGGTCCCATAGGCTCTATTCACTTTTCTTTAATGTTTTTTATTTCTGTTCCAGACTTGATAACTTCTGTTAGCCTATCTTCAAGTTTGCTGATTTTTCTGCCTGCTTAAATCTGCCTTTGAATCCCTCTAATAGATTTTTCATTTCAGTTTTGTTCTTGTGTTTTACAGAATTTTTTTTAGGTTGTCTATCTCAATATTGTTTGGCTCTGTGTCTCCACCCAAATCTCATCTTAAATTGTAATCCCCATATGTCAAAGGAGAGACATATAATCCCCACATGTCGAGGGAGGGAGATGATTGAATCAGGGAGTGGTTTCCCCCATGCTCTTCTCATGATAGTGAGTTAGTTCTCATGAGATCTGATGGTTTTATAAGGGGCCCTTCTCTCTTCTCTCTCCTGCTGCCATGGGAAAAAGGTCCTTGCTTCCCTTTCACCTTCCACCATGATTGTAAGTTTCCCGAGGCCTCCCCAGTTATGTGGAACTGTAAGTCAATTAAACCTCTTTCCTTTAAAAATTACCCAGTCTCGGGTAGTATCTTTATAGCAGTGTGAGAATAGAGTAATACAGTCTCTTTATTGATATTTTCATTTTGTTCCTACGTCATTTTCTTGACTTTCTCCATGTCTTTGTTTAGTTTTTTGAACATCTTTAAAACAGTTGTTTAAAATTATTTGTCTAGCACATTTGCCATCAGATATTTTTCAGGGACATTTTCTGTTGATTTATTTTTTTTTCTTTGGGTCATACTTCTCTGTTTCTTCATATGCCTTGGGATGTTCTTTGTTGAAAACTGAACATTAGGACCTAAAAATGTGGTAATTCTGGAATTCAGATTTTGCTTCTTCCCCAAAGTTTGCTGTTTTTTGTTATTGTTTTTATTTTTATTGTTGTAGATGATGTCTCTCAGTGCCAAGGATCAGCCTGTGGTATAAACTTAAGGTCTTCTGAGCCTGCCCCTTTCCTGAGTGTGCATGGTTACTTTCTAATTTTCCCCATAGTTGCAGTTATTTTTGCATGTCCTAAAGGTTACTGTTTAGCTCCCAAAAGGGAAAAAAGAAAGGGTGCTGGCTTTTTTTGCTTTCACAAAATAACTAAGGCTTTATTTTTCCCTGATTTCAGAATGTTCATATGAGTGTTCCCTATGACCACTATAATTAAGAAATATTGAAGGGTTTTTTTTTTTGTTTTTTTTTGTTTTGTTTTGTTTTTTGTTTTTGAGACAGAGTCTCATTTAATTACCCATGCTGGAGTGAGGGGCAAGATCTTGGCTCACTGCAACCTCCGCCTCCCCTGTTCAAGCTATTCTTGTGCCTCAGCCTCCTGAGTAGCTGGGACTACAGGTATGGACTACCATGCCTGGCTAGTTTTTGTATTTTTAGTAGAACAGTGTTTTGCTATGTTGGCCAGGCTGGTCTCCAACTCCTGACCTCAAGTGATCTGCTCACCTTGGCCTCCCAAAGTGCTAAGATTACAGGCGTGAGCTACCTATGCCTGGCCTGAAGAGGTTTTGTTTTTCATAAATTTCCTGAACTTTTTTTCTCTTCAACTTTTATTTTACATTTCAGGGTACATGTGCATGATGTGCAGGTTTGTTACATAGGTAAATGTGTGCCCTGGTGGTTTGTTGTACAGATCATCCCATCACCTAGGTATTAAGCCTAGCATCCATTAGCTATTCTTCCTGATGCTCTCCCCCGACCCCTGGCAGGTCCCAGTGAGTGTTGTTTCTCCCCTGTGTTCATGTGTTCTCATAATTCGTCTCCCATTTATAAGTGAGAACATGTGGTATTTGGTTTTCTGTTCCTGCATTAGGTTGCTGAGGATGACAGCTTTCAGCTCCATCCATGACCCTGCAAAGATACGATCTCATTACTTTTCATGGCTGCATAATATTCCGTGGTGTATATGTACCATATTGTCTTTATCCAGTCCATCATTGATGGGCATTTGGGTTGATTCCATGTCTTTGCTATTGTGAACAGTGCTGCAATGAATATACACATGCATGTAACTTTATAATAGAATGATTTATATTCTTTTGGGTATATACCCAGTAAAGGGGTTGCTGGGTCAAATGGTGTTTCTGTCTCTAGATCTTTGAGGAACTGCCAAACTTTCTTCCACAATGGTTGAACTAATTTATATTCCCACCAACAGTGTAAGAGCATTCCGTTTTCTTCATAACCTCACCACTAGTTGTTTTTAGACTTTTTAATAATCATCATTCTGACTGGCATGGGATGGTATCTCATTGTGGTTTTAATTTGCATTTCTCCAATAATGAGTTATGTTGAGCTTTTTTTCATGTGTTTTTTGGCCACTTGGATGTCTTCTTTTGAGAAGACACGTCCTTTGACCACTTTTTAATGTTTTTTTTTTTTTTCCTCATAAATTTGCTTTAGTTCCTTGTAGCCTCTGGATGGTAGACCTTTGTCAGATAGATAGATGGCAAAAATTTTATTTCATTCCATAGGTTGTCTGTTCACTCTGACGATAGTTTCTTTTGCTGTGCAGAAGCTCTTTAGTTTAATTAGATCTCATTTGCCAATTTTTGCTTTTGTGGCTACTGCTTTTTGCATTTTTGTCATGAAATCTTTTCCTGTGCCTATGTCTTGAATGGCATTGCTTAGATTTTCTTCTACTTTTTTTATAGTTTTGGGTTTTATATTTAAGTCTTTAATTCATCTTGAGTTAATGTTTGTACAAGGCATAAGGAAGGGGTCTAGTTTCAGTTTTCTGCATATGACTAGTCAGTTCTCCCAGCACCATTTATTAAGTAGGGAATCCTTTCCACATTGCTGTTTTTTTTCAGGTTTGTTGAAGATCAGATGGTCATAGATGTGCAACTTTATCTCTGAGTTCTCTATTCGATTCCATTGGTCTATATATCTACTTTTGTACCAGTACCATGCTGTTTTGGTTACTGTAGCCTTGTAGAATAGTTTGAAGTCCACCAGTGTGATGCCTCCAGCTTAGTTCTTTTTTGCTTAGGATTGTCTTGGCTATTCAGGCTCTTTTTGGGTTGCATATGAATTTTAAAATAGTTTCCTCTAATTCTATAAAGAATGTCAGTGGTAGTTTAATGAGAATTGCATTGAATCTATAACTTATTTGGGGCAGTATGGCCATTTTTACAATATTGATTCTTCCTATTAATGAAAATGGAATGTTTTTCCATTTGTTTGTGTCCTCTCTGATTTTCTTGAGCAGTGGTTTGTAGTTCTCCTTAAAGAAGTCCTTCACTTCCCTTGTTAGCTATATTCCTAGGTATTTATTCTTTTTGTAGTAATTGTGAACAGGAGTGCACTGATGATTTGGCTCTCTGCTTGGCTGTTGTTGGTGTATAGGCATGCTAGCGATTTTTGCACATTGATTTTATACCCTAAGACTTTGCTGAATTTGTTCATCAGCTTAAGAAGCTTTTGGGCTGAGATGACGGGGTTTTCTAGATATAGAATCATGTCATCTGCAAATAAAGGTAATTCAACTTCCTCTCTTCCTATTTGAATACTTTCTTTCTCTTTCCTGATTTCCCTGGCCAGAAGTTCCAATGCTATACTGAATAGGAATGGTGAGAGAGGGCATCCTTGTCTTGTGCTGGTTTTCAAGGGGAATGCTTCCAGCTTTTTCCCATTCAGTATGATATTGTCTGTCGGTTTGTCATATATGGCTCTTATTATTTTGAGGTATGTTCCTTCAATACCTAGTTTATGGAGAGTTTTTAACATGAAAGGATGTTGAATATTATCAAAGACGTTTTCTGTGTCTGTTGAGATAATCATGTGGTTTTTGTCTTTATATCTGTTTATATGATTAGTTACATTTATTGATTTGTGTATGTTGAATAAACCTTGCATCCTGGGGATGAAGCCAACTTGATTGTGGTAAATAAGTTTTTTGATGTGCTGCTGGATTCAGTTTGCCAGTATTTTATTAAGGATTTTTGCATCAATGTTCATCAAGGGTATTGGCCTGAAGTTTTCTTTTTTTTGTCATATTTCTGCCAGGCTTTGGTATCAGGATGATGCTGGCCCCATAGAATGAGTCAGGGAGGAGTCCCTCCTTTTCAGTTTTTTGGAATTGTTTCAGTAGAAATGGTACCAGCTCTTCTTTGTATCTCTGATAGAATTCACCTGTAAATTTGTATGGTCCTGGGCTTTTTTTGGTTGGTAGGCTATTTGTTATTGCCTCAATTTCAGAACTTGTTGGTCTATTCATGGATTCAGTTTCTTCTTGGTTCAGTCTTGGGAGGGTGTATGTGTTCAGAAATTTATCCGTTTCTTCTAGATTTTCTAGTTCACGTGCATAGAGATGTTTATAGTATTCTCTGATGGTTGTATTTCTGTAGGGTCACTGGTGATATCCCCCAGAACCATAATTTCTGGTTATGTTTATTTGATTCTTCTCTCTTTTCTACTTTATTAGTCTAGCTAGTGGTCTATTTTATTAATTTTTTTCAAAAAAACCAACTCCCAAATTTGTTGATTTTTTGAAGGGTTTTTCATGTCTCTATTTCCTTCAGTTCCACTCTGATCTTGGTTATTTCTTGTCTTCTGCTAGCATTGGGGTTTATTTGCTCTTGATTCTCTAGTTCTTTTAGTTGTGATGTTAGGTTGTTAGTTTTGATGTGGGCATTTAGTGCTATAAATTTCCCTCTTAACACTGCTTTAGCTGTGTCGCAGAGATTCTGGTACACTGTCTCTTTGTTCTCATTAAATCCCCTGGAAGTTACTTGAGTCAGTGGGGGAAGGACTTGTAACAATAGGGTAAGGTGTAACAAAAATGGCCAACTGCTTCTGTATCTGTACTTTGTTATCAGAAGCAGCAATCAGTGGTCAGGGCATACATCCCTGATATTTAAAGGACAGGGTCCTTTTTGCCCACTCTGGCTCCTGCAAGCTACATGCAGGCTGCTCCAGGAACATGTGCACAATTGCCTGCCACAGGGCTGGGAGTAGGAGATGGGTAGCTACTGTTAAACTAACAACTGAAATTGACCACAATTGATTGCAATTTACTATGCAAGCCTTTCCCTGGAAGCTGAAAGTCTTCAAAAAACTCCAGAATTCTTTTGTGCTATCATTGTCTAGGTGGGAGACAGATTCTTGGTGCTTCCCACTCCTTCATCTTTCCAGAGTCCTCTCCCAGTTGTTTCTATTTTTAAATTTCATTTTTTTAAAATTATTTATTTAATAGAAACAGATCTCACTATGTTGCTGAGGCTGGCCTTGAACTTCTGGGCTCAAACGATCCTCCCACTTCTGCCTCCCAAGTAGCTGGGACTACAGGCATGCACACTATACCTGGCTTCAATTGTTCTTATTTCCAAATAAAGTATGAGATAAGGTCAATAATTAAGTGAAAAGAGAAAAAGAAATAGGGGACTTTAAAGAGAGAGAAGAACAATAATTATAACAAATATTTTTATAGAACTTACCATGTTCTGGGTAGTACACAAATGTTTTACATCTATTAACCCATTTAATTTTCATAATAATCCTATATAGTGGTTCATATGAGGAAACCATATAGGTACATATTTACATGTGAAGAAACTAAGGCACATCAAGATTAAACTCACATAGCTGGTAAGTGACAGAACAATTGTTTGAACTGTCTCCAGCGACTAAGTGTGAAATAGTAGTCTCGAAGATTGCGAGAGTTGAGATACTATGGAAGTGTTATAGGATTGCCATTCATCAATTTTGAATGCCATTTAAAATGTGTGTTCATGAATTTAAGGCAAAACAGCCCAGTATACACTTTTCTTCAGAGTTCACCAATTACAGAGGAGGCTCAGAATAGCCACACAGTTTTGTTTAACCAGGCTTTGGCATTGCCTGGCAAGTTCTTGGACAGAGAATAGGGCAAAGGAGTTCATGATGCTTGTGAGGGAATGAGTATGATGATGTTGCTTGGCTGGAGATAGGACAGTGAAGATGTGTGGGGGCAATGGGGGAAATGGCAGCCTCAGTGGACTGGAAGGGTATTCTAGGTCAAAGCACTCAACAAGAAGTTGAGCTGAAAGGATGGGAGATGGTGCTCAGATGCTGGGAAAAAACTTTTGGAGAAGATGCAGTTATCAGTGTTAATGAAGGCAAAGGCATAAAACCCAGTTTGCTCTCTGTTTCCATTCTTACCTCTTATAATTCTCGTGATAGACTTCATGCTCCTCGCCTTGCTCAGGATACATTTTCTCCTGTCTTCTCTCATTTGAATAGTACCCATTCTTCATGTCCTTCCTCAAATAGAACCACCTTTGTTACCCCATCTTCCCATACTGTGATGTCTTTAGCCAGAAGTTATTTCCTTTGTTCTCTTGTGGTACCGTTTTTACTCTTCATATATTATATATTGCCTTTTAATGAGACATTTGTTTTCGTGTCTTAGATACTTTACTAGGTCTTAAGTGCTCAAGGGCAAGAAGTATAACCCTGCAACTTGGTATTCTGTTCCAGGCTTGGCCTAGTGCCTTCCTGCCAGTAGAAACAGGAAAAATATAGATTCTAATTTCCTAAGTATAGAAACTGTGTAGTAGATGCTCAGTAAACAACTATTGAATTGAATTGGTGAACTCAACACATTAGGAAATATCATTTTATATTTTCCACATTAGACTCATATATCCATGAACCAGCACTACAGCAAATCTATTCTCACTTCTTTGTGAGGTTAATAGTTTGAGACCAGTCCAGTTATTAATTATAGACCATAATAGTAATATATGTAACATATCACTGTTAATTAATAATTATATAAATATATATAATTATATTAAATCTCATATAATACTTTGTGATAAGCATTAAGCACTATAATAGCATTAAGAAGTGGGTGTTGTTATTCCTGTTTAAGGTTAAACAATTGTTCAAAGTCACAGAGGGAGCTGGCAGCAGACCTAATTATCAGTAAAATTCAATAAATGCTTTTAACCACTGTTTTCTAACTTTTTGATTATGACACATGGTAAGAATATTACACTACAGCCCATGACAAAGACATACACACATGTGCATCTGAAATTAAAGTTTCACAAATTAATACTTACCTTTACTATATGCAATATACTTTGGTACTTCCCGTTTGATTTTATTCTGTTTCATTTTAAATGCTAAATGGAACTCCCTAAATTGATTTTACAACTTACATACAGGTTAAGACTCATAGGCAGGAAAAAGATGCCCTCACCAATGCTTTTACTGTTTTCCCTTGCTTGAATCGATGAGTGATTCACAATCCTCCTGTAATTCTCCTAAACCACTGGATCAAGTTTCATTTCTTTAAGAAAGAAGTATCCTAACTGGTGTGCATGGGAAATAACATGCACTGAAGCTGCTGTAATTACACAGTGTTGAGCATAAGTTAAATGACATATTCCCTTCTGAGTTACAAGTAACTCAGCTACAGAATTGCTGGAGGATTAGTTAAGACAATTCTAATTGAAAAAGAAATATAATTAAGTTCAGAGAAGTCAACTGTCTCTGAAGCAAATCACTCTCCTACCAGAAGATCTGTTCTCATTTACATCACACTGATCGAGCAACTCTTTGGTAGGTAGAACCCTGAATTCAGTTTTTCTCATTCTTGCTTTCATTTAGTTACTTACCAACTCATTTATTTATAAAAGATCCATTAAAAGTGAGAGCTAAGGACCGTGCTTAGTTTTCACGATGGGCACTGCCTGCAGTTTAAAATTCAGTGTCATAGCACTGAAAGGGAAAAATGACTCAGGCACTGGGGGAGGACTAAGGGAGGAGGCTCTTCATTGTGCCTGAAGGGAAAGGGGTCAGGAAAGACATCAAAGAGGGGATGATGCTGACAATGCACCTTGGAGTGATCAGGATTTCACATGGAAGGAGAAGCTGGAGAAGTCAGGGTAGGGCTGGGAGGCAGGGAGAGAACATTCCAAGTAGCTGATCCTGGTATGTTCAGGAAAATGCAGCTATAGTGGAGCATGTGGTACTCATGGGACATGAGGCAGGAAAAATGAGTGGGGATTGATTATGAAGATCTTCATGATATACAAGTAGTTTTGAATTTATTCCATAGGTGACAAGGAGCTACGAACAAATGTTTGGCAGCTGAATGATGGACAGTGCAGCGTTTTGGAAAGAGAGCACTAGTGTTGTGTAGGCCGGGGGATGACACAGGGTGAACCATCCTGGAAGTGGATTGAAGACAAGGGCCAGGTTTGAGAGAGATAGGTAGTAGAAGGGACTGGAGTTAGTGTCTATTCAGTGTGGACAATGGCACTTGGAGTCTGCTTTGGGGGGCCAGGCAGATGGTGGTGTGATTTGCCAAGACAAGAGCTGCAGGAGAATGAACAGGTATGGGGGACAAACTAATACATTCTATTGTATGGAGGTTGCATCTGAGGCCACCAAGAGATTTCAGGTGTAAATTACAACAGGAAGGCAGAAATATTACTCTGGAGTTCAGACATGGATCTGGTTACAGGTATAGATTTGGAGCTTATAGGTTATAGTTGGTAGTTAGAGCATTAGATCTAAATGAGTGTGTGTGTGCAATAAAAATAAGAGCGCTAAATTAGGAAGAGCCTGCCTATTTGTAGGAGGTGAGCTGAAGAGGAGTAACATATTAAGATAGGAAAAAAAAATCCCTGTATATATCAGCTCAAGAGGCAGGAAGATAATTGGGAATCATTGCCATTATGGATACCACAAAGGAAAGAAAATTTCAACCAGGAATTTTCAACAGCATCAAATAACAGAGAAAGCCTGCAGTGTTCACTGGCTTGATCAGAGCCAAGTTTAGGGGTGGGGCAAAGCATAGGGAGGTGGGGAGAAAGCTGGATTGCAAGAATGAACAGCCTATCATTGCAGCAGTGAAACATGCAGCAAAGGGGAATGTAGCAGAGGGAAATGCATCAGTGGAAAATGGAAATGCAGCAGTGGGAAATAAGAATACAGCAGAGGGAAATGTGTTAGTGGAAAATGGGAATGGAGCGCTCGGAAATGGGAATGAGGCAGAGGAGAAGAGAAATGGAGAAAGGGGAATGCAGCACTGGGAAAGGCAATGGAGAGAATGTAGTAGTGAGAAATGGGAATTCATCAGGGGGAAATGGAGGGATGGAAATGGGAATGCAGCAGAAGATAATAGGAATGCATGAGTGGAAAATGGAAATGCAGCAGAGGGGAGTGTAGCAAAGGGAAATGGAAATGCAGCAAAGGAAATTGAGAATGTAGTAGAGGGACATGGGAATACAGCAGAGGAAAATGGGGTTGCAGAAGTGGAAAACATGGGAATGCAGCAGAGGGGATTGCAGAGTAAGAAAATGGAATGCAGCAGTGGGAAATGGGAGTGCAGCAGTGGTAGATAGGATTGCAGCAGAGGGAAATGGAATGCAGGAGTGGGAAATGGGAATGCAGCAGGGGGAGATGGAACGCAGGAGTGGGAAATGGGAATGAGGCAGAGGGAGACGGAATTCAGGAGTTGGAAATGGGAATGCAGGAGTGGGGAATGGGAATGCAGCAGAGGGAGATGGAATGCAGCAGAGAAAAATGGGTTTGCAGCAGAGAGAGATGGAATGCAGGAATGGGAAATGGGAATACAGCAGAGAGAGGGAATGCAGGAGTGGAAAATGGGATTGCAGCAAAGGGAGATGGAATTCAGCAGTGGGAAATGGGAATGCTGGAATGGTAAATGGGATTGCAGCAGAGGGAAATGGGAATGCAGCAGAGGGAGATGGAATGCAGGCATGGGAAATGGAAATGCAGGAGTGGGAGATGGAATAAAGAATTGGAAAATGGGAATCCAGCAGAGGGGAATGGGATTGCAGCAGAGGGAGATGGAATGCAGGAGTGGGAAATGGGAATGCAGCAGAGGGAGATGGAATGCAGCAGTGGGATAGGGATTGCAGCAGAGGGCGGTGGAATTCAGGAGTCAGAAATGGGAAGATGAAGCAGAGGGAGATGGAATGCAGCAGTGGGAAATGGGAATGCTGGAATGGTAAATGGGATTGCAGCAGAGGGAAATGGGAATGCAGCAGAGGGAGATGGAATGCAGGAGTGGGAGATGGGAATGCAGCAGAGGGAGATGGAATGCAAGAGTGGGAAATGGGAATGCAGCAGAGGGAGATGGAATGCAGCAGAGGGAGATGGAATGCAGGAGTGGGAGATGGGAATGCAGCAGAGGGAAATGGAATGCAGCAGAGGGAGATGGAATGCAGCAGAGGGAGATGGAATGCAGCAGAGGGAGATGGAATGCAGCAGAGGGAGATGGAATGCAGGAGTGGGAGATGGGAATGCAGCAGAGGGAGATGGAATGCAGCAGAGGGAGATGGAATGCAGCAGAGGGAGATGGAATGCAGCAGAGGGAGATGGAATGCAGCAGAGGGAAATGGAATGCAGCAGAGGGAGATGGAATGCAGGAGTGGGAGATGGGAATGCAGGAGTGGGAAATGGAATGCAGCAAAGGGGAAGGAGAATGCATTAGAGAGACATGGGAATCCCACAGGGGAAAATGGGACTGCAGAAGAGGAAAACAGTCATGCAGCTGTAGAAAATGCAGCAGAGGGGAAGGCCACAGGATCAGTGGGCAGCCTGGCATCATGATTAAGTGGAGATACCATCACAGGTTCATTTGTTCAACTAACAGTGATTGAATACCCACTGTGTTTGGGGCATTTGTCTCAGTCCTAGGGATACATCAGTGAATGAGAGAAGATGAAAATCCCTTCCCTTATAAAGCTTACTTACATTCTCAAATGACCTGGAAATGAATACCAGTTGTGCCACTTCCTTCTGTGTAGCCTTGGGAAATTCTTTAATCTTAGTTGGTCTTTGTTTACTAGTCCATAAAATGGTATGGCAATAGTACCTCTGTCACTGGGTAGTTGTGAGAACAGAAAAGTAACATAAACCACTTGGCCCAGTGTCTGCTCTTAATTATCTCTCAATAAATGTTAACTAAGTTAAGTAGACTGTGGGCTACTTTTTCAGAGACATGCCTATAATGGTAATTAAAAGAGATCTGATAATGGCTAAAAGTGCAACCAGGATTCAGGGAGGACATTTTTCATGATGGGAGAGGTCTGGCTTAATTGTGTATGTGGGAAGTGTGACTCAAGTCAAGGAGAAATCTAATCCATGGCATGAAAGCCTGGAGGAGACGATAGGGCCTGTGCGTTCCCATTCGGTGGGCAGTCGCGCCTCACACTTACCACATCATCCAGAGTCTCAACTGGGTGAAACAAAATGGCCATGCTCACAACCTCCCATGTTCCTGTATTTTCACCATCTTCTTATTGCCTATTTCTGGATCCAGGCTTCTTTGACCACTGAGGGGATTAGCCCCTCAGTGTGCTGTTGGCCCACACCAGAGGCAGCAGCCCCATTACTGGGGTGACCATTTACCCACATGTCCCAGCACTCTCTTTTTCACATCAGCCTATGATTTCAGTTCTTCCCACATTTTAAAGTCTCTTCCTTCCCCAGACTCAAGAGCTGTGGGTGTTGCAAGACCACACTAACTATGGAGCTAATATAGATCAAAATCCCCTGTTCACCAACTAGCTGTGTAGCTTTGGTAAAGTTCCTCAACTTCTCTGAGCCCTTATTTCCTCCATTGTGAACATGAGAATGCTACTCCCTTCGTGGTGTTATGGAAACATCAAACCTGAAAATGGAAACTATCAATTCCACTGCCTGGCACACACTAAGTGCTCCATAAATATTTGTTTTTCTTTTGTTTTTTGTTTTGTTTTTTGAGAGGAGTCTCATTCTGCTGCCCAGCTGGAGTGCAGTGGCATGATCCCGGCTCACTGCAACCTTCGCCTCCTGGGTTCAAGCGATTCTCCTGCCTCAGCCTCCCAAGTAGCTGGGATTACAGGTGCCCACCACCACACCCAGCTAACTTTTATATTTTTAGTAGCGACGGGGTTTCACCATGTTGGCCAGGCTGGTCTCAAACTCCTGACCACAAATGATCCACCTGCCTCGGCCTCCCAAAGTGCTGGGTTTACAGGCCTGAGCCACTGCACCGGCGATATTTGTTTTTCTTATCCCAATAGTCCCTAAGCATACAATCATTTAATACTTACCTTAAAATGACAAACACAAAGACTCACAGAATATTACACGATAATTTACTTAACAATTTCTAACCTATAAAATGGGAGTAACAATAGCATAAATATGCAGTGTCACATCTTTGTGGTTATTTTGACTTTTGCACTCATGAAGGCAAACATGAAAATGCTCCAGGTCTACTTTTCCATCAGGACTGAAATCTTGGTGGGGTGAGAAGTTCTGGTACTAGATGCTACAGTGAGATGGAAAACTGAAGTGTGTTCTACGTTGAATATGAGAATCCTTAAACCAAAAGACAGTGTGTGCCTTAAACTTCCAGTAGGGTTGTTTGCATTCCAGCCGTCACTCCCAGGGCTAACTTAGAGACCTGAGATAGACTGACCCAGTAGCATGGAGTTCTGAAGACAATTCCCAGTTTTGCGCAGACTGGGCCTGCCTAAGCAGTGATGTCGGGTTTTGTGCCAAAACTGTCAGCATGGAAGAGGTTGAGAATAAAGATATATCCAGACAAGTCAAAGGCCAGGAAGGAACACAGGCAGGACAGGCCATCAGTAAGATATTTCCTCATAATGTCAAAAAGGAACCCAAATTTAGCCCCCGACAGATGTTAACATAGGAATCCAGCAGTAGCATCTCCAAACAGCCTGGTTGTTGCTGGCATGGTCATCCCTCTTCTGTAGACACAGATACACCACCCTCTTACATGTAGGGGTGTGCTCACTGCCCTTCGCTAGGCTACAGGGGTTTCTGCCACTCCCTTTGGTTTCTCCACTCTAAATTTGGGTTTTTCACTCCAACTTTGGGTTTAACCAGTCTAAGCCATTAACCTGAGTAATATCAATTCTGTCTGCCCTGATGGTGCACCAATCTTAGAAGTCAGCAAGGGTAAAAGAGAAAAAGAGAATGTTATACATACGATTCCTCCTCTCTCCTGTTTCCCCAACACACCCCCACATTATCCCTTTCACAGAGCCTTTGCACTGGCCGTTCCTTCTGCATAGAATGCTCTTCCCCTAGAATCCTTCATGGCTCTCTCCCACTCTGCTCATGTGGAACCTTCTCGGAGGCCTCCTTGACCACTCACCCTGGACTCTCCCCACTTCCTTCTGTTTACTCTTCTCCATAGCATTGATTACTCTTTGGCACAGTAAACATCTTACATGTTTGTTTTTTATTTGCCTCCACTCACCAGATCTCACACTTCACTAAGGAAGGGATTTTTGTCAGATCCGATCACTGCTGTACCATCAGTCACAAGAATTTACCTGGCATATAGTAGATGCTCAGATACTTGTTGGAAGGAAGGAAAGGAGGGAATGGAAAGGGAAAACAAACATATAAAAAAGGCAAAGTTGCATTTTTTGCCTAAGAGCTTCCAATTTTACATTGTTTAACCTTGTACTCTATGCAGAGCCTCTGCTCACACCCTTGAGTGCAGAGAGGCATTAGTGCAGGTATCTGTCACTCAGGACCGTCCAGTCAGGCTGTGTTCTTGAGATCAGGTAGAAAACAAGTGGCATAAAAGAGATGTGAGCATCAAAGGAAGAGGAGCCCACATTGCTAGGGTGACTGGAAAAGGCTGCAAGGAGGAGGTGACATTTGAGATGGTGTTTCTTGGGGTATTGGGAGTGCAAATGGGAGTATCTGCGTGAAAGTAGGGAAGGATGGGATGCGATTGGAGAATAGTAAATAGACTAAGTGAGCTTCAGCTCCTGGTGTGTGAGGGAACCCCAGACAAGAAAGCCAGAAGGGGAAACAAGCCCACGATGTCGGGGAAGTGTTCATGCTCATTCACAGGCAGTGGGAAGCCATAGCTGGCCTGGGGAGCCGAATGGCCAGGACCGTTTTGTGTCATAAGAAGGTCATCTGAGCAGATTTGAAGGATGGATGGGTGTGAGGGACTCTGAGGGGAGTGGATCCTTCAGGACTTCATTGCGTTCATTCCTTAGGGAGATACAGAGGGCCTAATTCAGAAGGAGGGAGAGCATTTAGATGTATTTCAGAAGCAGATTTAACAGGACTTGGAAACTGATGCATATTGGAGTGGGGACAAAGAGAGTCAACGAGTCAAAGCTGACCCAGACTTTGAGCCTCGGCATGGGAGAAGGGAAAAGGCATATAAGGAGGGAGAATTTGCAGAGGCCATGTGGATGCACCCACTGGTTCACCCTCATTTTGAGTAGGAAAGCCCTAGGACTAAGATGTTAAAGTAAGCAACTGTTCCCACTTTGTCCATCTTTTCTGTAATCTTTTAGAACACCTGAGACTTAGAGCTACACACAACAGGCTGTGCGGTGATGTGCTGGGCAACAGAACATCGATTTCGACGTCAAAAGACCTTCATAGTGCTTCCGAATTCTGACTTACCTTAGGCAAGTGCCTGAACCAATGGGTTCCTCAGTTTCTCCTTTCTGTTGGAATTGGGTAATGTTGATATTCACCAACCTGCTCTGCAGCATAAAAGTCTAATGGCAAACAAAGTTTGTTATGTACATTGAACTCCTGGCCTAAAAGGGACTGTGATGGAAACACAGTTGGTCCATCCACATAAAGTACTTATTATGTTAGGAGTGTAATTAAGGTCCTGCCGAGCTATTCATAAGGTAAGGTGGGGTGGAGGTGGGGTTATGTTGGATCAGGCCAGATTCCAGCTAATGGAATTACCCTCTCCCTGTGAGCCTTCCTCTGCTGCCCTTCTGGTTTCTTGTGCACCCCTCCCTTCTCGCTGTTGGCTCTCAGCAGCTCTGCTCTGTTCTATGCAGATGGTTTCACTCTTGCCAGCCTCTACCGGGCAAGAAGTGGCACTTGTGAGAGGAGACAAAGGCCACTAAGTGGGTCCAAGAGACACAGCTGCGCCGCTCCAGGACACGGGGACATGGCAGGGGCCTGAGTAAGGCAAGGTTATTATTTTTCCTTTCTCTACCATCCAAACACGAAGCTACCTGTGGCATCTAAATTGCAAAGGCTAAGCTTTGAGTCTGCGTTGGACCAATTGACTTGGGGTAATTGGGAAAAGAACAGGAAATTATAATGGGTTGAAGGTGGCCTGCAGAGCCCAGGCCCCATGTGAATGCAGTCGCTGCTGTGAAATGGAAGCTAAGAGTACAGTGCCTATTACTTTCCCACAAGATGCTAAGAAGTGAAGCTTTTTGCTCTTTGCTATGGAGATGGTGAAAGACTGGAGGCATTTTGTGCCCCTTTCCCTGAAAAGCAGGGCTCTAATCTGATGGGCAGAGTGGCTAAAAGGAGTTCATGTAGATTAAAGGAGAACCTGGGTCCAGGCTTTGCAGGGGGAGAAGCTGGTACAAGAGATGGCTGTGATCTATCCGGAAGCATCAGCACATTGACACAGCCTCCAGGCCCATGGTGTGACCCCCTCTGGTTTGTGAGCCAACATTCTTAGGATGAAAAGTTAGACAGGAGAGCTGGGAGGGCCTCCTTGAAGGCAGGCCTGGGGGACAGCCTGCCTAACCTGGAAAGCATTCCCTTGGGGTCATGGTGTCTGTCTGATCCTGCCAATTTGGAGAATCCTGTCATCTTCCTTCCTAGGGATTCTCATGCCAGGGTGATGAAGTTAAGGCCTGAAGTAGGTTAAATAAGAAAACTAAGTAGGAAGACAAAGCTTTGAATTAAAAATAGAGACCTGACCCATGTCTGACATTCACCTCCATGTGGAAAAGGAGAGGAAGATTTGGCATTCTATGTTTTTGTTTTGTTTTGTTTTGCTACTGGGATGGGTGACTTAATCATAGGGAAGGAAGGATGTCTGTATCTATATTTGGTTTCATTGTACCCTCCCTTCTGCCAGTCCTCACAAAATCATACAGTGAAGCATCCAATCCTTTTTCCAAACTCTCTTGAGAAGACCTCTCTCCCCAAGTGAGCTGTTGCCTTCACCTTTCCTTTCCCCTCAATTGCTTTGCAATCTCTTCTTTGAATCCCACTTCCCTGATGTTCACCCTTGAAGGTAAAAGCCACTATGGCTCAGGGCCCACTGCAGGGCACAAGATCAGTGATGCTGGGTGAATCTGGGAGCTTCATCTTCTGATAATAAGGGTCCACGCGCTTCGGATTCAATACGGCATGAGAGCTTCCCGGTGGCCAAGGCTGGTTTGGGGAGGGTGACATGAATTCCTCTAGCGGCTACATGGCAGCCTAGAGACTCCCTCCCTCATTTTTTCTTTTCCGATTAAATAGAAATGGCAGTGACTTGTGGAGTGATGTGGGAGAGAGGGGATGACCACCTTACAGACACTACAGGATGACGTAGAAATAATTTAGAGCCTGAAATACCAGGAGGCAATGACTTCGCCAAGAATCTGGTACATTTTCCTGTCCCTAGGAAAAATTGTGTACTTGTTGATTTCATAGGGAGAATGGGGAGGGACACAGTGCAAGCAGAGTGGGGAGATCAAATTGTAGAGTAGCAGAAACGTGACTACATTCAGCTCTCACTTTGGTATTTCCTCAGGCATGTCGGTGCAATAAGATGTCAGCACCATGACACTGTTATGGTGAGGTAAGGAGAGCCAGGGCAAGTTTTGTGGGTTCATGCAATCCATTTCTTGCTGGTAAATGTTTAGAAAGGATCTGCTAAGTTGTTTTCTTCATGTGAAGGTTTTATAGTAGTGACTAGATCAAAGTTATGAGGAAGGGTATGCTTCTGTCTGTATATTTGGTTCCATTATACCTTCGCTTCTGCGGCATCATTCTCATCACCGTATGTTACATTTTTCCTCTCCTAAATTTCTGCAATTATCCATGCCAATCATCATGAGAGTTGCATGGTACAATGGAGAGTGCACTGGACTTGGGAAACCTGGGGTCCACTTCTCACTGTGTGGCCTTGGAAAAGTCACTTCCCCTAGTTTCCTCATCTGTAACATGATGATAATGCTGCCTGCCTACCTACCTGTCAAGGCTGTGGTGAGACTCAAAAAGACCAATGTATAGAAGCGATTTCTCTTCCTGAGTCACCTGCCCTTTTCTATCTCTCCCCTCCCACATCCCCAAGTCTAGCATTTTCTGTACTTTTATATATGCCTGTGTCTCTTTTTCACTTCAATTCAGGTGTGGCTTTCCTAATCTGCTGTGAAGATACTCTTTCAAAATGAGTCTTCTGCAAGAGTATCCCCTTCTCTAAAGAGGATTTCATGCTTCCACCCCAGACTCAAAGGCTTCTCCACTGAAGCTGGCACCACATGCACAGGTAGCACTTTCCAGGATGAGTAATCAGACCTACATCCTTAAGGCTCTGCGAGACCAAATGCAGTGGGCACAAGTAGCCTCCCACTTGGGACAAACCCAAGTTTGTCGGGGCCATATATGGCTTTCCAAGACTTTGCCCAAGGAAGCACTGGCATGTATATTCCTGAGGGCAGGACTGCTGGTCTCTTTTGCAAGCTGCTAGATCTTTAACTCCTAGAACAATGCCTGGCACATAGCAGACATTGCATGCTCACTCAATAAATATTCGGATGAATGAGTGAATGCAAATGAGTAGAAGCAGTGGCAGACCTGCTCTTCCCCTAGAATTTTCTCATAGGTCCTGCGCCATAATCATCTCCACAGTCCCCACATAACCTTTGTGATCGTTGTTAACTTAGATCAGAACAGCTTTATCAAAATCTGCCAGTAGGTTTATCCTAAGAAAAAAGCTACACAGACAAAATAATGAAGATATCCTTTTTTCCTCCACTGCCACCACAACCAACAGAATAAATATAAAGCAGATAGATATACAAGCATCTACTTATATAAGTGATATTATTATTAAATGAGTTTTATAGAAAATAAATTATAAATTATATATTATGTAACTAATGTTATGTAACTATCATCCTCTCTATAAAGCTGTCAGGAAATATTCTTCTCATTATGTACAGGCTGCAAATTAATTAAGTCAATTCTTTTACCATTGTGATATAGCAATGAAAGCAAAGAAAAAGTCTGGCATTAGCGGTTGGTTACAGAATAAATACGCCAGTAGCTCATGCAGCCTTTTCTTAACCAGAATCATTGAAACGGATCCCATTCCTTAAAGGGGCATGCTCTCCCAGGCTTCATGAGGGGAGCCTGTGCAAACTTTTCCTTCATCTCACTTTGTGATCTGACAGCAGAGTTATAAAGAGAGTGTTCCAATATACCTGCCATGGTCCAGTTGAGGCAACTGACCAAAGCAAGAATTTGAGCAGGGAAAAGTTAAGGAATTGTTAACTGCATAATGGTTTTGTGAAAGGGTGAAAGAGAACCCTGAGTTGTAATGTGAGTAGCAACTACAGAGAATGACTTCCACTCTGGGATAGAGGGAACGTGAACAAGGAAGGGACTTTCTGCTGAGAGGGGAGCTCTGCAAGGCTGAGATTCAAGACTAAGACCATGGCAAGGGCATGGCTGCTGCACAAGAAAGAAACGGGCAGAAAGCCATCCTGGGATGGGGGAACTGCCCACGAGAGTTAGGGAGACGTCAGGAGCCAGATGCCCACAGAGGGGCTGGCTTGCTAACTGAACAAAACAAAACAAAAAACCTTTCATCCACCAGTCTCCCAGGCTCCCTCTGGCGCCCTCTATTGGCAGAGCCTAGCATAGAGAGGCTGGCAAAGGAGAGCTGTAGCTTACAGAGACCACCAGGATCACAAAGTAAGGCAAGAAGGACACGGGTGAATGTGGAAGCCCCAGATTAGTAACTGACACACCTCAAAGGACATATTGGGTAAATAATATTTCTGGGTTTCCTATATTCTTACTGTGAACCCTCTGTGCATTCCCTCTGGCTGTAGGTATTTGCACCAGCCTCTTTCCCTTCTCCTGGCCCTGATTCATTTTTGCTGGCATTAACTGAGACCACTTGTTTCTAGCCCTGGCTCCAGCTGAGCACCCCCCAAAGAGTTTTTACAAATTACTGAGTATTTAGCATCTGCAACTTCAAAATCTCCTTAGGTAACGCTAATATACAGCCAGAGTTGAAAACCTCTGGACTAGACGTTGACAAGAAATAAAGCTGCCTCAGAAATGACATTTTTAGGAGCACTGTGGCCTTCAAAGGCTCCATAACAGAAAAATTCTGGGTTAAGATAGATCTGTTCCACTGTGCAACTCCAAGCTGGCTAAGTAACATCACTGCACCTTGATTTCCTCCTTTGTAAAATGAGGAGTTGGGAGGGAAATACATTTTCCCCAGCGTTATTATAAACAGCAGATGTGACAATATATGTAAAATGTTTAGTGCAGTGCTGGCCATTATTAAGTATCCAATAGTTAATGTTTATGTTGACAGTGGTGGTGGTGATTCTCTCTTGCAAAGACCATTTCTTCATGACTTTCTCAGAATGGCTACCCAACGTGATACTCTGAACAAAGCAAAAACCCTCAAACACAAAGAGTTACAAAGGGACAAGATCTGCCAAGATTGGTGCCTAAGGGAGTATAAGGAACTAATTGTTGAGCATCAGAAAGGGGCAAGTCAATGATCAAGGTGTTGCTAGACAGAATGATACCACATTACATTTATCCTCAGCACTTTACAGTTTGCAGAATAGCTTCATGTTCATTGTCTAGTTTACTTTTTGCAGTAGATCTGTGAGGTGGTTTGAGTGATAAGAGCTTGGAAATGTGCATCACTGGTTTTGAACTGCTGATCTTTCACTTAATAGCTGTATGACTTTGAGCAAGTTGACAAATCTCTCCAAACCTCAATACTGTAATAACATTTGTAAAATGAGGTATTAAGAGGATCACATGAGATAATGAATGAAAGGGACTAGAATATGGTAGGTGCACATTAAATGATAGTTATTTTGGATGTAACTTGAAAGAAAAAAATTTCCTCTTCTCTGATAACTGAGAGGTTTCTTGGATAGGATAAATAATCACACTGTTGTGTGCAGTGGGATTAGAGAAAAATCTATACAAACATTAATTTCAAGAAAAGGCAAAAGAGAAAGAGAACAATCTTGACGTTCAAAGCTTTCGAGAGTGTGTATAGCTAAGCAGTGTAGACACCATGTAAGTAGCCCCATGGTAATGAGGTACTGAGGTCCCATCAATGACTAATAAAATAGCCCCCACATGGTGGCTGTTTTATTATTCATTTGAGGGACGTCAGTACCTAGACCGACAGCAGAAGGAAAAACAAAAAAATTGGCACTGCTTTTCTCTGAAAGAAGAAATACTATTTCTCTGGTATAAATACGGCTTTGAAGAGTCTATTGCTGCAGCTAGGAGAAGGGACCTGTGTACGTGGGTGTGTTGAGGGCCAGTGGTGGGAAAGGGGAAGTTACTGCAGACTCACTTGCTTCCTGAGGTGAGACAGGTCATAAGAAATGGTAGGGGCTGCCCCAAACTAGAGAGCAGATACTCTCTGGAGGCACACAAATCTGAATATTCAAAAAGCAGTGCCCGTCTCACAAAACCAGTTTCCTGACTGATTTTGAGGTCAGAATCAGTCTTCAGGACACCAGTTTTTGACCTTTGATTTAGAATCCCTTATTTGTGGAATAATACCAGAGGTGTCCACTGGTCAACCAGGAAAAAATATACCCCCTGCTCTCGTGGGCACATCTAAAAGAAGATTGGATGTGGAGGAGCAAAGCCCACCTTTTGTTGTCCTGATGAAGCCCCCTGTGATGTCAGACAATTATTCCGACTATGGGGCATGTGCTTGAGGGAACTACAGTGTCCTAGAGTTTGCCTGGAAGAGGGGAAGGGACTAATTTCCAGGCAAAGAACATCAATGTGGATAGGTTTCCCTAACTGAGGGGGTTAGAGAATCAAGACCCAGGCTATGTAGAGCTGAAAAAAAAGGTGCCTTTTTAGAAGATCATAGATTTTAAATTGAGGAGTAAGTCCAGGAATTATGGCCAATGAACCAACCTTGTGGAGTAAGTTTATAGTTTTGATTTTCTTCCCATAATCATGAGAATAGTCACATTTAAGGTCGATTCCAAGTTTAAATTTTATGTGTAGAATTTCCTTTACATAGAGGAGCTTTGCAGTATGTCTATATCTAGCCGTGTATGCTGGGGATAGGCAGAATTAGAGAACGAGGCTGTAATCATAAAATGGTGCTTCCGTTATGTCCATTCTTCAGCTCCAAATGGAAGAGGAAAGAGGTCCTGGAGTTCCAAAGGGTGACTGTCTGTGCTGTGAATAGTTGTCCATGGTGAGAGGAGAGTGACAACAAACAGCTGCCACATATAATGGGATTAGAAGTAAATAGGAGGCCCGCTTTCCCCAGATGCACATACATAGTGGTTCACATTCTGGCTGTATATTAAAATCACCTGGGCAAGTTTTCAACCCCTAACCCCTCCAGCCACCCAGGACAATTGAATGAGACTCTCTAGGGGATGAGACTCAGGCATCAGCATTTCAGAAATACTCAGATGACTCCACTATGTAAAACTGAGAACTACTGCTCCAGGTAACCTTTGATGGGGAGGGCAGATAGACCAACATCTGGGTTTCAAGATAAGAAAACGGAAGTCTAGATGATTTGATGCAGGCCACAAATGATAGCTTTGGCATAATTTTTTTGACAGGCCCTGCAGACTCTCAGAACCACTTTTCTGGTGGTCTCTTCCCATCTTCTTGGTCATTCCAGAATTCCACAAGAAATTTCTTTCAGAGGATCATTTATATTTTTGAAAGAATTAGTTTGCATTTGTAAAAGAATAGGGGAATAGAAATATTCAAATCAAGTGTTCAGGGTAGGTTCTACCTTCCTAGTGATGTATGCAGGGGAAGAGTGTCAATCCTGGGACAGCCAAGGAGGCTCATCTTTCCGGAACAGTTGGCTGATGGGGACACAACCGGGTGCTCCCTCAGCCTTTCATTAGACTGGTCTTACTGATAGTCCCTTGCAGTGGACTTCAGGGTGGCACAAGGGCATGTAGGACACAGGTGCTCTGAGCTAATCCATTTAAGAGATTCCAGGTGTGGGTGAGGCAGGCTGTATAAAGAACAGACACTTGGCATAGTCTCAGGAAGTTCTGGCACTCACCCTTGTCATTGGAGTCTTTGTTTTATTGAAGGTGTTGTGATCATGATCAAAGCTTTCATGATATCCTACTGGAGGTTCCCACCATAATCCAGATAAATACTCGCAAGCTTCCTTATTTAAAACTAGAGCCAAGATGGGCACAGTGGCTCACACCTGTAATCCTAGCATCATAGGAAGCCGAGGCAGGCAGATCACTTGAACCCAGGAGTTCAGAATCAGCCTGGACAACATGGTGAAACCCCGTCTCTACAAAAAATACAAAATCAGCCCAGTGTGGTGGTATGCACCAGTAGTACCCAGCTACACAGGAGGCGGAGGTGGTAGAATCACTTGAGCCTGGGAGGTCAAGGCTGCAGTGAGCCGTAATCATACCTCTCCACTCCAGCCTGGATGACAGAGCAAGACCCTCTTAAAAAACAAACAAACAAAAAAAAAACAAACAAAAAAACAAAAACAACAGAAAAATCAGAGCCAAGATTTCAAGTCTTGTCTTCCCCCTTTTTTTTTTAAACAAATCTCAGATTTTCAAATCAAACTTACTGTATAATTTTCAGATTATTGTTAAAGCAGTTCTGTTGTCCAAAAAAAATTTGGGGTTTAAGGAAGTATCTCCAGAAGTAAAGAGAATCACTATATCTGGGAAGAATCTGGCTTTATGTTAGAGCTTGCTACTTTCTGGAATGTTCAGGGAGAAACAAGAATTTTTGTTCAGTACAAAGGAAAGTACAAGAGAGACCCTCACAGATAATCTCTCTGAGACAGTAACTTCAAAGAGATAACAATACATTATCCTGGGAGATTCCTGGAACTAGGGATTAGCCCTGCTGGCTTCTAGCCAGGGCTGCCATACATGAGCTCACCCAGGCTCCTTGGCCATGAGACAGAGTTCTTCTAAATGGTCTCTAGAAGGTCCTTTCCAGTACTAGGACTATAGGAGGAGCATGTGGCTTTTAATAAAGTGATGTTGAAATGTGCCTCATGATTGGCATGTGAAAAGCTAAATATGTCTATGCTATTTTCTTACCAAGATAGCTAAGGGGGAGATACTATTATTTAACTTGGATAATTTAGCAATCAAGGTATAGAAAGAGAGATCATTTAGAATCCATATATAAAGCCAGTAACAGGACTGGGACTGGGAGTGGGGTGGGAAACAATCAGCAAAACAAGGGCTGGTTTGCTTTTCTGACACCTCCAAGCAATGGAAGTATGCATTAAAGAGTAAAACAATTACCAATTTACATTGTCTTCATTAATATTGGGAAGAACCAGCAAAATCCAACTGTGGGAACCTCTAAAGGATAAAGTGCTCTATTCCTTTAACAAGTATATGTCAAGAAAAAGTTAGAAAGCAAATCTTTAGATTTAAAATACATTTGAGAAATAGCAACTAATTGTATGGACCTTATGACTTATGGGAAAAAAACCCACCACCACCCCATAAAACAGTATTACATTTGAGACAATTAGTGAACACTGGATATTTCTTATCAAGGAATTATGGCTACCTTATGATGTCACAATGGTATTGTTAAACTAAAAAAGAGTCCTTAGTAAAAGAGATATATACTGTAATGTTTACAGATGAAACCATATAATTATGGGATTTGTTTCAGAATAATACATGAGGGGGAGATGAGTGTAACCAAGGGCTCCAGCACCAGCTATAGTAGAAACAGATCCCAACCCAAGTAGATTCGCCAGTCCAAGACTCCTACCAACAATTGGAAACCAACTGGGCAAGGGGTTTTTCCCAAACAGCACTTTTAACAATCTTTTTGGAATCACAGTAAAGAAAGCACAAAGACCAAGAAAAAAACTCTGATTCTGGATTTTTTTTAACCCTGATAATTTGTGGTAGGTTTCTTTATTTTTTGAATATAAAGTGACAGAAATAATTTGCCATTAGAAAAGAGAAAGAATCTTTGACTATTTACAGCTTTTATACATCACAAAGTTTTTCTTGTTTTTTTATGTTGTCTTTTTTTTAATTCGTTTTAATTTTTGTTCCTGCATCATTTGAACAAGTCCAAACTGGAAATCTATACAGCTCACAAAAAAGCCCTCCACCCAAAAGACCCCCCACCCCCACCCGACCCCAATGAGAAACAAGATAAATCAAAAGAATGAAATCAACTTATTTCTTTTGTTTAAAGGTAAGTCATTTGCTTATATATATACTTGTAATTATTTTTTTCAAGTTCAAACACCAAAATCCAAGAGAGAAAGGAAAAAATAAAAAGACCCAGTCATCCGCCCCTCCCCCCACTCCAGAATCTCAATTGATCCCTGCATGTCCAAAATAAGAAATAGATATTTACAGAAAACAGAAGCAAAACAAATAAACAAAAAAAGAACTTGGAGGTGGATGGGCTGGGGATCTGAGAGTCAAGAGGAAGGAGAGCCGGCCCCAGGGAGGAGTGTGGAGTCTGGGCCTCGCAGAGCTGAGGCAAGCCTGAGTCGTCGGTGCTCCCTGGAGAGGACATCACACAGGAAAGCTATGACCATTTCCCCTCTGCCATGTGACTTTGGGAGGGGTGCAGCTGTGAATTTGCAACGCAACCCCATAGTGGATGCATATCATGTTTCCATCATCACCCCCTTACACACGTGCGCTCACACACACGCTCACACACATGTGCACAGGCACACACACGCATCAGTCATTGTGGCTAAGTGTAATTCTGATGCTGTTGGAGCACTGGCTCCTGTCACGTGGAGGAAAAGAGATTTCCCCTAGGGACAAGAGCTCACTGCCCCATCCCTTCTCTGATCTCCACTGTAACATTGCCTCTAGCTCCCTTGAAATGTTTCCACAAGCGTCAGGGCTACTCTGAAGTATTAATGCTGGGATAGTCACTGGGTAACAAAGCTCCCATAAATCTATTCCCTCTGCTCCAACAATTTTGCCCCTCACTTCCCACAAATTCCTTTAACAAATAGGCGTACCCAGGTTACCCCATTAACCAGGGGTGGGAGCCAGTCTGAAGGAGGGGAGATCTGAGGCAGGGTAAATGGAAGTCACATTGTTTTCTGCACATCTTCCAAAGAGTGGATTCCGGGAGGTCAGAAAGCAAAGAGAGGTCATGACAAAACCATCCCTGGCTTCCTTTGCTTCCCTCTTCCTTCCTAAATAGAGTTTAATGCGTACTCAGTGCATAAAGTAAGGTATGACTGAGTTGGCTGTGATACCTTAAGAACTCAAGATGTGGCGTTAGATGAGCCAAGATGAACATAATTTAATCTTTTGGGGGAAAACGGCTGGCAGGATATGACCATGCTGAAGGGTTTGCCTTTATTAGTGGACAGAGAGGCTGAACCAGCAGCAGCAGTAGTTGTGATCTCATTCACACCCTGTTCAGGGTTCCGTGAGGGTTTGGAAAAATAGTTCACTAGAAATGGCCTAACAGTTTCTCTTCTCAAATTATGATTTTTTCAGGTGGCACAGGAAATAGAATTAGTGCATCCTCTGTGTCAGAAACAACGTGCAGTGTCTCTGGGGGCAGACTCTAGGTTGCTCTTGCTAAATCTCCAAATGCCTACACAGTGGAATTTTATTTTTCTGCTCTCCTTGCCAAACTACTTGTTTTTTTCAGACCCTCCCCAAGAGTCCTCACTTACCCCCTTTTCATGCAGCCCCACTCAGAGTCCTTTTCTTTCTAAGCCCTCTCCTGATCCTTGAAAACGCTCTCTCAAGGCTTTTAAAGACTTTCATTCATTTCCATGCTCCTGTCCCACTGTTTCTGTCACAAAAGAAAATACAAAATCAAAATGATCTGTCAGAGAAAACTTTCATTTAGCAGAATTGGGCAGAAGCAAAGTTGCTTTCCAATCCTTTTTATTTGATTTTTTTTTTAAAGATGAACAAGGAGTAAGGTAAGTAAGAACAAATAATTATGACCCCCCCACAACGAGACTAGCTTAGTTGGGAACCTTAGAAAGGACAAGATTTCCTGTGAAAATGTGTACTTTCCAGGATAAATAGTCAAAATGTGGTCTCAATCCAGGATAACATTTGTTGACATCTATAAAAACATGTTGTGGCCTATCACAGTTAGCAGTGGGGTTTTTAGTAGAAGTTAAAAAAGCAAATATCAGGACTGAGGAAGAGGTACCAGAGTTCCATGTGCTGCCATCAAGTCCCTGCCCCGGGCACTTGCAGCATCACCACCTCAATCTGACATAGAGACAATTAGGGCCAACCCCAAATGCCCACAGCCTCGCTTAGGGCAATCACCACGAGAAGCCCAAGACCCCCAGTCCCTCTTATCACTTGGACTTTCATCCCCAGATACCCATGCACATCTCCCATCTCAGCTCATTTCCCTTCCTTTACCAACTCCCAAATCCTGCCTAAGAATCAGTGGTTCATCACCAGCCACAACCCTGGCAATTCCTTTCCTCTTGCTCTTACAGAAACCTGGCTCCTCTTTGAGGACCCTGAATCACTCCCAGGTGGTGAGCATTTCCACTTGCACCTTCCTCATGCCCTGGGGCCTGGAGGTGGAGATGCCCTTCTTGCCCCTCATTGCCATTCCAGACCATCCTCCCTCCTTTTTAAAAAAAAATAACATGCAACAACCATAAAATCCAGCTTTGATGCACATCAGACTAGGCTAGCTGCACCCCTTACTTGATGCAATGATTGAAATGTTCTCGAATCACTCTCCCTCATTCCTGTCATAATTTACATTCCTATCATATGGAAGTCAACATTTTGTTGACTTCAATATCTATATAATTCCCATATCCTGGCCTCTCAGTTCCTTGACCCCTGCTCCTTCTATAACCTTTTCCTCTATCTTATCTCAGCCCACCACCCCAACAACAGACCCCAAACCACCAATAACTGCAAGCCCTCCATAACCTCAAGCATCCACCTCTCCAACCCACCTCCTAATTTCTACGTTATTGCTTCTGACTCACTAACTGAGTGATCCCAGCTTGAATCTCAATCCTCTGCCTCTAATATGCTTCATTGTTCCTCCTTCCCTAAAAATCCTCACTTTCCTCTACACCCAGCTTAGATTCCATGACCAAACATTATAGTTAACACACTGCAGTTGCCCTTGACTCCACATCTCTTGCTTTCATTATATTCACCTGGTTATACCCCAACCCTGTTCCAATCTAACTTGCCACCCTGTTTAAGCAGCTGAAGGTGACTGAAGAAAACAAATTTCTTTAAACTCATAATCATAAAAACTCAAATAATTCCTTTATGCCCCCTAGCATGTCTCCTATATTTTTGGTGTCTCCGACATTTTTGTTCTCACTCTTCCTGCCGGATGGCTATATGACTCATTCATGCTTTCTTCCTTCCAAAACCTCCAATACTCTTCCCCTATACTCACTCTTAACTGATGAACTCCTTTCATAGTTTACTAAAAATCAATCAGAAAAAGCATACTCCCATTATCCCATTTACCAGCCCACTTGCATCTGTGCCCAAATGCACTATCTCCCTGCTATTAATACAAACAAACCTGGTTAGTCCCCTGAAGCCAGTCCCTCTATGTTTGTATTGAATCCCATGCCCTCTCACTTCATCAAAGACATTACTCCAGCAATTGTCCTCTCTCCCTAGGCATCATCAATTTTTCCTTTCTCCTGGATTAGTCTTGTCAACATAAAATGGGCTGTTATTTTTCCCATCTTAAAAAAAGAAGTCCCTCCCTGGGCGTCACATTCTCTATGATCTGCTATTTCCATGTCCTCTTTACAGCCAAACTCCTAAAGCGTTGCCTATTCCTGTTGTCTCTACCTCCTCTCCTTCCCCTCTTTCTTGAATCCACCCCATCATGCTTTTGCCCCCACCAGTCCACTGAAACAGCTCTCTTCCAGGTCATCAATGGGATGACCTCCATGTTTCCAGATAGTCTTATCCTACTCAATAATAGTACTTGCTTTACCCATTAACCACTCCTCCCATTGCTGGTCCCTTCTCATCTCCTGGAGCTTTGAACAATCCTCCACCCTGGGCCTCAGTCTAGAGAATCCTCTTCTGTCGCTACTCATTCTCTAGTTCCAGTATCATGGCTTCAAATACCAACCAAACGCATACAAATTTTAAATATGTATCTTCAGGCTATACATTTTCCCTGAACTCCAGGTCCATATATCTAATTGCCTAATCATCATTTCTACTTGCAACATCTGTAGACACCTTAAACTATAAGGCTTTCCTTCCCAGTCAGCCTCACCTGCAGGATTCCTGTCTTACACTGATGGCAACTCCAAACTTTCAATAGCTCAGGCCAAACATTCTAAGGTTATTCTTAAGATTTTTCTTTCTCTTATTCAATGTCTAATTCATCAGCAAACTGTGTGATATCGATTCTTTAAAACATTTCTGGAATCCAACTGCTTCTTATCACCTCCCCTGCTAACATCATGGCCCAAGCAACTATGATCTCTTACCAGGATTATTGCAAGAGCTTCCTAACCGGTCTTTCAGCCGCTTCCATTGTCTGCCCTCTCAGGGTATACTCTCAACACAGCAGTCCCAAAGCTTCCTCTTCAACTGAAGTCAGATCATATCACTCTATGCTCCGAACCTTCTAGCAACTTCTCATCTTGCTCTTGGTAAAAGCCAAATCCTGACAGTGTCCTACAAGGCCCTACCTGACTTGCGTTATTGCCCCCTCTCTGACCTCACCTCTCATACTCTCCTCCTCCCTCATTGGCCTCCCGGCTCTTCCTCAAGTTTGCCAAGCATTTGGTTTGACAGCAGGGCCTTTGCAATTGCTTTCTCTTTGCCTTTGCATAGAAAGCCCCAAGTCTCACTCCCTCATTTCCTCCAAACCTTTACTTAAATGTCATCTTTGCTTACTCAAAAATAGCAACCCCACACCCATCCTATCATCTATCCCCCTTAATCTGCCTCATTTTTCTGCATGACACTTTGCACTATCTGACATGAGATCTATTGATTTGCTTTTTTGTCCATTTCCTCTCATCAACATACAAACTTCAAGAGGGTATGGACTTTGTGTGGTTCGTTCTTATATTCCAGCACCTAGAACAGCCTGGCATGGGTTTCCACTCAATAAATATCAACATGGATAAGTCATTTATCCAAAACATGCTCTGAAGCCACAGACCAAATATCCCCAAAATAAGAGCTCCAGTAAACAAAACAATGCAAGCAAGGAAACAACTCCTCCCCCAAAACCTGGATATTTATTCTAAGTGTTTCTAAATTTTAACCAATGGCAAGTGCAGAGCTCACTTTTCATGATTTTTCTGGTTTGAGAATTGTCCTTGGGTTAATTATTATTTTTAATAGGTAAGAAAAAAGTTACTCCGAGTTTCATTAATCTATGGCACTTTGTCCCTCCTCTCCCCTGCGGCCTAACTCCCAAATCCCCTTCAGCTATAGTGAAATACACAGACGCTGAATATTTGGGAGGATTACTTAACGTTTTAGCTTTCCTGGTTTGCTTAGAACATATGATCTACTACCCGCCAGTAATATTTTATAGCTTAGAAGATCATGTCTGAGTCAGTAAATTCCATGTTAATATGTGTAAGACTCAGGATTAAATCAATCTGTAAAATGCCTATTTGTAATCGAATCTAGCAATTTTCTTTCTGAAGTAAACAGTAATCACATTAACAACCTAGTGATTTCACTGGAGATGGGAAGATATAATTTTATTTAACAGATTTTCTCTCTCAGAGGTGACCTAACTTTGTGATCCAAAATCATTCCAATATTGAAAAAAAAAGGTTCAGCTAACTCCATTCCCCTGATATATTCAGTTCTCAGTGCCCCTTGGCTTCCCAATTTAAGTCAATGTAATCACAATGCACACAAGGCTCTTCCACTCAGAATCTTCTTGACTGGAGAATGGAAATCATTGGAGAGGGGCTGCCCTAAAGGTTTGTAGACAAGGTTTTGAAGAATCGAGCTACAATGCTTATCAATGTCTGTCTGGAAGAAAGCCTACGTCTCTTTCTAAAGCCAGCCTGTCACCATTTCTGAGCCATCAATGGCAGCACAGCCTCTCCTTCTGCCAGAGCTCACAGGGAATGACAAATCTCTGAGGGAATACACCAGAGCATCTGGATGTGGGTGTCATCGTCTCTTCACCACCAAACCATTCTACCCCAATTTCCCTCTTCTTTGTTTCTAGATTATTTTTTTTTCAACTCAGTGAAGAACATTTCTCAGAACCAAGCTTTTTGTCTGCTTGTCACTGAATCTATTTCCCATTCAACCTTCTGTTTCTCATTCCAATAGACACACAATATTAATGGTTAAAAATAACATGCAACAACTCACTGGGCGAGAAATTTAGAAACACTTGCCTCCTATGAACCCAGGGCCAAGGGGAGCTGAGGATAGTGTCACATTACCAGCATGTTCAAGCTAGACATCCTCCATCACAAAGGGCTTGTGCCTTGAAATAAATTTAAAAAGAGAGAACAAGAAAAGCCACAAAATACCTCCACATACACAACAGGCATCTTGACCAGAGCACCAGGACACATGCTCAGAGGTGGCTTAATATTCCAGAGCACATCCCTCTCCACTAAGAGCCACTCACTATCCCAGCACTTGATCTTGAGTTGAAGCACTCAGGAACAAGACCTCATTTGCCTGCTTGTCATTCTTTCTCCAACTTCCTAAGTTAAAAAATGATGAGAAAACCATGAAAAATTACTGTCAAGGGTTTCTTTTAACAGTCTGATAGTTTAGATAAGAATACAGTTTAAGGGATATATCCCATTTTCATAGGAAAGGAAAGTCGGGGAGGGGAGCCAAAAACATGAAGGGGAACCAGGAGAGCTGCCAGGAGGCTGGGAGGTGAGGAAGGGTTTCCAAGTAAGGAGCTTGGAAGGTTGTTCTCAACGATAAAACCCACTTTGCAGTGGCTAAAAATATAAGTATTTTGGTCTATTTTATATTATAGCTGTCTTTCCTTTTGTGAAGCACCAACCACTGAAGTTCATTTTGGAATCATGGCCACCCAGAAGAGGAAAGGGGTGATCATGTGTCTCAAAGAAGAGATAACTTTGAGGGAGAGGATGAAAACTGCAAAGACCCTTGGGATTAAATGAAATCTGCTGATTCTACTCTTTTTTCATGAATTTCTGTATGATATTTAGCAATTAGAATGTTTGACTGGCAATGGCCAGGTAGATTTCACCATTATGTAACAAAGAGAATAAAAAAGAAAGGAAAGGAGAAAACAATAATTGGCCTAGGAGATGGGAGTTTTGTTCTTGGTCTTAGTTGTCTCCCTAGGAGAAGCAGCTCTTTTCCATCCAAAGGTGAACAGAAGACTCTGCAGAGCATAATGTTGCTATGGCTTGTTTTACTGAAGTAAAGACACTGTAAATCTCAAAAATACTCCAACTTCCCTGATTCTTTTGGAAGTTATTGGGCATCTGCATTTTCCCAGGAGACTTCTCTCCACATTGTCGCAGTGTTGAAACTCTGAGATAAGAATTCCTTGCCCATCTTCTAACTTCCACCCAGATATCTGGCTTCTGTCAATAGGCCTTACCCAAACAGGGTTATGTATATGTATGTATGTATGTATGTGTGTGTATATATATATATATATATATATTTTTTTTTTTTTTCTGAAAGCTACAGAAGAGACCACGGAGATGTGTGAGCTGCCAAGGTGCCAATGATCAAATAGAGAAGTCTAGCTTGGAAATAAATCAAAACCATCAGAGGAATTACATTCCACCCCTAGGCTCAGTGGGAAAGAGTTTAAGTTCATGTGGATCTTGCTGTTCCGGAGCAAGCTCTGGGCTCTAAAATTGAGCTTATCTTCTCTGTCTTTCATAGGATAGCTAAGCACCCATGCCCCCTAAGGGATACTTGAAATAGGAAGATATCTTTATGTTGTGTATACTCGGTTTAGTGGCTTCAGTCTTGTGCAGATATAGATTTTCTTTGTAAGACTTCCTCCATTGGCCGCTATGGTACAGCTCAGAAAAGCTGAACTTTTCATTTCTATTTTAATATTTAATACTAAGTACAAGAGCTCTGTGGTTTCAATCAAATAATTCTCCATTCATGCCCTCAGAGTCCCCAAGAATCCTGCTATTTTCCCACCTCCCCCCCCCGATGAATATAGGTGTAGCAGAAGACAGGGAGTGGTCATCTTGGGGGAATAAGATGCTCCAAATACTCATCAGCTGTTGGCCCTGTGACCTGTTTTTCAGGATCATCATGATCCAGGTATCTGTAATGACACTCATGAAAAAGATGAAGTCACCACGGAGTCAAGGTAGAAATAGCTACTGCCCCTCTCTCTTAGCTTACTATGATAACACGATTTTATGTGAATTATTGGGAGGCAAAAGGACAAGGGAAAAATGAGATTTGTAATAGGCTTGATTTTTTTTAGATTAAAAAATTAGTCTAGTGCCCACCTCCTCCCCCCATCTTCATGCATGGGAATAAAAGCTACCTCCTCCATTTCCTCCGATCATCTGAAACTAGCCTCCTGAACCAGGCTCCGGGGATCAGTACACTCTGAAGTTGATGGTATAGAAGTCTCCTCACTCATTCATCTAAGGACTTTTCCATCTTCCTACCTCCTCTCCTATCTTCCCTCTAGGGCTAGGAAGGACTGATAAAAAAAAAAAGTTACTCTACATTAAGCAGGACACTAGAGCTCTTTCACTGTTTTTGGTTTAAGCATAATGCTGTGAGCCAAAATTTCTTCTGCAGCCCAAACTAAAGATACTAAAATCTTTGGAAAGATGGATTATATCCTGAGCTTGATATCATTCATAAGTGAACAGGTGGGTTGTAAGAGAAGGTTGTTGCAAGATTCTCTGATCTGCGGGTGCTTAATAAATAATTCACCATTGCAACCTTGTGACAAAATCAAGGTCTCATAAGTATTCTCAGGAGACTATTAATTTTGGAGCCCCCATGCTTCCCTTTCTTCAGGATTTTGGCAGGCAGTAATTATTTATTATCGGTCTGGGGGCTATAGGTTCTTTCTTCAAGAATTCATTGTGTATGTGAACTGCCTTATATTTTTCTGTTCAGAACTAACTTATGCCTTAATCCTAGAATCAGGCTTGTATGTTTGAACTTAATTAGACAGAGGTGCCCAGAAAAGGATGTAAGGGGCTCTCCCTTGAGGCTGCCCTGCTCACTGTGGGCTGACCAAAACTACTGACACCTTCGGAGTATCATGACACCCCTGCACACGTTCCTGAAGGCTCTTTTGCCATGTAGCACTCTGGAAGAAATCCTCTGTCCCAGTTTATTCTTGAGTTTTTTATTTATGTGGATTACATGCTACCTAAAAAAAATTTTTAATAATAAAAAATTATTCACAATATCTTACCCTATAGAATTCAAAAACATTTTTATTTGACCAAGTTTTCTTCACCGTGGAAACCTCTCTAACCTTTCTGATTTTCAAATTTTTGCTTTCTTCTTGCTCTTTTTGACTTGTCTCTGTAGATGTATGTGGAGTGTGTGTGTGTCTACAAAGGGAAATTTCATAGATAAGATCTGGCTAAATCAGCTGCCTAGATTTCGTGACTTTTCTCCACTGCTAGATGCTGAAAACCTACAGTGGGGGCAGACAATTCAGGCAGCATTACTCGCTGAGCTAGACTGAGAGTTAGAAATTTGGACAAGTTTTGGTTCAGCCAAGTTTTGGTTCTGTCAAGAATTTTCTGTATAATCTTACTTTTGGCTAATTATCCAATTTTGTGCTTTGACTTCTCATCTGTAAAACTGAAAGATGATCTTATTTCCAAGTCAAAGGAGGTTATTTGGAGAAGTGGTTATGGTAAATTCTTCTGTATTCACATACCAACTACTGTGATTTACTCAGAATGTACCATAGGCTAAGTGTGGTGGAGCCTAATGGGTTGCTGGTTATCCTAGAAACTCCACCATTCCCCAAGGAGGGGAGCAGAGGCAGGCTAGAACTGCAGGAGCTCAGTGCCTCTTTACATGGGAATAAGCTAAAAATGCTCGAGAAATGACTCTTCAGATTTCTATGTGACCCATTTCTCGTGCCTGTTACCAAGAAATAACCAAAGTGAATGCGCTGATCACTGAAGGTGTGCAAGAGTCTCAGGAGGAATTCTGTCATAAAGAATATGTATGTATCTAAGCAACAGGACTGTCTGTTCTCAGTAGAATGACTTCTGCTTCTCCATCCTCTTAGAACCAACCCATCAACAGGACCTTATGGATTCCATCAGGTCAAATAGGACAGTTAGCAGGATAACTATGTTGCTCTACCACAAAGAAAATGCTGCCTTCACATAAAGCCTCTTTTCTGTAATCCAAGATGTCCAGCTATGTACAGCAGGCCCCATCCTAGTCATTAAAATGCAGTGGGATTGACTGTGCTAGACTGATTGGGCTCGAGTTTGGAAACATTAAGTACCATGCACGTGTTCGAGCTCTGTGCTCACTCAACTTCTCATCCTAACATTGTTTGTGTTTTGAGGATGGGCTGCTCAGAGTCAACTCAGGATAAGTATACCTCAAGATGAATAAATTGAGAAAGAGAAGTAAAGAATGCAAGAGATGAAAAGTTAGTGAAGGGAAACACAGCTGTAAGTGCCCTCATTGACTTCTAAATGCATTTATATCAAAGAAAGGGTGATTTTACTACTTCATGTTTTTCTCAGTAAGAGTTCCACCTCCACCTAGATGCTTCACTATCCTCCTTGCTTCCTGCCTATGTGAAACCTTGATATTTTTCTTGCTCCTGACCCTGGGAGAGAGAGAACAGATAAATTATTGAATCCGTGAAGGCATTTATCCCTATTCCTTGAGAATAGGGATTCTCAAGGAATTCTCCTACCCTTATTCCTCCCATTGAGAACAGACCTCTCCACCTCTGCTCATGATGTTTCCAAGAAGAGATGTGGGCACATGTGCGAATATGTATGTATCTAAGCAACAGGACTGTCTGTTCTCAGGGGGACTGGCTTCTGCTTCTCCATCCTCTTAGTACCAGTCCATCAACAGGACCTTAGAAGGCCACATGGATTCCATAGGGTAAAATGGGAAAATGGAGACGATAACTAGGTTGTTTCATCACAAAGAACATGCTGCCTTCACATGAAGCCTGAATATTTCTGTCAAACCTTGAGGGATCAATGATCCACAAGCCAGGTAGAGCAAAGAGAAAACACTGGCTGCATAAATTATGATATGTCTCTTTATCCCATTCTAAATGAACACTTTCATCTACCATAACATGATTGACATAGGAAATTTGGATCTATTTGTTAAGATTGTGTGTGTGCATTAGGGAGGTACATAGGCATCAGAATGCTCATGGCAAAGAGATCAAATTCTGTGTAGTTGTGCTGTTCAGGTGAATATCTGAGAGCAAAGTATAAACTACTGAGAGTATAACTCAGCCAGAGGCAACCTAATGGCCAGGTCTCTGGTTTGCAGAGGGTTCTTATGTCATGGTCAAAGGGAGCATTAAAATAGCCATGGATTTCAAAAGAAAATCAATTACAATTAAAATGTGACAATGACAGTTAACTGCAAGACTGTTCTGAATAGGGCTGAAGTTTTAGGCAGGCATGTTTTGTTTCATTTCGAAAAAAAAACAATCCCCTCTGGAAACAGGTAATATACTTATCCTAGAGGAGCAGGCAGCTCAACAAATTCGCATTCCTGTGGCCCCTTCCCCTGATGCTGTTCTCCTGTCAGATTTCAGAGACTATGAATCTCTTACTGCAAGGGGGACAGATGGAGTCACAGCCTGGTGGCCTAAATTCTGTGGGTAAGGGTGGTGTGATAAGTCACTCCCTCTGCCCAGGGTGATGATCAAGGGCTCCTTGGGTGCTGTAATCTGAAGGACCTGGGCAGGAATGACATGGGGCCAGGTTCCTTGTGGATATCAGGACCTCACACATAAGGTTGCATTCAGGTTCCTCACTCATCTCCGCTTTGGTCCTTGCTCTTTCAAGTTTCCCTACTTTCCGAAGCTATCATTGAAGCCAGTAACCAAGGGGGAACCATGTGCCTCACATGTCAGCTTCTGGCTTTATTGGTGACACAAAAGGAAGCTCCAGTGTAGACTTCCTGTTCTTTTCCTTCCTCATATCCTCCCTTTCCTTTTATGGGTATTTGTAGGCAAAATAATTGACATGAACAGTTCATGGCTAAAATGCCTAGAATTTTGGTCCATTTATTGGCCCAAATGAGATTCATGAACGTCCTTCATGAGGATGGCTGTCTTCCTACCCTCCCACCAGCTGTTTACCAGATAATTTGTTTCATCAGCTAAAAAAAAAAGTCTCATAGTATAATGAAATGGGTTTTGCTCTAAAATATTAACTATTCTCATTTTCAGGAGCAAGGCTATCTAGACCCCATAGGACTTTTGAAAAGCAAAATTATCTCTCTAGACTTATATTTTAATTTTCACTAGGTATCTCCCAAGTTGTCACAAGTTTTGCCCTACCTTGCCAATAATAATTGTCCTACCCACTCCTGTCTCAATGAAGAGTGGACTTTCTTCACTTTTTTTTTAAAAAAAGAGACTTGTCACTGCCTGTAACTTATTTGAGTTCAGTTCTCTATAGTATGCTTTAAATTAGCACACAGTGGCAGAAGATGCCTCCCAAAGGGGAATAATTCATAGCCAATGGCATAATGAGATTTACAGAGAAGGCTGGCCGGGAGAAGGAACGAAAACATTATCGGTTACCAGAGCAGCTGAAGTGAAAGGACAGTACGAGCTCCAAGAGTTTCTTCAGAGGGACAGAGACTGACACTGGCTAGAAAGAATGATTGATAGATTGCTAAGTAGAGCCAAGAGAGGAGGAGGAAGGGTTAACAGGGCTTCAAGAATACAGGGACCAGAGGATAAGGGAGGGCCATAAGGTCAGAAGTGATGTTGTCTCCCCCTGAGGTAATGAATCCCTTTATATTTACAGAGAAAGGAGTAGTTTAGAGACTAGCATTCTCTCTGAGCCAGCTCATTCAAATCCTAACTTACTTTCATTGTAAATATACAGATAAGAGGTAAAGTGCTCAATTACCTCAACTCTTATCCTCCCTTTGGGAGAAGTGATCCTGTAGACAAAGCCTCAGAAAGGGTGAGAAGCCAAAGAACTCAGGAAAGAAATATAAAGACAAGGTGGTGACCAGCACAGACAGTTCCCCCAAGGCCACAAATGTGGAAGTAGCGTGTGGTGAAATACAGTGGTCCTGTTGGACCACCACCTGGGGTCTACAAGGCTGTGTGATTAGTGAGCCAGAACTGTGACAAGGTTCTTTTGGTGCTGAAAGTGTTAAAAAAGAAGCTAAATATTGGATCACAGATCAGTCCCAGCATGGATCAGGTTATTAGAGACTCAATCTTGGTAGTAAAGTGTCTGGATACAAGCTCTACCCAAAGCATCTGAAAAGCTGATACCTAAAATTTGATCAATATCCTTCATAGTTTCTCCCTCTGTCACTTACTTGAACACATGTAGTGTTCCAAGTACACTTTCCTAACCATAAAACAGTCCAAAACAACTTCAAAGGACAAAGCACTTAGAAAAAGGACAAAGCACTTAGAAAAATCCAGATTCCATTTGAAATAATGAACTGTATACATGTAGTATATACATGTGATTGTGTGTGCAGATATATATAGAGAAACTGGGGGGATTCATCCTTAGGTGCTACTGCAGATACAAATGGGCAAAATAAAGTGACTCCTTCTCAATTATAATTTATAATAATATCAAATATTTACTAATGCCTTTCATATACAAGGCACTCTGTTTAGTGCTACAGGAGATAAAAAGATTTAAAAATACATGGCCCTGAACACAGGGAGCTTATGCTGTAGCAGGAGAGATGAGATGTATAACCAAATACCTATGAAATAAGATGGCCCATGATAGCTGCCACTAGGGAGAAACAACGAAAGTGTTATGGGCATTCATAAAATGCCTAAAATTATTTTCTGAATGGAAGATAAAGAAGTTGTTCTGGTCTTTGAAGACTTATATAGAGGGAATGGATATTATTCAAGAAGGGAGTGAGATGGGAGATAGGAAGGAGAGTATTTTGGACAAAGGGAACAGTTTAAGGGAAGACGCAAGTGGGAAAACAAGCTGGTAGGGAAAGGTGAAACAAATGTTATTCAGCTTGTCTGGATTATGGGACACACACATAGTCAAGTAACAAGAAATTATTGCTGGCAGACTACGGCAAGTGAAGCCCACTGAAGGTTGTTTCTTGATCTGAAGAATGACATCTGATTTATATGTAGGAAGTGAGTACTGACAAGAGTAGATTCAAATATAAAATATTGGAACAATGCTAAAAGACGCTGAAATAATCCAGACTAGAAGGAAGGGTCTGAATGAAAAGGAAAGACTGGAAACCTTAGGGGGAAGAATTAGTAGGCTTTTCAAATTTTTAGATATGCAGGATGAAGAAAATGGAGGAGGCAAAAGTGCCTGAAAAGCTTGAGTTCGGTGACGGAAGACATGGTGATACCATTAAGCAAAAGGAGGAAGTTGGTGATTATGTTGGTTTGCAGCAATGGTTTTGGATATTTGAGTCAAGATGAAGTTGAGTGTTCAGAAGGTGACTGGAAGTATGTGTATGAAGGAAAAGCAAAAGGTAGGGGCTAAAAGTGAAGATTTGGGATTCATCTTCATTCAAAGAGTTATTGAAATCATAGAAGACAGAAAGATTGCTACAGAAGCATTAAGATAAGGAGAAGAGGGTCAAGCTCAGATATACCATGGCAAGTCAATGCTAAGGAGATAAGAGGAAGAGCAGGAACCAATGAGGTTAGAGGACCAGAGAACTAAGATTAAAACCAGAATGTATTGCCTCCCAATGGTAATTGTCAATGAGGTTGAAGAGCAGGGTAAGTAAAGAAAAAAGGCTATTGACTTTTGTAACAAGAACTTCATTGGAACGTTGCCTGAGAGTAGTTTCAGAAGAGTGGTAGGGTGTAGCCCATTGATGAAGCCATGAGCATAAGGTGAGGAAGTGGAGAAAGAAAGACTACCCTTTTGAGAAGTTGGGAAGTGAAAAGATAGCGATAGGACAGAAATTCAAGAGTCAAATTGGATTGAGAGATTTGTCTTTAGAGATAGTTGTAGGACGGGTGTTTTTGAGATAGTTGCAGGTAGATGTGTGGAAGGAATTAAAGATGCAAAAGAGAGAAATACAATTGGCTGGAGAGCACCTCAGAAGAGGTCAGAGCATAGGGAAGAGGAGCACTTGGTTGGGAGAAAGGATGGAAAAGATGTGTGAAAGACAAGAGAAATCTAAAGGCAGAGAGGACAGCATATGTGAGGATTCAATAATCAGATTTTCTTGCAAACACAGTAGGAAAGATTGCCTGTTGAAAGACAGGACATGAACATGAAAGGAAAATAAAACAAATTTATCAAGCACAGAATGTGACACTGAGTCAACATTGGAGAAATTAAAAAGTCCAAGTGAGTAGGCTTCAGGTGAGGTTAAATTGATTGAATTTGTGCTCTTCACGTAGGTTTAAGACTTGCTCTTCTTGGGGATGCAATGAATGACAAGGGGATGGGATGCAGTTAGCTAAGCATGGTTGGTGTAGTGAGATGGCAAGAGGAAAAAGGAATTGCCGGTGAGAATATTGCTAATGTGGGTAAATACAGGGTTAGACCAAAGAGGGAATTCAATGAGGCCTGATGGATTTATGGACCAGAACAACAGAGGGGTCTTGAAGGAAGGAAGATATAGAAAAGGCAAGGTTGTGGTTAGAGAGGAAATCCCAGAGTTTTAGCTCTGGGAGGTGTAATAATTTCAAAAGAATAAGTCCAGGCCTGGCCATGACATGGGAAGCTGAATCTCTGCAATGTTTTTTCAAATAGCATAATGGATATCTTTGACTCCTACCCTGAAACCAGAAAATATTAAACTTGCATGTATAATCATACAAATGTATGCATACCTATTTATACATACATTTACATATTTTATACTTATGCTTTCATATATTCTACGTGAGTACAATATACTCCATTTTGAAACCTTTTATATCATTCACAGAACTAGCCTAGGGACATAGTACGTGCACAATAGACGTTGGTTTAATTAAACTCACATATTTAACCAGAGAGCTTTTATTTTTTTCTCCTGCATAGTACTAGAATCTGCTCCACCTCCTAAATCACAACATTAAAATAATTACCGATAAAAGAGTTCAGGTTTAAAGTGTGGAAACCTAATCTTTAAAATAACAGTTTAAATTGGGCTTAGTGTTGTGCTTTTTAATTGTACCTTAATTCTTGCACTGAGTTCTTTCACCTTCTCCAAAACACAGATTCTACACACCAGAGTGCCAAGGCTCTGAGGAATTCTACTCATCTACTCTGCTTTTCACCTTCAGTTCTTTCAGGAGCCCTTAACCACATAATCACCCCAGCAATTATATTCAAAGCATGAAGCAGCTCCAGAAACTCACTGTACAGAGCTCTTGAGAGATGTAGAGAGAAATGTGGAAGATTTCTAACTTTCCCTACTTATTCCCAGTACTGCTATTCTAACCCATTACTCTGAACAAAATTCTTTTTTCTTGCTTCAATATTGTAAATGAGAAGCCCTAAACGTCACAGTTCTCTCCAAGGCATGAAAGTAGCAGCACTGGCTTTCAATTTAAGGTTTTGGGTGAGGGCCTTTGTCATAGGAATAGATAGGCTATCTCTTCTAAGTCATAGAGCTCACAGGGCCACTGTGTGACTGAATCAATGTGGTTGGAATGAGTTGAGGGTGGGATGTTCTCAGATATCCTATGATTTTATACAATACTGCAACCCCACCCCCCAAACTAGAATAGAATCCTAGATTCAGATCAATATTAGACATTCTCAGACTGACTAATCTGCCATTTTAGTGTCATCCCAAACATCTGCTAGGCCTAAGAAACAATTGCCCCCCAGGTTAAGTAGCACCTGAGGTCATAAGTGGCTCTTTTACCAGATAACAGGGCACCCCCTATGGAGGTGGAAAGTATAGGATATAGACCAACTCAGCTAATTGGAAGATTAATTAAACTGGGACAGAAACCAGACAATGACAGTAAATTTTATTGTATCACTAATTCAATTTGATTTTTCTAGCTGCCTACTCAGTAACATGTAATGGAGGAGAAGCATCACTCTTCTATTTTCTATGGAAAGAATCATAGTTCTCAACCTGCCCTACAAGATACTGAATTTAGAAATTCATAAATTATACACTCATATGATTGTGTATTGAAAATAATTCCTAACCAGGAGTCCTATTTAGGTGTCAAATGAGGCTTAAATAAAAGCAGGCGGAGGCCAAAATATGGTTTAAATGTCTTTGCCATCTAGAACCTGTATCCTTGTTCCCTACTCTATTGCTCTCAGTGCTCTCTGCTCCCTTCCTCTTCTCTTGTATCATAACTTATTCCCAGGAAAAGGAGTGAGATTCCTAATGTAAATTAGGTGATTAAATGTATACATCCCTAATATGGCTTAATATGTCACCTTTCCTGGGATTACTTTCATTCGAATGACAGACAGCTCAGCTCAGTGCTAAAGCAACAAATCTGTGTGGGAAGGTGGTAGTTGCAGTGGGGTGGGAAATGAAAAAGACCTTTTCAGGACCTTCAACACACCATGGACCACATAGCATACATAAGGCCAGACCCATCCCAGTGTGACTATTCACTTTCAGCTGCTTCTCCTCCATGAAGAGCTCCTTAAACAGGAGGAAAAGTCTCTGACACCCAAGTGAAGAAAGCAAAAGCTCTGCTGTAGTGTGTAGCAGCCTACTGAGCATGTATTTCCTATATGGCTTTGGGCTCAGAGAGCACATAAGGTATGGCCACAGTCCCTGGAAATGCTGAATGCATTCATCAATATCACTGCAGTGACATCATTTATGCACACATCTGAATCATTCCTAACATACAAAAACAGACATTCACAGGGTGTCAAGCAATGACAGGGCCTTTTTAGAGAGATGATGATTGAAAGAATAAAGTGAGTTCTGGAATAGTTTTTCCAAAAGCTTATTGCCCAAACAATCTGGTTATTCTATCTGTAAATCTTGAACTAACTAACTAAAAACCGACCAAAAAAAAAAAAAAAATGAACCAAAGAAACCTAGTTCTTAGTGACATGTGCAGGTGACCAGCACTCTGCAGAGAATTCTCCCTTGGGCAACTCCTGATGGCCACGGAAGACCGGGTGAGTGATAGTCACTTAACTGTATAGACAACTCCTACTGTATCATGTCATACATGCGTTTTTGGCACTACTGACACCAGCAACATTTAATGGAATCATTTGGGATTTTCCCCTCAATCACAACATGGCTGTGGCCAGTGCAGGGAAATACATATGAAGGATGTTTCCCAAGTTCTGGCTGAGGATACACAGTGACAGATTTTGAAATAACAAAGTCCACTGTACATGCATCACTTTGAAGGGTGTGCAAAGTCTCGACTCAGGCAAATTCAAGGGTCAGATTATTGTCAGTGGAAATGCTGAGATTTAAGCATTGCCACTGAAAGGAGTTCATACAGGACCACACTCACCAACCACTTCTGCAATGGAAGGGAATGATAGAGGGTACAAAGCGAGAAAGCATGGATTCTGAAGAACATGGGAATATTAGGTGCTCCTGAGGGTATCTGCGGAATCTCACAGTTTTGGATGGATTGGGTGTTGTTTCATACCCATCTGTGATATAGATTGGGCTTATAGCTGAATTCTTCCTCATGCATTTTACTTGCTTGTTATTCTGGAATTAAGTAACATCTAGATTTTAACAATGCCCAGCCTTCCTTTCTTTAAGTTTTCTTAAGCAGACCATGAGTAACTTAGTCCCAGTGCAAATATCCAGTTGAAGAAAAGCAACCAACTGGGGCCAAATAAGTTTAGAAAAATAAAATTGTCCAGCTAACAGCTTTTATGATGGGAGGATAGGAAAAAATGTAGTGAATATACTGGGTAAATGGATTTGGAAATTTTATCCTGTGATAGAGGCTGCCAACCTCCACAAAGCCAACAGTCTAGGAAAAGAAGTTCTATTTGTCTGGTTAACCCAAGGCCAGATTATGAACACCTGGCTCGAGGCCAGTAGCACCTTCCTGATGGCAGTAATGAGGACAAGGCAAATAAAGAGCCGCTATTGGCACCATTGCTCACATACCCACCCTCCCACGTCTAAACCTAACTTCAGCAATCTTGCTAAGGGAATCATCTCACCACTGAGTTTCTAGTGGATCCCATCATCTTTTCTAGAAAAGCATGCAAATTTGTAAGACACATATCCAGCACTACCTCTCTGTGACCAGATATCACATGCTTCAAAAAGTAGAGTTAGTGGAGATTTTTCCACGTGTGTTTGCCAGGCTGACTTCTGAGGGTGGAGATGGGGCAGGGAGTGAGTCAGCGCCCAGGTCCTAAAGAAGAAAAGACTCAGATGACTGAGACGATTGTTTCAGCATCAGAGGAGGCCGCTGGGAGATTTCTCAGGATTGAGCTTCCTGAAACCTTTCAGTCACGCCAAGAATGGGAAGTTAATTTGACCTTAATTCTGTTTAAGCCCTTTTGGGAATCTTTCCTACCCTAGGTACTGACAGAGGAAATATGGTGCCACCAGCCTGTCTTTGTGTGGAATGTGGTAACCTAGGGTCTACCTAGAAGATAGGAGTCAGACCTGGGGTTTGCTTAGAGCCAAATTGAACCCTATGTAAAACCCTGGCCAAAGTGCATGAACATTTCTCACAAACCAGTAAGAAGACTGGTTTTCTGGGGGGGATGGACACAATTACTTTCCCCTGGCTTTTTCACCATAGTGGCCTCCATGAGCATTCGCTTTTTCCAGACACCCTGAAGCAAAAAAGCCATACAAAACAATTCCCCCAATGGGAAATGAAAACCCATAACAAAACACTTTTTCCCTCTCATTCCCATCACCACCCCACTCCCTCCAGCCCAACACCCTGAATACTCACAAGAGAACACTTTATCTATACAAAATTAGAAAACAAAATATTTACATATGAAATAAACACCATCTTGATTTCTGTTGCCAGCGGAGACTGAAAGAGCTCCCTTGGTTCTAGATTGCTGTTCGCTAGGTTAGTTGGTTTGGTTTTTTTGTTTGAAAGGGGTGAGGTAAGAGGAAGATGAGGGGATGAGTCCCTGACCCCTGGACAGAGTCAGGGCGAAGCAGTGTTTACGTGGCCCTTCGCCTTCTTCCTCCTGGAGGTGCCTCATGCCCTCTGTCCTCTCTCAGTCTTTTCTGTTATCTAAGGTAAAGCACTCCGTGCTCCTCTCACCAAATCTGTGAGAGGTTCAGCCCCTTGCCCCCATGTTCATTTTAGAAAGAAAACAAAGCTTTACAAGGCCTTCAGTTGGCTTTAAAATGAAAGATACTGAGGTAAAAATCAAGGAGGAGGGTTGGGGACAGCAGTCAAGGGCGGGATGAGGAAGGGTCACGAGTGAGGGCAAACAGGGGCGAAGAGCAGCCCTGGAGGGAGTGACTTGAAGAGACATGGCAGCTTCCTTCCAGAGGAGGATGAGCACCTTTCTGGTTTATGTGTCCTGTGTGCAACATGGCGATCCTGCAGTCAAGCTTCCACACAGACCTGGGGCTCTCTGGATGCCACCCTGTGTAGGGGAGGATGGCAGGACAGTGGAACTGACCCATAGAATAAATAGCCCTACCGCAAGTTTCAGGACCGGCAGTGATACATATTCATTTCCCTTCTCAATTTTCCAATGTTAAGTGAAGGGAGCATCAGTTCTGCTGGTACCCTCATCCCTGGAGTTTTATACATGTATATCTTTTTTTATTCCTCAATGGTACAATCTGAGAGGGAAACAAGGTGTTGCAGGAAGGTAGAAGGGCTTCTACCAAGAGTGTTCACTCTGGGCTCAAGTCACATTCCCAGGGAGCCAGGCCCAAAGAGGTGGTGGAGGGTCCCTCTCTGCCCCCGTCTCCCATTTCCAAGTCTCTTCCCCTCTTTTCGTACCTCCAGAGCTGCACTCATGGAGTGCAGCTCATTTCTCTTAAAGGTCAAGCTCATTTCTCTTAACTGTCTGCTCTGTAGCAGTTGTAATCAGTTTTGGGGGGAAGAAGCCTGCTCGTCTAGCTTCAGGTTAAGTAAGAAGGGATCAAAGCATTGGAAACATCCCCCTCTCTCACTTACCCTACCATACACGACTCCTTACTTCTTCAAAGGTGGCTTCGTTCTTCCCCAAACCTTGGCCAGTCGAGAGTCTAAATGCTCAAAAGAGCTTTGTAGAATCTTTTGCTCCCAAGTGTGGGCAAAAGAATCATGGCTGTGAAAATTCGGTTTCCCTTTAGCCTTCCTGGAAAGTTCTTGGTTCAAACTGGTTGAAACAATTGCCAACCACTGAGGACTTGTTTATGTACCTTGTTCTTGCAGGATTGCTCACCGCCTTTTTTTGTTTAGACCACAGAATCTTCTTTATCAAGAATTTTCATTCTCCTTATTCCAGAAGGATGAAGGGAGACACAGCCAAAATTCAGGTAATACATGGCCATCTCTGTCTGTATATAAGCCAAACAATCACACTGCTTGGGGATATTGAAAGAAACAATAGAAAGAGTCAAGGTTGCCTTCTCTTGAGGCACCTGACTACACATGGGTGCAAGTGTGCATGAACACACATGCACGCACAATCCACCTGCTCTTGTCCCCAAGGCACCGTGGGACACTATCATAACGTACTTTCCAGTTTGTTCAAGAATCCACTCTGCCACCAATGACCTTTTGTTCTGTTCACCACCACTATCGAGTCTCATGGGGTTGAAGCAAGCATTTTTTGGCTTATATATAAACACAAATGGCCTCCCAACCTCTGCTTGGCACATGATTCCTAGACAGATGTCATCTAAGCAGCATGAATTTAGCCAGAGCCTCTTTCCTTTCACAAGCAGTGTGCTAAATGGTCTCACATAGATGCTTTTGCTTCCTCACCTAAATGAAAAGATCAGTTTGGGAAAAGCTACCTTTGTGCTCACATAGCCTCTTTTTGGTTCTCCCAGCTTCACTCAAAGAGGATATCAAGGAGCTCTTCCACACCAGGAGGAAGCCCGCATGCAGCCCTTCCTTTCTCCGCTCTACCCTCCCCTGCTGAGAGGGCCCATGGCATCATCTCATGGGAACAGGAATGGCTGACAGCGGGGGGAAGAAGGAGAGAACTGTGAAAAGGAGGAGAGATGGTGCTGGTCACCAGGGTTGCCCCCAGTAGGAACCAGAACTCCAGGATCCCATAAATAAATTAAAACAAGAAAGGAGCAAATGGGAACCAAGTTCACCCCCGTCACCCTCCGTGACATGCGCATCACGCGACCCACAGCCTTACCCTCCCGTACCCACCTTAACCTCTCTGTTCCCTCACTCAGACATCAGACTCAATACTAGAAAGTTTCTCATAAACATGCCCATTGCTGGAGCCATTGAAAGCCCTGGGGTTTTTGTTGTTAGGCACACAGGGGTTGGACTGGTTCCCTATACAGATGTCCTTCTGGAAACGGGCTGGCACGGCCCCATGAAGGGCCGAGACCACCGGCTTGTTGGTGACAAGGGCCCGGAAGTCCGGCCTGGCTTTCGACGCCCCCGCCACCGTGGGCTGCCTGAAGAAGTAGGATTTGCTGCCATGGAGCAAGCACTGGTCGTCCCCAAAAGTGGGGATGAAAGGGTTTTGCGTGACCCGGTCAGGGTAGAGCGACTTGCTGAGCATGTACCCGCCGCCGGGGTTGTTGTGGTGGTGATGTCCGGCAGTGGGCACTGAGGACTTGTTGTTGGCAAAGGTGCTCTCGCCAGCTGACATCTCAAACATGTGGGCGTAGGGGCTCCCATCCATGAATCGGCCCTTGTCTTTCAGGCTTACGCTGCGCGGGGCCAGGGCGGCTTCTTCCTTCTGCAGGTCCACGAAGGTGTCGTAGGAGTGCTGCCGGCGCAGTTTGTTCCGGTTCTTCTTCTGGGCCTTGGAATTAGTCGGGCTCTGAGGGTACTTAGTGGTGGAGGCGTTTGACGTCACCGCCACTGGGGCAGCCGGCTGGTCCAGTTCCTGCAGGGAGTTGTCCTCACTGATGTCATACAGGTTGCCTGCTTTCTTGCAAGCCTCACACCGGATGCACGCCTGCCTGCCCGAGTTCTGACCCGTCACCGTCGTGGAGTAGTTGTGCAGCTTGGAGGGACAGCTGCGGCAGAAGTTGCCCCCGGACCGGTCCTCCCACTCCACGTTGGTCAGGTTCTTCTCCCAAGGTGCAGGTACCCCGCTGACCACGCCGTGTTTGTCGCCCGTCCCGTGCTTGATGTGAGACCTGTTGGTACAGGGCCCTCCTCCGCTGACGGAGTCGCGCTTAAAGTCATCACTCCGCTCCTTGTAGATGTCGGTCAGGTCTACGTGCTCCCAGTGGGGTGAGTTCTCCTTTGTTCGGAACTGGTCCAGGTAGAAGTCCCGTAGCCCTTCCTTGTCCCTGAAGTAGCGCTTGTGGTCAGGGGAGCGGGGCGGTCGGCGACGGTAGGCCAGCTCGATCTCGTCAAACTCCCTGCGGGACTTGGCCGAGGCAGGCCGCTTCTTCAGGCTGTCCTTATATTGCTGCTTACGCCTCTTGGCGGCATTGCCCTCGATGTTCCCATAGGTGACGGTGTGGGTTGAGATGTCAGAGACATCGGAGCGGATCAAGTCGTCGTGGCCACTGTAGCGGTCGCTCTTGAAGGAGAATTTGCCGTACAGGTCACTGAGCTGGCTGTGCTTGGAGGAGGGGAGGCCGATGTCCAGGGGCTTCTTGCTGATGGACCTGGACTGGGTGGTGAAGGGTGGGTTGTCACAGTCGTAGAGCCCATCGATGGAGCTGGCACTGCCAATACTATGGGGCCGGTGGTGATGGTGGTAGTGATCTTGGTACACGTTGCTGTCCTTCAGCTGCAGGTTCCCGAACGTTCTCTCTACCTCACTGATGTAGTCACTGAAGAGGTTCTCCTCACAGGGCGGGTTGTTGTAGGATTTGCAGTCAGAATGCGTGAAGCTGCGGCGGTGCTCTGAGATGTCATAGACGGATGACTCCCGTCGGATGAAGTCCAGGGCGCTCTGCGGTGAGCCATTCACACCAGACAGGTTAGCCATGTTCTTGGCCGTGCGCAGCAGGCGCAGGATGTTGGAGTGTGTGTTGTTCATGGTTGCGGTGGGGGAGTTCATTACAGACTGGCGCTCCTCGATCGCCACCCCATGGATGCAGCTGTAGATACCCTGAAGCAAGAATGGAGGGACAGGTTAGATCTCCAGAGAGGCTAGAAATGACCACAAAAAACACTCTCCCACCAATAATTGCTCCAACTGGATAAGAAAAAGGGAAAGCATGAAGCGAATAGTCTAATATACTATTAGATGTGGCTAGAAGTTTGCCTAATTTATACCCCTAAATTTGGTGACTGTCATGTGGTGAGCTGAGGTCAGTGACCTGGCCATCAGAGGGGGGGGCATGGCCCCACCCAGTAACTTGAGCAAAGGGACTGGAATCATAAGATATGGCATTTTTGCCTCAGCTTCACTGTTGACTTACCGTGGTTTTCTATGCCTAGATTTTCACATCTTAAAAATGAGGCCATGATATCAACCCATAGCAAAAAATATCATCAGCCTCCTGGAAATAAACGGCCATGTTCTATGGACACTGAGGTTGCTCTGCTGTGGCTGGGCCACACCTGGCTGACAGTAAAGCACAGGGGAGCTCAGTAGCTTACAACTGTCACTCTTTTCTAGCTCTGACAAATTTTAAGCAGGTTTAGAATTTTGGTCACCAAATAACAGCTGAGCAATTCTCTTCTTGAGCCAAGCATGAACAAAATTCACAGAAAGAGAGAATTAGCAAGCCCTGGGGTCAAAGAAGGATTTTTCTCCTGCTGTGTTCTACACTGTGGGAGGGAAGAATTGGGAAAAACAGCCAGTACTAAATAGGAATAAATAACTCCCTTGTTGAATTCTCTCATTTATTCTCTCTTTAGCTCCTGTTTTCCTTCTTATACTTTCTCACTCACTTAATATTATCATCAATAATTAACATCTTAACAAATTAGTATTGATCGAGAGCTCCCTGTGTACAGCTCTTTGTACAGGGCTTTGAAGGACACCGTGCAGGAGAGGCAACGGGCTGGGTTCCTGGAGGGCTCAGTATGTTTGATTCTAAAGTCAAGCCAACCTCCTTCTCACATCTTGTTCCCTGCCTGGAAAGGTGGACAAACTTGGAACTTTTCTCCCTGGCTAGGGAAAGCATATGAAAAGAGGTTGTTTGAATTGTGTCATTATAATGAACGGGACTAATTTGGAAAGGGAAGTTGTCTCCGTGGATGGGAATGAGAGGGGAGAGGGTTAGAAGAATCGTAGCGAAATGGGAAAGAAGAAAGGTTTAGACAAGGTAAGTCTCATTGTCTCACAGGGCATCAGCAAGATGGAAGATCTTCAAGGTAAGGTTATTCCACTTTCCCAGTTCTTCTAACCCTTCCTGATTAAGCTCAAGAGAAAATTCCAAGCCTTTTTTCCTCTATAGAGGCATTGATCATGTCAAAGGATTATAAATGGGGTTTTTATTACACATCACCAGCTCCCATGGCTTCTGGTGTTCCCCTATCTGAGATCTTAGGGAAGGGCTACCAAGGAAGCAACATGGCTCAGGGATCATCACCACCCCAAGTTCCAGCCTCCTGTTCTGAGCTCACCTGATGGCCTGAATTAACTCACAGCCAGAAAGGACACGGAGAAATTGTTCTCTATCAGTAAAATACTATAGGAAAATGATGAAAAGATGAAATAATTTAACGAGAAATCAATTTTCTCATTAATACAAAACTCCATTTGAGTCAAAGTTGGTTGGCCATATCTGGAACCTAGACCTTCATTCTAAAAGGACATTTGAGTTCACCTCTCATGACTTAGTCTCTCCACTTTATTAACAAAACCAAAAGAAGCTCACTTTTTAAAAAAACTTCTCCCTGTGACCTGTTCATACATAAAACTGTCTTCCTAGTGTCTCATTTTAGACTAGGAATGAAGAGGAGACCTAAATAAAGAATGACCTAAGAGTTTTACTCTTGCTCCAACTAGGGAAGTTTCTGGAATGTAAATTTCTTATGAGTCAGAGCTTATTTCTAAAGGTTCTGTTAAGCTCTTCAACTCTCCATAACCAACACATGGTTAAAACATAGAGTGAAACAACTAATAATATACCTTTGTATGTTAAAATAAGAGAGATATGTTACATATGATTATTTAAATAGAAATGTACATTTTTAAAGGATTAGACAGTTAATACAATTTATACAGAACCAACTAATGGTGATGAAAGACATTTGGTAAAAAGCCAAATTTTCCATTTTGACAGATCTGTCAGTTCTTACAGAGAACCAACTGCCCAAATCCCACACAGAAAGCTGTTTCTTGAAGGAAATATAGTATCACCCACTTTTCTGAGCCACTTGCAATCATATCACACAAACTCCTAAGAAAACATACATGATGTGGTTTCTTGCTTGAGCAACATGGGGGTGGAGATAGTGTCCTCTTGGTTCTCTCTGCTTTGCACAGTGCTAGGCTAAGCTGTCCCTAACAAGCTTTAGGCATTTAAATCAAAACACTTACTCTGCTGATGGAGAAGACCATGCCAGGCTTGCCAGAACAGACACCCATAAAGCAATGTCGGAACTGCCAATAGAAAAGGTGTTCGCAGATGAAGGTGATGAGGCTGAGAGCCATGGCCGCCCCCAACATGTAGAAGACCCCTGCCATGTTGTCAATGTCCAGCTGGCTGCTCATGACCTCATTCTTCTCATTGTGACAAATGCCAGTGAGCCAGAGAGCTTCCAGTTCTTCCATCTCCCCTGGGGAAAGGACAGAGAAGGAAAATGGATAAAAAGAGGAGACAGGAAAGGAGCAGAGAAAAGGGAGAAAGAGGAGTATTGAGCAAGAAAGAGAAAGATACGTGACAGAAAAAGAGACAAGGAGACAAAAAGAAAGGAAATGAATAAAGTTAACAGTAATCTTATTAATGCCATTACATATTAATTCATCAACGTACTTAGTAAGCATTCAATAAAAATTTCACATGAGTACCGCAGGCGATATGAACACATGAGACGTTGCTCCCGCTCTCCATTATCTAGCCTGTATAAATTGGCATATAAATAATCACAATGACAAGCTGTCTGCAGGTAACAAGAGTCCAAATTGGTGACAGTAATTCTGTGGATGGCATGGCCAGTGGGTTTTCGTGAAGTAAGTAGGAGTTGGAAGTGGGCATGCTGGATGGATGAATTTTAATTTACATTGTACAAAAAGGCACTCCAGGCAGCAGGAATAGTATGGTCGGTGGGAACACACAAGGCTTGTTTAAGTAAAGGCATGCAGAACAGTTCAAACAGAAAAAGGTATAGTAGGCAAAAGAAGCTGAATAAAAAAGAGTGATGTAAGAGTGCTGAAGATCTGAGTATCAGATTAAGCATTCTGTACTTTATATTATAGACAGTGGGGAATAACATAATCAAACGAGTGATTCAGAAAATTGCCCTTAAAATTGTGCAAAGCAGATTGGGTAGGGAGAAGACAAGCAGAGAGAGATGGGCAGAGAGATTGATTGATTCCCTAGGGCCCCTCAGATTTACTGATCTCTTGTTGAAGAAAATAAAGAGCAAAGAGGAGTAAGCTTGGATAAAATAAGACCCCCAAATTCAGACTTGCCTTCTTTACACATTGTTTAACGGTGCTTTGATCACTTTAACTCATGTCAGATTTCAATGACCTTTTTCCACTTCACCAGATGCTAGGAAGTAGGAGGAAGTAGGAAGAGGTCCCAGACAAAAGGAAAGTAAAAGAAACCATGTGCCCTAGAATGCATCTAATTCTAGACAAGCAAAATTCTGAAAAATCTCATGGAGAAAATTGCCTATTCCCATAGTTCTACTTTGGCTAAAAAATTGAACTTTGCTTGCATAATCTGACTAAAGTTTTGGCAACTTTTGCAAATCATCTCTTTCTCATGGATACAGTCTCCATTATTGCCTTTGAGTGACAGCTACACTAAAATTACAGAAGCTCTTATACCAAAATGGCTTGGTAACACTCCAGCTAAAACATCCTCCTGTTTCCAATGTTAATCAAATCACTTTTCCCTTATTTTTTTGATCAAACTATGATTCTCCTAACTAGTGGAGCAGACAACTTCACCTGGATTCTAAAAATCCACCTGTGGTCTTCTGCTTCTGATCTCATCCTTAACAGCAAAGCTGCAGACATAATTGAGATAGCCACTTGGCTGATGGCTGGTGAAGCCAACAAGGGTCTGGCTGCTCATCCACAACTGAGTTAGTTTCTGTAATGCTAACAGAAACAGTAGTTTCTTTGTACAATAAAGTGAAGAGGGATGCAGAAGACAGGAATATAATGAAACAGAAGATGAGATTTTTTTCAACTCAAGTTGGTGGTTCAGTCTGCTGCCAGGATGATACTGGGGAGTGGCTGATGGTGTCTGCCTCTGAGGACCCTAACCCTGCCTTCTGCCTCTTCCAGCTGAAAGAGCAAGATGGGAGAGCAGGAAGAATGAAGAGATGGCCGCAAGTTTATTTCTCCGCCCTACCTCTGGGCACATAAAGAGCAGAGACCTTCCACAGTTCCATCTATTATTTTGGCCACATGTGAGATGACTGGATGAAACATCTAATATCAGTTCTCCTACTTTATCCCTGAAGGTTTGATTATAGCCTGCAACCCAGAAAAAGACCTCCTTGACAAACTGCTTCAATCCTCTCCCTGCCATCTTTCAGCTTGTTATGGGTTGAAAGATGTTATAGAATCCCCCTAAAATATATATGTTGAAGTCCTAACCCCCAATACCTTGGGATGTGACTTTATTTGGAAATAGAGTCATTGCAAACATAATTAAGCTGAGATCATCCCAGAGTATGGTGAACCCCTAATCTAATATGACTGGCATTCTTAAGAAAAAGGGAAATTCAGACACAGACATGTGCAGAGGGAAAACATGCACACTGGTAAAACACCATGTGAACATGAATCAGAGGTCAGGGGTATGCTTCTACAAGATAAGGAATGCCAAAATTATCAGCAAACCACCAGATACTATAGGAGAGGCATGAAACAGATTCTCCCTTGCAGACCCCGGAAGAGATTGACCCTGCTGGCACTGTGATTTCAGACGTCTAGTCTCTGGAAATGTGAGACAAGACATTTCTGTTGTTTAAGGCACTCAGTGCATGGCACTTTGTTATGGCAGCAATAGGAAACAAATATATACCCGAAAACTACACAATATACTGTGAAATGCTTTTCCGGAAATGCACAGGTTAAAGAAATGGAAGAAAAGGAAAGGTTGATGTTTTGGACTGGCCATCAGTAGAGGACAAATGGGCACTTTCCCTTTCTTGAACTCACCATCTCCAAAGAGCTGCAGGATAGCAAGGTCCACCTGGCGCTTCCACCCAGAATCTTTTTGGATGGCAATGCCATAGCCAGTGGAAGCAAAGACCTTCCCACTGCCAATGGTCACCAGCTTGCAGCCTTCATCTCTGCCTGCCATATAGTTCAGCACTGCTGCATCATAGATGAAGGCATCCAGTTTCCTGTACAGGAAAAAAGCAAACAAATCCAATGGAGGAATTTTAGAACAAAACTACCTGTGGGGCCATTAATATGAAGCAGTAGGGTTCCAGAAAACTATGTGGAGAATTGGTTCAAAGTAAGGTTTAAGTTGGAACTCTGCCAGAATCTAAAGCCTAAATCCCAGGCTGTTCTTTATGTGCTTTTGGGTTGAAAGGAGGAGTTCTTTTCTTCCCACTGGGAATGATGAGAATGTAAGTTGGGCCTGAAGCCAACTCATAAACTGTGTCTGAAAGGAAGAAGGAGTAAAAAGGGATCAATAAAAATAATAACAGAAATAATGAAAAGTAACCACTGCAACGAGCAACAAATAGCATGGGGTTAGATTTATATAACATTTTTCATTTCTCAGTTTATTACAGTCTGGAGTGGGGATAAGTGTAGGTGTTTGTGTTTCAATAGATGTGCAATGCTATTTTTGTGGTCAGGAAGGTTCCAGTATTCTGTTGTGCAACACAAGGATAGAGGTGAGGGGTTGAGGTGGTGGCAGTACAGGCTTGTGTAAGAGCAGATGAGTGAAACTACAAGAGAAAGCAAAATACAGAAGAATTCAGATCTCTCAAATACATAAATTACAGCATATAGTTCCTAAACATATAAGAACTTCATTTTATGTATTGTGCTTTGCAAGGCAGAAATACATAAAAAAGGGAATAAGACCAGGCGTAGGGGCAGGAAGGCATGAATCAATATTTAAAACCAACATTTAAACATATCAAAGGTAGAGGAAGAAATTTAGATATAGCCTTACAGGCAATAGAGAGGTCTGCAAGAAAGAAAAGCAACACCATTATTCCCTTCATTTTTATTAGTTAAGTCACCTTGTTAGGTACCCGATAGAAAGGGGAACACCAAAAAACCAAATCCCTGATATGAATGAGAACAGTGGGTGTAGCAGTGGTCAGACTACCCAAAGTGGCCCTACCTTCAAGCTCAAATTCCATCTTCTGAAATCTTCTGTGACTGTATTTATGGTGATAAAATAGAATCTAACAGTATTTTAAGTAACCATTTATCTAGGTGCCTTTTCCAGACCTGGAGCTACAAGGGTATTGAGACAAGGTCCAAGTGCTGTTAGTCATCATACAACAAAGAAAATCAGCTACGAGACCCCTTGACCTCCAAATCCCAACATCTATAATGCTCTGTTATCCATTATCTTCCATAGCTGTGGCTTGTGGAGGCCAAATGAACAAAGGGACCAGTGTGGCTGGGACTGTGCAAGCCAACACATGTGTAGGTCATGAACTCCTATGAATGGACAAACACTCCCTAGAGGACAGAGTATGTTAACACAAGCTGGCACTGGAGATCAGTCAACGCATTCTTACTGTTAATTATCTAAAAACATTTACACTTTCCCCCTTTTATTTCTCCCTTGTCCATAAGACACCAGAACCATAATTTTCACCTCTTGGACAACAGGTCTTTACATACACGGCACAAATACCTTATCCTTCACTCTGCCCTCCTACTTCTACATTTATTTCACTCTTATTTCATGGTTACATTAGTGCAACTAGAAAATAATTTGTAAAAAAAATACATAGAAGTAATAGCATAGGAATCGTTGTACACTGGTCTAAATGATACGATCAAATTTAACTTGGAAATCCATAAAGAGCAAATGAAGTCTTCTTTAACATTTTATGATACCAAGCATGGTATACCTAGTGCATGTGATTCAATAGTATGCTTAATAAATGTGAGAAACAGATCAAGGACTCTGAGCTTGGAAGCAGTTCTTACCCTGTTTTCAGGGAGAGCAATGCATCATCTACACCCCTCTGGTTGAACTTTCCCATGTAGGCATGCATTTCTGCATAGTTATTGCGAATATTTCTCTCTGTGCTGCCGTTGGGCACGGTCCCAAAGCGGAAAGGGGGTGAGAAGTCATTAGGTCTCTGGAACTGGAGAGAGAAAGACAGATAGAGACAGAGCGGGAGATGGAGGGAGAGAGAGAGAGAAAAGTCATTTTAGAAAATGTGAAGAGACATTAAGTAAGTTAGCATTAGTGGATTTATAATGGAAGGGACCCAACTATAATTCACCGAATACATTAGCCCTCACTCAAGAGCAGCAATTGCTATCTGAAAGCAGACTTCAATTCAATTCAATTTAGTACATATTGCTGAGAGATTTCTATTTGCCCAACCCTGACTTTAATCTATAACCCTTCTATGTTCCTTTTATGTACACTACACAATACCAGTGTTGATGGGCCAAAGGAATGTGCTGGTGGCTTAATTGCAGTGGGCTAGTCACCTTTCTTTCTAAAAAAATATGTAAAATCTGTATTCAGGCCTCTTAAAGGCCTAAATACACAGTCATTGCACTATTTTGTCCATAGGGCCTTAGTGAGGTGAGCTATGTGGTACTCCTGAAGATAATTTGTTGAGTATCAAATATGTTTTGCTAAGAAATTTTCTTTTGACCTTCCCTGATGCACTGAAAGCTCATATTTATCCCACATGAGTTGTAGGATAAACTGTACAATCAAAGACAATTTTAATTATGTTCCCTTTCTTGCTTGAGACTGAGAGTACATCTCCAGTGCCCATTATAATAAAGAGAAACCTCTTGGATTTTCATCCCTATGACATCAGCTTTATTTCTGGCTATCACCCTGCAATGCGTAAGTCTTTATGTTGCTTCCTGAACACAAAATTTGTTCATTTGTATCTTCACAGCCTCATATAGTCCATCTCCTCAGTGCCAACTCATCTGTCTCTCTAGGCCAATTTATATCCGTTTCAAAATAAAACTCAAAACAATTTCTTCAAGAAATCTTCTGTGAATTCTTTCTTCCATCAAGTCTACCCCAAAGTGACCCATCAGAACCTGTTATTCTTTGTTTAGATCACTGTAATCCTACACATGCAATTACTCTCTAAATGTGCTAGCTCGTCTCTGATGTCATCATTAAGAGTTTAAACTCTAGATTGAAACAGATACGGATTGAAGACCAGCTCCGCCACTTACCACTGTGTAACCTTGGGCAAGTAGCATAAACGCTCTGTGCATCCTGTCCTCATTTGTAAGAAGGAGATGATAATGCCTAATTTTCAAGAATGTTGTGAGGATTAACTAATATAATGCATAAGAAGTGCTTGGCGGTCGGGCACGGTGGCTCACGCCTGTAATCCCAGCACTTTGGGAGGCCGAGGCGGGCGGATCACGAGGTCAGGAGATCGAGACCATCCTGGCTAACATGGTGAAACCCCGTCTCTACTAAAAATACAAAAAACTAGCCGAGCGTGGTGGCAGGCACCTGTAGTCCCAGCTACTCCGGAGGCTGAGGCAGGAGAATGGCATGAACCCAGGAGGCAGAGCAGGCAGTGAGCTGAGATCATGCCATTGCACTCCAGCCTGGGCTACACAGAGAGACTCCGTCTCAAAAATAAAGTGCTTGGCACAGCACCTGGCACACAGTAGGTGCCCAATAAATGTTCTCTTATATTATTTTTAATTTGTGTCTCTATTCTGCATTTCCTAGTAAACCCACTCTCTAAGCTTCTTATTCTATTAGTACAGCAATGATCATTGTAGCTGTGCTGTGCTTTGGCATCGGAACGACAATGAAGATATTTGAAGTCCTCTTGGTTTCAAGTAATAGTACCATTTACTTTGGAGAAACATTTGAAAATCTAACCTGCCAACTCAGGAGAACTCTGAAGCCTTGGGATTGCCTGGGATTAGAAGTAATTCTTTTCCTTCTTAGAATATGGGAGTTCCATGGGCCACAAAATATCTCAGCACCAGGAGCCATAAATGCCATCTTAATTGCTCAGTGCTGGCCATGGTTAAAACTAGAGTCATGCCGTGGTGTTAGGCAATCTGTGATGCACCAAACAACTACTACTTCCTGACTGAGAAAGCTCCCTCTCTGACTCATCACAGGGCTTTTTGACATTAGAAGTTTTCGTTTGATTATTTTGAAAGGGGTTATAATTTTTAAGTGGATAAAGACACTACAAAAGAGTAAGAAAAATCTACAGCCAAATGGGCCACTCAGGGTTAACTAGCCCAAACCTTTCATTTGACAAATGATGAAACCCAAAGAGGGTAAGTAATTTGCTCCACATCACACAGTGGCATTGATAGCTAACAGATCAGAGCTCAATTCGCCTAATTAATAGTCACTCCTCACTGTCTCCAGCAGATAGCAAGCTTAAAGTAAATAGGGATATGCTTTATTGGAAGAGACAGACACCAGAATGCTTTGCATACCACTATCAAATACAACACTTCAGATGTTTGAAGAAAGATATTCCTCAAATCAAAAGTAGAGTAAATAACTATGGTAGATAGCAATACAACTAATTAACTCCTTTTAATCAGTAATTCCCCACAATACTAGGACAATGACAACTGATGTTTATAATGACTAAGATACTCTAGGGCCCAAGGTATTTTCTGAAACATCAGTGAAAATTGCAATCATGTCCAATACAATTCTGGTATAAATTATTACACTTTAATTTTTCTGAAAAAAATGGCAATCCATGCAAGGTATCTGCAACTAAATTTTATGGTAACTAAATGGAATCCAGTGCCCAGAGGGCCTCACTTCCTGATGAAGCTACATTATAGGTAGTTTTCATACAGCTCTTTATATAGTAATTTTTAATTTTAAATTATTTTTAGATTTCTAAATCCTGTTTTGTAATTGTATCCCTGAATAAATAAAAGCTAAAGAAATGATAAAGGGTCTAGAATAGCCAAGATAACTTTGAAAAAGGAAAAAAAAGTTAAAGGATTTACACTACCTGACTTTAAGATTCATTATAAAGCTACAGTAATCACGAGAGTGTGGCATTAGCGTACAGTCAGATCATTGGAACAGGATAGAGTGCCCACTAACAGAGCCCCACATATATGGTGCAAGGGCCATTCAGTGGAGATAGGATGGCCTTTAACAAATGGTGTTGGAATAATTAGACATCTGTTTGATAAAAAGGAACTTCATTTCACACCTCATAAGATACACAGAACTTAAAGTGGATCATATATCTAAAATGTAAATACTAGAATTATAAAACTTATAGAAAATATAGGAGAAAATATTTGTAATCTTGAGTTAGACAGAGATTTCTTAGCTACAACACCAAAAGCACAATCCACCAAAAAAGGTAAACGATAAATTGGAGTTCATAAAAATAAGAACTTTTTGAAAGATGCAGTTAAAATCATAAAAAAGATAAGCCACCGACTGGGAAGAAGTATTTGAAAATAAATTAAAGCTATTAAAACACTAAAGGAATTAGATAATAACATAGCAAGACTTATATAGTTAAGGCATCCTTCAAATGAAAATAATCGGGCCGGGTGCAGTGGCTCACGCCTGTAATCCCAGCACTTTGGAAAGCCAAAGTGGGTGGATTGCTTGAGCTCAGGAGTTTGAGGCCAGCCTGGGAAACATGGTGAAATCCCATCTCTACCAAAAATATAAAAATTAGCCGTGCGTGGTGGCATGCGCTTCTAGTCCCAGCTACCTGGGAGGCTGAGGTGTGAGGATTGCTTGAGCCCAGGAGGTGGAGGTTGCAGTAAGTCAAGATTGTGCCACTGCACTTCAGCCTGGGTGACAGAGCAAGACCCTGTCTCCAAAATGATAACAACAATAATAATAATAATAATAATAATCAAAATAATCAGAAAAACCAAGCAGTCAGTACTGGGAAGAAGGGAAGTGCTGGTTTGGAGGCAGAGAATTTGGATTTGGATTTCAGCTTTGTCTCAGGCCAGCTGCATGAACATGGGCAAGTTCCTTAAATTTATGGACCTACCCTCTTTTCTGGAAGTATTATTTTAATGAATAAGATAATATGTAAAAAAAATACTTAATACCTGGCACATGATGGAGTCTTAAAATTCTTAGTTGCTTCTATGGAGATGAAGTTCTAACATTTAAAATTGTCCTATGTAAGGCAATGTTCCCTAAGTTTGAAAATTCTTATTCTCTAATTTGTTCCTTAAACTAGGCCAGTCTGGAGGCCAACAGGGAGAGAACATTGCCTCAGAATTAGCCAAAGCAGTGAGTTTGCCTTTTCTTTTGAAAATTCTTGTCCCAGCCTGGTGAGATCTGTGAAGTTTACATAAAACAGAGATTTTTTATACTGTCATTGGAACTTGAACTGTACTAAAATTCACATTCATGGAGAACTGTTTAGGGAGGCCCGTGGGGAAGAAGGAAAAATAATTTCCAAATATCCTGATGCTTCCAGAAAATGCCCTTGTAATAAAACTTACCCCAAGCTGTAAGACATTATATGGCACTTGCTTAGCCTGAGTGGCAATTTGGGAACGAGAAAAATTTAGCGCTGTCAAGAACCAGAATGTCTTAACATTAATAGAACAGTGAGGACCCTGAAAAAATAATTTTTAAACAAATTTAAAAGCCTAATATATCAGGGAGCTCAGTAATTGAATTAAAAAACTCAGTCTGATTTCAAAGTAGGGAAATGTGTATAGTACTCTTTATTTTCTTTTTTCTTTTTTCTTTTTTTTTTTGAAACAGAGTCTCACTCTGTCACCCAGGCTGGAGTGCAGTGTTGCGATCTTGGCTCACTGAAACCTCAACTTCAACCTCCCAGGCTCAGGTGATCCTCCCACTTCAGCCTCCCAGGTAACTGAGACTACACATGTGAGCAACCACACCTGGCTAATTTTTGTACTTTTAGTAGAGACAGGGTTTCGCCATGTTGGCCAGGCTGGTTTCTAATTCCTGGCCTCAAGCGATCCGCTCTGCTCGGCCTCCCAAGGTGCTAGGGTTACAGGCGAGAGCCACCATGCTGGGCTCAGTACTCTTTATTAATCACCTTTGGTCATAGAGCTTCCTTGAATGTGGAATCTTTTTCTAGGAGTCACCCAGATTGGAATTATCAACACATAGATTTGGATAGGAAAATAACACAGACAGGACAGGCCCCATTTCATAGATGAGGAAACCGAAGTCCTGAAGAGATCAAGTCGTTCCAGTAGACACAGTGTAGAGGGAGGACAAGCTGAGACTTGACCCCTGAGTATGGCCTTCCTTTTGCCAGCTGAAATGCTAGCTGAACAGTCCTACTGCTGCCTACTAGGGAGTGAAGCCACACACTGTAAGTGGGGCCACATAGAGTATCTTCCTTTTGTGGCAAATCAAATGCCAATTCCCATCCTTCCCACCGCATTTAACACAGGGCTTCCAGCAATTGCTTGTGAGCACACACTTGCACAAGGGCAAAACAATGCCAGAATGTTAAAAGAGCTGTAATCTCATTTGATCCTCCTGGAGAGCAGCAGGGAATCAGAATTCAGCCCTCTGAGCTGTTCAGATCATCTCAGCCTCCATCTTAATGACCTCAAAGTGAATTAGTCTCAGCAGCCATGCAAGGAGAAAGGTGCTCAAGGGCCAGGAGTCAAGGCCCCCACCCAGAGATGAGCAGACACTAGGGTCCTGGGCTGTTTTGGCTGCCACCTCCCCGCTAGAGAGCTTCTTATACAGCCTGCTGGAGAAAGAAAGGAAGAGGGGAGCAAGTAAGGGAAGTACGGATCTGGTCCATTTTTAATATATAAATTGATTTTCCTATGTATTAGGCATTGTAAGTCATTAATAATTGCCACTCTTATTCAATACCTATGTATGTACTGGGTATAAGTTACATTATCTCCTTTAACTATGATAATTAAAATACATCCATTCATTTGGCAAATATTTGCCCAGCATCTATTAGGGCAGGAGACTGTATTAGGAACAGAGATACAAAGATGAAAAAAATCAGACCCAGTTTTCAAGGAGTTTGCATTACAGAGAGTCAGAAACATAAACATTCATTCAGTTTTTCATCCATTTACTTTTTCATTTCATGTATTTATTGATTTCATTCATTTATATAAGCATTCAGCAAGTATTTGTTGGTGTTTATTGTGTACAGAGGAGATGCCTGTGCTGAAGATGCAGTATTGCAGAAGAGTATGATCTTGCCTTCAAAGAGTTCACATTATAAAGAAGAGAGGCAAACAGTAAGCCTGTTTTTTATTTTTAAAATTTCTAAACAATCTTTTGTAGAGATAAGGTATCTCCATGTTGTAAAAGTTGGTATTAAACTCCCAGCCTCAAGCAATCCTCCTACCTCAGCCTCCCATTCGGTTGACTAAAGTCTGCCAGAAATTATTTGCCACTCTATGACAAACAGGTCCATGTCCCCTCCCTACCTTGATTCTTAGCTGACCTAGGTGACCTGCTTAACCAGTAGAAGTTGACAGAAGTAACATTGTGGGATTGCTGAGACAAGGGCATAAGAAGATTTGCAGCTTCCACCTTGGCCTTTGGAAACCTCGCTCTGAGAGAATCGGTGCACCATGTCAGAAGTCCAAAAACCCTGAGGCCACCATGCCGGAGATTCCACCTATAGGTGCTCCCATCTCCAGTCCTAACTGAGCCCTGGACTTCTACCCATTCCAGTCAGAGCCAGGCATTAGAGTAAAGCCATTATGGACTCTCCAGCCCAGCCTCCCACTGAATATCAGTCATGCTACATGAAGTAGAAGAATCACTCAGGCAAGCCCTACCCAAATATCTGACCCACAAACCAGTAAAATATAATAAAATATTCTTGCTTTAAGCCACTAAGTGTTGGGCTAGTTTGCTGTGTAGCAATAGGTGACGGAAACACAGATAATTTCAAATAGTGAAAAAGAAGTGCTAGGAAGAAATTGAAACAGCATAATAGGATAAAGAGTGATTGGTAGGAGAACAAGTTTAGACTGGCTGTCCTGAAAAGGCCTCTCTGAGAAGGTGGCATCTGAACCGAGACCTGAATAATAAGAAAGAACCAGACATACAAAGACAAGGGGGAAAATGTATCAGGCTCAGGAAACAGCAAATGCAAAGGTTCTGACATGGGGGAACAAGCTTGGTGTGACCAGGGGCTATAAATAATGTGGCGGGTGCTATGAGCAGCTGTGCCCATGCAGCAGTGAGAGAACAGAACAAGGGGGCTGTCTCGATGGTGTCCCAGAGCCTGTGCACTGGGGCTAAGACTTAACCATTTAAACAAGAGGAGCAAAATGGTTTCTAGATAGAGACGAGTGTCTGTTCAAAGACACAAGGTGGTGAGAAAGATTGGGCATGATCAGAGACCACGAGCAGCTTATTGTTGCCAGAGCCTAGCAGGTATGGCCATGGTGACAGGAGGTTGACACAGCTGAAGAAGGAAGCAGGGCCTGGATCACAAAGAAAGTTGAATTCTGTGCAAAGGAGTTTAGAGTTCATAATATAAGGGATGAGAAACAGCAGAGCTTCTGGAGTTAAGCTGCCTGATTCAGATCCCAGCTATGCCACTTGATAGCTGTGTGACCTTGATCAACTCACTTAACTTATCTGTGCCCCAGTTTCTACATTTGTACAATGGGCTGCTAATAGCACCTACCTCATAAAGTTTAAGTATTCAACCAGTCAATCTGGGCAAAGTATTGGCACAGTGCCTGGCTGATAAATACACTATGTTAGCTATTGTTACTATCATTATTACTATCATCATCATTGTCATCATCATCTTCATCATCGCCATTGGAAGCAACTGAAGAACTCTGCCAGAATGACAAGATTGGGTTTTTGTGTTAGAAAAAGTCACCAGGTGCTGGTGTGCAGAACAGGTTGAAAGGAGTAAGATGGAGAGACAAGAGCTGAAGAGGCCCTGAGCTCTGGTGAGGGTATGGGTGCTACAGTCGGATAAGAAGGAACAGACGCATTGTCAGATATTTCCCTACACTACTAGCTAACATACAAGACCACAGAGGTGCACGCCATTGACATATAAATTTCCTGAAAGGCTTCTAGAAGGAGGCTGAATTGAAGCTGGCAGGGAGGATGGATTGGCTTTGGAAGGGTGGCGATGGGGCGTTAACATCAATTTACACCAGAGGAACTCTCTGCTTTAAGACTCCTCCAACCTGGTTAGCTTCCAGGGTGAGAATGAAGAAACATACTTGTTGAGAAGTCTTTAAGGTCCTGGCACCAGGAGAGGAGCAGATTCTGAAAACAAAACCAAGAATGTCCTAAATACTGATGGTGTCAAAGCAGTGGTCGTTCTGACCACCAGTCAAGGCCATCTCCTGATCAGCTGTCACCCAGTCCCAAGGACAATAATCAGAGTCAGATCCGGTGAATAACAGCACATAAATGAAAGCAGCTCTGTTAAAATGAAGAGGATGGTGAGGAACTGCCTTCTTGGGTAGTTGGCTTCCCTGAAAAATGGCTCTACTCATTCAGTCTGTGTCCAATCAGCATATGCAGATTAGGACAAACCAGTGCTGTGACCTTGCAGAGGCGGATATTGCACATCCTATTTGCAGGGATCCATCCATATGAGATATAGAATCTGGGGGCTTTTGTCTTCAAAGCTTGACAATCCTACACATAAATATTCATTCCATTACTTCTGATTTTACATTTGCATCACAAAAAGAATCAATGCCCAAATGCCACTCAGCCCTTCCAGGCACCCAAGAGAAAAAGTGGGAAAGGCTTAGGAGATGTGAATGGCTTTGGGCCTGGGCTAATTATGAGGAGGTGGCAGCACATCAGAATTCTGAAGACACCACATTTTTACCTACTCAGCACCCTCCTGTTATTATTGTCATTACCCTATTTTATATTTTAATAGTACTTTTAAATTATTGACTTTTATTGTCATGAATTTTAACCAGGTATGGAATCTTGCAGTCACCGCCACAATCAAGACACAAAACAATTCCATTTCTCAAAAAGCTCCCTGGTGCCACTCCTTTCAAGTCACACACTCCCTTTGCTCTTAACCTCCAGCCACTCTATCCCATAGTTTTGCCTTTTCTAAAACGTCATATAAATGGAATCCTGTAGTACATAACCTTTTGAGACTGGCTTTTTTACTTATGATAATGCCTTTGAGATTCATCTCCAGGCCTTTGCATGTATCTGTAGGTCATTCCTTCTTATTGCTGAGTAGTATTCCATTATGTGAATGCACCAGTTGATCCATTTATCTATTGAAGGACATTTGAGTTACTTTCAGATAATTATGAATAGAGCAGCTGTAAACATTCATGTACAGGTTTTTGAGTGAACATGTTTTCATTTTTCTAAGGTAAATATTCAGGGGTGGGAGGGATGAGTCATATGCCCCATGCTCCCAAAGTTTTTTACAGCTCTTCTATCTTTTGATCTTCTCAGTTTTTCCAGGAACTATCAAGCAAGTACAGAAACTGACATTATCTTCCTTAGCCCAGGGGTGTTGCACCAAACCATGTTTTCCATCACTAAATCTTCCATAATAATACCCTATGGCCCAATTAGGGTGAAGGGATATGTATGTGTGATTCCAGACTCTGGGCAGCATCTGGAGAGGGGAGGAAGTGGCTGCAGGAAGCACCCTCTCTCCTCTTCTACCATAATCCCTTGTCGGGCCCAGTGGGAGAAGAAGAAGGTCAGGTGACCACACAAGGAGTAGACTTTCTGAGAGCATGAGCTCCTTCACTGTTCCATGGCCCATAAGTGCTTGGGACAGATGTGAAAAGGAGGTAATCTGTGCTTACAGTGAAAAGACAATTTTAGCCAGGCATGGTGGCTCACACCTATAATCCCAACACTTTGGGAAGCTGAGGTAGGTGGATCACCTGAAGTCAGGAGTTTGAGACCAGCCTGGACAACATGGCAAAATCCTATCTTTACTAAAAATACAAAAATTAGCCAGGTGTGGTGGCGCATGCCTGTAGTCCCAGCTACTCGGGAGGCTGAGGCAGGAGGATTGCTTGAACTCAAGAGGCAGAGGTTGCAGTGAGCCAAAATCGTGTCACTGCACTCCACCCTGGGTGACAGAGTGAGACTTTGTCTCAAAAAAAAAAAAAAAAAGACAATTTATTGATAAAACGTAAGTAAACACATGGGTTATGGGCTCAAAGATCTAAGTTCAAATCTGAGCTCTACTACTTATTAACTGTGTGACTCAATAAACAAGCCACTTAGCTTTGAAACTGAATTTTAACAATGTTCCAAAAGGAGAAATAAGGTATAGCATCTCACTACAAATCCTCCATCTCAAAACATGGGGCCTGGAGTGGCCCCCCAAGACCCTACCCCTAAAACAAACTGGCTGTGGATATGGTGACAGATTAGAAAGTTAAACCCTTCACCTCCATGAAAGAATCTGGAATGGAGGTAAGAGGAATAAATAATTATTGTTATATTTCATTATAAAGTGTTCATTGGAGAGAATATTGTTCAAATTCATTCAAAAGGCATGGCTGAATTATGGAAACAATAATATTGCAGAATGTAGTTAGAAGCTACCGGTATATAGGAAAATTGCCCAAATTAACTCTGTTCTCTTCCTGGGCCCCTGATGAATCTGACGACATTTTGCTACTGCCAAAAAGGGAGTTGGCATATAATAAGCATTCAACACCTTAATTGTTTCTGCTTGTTTTCCTCTTATTATTAACATTAGTGCTATAATTGCCTACAGTGGCAAACACCCTTAAGTTTACATATGAAGAGACCTGCACTTGGATGTGAGAAGGCTGGTAAGTGGCCTTTCTCCTGCCTCTGGCTGTGCTGTCATTCGAGGCTGTATCTTCACAGCTCTGGATGCTGTGCTGCTGGGGAAGGAATTTTGTGCCTCTCTGAACTCAACGTGGAGCTGGGGTTCTATAATAGGTCTTAGAAGGGTGGGGGTGGTGAGGACTGGAACTTATTCTCCTGTCATCACCCTCCTGCTGGAGCCGAAACAAAAGCTTGCAGCAAATAAAACACCAGTTCTTCAGATTCCTGGAATTTAGTTAATTACCAGTTTTCCTCGCAACGATGGTTTTAATGCAATAAGGCAGTCACTTCTTTTGTATTTTATAAAATTTGGATACATAAGCCTTAATATTTCCTGAAATATTTCATAAAATCAGATAATGGCATGTTAGCTAGCTGAGGCTTGGTCCCTGAGTTAGCAGAGCCAAGAAAGTGGGTTTATTCCTATATTAACTATATTAACTTTAACATATCATAACCTGCACCTTGAGGTTTTAAGTGTTTGGCAAAGTCTTGTGTCTGGCCATAAAATATCACATCAGTAGCACACATTTAAAGGGCATAAACCACATATAAGCCACTGAGCTCTGAAATAAAATGAGGCAACAGATACAATCCCTACCATTACAGTTTAGCTGGAAATAATGATGATGATAATTATATAATTCCAGCAGCAGCTAATGCTTCTACAGCACTCACCATGTGTCACATAATTTACGTATAGTAACTCATTGATCCTCTCATTGATGCTATGAGGTAGGCATTATTATCTCCATTTAATGGACAGGGAAACTAATGCACAGACAGTAAGTAATTTGAATAAGGCCATACAGCTAGAAACTATCAGAGCAAGGATTCAAATGCAGGATACTCATATTTAACTGTAAAACACACCACAGGGCTCTATGCAAATAGAATGGATGCTCAGAAAATGTACAGATTAAGGAATCCAGTGCCTGAATTAGTATGCCTATCCAATGGGAGGTAAGGAAAGGAAGGGCTACGGAAGTTTAGAGGGAGTGAAAATCATTACAAAAGGATATGGTTGGGGAGGCTGCACAGAGCAGGCAGAGATGGAGCCAACTCCTCCAGATTGGCCAAGTTTATCCAGGCAAAGAGGTCTGGGGAGGGTGATGGGGCAAGCGAAATAGCATGAGAAAAGAAGCACTGGGACGTGAGCATGGCATCTGCACTGACGTTGGGAGGAATGTTTGGCGCCTAGATAGAAACCATCCCATGGAGCACACCGAATGGTCAGACTGAGGAAGGACACTGTGAACCCCACAGTGCTCAGGTGTAGCTATTGTTCAGCTAAAGCAGCATGGCTCGAAGAACAGAGAGGTTAGAGAAGGGACGTTTACTGGAAAACTACTAAGAGCCTGGACTATTTTCAGAGGGAAAATAATGGGAGGGATAAATGAAAAAGAAAGACATCAGAGTGGAAGCCTTGACTGAATCCAAGTCTGCCTATACATTCAGAAGAACGAAGGAGAGGAAGCGGCAGAGTCAGCCTCATCCCCACCACCTTCTCTCCCACTCTCCTCCCTCACCCACTCCTCAGGAGCCACACTGGCTTCCTCGCAGTTTCTAAAACTCACCAGGCAAGCTCCTACCCTCACATGCTCTTCTCTGCCCCAAAAGCCCTGGATATCCACATATATTGATCCCTCACTAACTTTGGGCCAGACTTAATTGCCTTTTTATTTTCTGCCCTTTCCTCCTTAGAATGTAATATAATGGACACAGTTTTGGTCTGTTTTGATCACTGCTGTATCTCTAGTGCCTAGAAAAGCATCCAACACTTAGTAAGCTCTCAATATGAATGAATGAGTGATTTAAAGAATGAATGAATTGAATCGCACATGTGGATATATTTATTATATGAAAAACTCCATTCAAAGTGCACTATTTAGCTGTTGATACATTATCATGCAACACACAGTTGAGCATTAACATTCCTCAGATCTAGGGCAAGCCTAGCATCTCTGGTGAATAAGGAGTTAATGTGTCCTAATGCCAGTCAAGGACATCTTTCCTGGCACTTTCTCCATTTTTCCTTCACAAAATATATCAGATCTGAAATCCCGCAAGAGCCTGTCAGACTTAGGACTTGACAATGCATATGAATATTTCTTTGGCACCAAAAATGTGACAGAGTTAGAGATGATTATGATAACATGGAGATGAAGTGAAACAGAGGCATAAGGACAGAGGCATTTGAGTTTTATCCTTAAGTCATCCTGTGTGTGACAGGTGGCCTTCGTTGAGCTCCTTCAACCTATTCTTACACAAGATTGTTACAAAGAGGTGTTATTACTGTCCACTGCACTCTACCTCACAGACCAACTTGGGAGGGTACAAGGGATTGTTCCAGATATTTTATAAAAGCTGTGGGTGCTAGCAAAGAGAAATGGCCTTTAAAGAAGCTTTCAAGTAAAGAAGACAGATGGATTCACCATGGAAACTGGGATTCTGAAGTTGTACCAGGAGCTTCAGCAGCTCATAAAATTTTGGAGGAGATAAAGAAGATAAAGAAGACTACCAAGATTTCCACATGCAAGATTCCCAATGAATTTAGGGTTCTCCAGTTATTAGCACAATCACCTGAGGTTCTAATACGGTATCAGCATCTTCAGAGTCATGAAGCTGGGGTGGGGCGGAAATGTCAAAGACCTCCGCCAGGCGGAGGCCAGGGTGAGTGAGGATCCAGTGACAGGCAAGGCAGGGGGACAGGTGTGTCTCTGCCCTCCTGGCAATCAATCAGATCTGTCAGTTCCAAATTGAGGCACGGAAATGCCAGCATGTGTACTTACTGTCACATTGTGACCCACTTACAGCCCAGCAGAGCTTCTTCCTTTGGTCAATAAAGTCAGCCCTATGCGAGGGACACTCCGGTTTATGGAATGTTAGTATTGGGATGCAGCCTGGCGATCCCACCACGCACACTGCATGCCCCTCGGGGTTCACAACGGACCATCACAGGAGAGGACTCGAACAATCCTTTGGTAAAGAAACTTATGTAACCCTGACACAGCATTTCCCCAAACTTATTTTCCCATGGATTTCTTTTTCTCAAGAATAGCCATTATGTTTCCCAGAACACTCATAGGCTATGAAACAGTTTGAGAAATGCCAGTTGAGCAACTTTCTGCCTGTACAGAGGAGGAAACAGAGGCCTGGGAAATTCATTACCTATCGAAGACCAAACAGCCATTGTCTGCTTCTGTCTCCATCTCTTTTGTTTTTAATTTAGTCTCCACACATGTATTGAGTACCTACTCTGCACCAGGAGCTGCCCTGAACAGTCGACAGCAAGATACGGCAGACATTTCCATGTCTCAGGCTTTTAGGACTAATGGGATGCCAGTGTACTTCAGTTGTCCTTAATGGACCTCCAATTATAATGCAAACATAATTATTATAAGGTGACTGCTACAAAAGTGAAATATCAATAACCATGTTGGTAGAAAAATGAAGTTCAATTTTTCCAGTTGACTAAGGGTTAAGCCAAAAAACTTACTTTCAACCCTTTTGATGAAAATCATTCTAAACTATAGTCATTCAAACATATTCAGTGAGCATCTGCTATGTGTCATGATACAGGGAGGTAAATGATATACAGAAATTAAGACACAAAAGACCATACATGGTTTAGGACATTATGTTTACTATGTACTTATTCCAGGAATATCCTAGAAACTGTCATTACTTTTAATAATTTCTTTATATAAGCTTTCTTTGTTATCATTATATCTTTTCCCCTCTAAAAGTGGCAAGGGGACATAGTTATTTTAGGGTTGGTTACTTTTTGTTACAGAAGCGATATTTTCCTATGAAAATAGAAAGTTCTCAGCAAACACTTGGCTGACTGGGAAGCCGATGCCTCACCATTCAAAGAACAGGGCAGGCTTAACACATGCATACAAGGAGGGGACTCCTGTGCCTGTCTCACACAGGAGCCGAGGAATAATCAGGGGCTTTGAAGAAGTCATTGCCAAATAGGTCCTGAAAGAACTTTATAATTTAAGATCCGACAAGCCACATAGCAGCACAGTTGGAGACCTCACTTACTCAGTTCTCTTCTGAAATACCTGCCCGATTTAGATGGTGTGACAGGCATAGAAACCACAAGGTGAGAAAATTCTATCTGGGATTCTAAATGTCAAATATTTCTTATCTACATTACCCTCTCTTCCTTCCCCCTCAACCATTGGTCATGAAACTATCTTTCACTGTTCTCAAATTCACATGGCTAATAAAGAGTGAAAAGTACTGCCTTATGCTGTGGACACTATATGAATTACATAACTGTCTTCTTATTCATTCATTCATTGACTAGTTGGTTAATTAATTCATCTATTAATATGTGAGCACCTATATGTACGAGACCCTATTTTAATTACTGCAGATCCATTAGTGAACAAAACAGACAAATTCTTGCCTTCATTGAGTTTACAGTCTAGTATGAAGAGACAATTAAATATTATAAATATGTTAAATATTAATATATCACACCATACAACATATAAATTCTATTAACATATAAAAAGATGGAAGGACAGAGAAGAGTAAACTTTCTTTAGATCCTCTTCCAAATTTTAGATCAGATACTCATCTGGTGGCCTGAACTTAGACTGGTCATTCCCTGGAAACCCTTGTCTTTAACAATATACCACTCGTAAGCATCTTCCTCTCTGAGTCTAGCCCCACTAGCCTGATGTACATTTTCTTTTCTTTTCTTTTTATTTCTTTTTTTTTTTTTTGTATTGTTTTTGTTTTTGAGATAGGGTCTTGCTCTGTTGCCCAGGCTGGAGTGCAGTGGCACAATCACAGCTCACTGAAGCCTTAACCTGGGCTCAAGCGATCTTCCCACCTCAGCCTCCCAAGTAGCTGGGACTACAGGTGCTTTCCACCATGCCCAGCTAATTTTTAATTTTTTTGTAAAGACAGATATTTGTCTTGTTGCCCAGCCTGGTCTCAAACTCCTGGGCTCAAGTGATCTTCTCACCTCAACCTCCCAAAGTGCTGGGATTATAGGCATGAGCCACCACACCCAGCTGAATTTTCAGAAGAACAACTTCGAGTTTATGTCGGAAAAACATATTAACATTTATTTTTTCCACTTAAAATCAGAAGTCCTGTTTCATCCCAGGCTTGGAGCAGACACTTTTTCTAGAGTAAGCAAATGGGCTGAAGAAATAGTATTACTGGTATAATAGCTTGCCTTTGATTTGTAACAGATATTTGGGGAAATATTCTCGATGAGTCAATTTCACACCTGTTTGGTTGGTGCAAAAGTAATTGTGGTTTTTGCCATTAAAAGTAATTATTTTTTAATGACAAAACCGAATGGCAAAAACCGCGATTACTTTTGCACCAGCCTTAATATAGTTTAAACATGCAAATTAGAGGGAAACAGACTCACTAATTGGGATACTTCCTCACCTACCTAGTGGGAAGTTACTCACAAATGGTCTTATTGAACTCCATGATAATTCTATCATGAGACCAGGCCACTGAATCCTTTTCATGGTCTGAAATGTGCATCTCATGTTCTCTTTGTCAATGGATTACAGAGAAGGTAGCCTACTTCAAAATTCTTGAAATTCCAAGGCAGGAGCTAATTAACAAATGGAAAATGTTTCTAACCTACAGCAAAGAATGCTGTAAAATAAAACGTTTCTCTTTCAAATAAGAGGCTCCATCACTAGGCAGGTGAGATACTTAGTGAAAGGATAGACATGACCAGTTGTTGGGAGTGTGGGGCAACTTATTAAACACACAGGGAAGGGTCTTGTTTTCTTTAATAACTTAAGTGACAGGATGAAAAAACCTGCTCTTTAAACCTGCTGTAGGCATCAAATTGGATTGGATGGATGGCTACTTGAGAAATAGAATTAAACATCAAAACAGTAAGTCTGGCCTGACAAAAGAAGATATTAAAAGGATGAAGTTAAATTAGGAAGCATACAAAATAATTCTTACAGGATGTAAAACCACACTGCACTAGAACTAGAAGGGACAGGAACAGGCTTTGTCAAATGCATGCTCAAGAAAAATCATGCAGTTCTACCTGACCACATACTGCATGCATACATAATGCAGTGCTGCTTTTTTAAAATAAAGAGCCTGTCACTGGACGCTAAAGAGCAATATGTGGAATGGATGTGGTCAGGCTGCGTTATACACCAGTAGGAGGGCTTCTGACCACCGTGTGTTCTCTTCCATAACTCACAGCAGAAGGTTCAGAAATGATTAAAAGTGAGGGGAGCAAGTCTTCTTGTAAAAGATTAAGACTATATTTAGCCTTGAAAGGAGCAAAAGAGGAAATTCCTCTGTTGTATTTACCATCCTATTTTTTAAGAACGAAGTGTCTGCCTCCCTCACTAGACTCTGAGAGTAGGGCTGTTTCAGCATATCTCCAACGTCTCACAAGGTAGGGTTTCCATGACATTTTGGGACATACTTATACTAAAATCATATTCACAATTTACCTGAAATTCACATTTAACTCGGTGTCCTGTATTCTTATTTGCTAAATCTGTTAGCTCTATTCAAAGATTAACTAGTAACTATTCAATAACGATTAAGCTAATTGTTGTTATATACTAGGTATTATTTTAAATGCAGAGGATATAGTAACTTTTAAAAGCCAGGTAGATGATACAACAGAGGCTTTAGTTAATTCAAAGAAATGAGGACAGGAGCAGGATTTTGGTAACAGGTAGAATCCAAGTTGAACAAGGGGCTTACAAGGTGATTGAGGGTGGCAGTTTCTAGAGACTTTGAGATAACAAAACAGAGCTACTGATCTTTTCTATTCTGAGGGCCTCTAGGCCTTAGCTATAGGCAGTCTGGCAGATGCTAAGGACTCCTGAGATAGACTAGGTGGTTGGACACTAACCTTAGTACCAACAAAAAGATCAGAGATTATGTTTATGCAGAGCTGTTCTGATTTTCCTGTACTCTATTCCAGTAAGTGCTATGTAGTATTTAGAATCTATCTGATGAATGAATAAATGAAAAGTAGGCGGTGAGACTGAAAAGCAATGAAACTGACTTGTATCCCTCATTTAGAGAACATCATTACATTCTACTTGCAACTAACAGATACACAGGATAAGTCACATTAATAGCTAGTATGCTTTAAGAATGAATTTGCCAGGAAAAACCCTATGTGGTATAGAGGTTGGAAGACAAGCTCTCTGGGCTGGGAATGGAGAAGAGGAGCTTCAGGAACTAAAACCACTGGGACTCGGCCTCTCCCAAACTCACATCTAACTTGAAATTACTATGAATTTTCCAAATGGCAAGGGGCCTTCAGAGAGAGTATTTCCTTTAATAGTGGACAGATTATGATAGACTATCAACTATGGCAATAAAAACAACTTTATTGCTAAACACAGTAGTCAAAATGGGTATTAATTAAAAACTTAGAAATGTTATAAATTATCTGGCTGCATCAATAATTTGCAATGAAACTAAGGCTCTTCTCTAAGTCTCTGAGAGAGCTTGAAGTAGAATAAATTAGGTTTACTTTTTCTGAGTGTCTGAAGGAACAGAAAATTCTTTGGCAATATATGCCATGCAAGCAGGGAAGGCCTTAAGAAAGACCTAGTTTTTAAATTTTTATTTATTTATTTTATTTTAAGTTCTGGGATACATGTGTAGAACGTGCAGGTTTGTTACATAGGTATACACGTACCACGGTGGTTTGCTCCACCTATCAATTCCCCATCTAGGTTTTAAGCCCCGCATGCATTAGGTATTTTTCCTAATGCTCTCCCTCCCCTAGCCCCCCACTCCCGACAGGTGCTGGTGTGTGATGTTCCCCTCCCTGTGTCCATGTGTTCTCATTGCTTAATTCCTACTTATGAATGAGAACACGTGGTGTTTGGTTTTCTGTTCCTGTGTTAGTTTCTCACTAGTTTGTTGAGAATGATGGCTTCCAGCTTTATCCATGTCCCTGCAAAGGACATGAACTCATTTTTTTTATGGCTGCATAGTATTCCATGGTGTGTAAGTGCCACATTTTCTTTATCCAGTCTATCATTGATGGGCATTTAGGTTGGTTCCAAGTCTTTGCTATTGTAAATAGTGCTGCAATAAACATATGTGTGCATGTGTCTTTATAGTAGAATGATTTATAATCCTTTGGGCATATACCCGGCAATGGAATTGCTGGGGAAAGACCAGTTTTATAATTTGCCCACTCCTGTGAGAAACCATTTCCTTGGGGTAGAGCCCAGTAGTCAGGTGGAATCATAGTTGAAGCTCACTCTTGAAGTCATTGTTTTCTACCACAGAGATGGGCAAAAGACACAGATTCAGAAATGCTCACTGAGCCCTTACTATGTGCCTAGGAGGATGCTGGGAGCATGCTTTCAAAAGACCCACAAGGTTGGCTGCAAAGAGGTACTAGGCACCTCTTGTCTGAGAGGGCCATGAAGATGCTCTTCATCCAGGCATCCTCGGAGCCAGAGCTAGTTTCAAGGGGTCTAAGCACTGCAACTCGCCTGCTGCCCCTTCCACATCTTTTTTAGCCCTGACGTTTGACCTTCCCTCCACCAGCCCTCCTACTCCCACCTCAAAATCTCACTGAAACAAGTGAGTGCCTGGGGCAAGCAGGGTGGAAGGAGGGCTGAGTGGTGGGCTCTTGGGTGTATTTGTAGCAGTTTGTGGCTTTCAGGGCACATGTTAATCATCTGCTAGAAACAGCGTGGGCTTTGTGAGCTGGGTTTAGGAGCGAACCCTGGGTGGATGTAGGACGTGACCACTAATATTTATTGAGGATTTAGCATGCTTGAGGCACTCTTCTAAGCTTTACAAAGAGTAACTCTTTCATCAGCACAGCAGCTATAAAGTAGGTAACATTTTAATCCCCATTCTACACATTAGGAAACTGAGGCATGAGAAGGGTTTAGGAACCTAGCCAGATCACATAGCTTCTTGTCTTAGTTTTCTCTACTGCACAGTAGAGGTAGCATCTACCTAAAAGTGGGAGATGGCAAATGAGTCAAAGAATGTAAAGCATCTAGCCTGGAGAATGCCACCCAGCAGTCACTAATGACAGGTATGCTCTCTGAGACTGTAACTATTGATGTGGTTTCATGTGATTACCATGAATGAGGGCCATGGTTGCTAATATTGCAAAAGAACACATAATACAAAGGTTAATATATTTTTGGCTTTGGACTGCAATTTTCAATAGGCAGACTCCAACCTATGAACACATTGTCCTCAATAGTTCATTTATAAATCAGCTGCTCACAAACAGAAATATGCTGCCCCCAAGAAACAATACTATAAGTGGTTGGCTCATTAAAGCCAATTTAATCCAAAAGAGAGCAGAACTTTTGTGTTAATATTATTAGCTTATGTTCTTGGAACATTTACTCATTTAATAAACTTCTACAATGTACCAGGTACTGTCTCAGGAGCTGGAAAGACATAATTATTGAAAGCATGTCTCTTGCCTCAAGGAGCTTATGATTCAGTGAAGGAAATGAGCACTTGCTCAATGATTCTAGTGGAGGGTGACGGGTGTGTTTGGGCCATTGTAGGAGGACAGGGGTGGGTGTCTGGGGTGTGGAGTCTTGATAAGTTGATAGAAACAAGAAAGAGGCCCTCGCTGGCAGGAACAGGAATGAGGGTAGAAGAGAGCCATTGTTCTAAGAAGTGGCTAACAAGCTATTGTTGTAAGAAATGGCTAACCACAAACATCCTGTTCCCAAATACCTCCTTCCAAACAGCCCCAGCAGCATGAACCTATCTGCAGTAGCCTTTCCAGCATGACCCTATAAAACTCCCCTCCATCCCCTGCATCTTGGCAGACAGGCTTCTCTCTGCTGTACTGCCTGTTGCACTCTTGCAATGCACCTTTCTTAGTTTCTCTAATAAATCTGCCTTTCTTTACCCACAACTGTCTTGGTAAATTCTTTTACCACCTGTGATGTAGCCCTAGCCAGTTGCACCCATGACATGGGGGTGACAAAGGCCAGAAATGGGTAATGAAGTATTGGAGGAAAGGAAAATGAATTGCATTTGCTTGGGTTCAGAGCTGGCCCCCATACTTCATTTATCTATACCTGTACTCCACTTGCTGAGCTCTGGTGCTTTCCTAACCTCCTTTTGGGGCATCCAAGCCTGACACCCCCTATTTTCACATCCACAAAATCAAAAGCCCTGTTCTTTCGGTCTAAGTGATGACATCTAGGTGTTAAAAGGAAGATAATTTGAAAACAATGTCTTACTGATGTGTGATTAAACAAGCATTCAACTTCCCCAAAATTGTTTTTGTTGTTTATATAAAGGGTTAAACTGGAAGTTTAAATACATAAAAGCATGCTAAAAAAATGTAGTGGTCATGAAGGCCACTTTACATGGGTCATGAAGGCCCAGTTTACAGATTGCCTTGGGAACTATTTTAAGTCATTCCTCCTTCTTTACTGAACCACTAATTTTTCAGATGCTGTAAGGATAATGTGGATAGGAAGAATCAATATCATCAGAACGGCCATTCTGTCCAAAGTAATTTATACATTCAGTGCTATCCCGATCAAGCTACCATTGACTTTCTTCACAGAATTGGAAAAAACTACTTTAAATTTCATGTGGAACCAAAAGAGCCCACATAGCCAAAACAATCCTAAGCAAAAAGAACAAAGCTGGAGGCATCATGCTACCTGACTTCAAACTATACTACAAGCCTACAGTAACAAAAACAGCATGGTACTGGTACCAAAACAGATATATAGACCAATGGAACAGAACAGAGGCCTCAGAAATAACACCACACATCTACAACCATCTGATATTTGACAAACCTGACAAAAATCAAGCAATGGGGAAAGGATTCCCTATTTAATAAATGGTGTTGGGAAAAGTGGCTAGCCATATGCAGAAAGCTGAAACTGGATCCCTTCCTTACACCTTATATAAAAATTAACTCAAGATGGCTTAATGACTTAAATGTAAGACCAAAAACCATAAAAACCCTAGAAGAAAACCTAGGCAATACCACTCAGAACATAGGCATGGGCAAAGACTTCATGACTAAAACACCAAAAGCCAAAATTGACAAATGGGATCTGATTAAACTAAAGAGCTTCTGCACAGCAAAATAAACTATCATCAGAGTGAACTGGCAACCTACAGAATGGGGAAAATTTTGGCAATCTGTCCATCTGACAAAGGCCTAATATCCAGAATCTACAAAGCACTTAAATTTACAAGAAAACAAACAACACCATCAAAAAGTGGGTGAAGGATATGAACAGACACTTATTAAAAGAAGACATTTATGCAGCCAACAAACTTATGAAAAAAAGCTCATCATCACTGGTCATTAGAGAAATGCAAATCAAAACCACAATGAGATACCATCTCATGCCAGTTAGAATGGTGATTATTAAAAAGTCAGGAAACAACAGATGCTGGAGAGGATGTGGAGAAATAGGAAGGCTTTTACACTGTTGGTGGGAGTGTAAATTAGTTCAACCACTGTGGAAGACAGTGTGGCAATTCCTCAAGGATCTAGAACTAGAAATACCATTTGACCCAGCAATCCCATTACTGGGTATATACCCAAAGGATTATAAATCTTTCTACTATAAAGACACATGCACACCTATGTTTATTGTGGCACTGTTCACAATAGCAAAGACTTGGAACTGACCCAAATGCCCATCAATGATAGACTGGATTAAGAACATGTGGCACATATATACCATGGAATACTATGCAGCCATAAAAAAGGATCAGTTCATGTCCTTTGCAGGGACATGGAAGAAGCTGGAAACCATCATTCGCAGCAAACTAACACAAGCACAGAAAACCAAATATCACATGTTCTCATTCATAAGTGGGAGTTGAGCAATGAGAACACACGGACACAGGGAGGGGAACATCACACACTGGGGCCTGTAAGGGGGTGGGGGGCTAGGGGAAGGATAGCATTAGGAGAAATACCTAATGTAGATGACAGGTTGATGGGTGCAGCAAACCACCATGGCATGTGTATATCTATGTAACAAACCCGCACATTCTGCACATGTACCCTAGAACTTAAAGTATTAAAAAAAAAAAAAGCCGCTCACATGGAGGTGCCAGTAGTGCCAAGTGGAAGGGCAGAAGTGGAGTGGCTGCTTGTCTAGGCCATCTGTAACCTGGGGAAACTCATCTTGGAGCATGGGTGTATTGGATAACGTGTGATTTCAGGGCATTTCCAACTGAGAGTTGAAGTTGCATTATAAAGACTTTCTTCAAAAGGAGCTGGAGAACTGCTGTGCTTCCCAATACCAAATTCCTTTTTGCCCCATTCCAAGGCAATGCTACCACAGCTGCCTAGCGGAAATGCCCCTTACTACTGCATAAACTGTCTGGCTCACACAGAGTCCCAGCATGACAATTACATAATTGTGTTAAAAGCCCCTTTTTGATTACCTGGGTTTGAGAGGTGAGATTGAAATTCCAAGAGGAGATTCTGAAATGTTGGGGCAAGGTAACAGGGTGAAGCAGTCAAGAGAGAAATAAGTCCTGACAACTGTGATTACTGGAGAATGAAATAATTCTTGCTCCACATAGAGCAGGTCCTGAATGAATGAATGGCTGAATGGTACAGGTCTTTTTCAAACTAATCTCATGATGTGAGGTCTTAGTGTCCATTGATTTCTTCCTGTGTGTGTGTGTTGATCGTTCTCATGCCCTTTGCCTGGTGGATCCTGCCTGCCCTTGACTACAGGTATTCTGAGGATCGATACATTTGTGACCATGCCAGACCCTGTGCTTGCAGATGTCCACCATAACCTGAAAAATGTACTTATGGTTGTCAGACCACAGGGATATTTAAGAAATCAAGCTATTCTGCCCATACTGTTTGGACTCCAAATTATCCCAAATTATGTCAGACCCGGGGGTGACCTTCTATATCAGGGGCCAAGTTGCACCAGGTAATGGTGCTCTGGGAGCACCCTGTCTGGTGCTGAGAACTGGCATTGACTTTGACTCTGCCTCCATCTCCACTTGATGCCTTCTCAGCCTTCTTGCCTCAGCATCAGAGGGTTAAAACAATTCCTCTAGCAGCAGCCTCTCCTCATTAGCAACCTGGAATCATTGCAGTGCTGAAGGCTGCATTGTTCTTCAGCACTTGAATACAATTTGCATAACGAGGCAGGTGAGAGCGCCTCTTGCCTGTTCAGGCAGCCCTGATTGGCAGAGAGAAAGGGATTTATAGGTAGTTGGCCACAATTAATTTGGTGTGCTTTTAAAAGGATAAAAAGAAAAGCAGAAAATTGCTCAGTGCTCCAAGTCAAAACCACATCTGTACCCTATGTGGTGTATGTGCTGGTGTGTTTGCAGGGATGGGTGGGTGTGTCATGTAAAGGCATGTGAGTTAATAACCTTGTGTGTTCAAGTGCATTTTTTTTCTGTAAGAAAAAAAAAAAAGGCTCACTTCCCAGAGGTTCCTGAACCCCAGAGGTCCTCAGCTGCAGAGTCCTTCATGACACAATGCTGTTAGCCATCTTGTTCAATTTGTATTTGAGGCCACTCACAGACATCATTAGAAATCACAGTATTCTTTCTTCAGTACCAGGATAACACCCAGCTCAACATCTCTTTTGTACCCAGTCCAAAAAAGGTGGAGTCCCAGCTGCCTCAGGGTCTGTTGGCAATCAGTTCTTGCAAGAAACACAGCTGGCTAATACTTTACTCAGAAAACTGTGGTGCTAGTGATAAGCTGGGAGATGTGTAGAGGAGTTTCACAGAATTAAGCATTTAGGAAATTAATACCAAGGTGGTTTATAGCCTTAAGCTACTCATGGTCTTCTTGTCACAAGTACTTCAGAAACTAAACACTGCTCTTGCTCTATTTCCCTTCTGAGATGAGGATGGAGGGGTGAAGTAGGGTGTCCTTCCCTCCACTCCATTTCTTCCCTCTCTGCCTTTTCTACTTTTCCCATAAAGGGAAGGTTGCTGAGAGTGGGATCTTTTCCTTTGTAGCTGGATTAAGTAAACACACTGGTTACTGCCTAGCAGAGAGAAAACATGACACCCAATAATATTCGATGTCTTTTTGATTCATTCATCCAGTCAACTCTCATTATATAAGTGGTTCTTAAATGTGCAAGGGGCTGTATGTGCACAAATGAAGAAAACAAACTTCGCTGGAAATACTGTTGGTTAGAATGAACAAGGTCTCTTCAAGGTTCCTGTGCACTCACAGCTGGATAATGAGTGGTCTCTGGCTGGAGTCCCATTATCACTCCTTTGAGAATCCAAGAAGCCAGGCCAGAGAAGGTCCCCAGGACAGAGGCTTTATTAGATTCTGTTGCCTCAGGCCAATGCCTCTAGAAGCATGCCCTACTTTCCTGTGTCCACACAAAGAAGACACAGGGCTCTGGTAGGCAGTATCACAGGGGCAGATGCAGGCTGTGGGGTCAGCTCTCTGGATCAAATCCTGGAACCCTCACTTTCTAGTTGTGTGACTTAGGTGAATTTGCTTAATCCTTAGATGACTCTCCTCATCTGTAAAACGATGTTAATAATGGTGATCTCAAAGGGTGGACATAAAGATTAAAAGTAGTGAGGCAGGAGAATAGGGTCTGGAGGAAGGGAACTTAAGGCTGAATCAAGGAAAAACATCAAGGTCTGGAGGCACGGAATCTAAGGCCAATTTGCACTGACTTCCCAAAGCTGGATCAAAAAGAAAAAACCTGGGCCTGGGGGCAGGGAACCTAAAGCCAATTAACGCAAACTTCCTGAAGCTAAACCGAAAGGAAAAACCCCATCTCCCATTCCCAGTAGCAAAGGATCAAAGGCTATTCTCCCTACCAACCTCCTCCTTCCACCAAGTCTCAGATGGAAAAGGGAGAGTGCCTTGGATTGGCCCTGGGCCAAGCGGGGACCATCCCTTTATCTGCATAGGGCACCAATTCACCTCAGTCTTTAGTTAGCCACAGACCAAATCCTTCATCCAGACAAGGGGTAGCCAATAGGAACCTCAAATGGGGTGCTTAAAACCCAGAAAACTTTGTAACCAGGCCCTTGAGCCACTTGCTTGGGCCCACTCCCACCAGGCAGAGTGCTTTCTCGCTTTCATAAATTCCTGCTTTTGCTGCTTGGTTCCTGTGTTTCATTACTCGGTTACTTTGTGTGCTTTGTTCAGTTCTTTGTTCAAAATACCAAGGACCTGGACAACTTCTGGTCAAGACCCTCCATCGGTAACAGTAGAACCATATGTGAAGAGTTTAATAGTAGGCTTGGCACATAATATATGTTCATTACATAGTTCAATAATAAGGGCAGAGAGAAATAGGCAGGTTTGGCCCCAGGAATCCCAGTGGCTATCATCTAGCCAAGAAATAAAACTCAACGTGATGCCAGCTCTTACAGATCCTGCATTCATTCTAGTTGTTCTCCTCCCACTCTAGGGTGGGGTGGAAGGCAGTGGTGTCAGGGAAAAGAGGAGATGCAGAGGCAGGAAAGCACTTCCTTGGCTGGCACCGCAGTGGTCTGGCATTGCCACTCCCTAGGCATGGCAGATGTCCTCCTTGCCAGGCAAGTTCTGGGCTCCCCAGAGATGCTCTCAGGAAGAACATTGGACCAACCTCAGTGCAGCTGGTCACTCACATCAGTCCCTCCAGCTTTTCCACTGGACAGCACCCCTCCTGACTCTATCTGTTGCAGTTGCCTTATCTTGGGAAGAAAGGCCTTTGGGCAGGGAGCCTTGAAAAACACCTCCCTCGACCTCAGGCCCAGACTGACTCCCTCCTTCCCATATGGCCTCATCTGGTCTTGAGAAACAGATCTATCTGGCCATTGTGGGGAGTATGGCCCACCAGCCAGGGACCAGTTCTCACCAAGACCTGTCACCTTCAGTCTTCTCAGGTATGGGTCAAATGCCAGCCCTTCTCCATTCTAACTGCAGGGGGTGGATACCAAGCTCTCTAGATGACACCCTCAAAGCAGCTTCAGTAGGTTAAAAAGTACAGAAAAAAGAATTCCACAGCCTTCCAACAGCTACCCCACCCCCTCCACCACCCCAAAGTAGTTTTCTCTCACAATCCTTTTCTTACTTTTGATTTCCTGGCTACCTCCTTGGCAGAGTAGTGCCACACAGGTGGGAGCTTTTGGCACCTGTACTTTTATTTCCAGCTGGTTGGAGAGAGTCCTACTTGGTTTGAAAGGGTTCTCCAGATAATTTTGATATCAATGAACTGTTCTACCCCACCACTTCCCTGGCAGCTACTCCTTCCTGTGCACTCCCAAACAGAAACAACTTCTGGTACTGACTAGCCATGTGCTTTTTAAAGTGAGGACCCGAGGTCTTGAGCCTCCTCCTCCTGACTTCCTCCTGGAGTGATGGCTGACAATCCAAGCTGCTCCGTGCTGAGGGAGTCGGCTTGCCTGCTCGTTTTCTTCTCTCCACTCTGGCCATTCTCAGGATCATGTTGGCCTGAAGCCAATGCTCCTGATGCTCTCGATCAAAGCCATCACCTGAGTGGCACTGGAGTAAAATAGGAGAGGAAACATCCGAGACTATAGTGTTTTCAGAGTGTCAGCCACTTGGTCTTTAAATGGCTCTCTGTGACCCATGCTGGACAGGAAATCTCGATGTGGAATCGTAAACTAAATGGTTGGGCTTCCCTAGCCTCAGGGAGTCTCAGGCCCCCATCAGCCCTAGCATATGCCCAGCTAGGCCGAAAGGTTCCAAAAATATAGCAGGCTGCACACCTTTTCCACTCTTGCCACCATTACAGCTGGAGGCAACAAGGCTGAAACACAAAAGCCCAGAGCAGCCCTGGCCACAATTTCATTGTGAATATAATTCTGACATCTTTAAAACCTGACTCATTCTAGGCTTGATGCTTTTGGCCACATATAAATTTCCATGCTGCATTAATTTGTCTCAAAGGACTCGAACTTAGTTGTTCAGAAGTGAAACATTAATTCTTAATAAATTCTCAACCCACAACCCACAATTTAGTGAACTTATAAAAGATTAGCCCTCCCCGTACTAAAACATTGATAATTTTTTTGTTATTAATCAGAAAAGAATGTTGGGGAACTCTCCTATTTTATGTAACTAAACTTTCGAACAAAGCAACTGCCTTCAACAGTTAGCTAAATAGAATAGCTCTCTTATAGAAACAGAGACTAGGCTGTAAATAGATTTGAAATTTGGTGGGAATCCTCAGAGCCACCTGCTCCTCCCCACCTGGGAGAGTCAGTCTGACTGGGAGAGGCCACATAGGGAAGCTATAGACAAATTCAATGATTCCAACAGTTAAAAGAAGTGCTCACTAGCCTCTCCCACATCCAGAACATTCCAAATCTGAAAGGACAACATCCCATGCTGTGTACTTTGATTTTTGTTAATTAAAATTGTTTGTTGCCTATTTTTGGCTTTAATTTTGGGCCTAGTTCAATTCAATGCAGGTGACAAAACTGTGAATTCAGACTCATGCTAGTTTGCATAGTTGCATTAAAAAGTCGTAGTTCCAGGAAGCCTCTGGTCCTCTAATATCTTGCATAGGGATACCTTTCTAAGAAGGGTAATACAGAGCAGATCCAGGACAGCGTTGGCTTCTGATTACCTCCCTCCCTCCCTTCCTTCCTTCCTCTTTCCCCTCATACTCTCTCCATCTGTCTCCTTCCTTCTCCTTCCTTCATTTCATTTTTGTGTTTCACAAAAAGATGAGTCTACTAATATCAGCAGAATGAGACAAAGCCAAATTCTTTACCCAGGTAAGAAAGACAAACTTTCTGATATCTATTTAGTAAGTCTTCTACGCACATGGGAAACCTGTGTTCCTTGTGCAGCTTTGTGAGTGCTAAGTTACTATTTATCCAGTTATCTTGGTACCTTTATGTAGTCTTGGAGGGTAGGGATGTGTGTGTGCATGTGTGTGTGTGTGTGTGTACATTTCTGTGTAACAAGGAGGATAAGGCTACAAGAAGAGAGAGGACACCTGTTTGCTTTTGATGAGAAAAGAGTTCCCTGTGCCTGATGATCAAATAAAGTATCTTCCAGTTCTCTGATTTAAACAACATGGCACAGTCTAGAATATGAGAAGAGTGCATTAGTGTTTTTCTGCACAAAGGAATTGTGAAAATGATACATCTCACAGAAACATGTCCTCAATTCCCTTCGATAAGGACATCACTACTAAAAGGCCTCGTAGAAGGTAGTGGGGAAGTGTGCACATAAGCAGTGTAGTACGTATTGTGAGAAACTAACATTAATCCGGCTCAAGGACACAGCAAAAGGGAGCACACAATGACACTCAGGTTTTGTATTGTCTCCCTAAAATTAACCAGCAAGGAGAAGACTGCCTATAAAGCATGTCTCTGCAAAGCTTCAGTGCAAACTGGATCCATTCTTCCAGGCAAAGGAGAGGGGAACTGAATCTGATCCCACTGCAAGAAATACTCACTTTGAAAGGATGGGGCTGGGAGACTGACAATGCAAATCGGGACAAAGAGGAGAAGCACTGAAGTCTAAAGGATGCAATGAGCTCAAAGTGCAGATTACAGAAGAAGTTGTGAAGGCCTTGTATTAGGTCCCTGTGGCAGCCATAAAAAATAGCCACGAACAGAAGCTTATTCTCACATAGTTCTGAAGGCCAGAAGTTCCAAAACAAGGTGTTAGCTGGGCAGTGCTTCTTCCAAAGGTTCTAGGGGAGAATCCATATCTTGCCTCTTTCGGCTTCTGGTGGCTCCATGTCTTCCTGTGGCTGCATCACTCCTGTGTCTGCTTCCATCTTCATATGGTCTTCTCATCTGTGTGTTTTCTCCCCTTCTGTGTCAAATCTGTGTCTGCCTTTTTCTTATAAGAACAATTGTCTTTGGATTTAGTGTCTACCTGGATAGTCCAGGATGATCTCATTTTGAGATCTTTAACTTAATTACATTTGCAAAGATTTTTTTTTTTTTTCTAAACAAGGTCAATGTTTGTAGGTTCTAGGGGTTAGGATGTGGCTATATCTTTGGGAGGATACAATTCAACCCACTTCAGGCCCCAACAAGGTAGTAGAGCTTAGAGGTGAGGAATACAGTGTTAGAAGTCATAGGAAGGCAAGAAGCAGGTGGTCGTTCAAGGGAAAGAGGGTCGTTCAAGGGGAAGGGGACCACAAAAGGGGAAGGAGTAAAAGGCAACTGTGAAGCCTTGCTAGGAACCCAGTCATCAACTCCGGGTCATCTGCCCCTCAGGACTTGGAGGGTGACCCACTACTAAGCCACAGGATGTTGAACTGAAGTTAAGGATCTCTTGTCTCAGTAAAGATGGATTCAGGAATTAGGACTTGGGGGATACCTGTTGGGGCATATAGCAGACCCATTCTTAAATAATGCCAGATAAGAAGTGGGGGTAGCCAACCCTGATGGACAGACCTGGGGCTAGCCAAGCCCCAGGGATCTGTTCTGGACCCATTTGGATGGAGGTCACCCTGGCAGGAATGAAGGAGGCTCAGCGCTTGGGACAGCAGTCCATGGAAAGGGCCAGACTGGCTCTGCCAATTAAGAGAACAAAAGGCAAGTGTCCTCCCCCCTCTCATGTGCATTCTGTACCTCAGACACTCCCAGGATTTGGGGAGTTTTACATTTTTCAGATCTGCTCTTGATCAGTAGCTCCAAGAAGAATAGTTGCCTGACAGGCCAAGAGGACTCCCATGCATGAATCATACCCTTACATTTTGCTCAGCTACCTAGAGGTCCAACCCAGGCCCTCATTACTAGCTCCCTGGCTAGTTGGTCATGACTGCTACTTTCTCAATTAAGTTATTTTTAGCCCAGTATTCCATGGTCTGAGCGAGATGTTCTGGGCCAGGAAAAGGGTGTGACAGATCGGGCTGGAGGTTGGCTGTCTCCTGCTGGCTTCCAGCCTAAAGTTAATAGGGCAGGAAAATAAATTTGTGCAGTGGAAAGCATGGCCCCATTTCCTCACACATGCTCAACAACCACTCAACATTTCAGGGTAGTTGTGGAGTAAATTTGCTTATCACCAGGCTGATTTGTTCCAGAACGCATATTTATTTACTTGCCTGCATATTGATTTAAAAGTCATGCCCTTCCTATATCCCAAAAGAATATGAAGTGACTTCCAGACCCCCATGGGACTTCTTGGAAACCCAGAAGACTCATTATTCATTTAGGTGTTACGTGGCCATCCTGATTGTACCTCCAGTGTTGCAGGCAAAGATAGCTACCCTCATTAAGCAGATGAGCACATTTTTGACATTTGAAAGTTAATCAAACTCCTCTACTTCCTTGAGGAGAAGAGCTGCAAAATATATTTCAGGCATGTGTCACAATGGTGGTAGGAACGTGTGAAATCGTTTGCAGCCAGATACCCTGGAGAGCCCAATGGTCAAACAGCAAACTTCTGTGACTTTAGCAGCCTCCACCTCCCTGTGGGCTTCCTCCAATCTGACCCCAGACCCCACTGACCCCCTAACTGTCCCTTCTCACTCCTGGTGCCACCATTCTCCACCATCCAACAGTAGCTTAAAGCTAAGGGTCACTCTATACACAGGCTAAAGTCAATTTGAGGGCCATTAGCCTGCCCAAGTACTGGAAATCACCATTCTTCTCTATTTAAAATAATGTCTCTAAAAGGCTTATTAAATAAAGTGCAAATGTTACAATACTATCTATCTAATTATTATGGCTCAATTAATTAGATAGCTACATGTTAGTAGGGGGAAAGGATCTAACTTGTTAGGCTTTGATTGATAAGGTAGATAGGAATGTAGGAAGAAAAGTGAATAACTGGAAAGAGCATCAAATAGCATCAGGGTCTAAACAGGGTGGCACACTGTTCAGGGGCTATAGTGAGCCAGGAACACCATAAGGGCAAATTATTTAACCTCACCAAGCTTCAGTTGCCTCATCTACAAATAAAGATATTAATAGCACCATTATATAAGATAATCTATGAAATATATTTGGCATGATGCCTGGCTTGTAAGAGCTGAAAAAAATCTTACCTGGGAAGTTATCGCTGAAGTTATATTATTATTAATAATAATAACAATGATAATCATTATTAGTAGTAGTAATAGTAGTGGTGGTGTTAATGTGCCCTGTTAAGTGGAATCAAGGCATTACATTAAAGGATAGGGAATTAAATAGGAAAGTGGGGGCAGGGGTGTCAATTCCAGTCCTTATCTATGTCACAGCTTTCCCTGAGATTAGCTACAGGAGAAGCACCCTGGCAGAGTGATTTTGGAGCCAAATACACAGGGACTCAAATTTTGGCTCTGTCACTTGATAATGTATAACTTTGGGGAAGTTACTAGTTTTCCAGAGTCTCGGTGTTCCTATTTGTAAAATGAGAATAATCATACCTGTGTGAAGACTATCCAAATAGCATACACAGAGCATACAAAATGTACCTAGTGCCCAGCAAATATGTCCCCCTCCCTCACTGGCCAAGCTCTTTTTCCTTCATACTATGGTTGGCAGACTGCAAAATGAGAAATCCATCTGGATGGGTGAGAAATATGAGAATGCATTGTGGGCTCTTTGTTAAGAGAAGAAAGATGTCACTAGCTCCCTTACACCCTCCTCCCACTGGGGGAGCTGATGGAACGTACAGTCGGGTTGCTGAATGTTCGAACTTGCACCCATATTTAGGTACAGCATGTAGTGGAATAATTCTGAATTCACTGTAATGTGCTACCGCAAAATGGAAGCCTTCCAGTATAAAGGAGTACAAAAATAGGTTTTCATGGAAATTTAACTCTCGTTTTCTACCTTAACACAAATGAAATCTGAGTACATTTTTTTCTGCAATAAAGCTGAAGATAACTTTTTAAAAAGCTATAAATCGAATGGCTACAAATATCTTTCCATCATCGCTCCAAGATATTTATCACTTGATGTGAGTTATATGGAAGATACATCATCTGTAATAGTCAAAACAAGTTTAGGAACCCTTCTCCATTTTAAATGTTACTTCCTTGATGAAAATCTAATCACATTGGAAAATAATCTTCAAAATCATCTCATTTCTTTTCTCAACATTATTGTTTGAATGTCTTTATTCTTTTTCTAAATTCACAGAATATACTTCCTCTCATGCATTACCATACCCTGTCCCAATAATTTGTTTTCTTTAGGTGTTAGACTGTAAGTAAGTAAGACTATAAGAATTTTAACATTTTAAGTATATTTTCAGGAAACTCTCTTTCTGATTTATATAACTGTCCATGACACTGATATGCAGTCATTAGTTACTTAAATGTTTTTTATAATTATGTAAATCATGTTGACAGATTCTGGTAGGGTGCTTACACTTTACTGTTTTGTCATCTGCAAAGTTCTGAAATGTATCAGAAAACCATTTACAAAGTAAACAGCTGTTAAGGGGCACTTGCTGACTTGTTGCTTTCTTTGCCTGTGATTCTGGGTCCGTTGTTTTTGCCAGGGGCTCTTAAGTAAATACAACCTCTCTTCCTCTCTCCCCACAGACTCTTTTTTTTTTTTGTCTTAATGATGAACAACTTATGGTCATTGACTTTGTGGAGTTCAGGGTCAGACAGAGGAATAGGTGGTCAGGTATTGGCCTATAGATTATTGTAATAGAATGCGGAAGATACGTGTTATAATAAAGATTTGAATAGTTGCCATAATAGAGCACTAATTTCCCAGATGAGCTAGGGAAATGACTAATTTCCCAGATGAGCTAGGGAAAGCTCCACAAATAAAGGGATCTCTAATCTAGGTTTTGAAGTTTCAGTAGGAGTTTGATGAGTGAAAAAGTGGGGAAAAAAGCCTCCCGGGCAGATGCATAGATAGAGGTATGGTTGAAAAAGATGAACAGTTGTGGATACCCAGGATATCAGATGCAGGAACCCAAGCATTGGCCAATGAGACTGCAGAGCTGGGGTCACAGTGGAAATTATTTGCAAAGGTCTTGAAAGTCTCTCTCTCTCTCTCTCTCTCTCTCTCTCTGACACACACACACACACACACACACACACACACCTGTCTTCATTCTATAAAACAAACTGATGGGATCCAACTTTTAGAACATAATGAACACGGTATGGAGGACAGACATGTGCATATCCTGTCCGCTTTAAGAAGCCTAGAAATGGTACTTATTTCAAAATCATGGAAAAGAAAACTATCTTCCTCCATCTCAGTTATGCTTAGTTCAAACAGAAAAACATTCAGTTGTTACTGCGTGGCCCATGAGGGTAAGAGAAAGATAAGTGCAGTATGCCAAGTAATTTTTGAGACATTTGAAGGAAGCATTTTGATACCCATGCAGATCCTCCACTTAACAGCCAAGAAGGTCTGTGACCCACCTCATCTCTGCCATATTGATGCACGGTGACATGATCTCACCATACAGTGCTATAACCATGCATAGGACATGATACACTACACCCCTGCCATGTCATGCATGGTGACATGGCCCTGCTATACTCTGTGTGGTACATAGTCTACTACCTCTCTGCCACAGCCTCATGTGAAGACATGGTCTGCCATACCTCTGACAAGTCTACACATGGGGCATGGCCCATCAAGTTTCTGCAACATCCATGTTTTAGGGTGGTGCGTTAGTGCATTTTATGTTGCTATAGAGGAATACCTGAGACTAGGTAATTTATAAAGAAAAAGAAAGATTCAGTTGGCTCACAATTCTGATGTCTGGAAAAGTTGAAGTTTGGGCATATGGTGACATCCTCAGGCTGCTTCCACTCATGGTGGAAGGGGCAGGGGAGCCAGCATGTGCGGAGATCGTATGGCAAGAGAGGAAGCAAGAGAGAGGGGAGGTGCCAGACTCTTTTTAACAATCAGCTGTTGGGGGAATTCTCATGGGAACTAAAAAAGCAAAAACTCACTCAGTCCCACCCCTCCCAAGGGAGCCACTAATCTGTTCATGAGAGATCCACCCCCGTGACCCAAACACTGGCCATTAGGCCCCACCTTCAACACTGGGGATCAAATTTCAACATGAGATTTAAAGGGATCAGACATCCAAACAATAGGAGGTGGGCGTGGTCCACCTTACCCTAAGCCACAACCAAGTATTGAGCTCTGAGGTTGTTCTTCACCCTATTACTGTCCAGGTTACAGAAACAGTCACCAAAAGGCGATTGTGGTAGCGGCTGCAAATGGGGGGAAAAGGAGGTGTGCAACTCAGATTTTAGTTAGGGTCGTGATGAAAGATGTTGATGAAGGAACAATAAGAGAGGGGTTTAAAAATGGGTTAATACATGGATGATATATAAATAAATGTATCATAAATCATGAGATGAGAGAAGTAAATAAAAGCTTCCAAATAAGAGAGAAAAAAATACAAGAGAGAGAATTTTTTTTTAAATAAGGAAGAAGAATAAAGCAAAAAGGAAGACAAATCAGAGAAACAGATAACACAAAGGGGTAAACACAGTGGAGTATATATTTTCCATGGGCCATGATGTGCCCATCTCCTCAGTGTGGGTACACAGCAGCGGCCCTCTAGTAACACCCCACACTGGCAGCCCTGTGCATTTAGGCCACCCAACCACATCTAACAGGAGGTACCATGCACTCAAAAAAAATATATATATATATAAAAAATATATATAATAAATATATAAAAAATATATATAATATATAAAATATATATAAAATATATAATATATATTATATAAAAAATATATATTATATATAATATATAAAATATATAATATATATTATATAAAAATATATATTATATATAATATAAAATATATAATATATATTATATATAATATATAAAATATATAATATATATTATATATTATATATATAATATATATTATATATAATATATAAAATATATAATATATATTATATATAATATATATTATATATAATAAATATATAAAATATATATAATAAATATATATAGTATCTTTTCTCAAGATACTATTTATCTTCTCCACATGCTTTTGAATGTTCTTGATAAGTAGAGATGTAGAAGGAAAAATGAGAATCTGAGCCCCTGAAGAGAATATCTCCTCCTTTTCATTCTTCTCAGACCATTTGCTTAAGTGTGTAGGGTTTTAGGTTGGGCAAATCTAACCCATGTGCAAAGTACTATTTGGTCTGAAGACACACCTATCTGCAGCTCATGGCTTCATCCTGGGGGGGTGGGGGTGGGAGTGGAAAAATATCACATTTTCTAAATCTTAAGGAAATAGAGTAGAAAATTTGTTGTAAGCGCAAGTCTCCAAAATTATTTTGGCCATAAGCTTTATGGGACACTCCATGAAAGTGTCTCCCATCCCTAGTCCTGGTTACATAGTTTCAGGAGACAGATCTCCCATGGAAAATGTGATGCTTCAGGCAGACTGGAGGGTCAGATGTATTTAGAATGGGTTTTGTACATCCTCATCCAGCAGTGATGGAAAACAGCAGACACTTTCCCTTCTCTCTCAATTGCATAGGCCCGCAGAGGCCTGCAATTAGTAAGGGGGCAGCCCATTCATCAGCACCACACAGGGGCAATCATCCAAATCATCCAGTTAAACAGCAGTTACTTCTCTTCAAGACACAATGCTTCTTCCTGCTCAGCCCCAGAAACACGAGTGTGCACCGGAACCAAGGGAGAGCCCACAGCCAAACACCACTGGGAAGAAAAGGAGGCCATCATGCGCCCATCTCCTCGGTGTGGGTACACGGCGGCGGTCCTCTAATAACACCCCACATGGGCAGCCCTGTGCAGATAGGCCACCCAACCACATCCAACAAGAGGTACCATGCACTCAGAAAGCCGCTAACATACCAAGCCCCTTATTTTCAGCCTAGGGTGTACTAGTGATAACTTTTCACGAATCAGGAGGCCAACATGAAGTCATATTATTTCAGTAGGGAAACTGACTTCTACTCCCATGTTCCAATACAAGAAAACATAAGAAAGAACGGTCAATTCCAAAAATTTAGAAGACAAGCAGGTACATGAGAACTTTGAGTATGGCTGAGAACAGGATTGAGGGAAAGACGGGAGATTTCAAATGAGTCTCTTACCTTTTTGTCGCTCAGGCCAGAAACCTGGTCCACATATTCCTCTTGGATCATGAAGGCAGCTAAGTTGGCAGTGTAGCTGGCCAGGAAGATGACAGCAAAGAAGGCCCACACTGACACCATGATCTTGGAGGTGGTCCCCTTTGGGTTCTGCACAGGTACGGAGTTGTTAAACACCAGACCCCAGAGCAACCAAATAGCTTTGCCGATGGTGAAAGAGGGTCCACCAGGCTCTGGCATGACAAAAAGACAAGGACGAAAGTTAAGCCATTGTGGCTGGTTCTGTTGAAACCTACAAATACACAGGGTGAGTCCCTGCTCAGAGCAGGAAACCCTTCCGCTAAAACCAAGCCCTTTTATAGACGGCTTTTAAATTTGAGAGTGTGTATCTCTCTTTTCCAGGGACTCTCAGGAGGGCTGCAGAGGGTTCCTTAGGAGAAAAACCAGAAGCCCGGAGTGTGTGTAGGATGGTCTTTCTTGAACTAACAGTCATGACTCCCCTCTGGAGGAGCCATCAACCTGCCCCCATATACAAGACCCTCTCAAGATTACATCAAAACTGAGTAAAACAGGCCAACTATGTCACTATGGTCACACTTGGGTCATGTCTGTCATTTTTTCCTAAATTTTATATTTGTATCTACCAAGAATGCATTTTAACTTCCAAAAACATCAGCAAGAACTGGGTAAGATTGTTTTCTGCCATTCATAAACCCTCTCCAAGTCTGTTTATACTGATGCTAGATGGCTTAGAATGCACTTTTTCCTGATTTTTCTTTAGCTTCTAGCACTTAGCACTCAATGTTTCAAAGACAACCCTGATCCTACTCCGATGCCAACACTTCCCAACTGGTTTCCTGTCATAGAAGCTTGCGTGTAAAAGAATATCAGAGGCCAGGCATGGTGGCTCACGCCTGTAATCCCAGCACTTTGGGAGGCCGAGGTGGGCGGATCACGAGGTCAGGAGATCGAGACCATCCTGGCTAACACGGTGAAACCCCGTCTCTACTAAAAAGACAAAAAATTAGCTGGGCGTGGTGGCGGGCGCCTGTAGTCCCAGCTATTCGGGAGCCTGAGGCAGGAGAATGGTGTGAACCCGGGAGGCGGAGCTTGCAGTGAGCTGAGATCGCGCCACTGCACTCCAGCCTGGGCAACAGAGCAAGACTCTGTCTCAAAAAAAAAAAAAAAAGAATATCAGGAAGGCCAAAGGGGAAGTCATAGAATCCTGGCCTGGCTACCTGCATCTAAGGGGAGAAAGGAAGCTGCTTTTGACTTTGATTTCCCCCCACCTAACCTTTGCATAGACAGTGCTTGGGCTTCTGCCCATGTATGTATTGTGACCTCACTGCAATCTCTATTTGCTGATGGTAAAATCTTGCCTGTTGTCTGAATCTCCATGTAGCCCCTCCACTGCAGAAATGAACATCTGCCTGCACAGTTTTACAACATATTTGCACAGGTCTTATGATGTAATCTGTGATCCTGATAGCATCTGCTCAGCCAAATAAATCATCAGGGACAACTCATGTTGAACCTGATATGTAACTGTGCACACACATCTGTGCGTGTGGACCTTATTTCATGCAACAGATGTGTAACTAAAACGTTGTTTATAAATCAAAGCTTTATAAATTGTAAAATGCTCTAAGGAGACTTGATATTTAAAGTGGCCCCATGTTGAATTCCTCTGTGAAGACAAACATCCTTTGGTAAAGTGAGTAATTGTAAGCCCTCGCTCTGAGCTTTCTTTGCAAATCTGGATTTTCGGCTCCTGTTATTTTTTCAAGGGAGAGAGGCAATGCACACTGACTTTAGCTCTTGACATTGCCAACCTAAGTATATACTCATGTGATTCCCAGATGTTCCACTTCTCACTGGTGCCACACAGGCTGGGATATAGGTCATGGCTTCTGGATGAAGCACAGGTGGAAGGCCCCTGATTGTACCATGCCATGGAGACACCCCAACTCCCACCTCAGAATACACAAACCAAATTAAAAGGTAGGTCTGCACTTGGAAATACTTCAGTAAAGTGTTGTTTCACAGCTTAGACTGTGAATCCAACAGAAGCATGAGGAAGATTTTATAAAATACTGCTGCCTGAAACCCTATACTCAGAGATTCTTATTAAATTGGTGTAGGGTGGGGCTGGTTATTTTAACATGCAACCAACGTAGAGAAACACTATTTTGAAACATACAGTGGTCTAAGCCCCAACCTAGACTTAGTGAATCAGAAAATGAGGTCCAAGCACCTGTGTCTTTTAGATGCCCCATAGATCATTCTTATGTGTAGCCAGGTTTAAGAATCTTCCCTCTTGGAGGTTTAATTCTAGGATAGAGCTCACATTCTGGAATGGAGAAGACTCAGAGAAGGCAGAATATTTCTTAATCCTGGGGTTCTCAGGAAGTTTTAGAGGAGTTATTTACAAGGATCCCATGGTCCCCTTTAGAAATCATGTGAACTTTTAAAAACTGTCATAAATGCCTCAAACACATGGGCAGCCCTCACATCTCTAGGTCTACCTACCCAGGAAATTGGACCATACCCAATAATAGCTATGAGTGAGAATTGGTCTTTCCCATTCATTTTATTTCCAACACCCAACTTTTATACTCTCGGGCAAGGGGGTTGAACCAGGGGCATATGCTTTGGAGATCTGGTACCTCAGTTGTGATCCTTTGGCACTGGGGAACTCAACCAGCCACAACCACCTGCATATATCCTGGGGCAATCCATTTCTTCTTGTTCTTAACATGTGTGTACAATCTGCCTTGTTAGCGACATCTGTTCCAACAGACTGCCCACAGCCTAAGGTTATCAAAATAGTTTCCTGTGACATGTTTATGCTATACCCATATCTACCAATAGTTTTTCCTCTCCTTTACTTGGGAGTGAAACTAGGCTTGGGGCCAGGCATAAAGCAGACCTATAGATTCAAACTAACATCTTAACTGGGGTATTTCTAAAGAGACGCCAAGCTGGTGACTTAGAAATGTTCACCTGAGGGTTCCTTTTCAGAAATGGATATGCTAGGGAAAATGCAGATAACAAATGAGGAGTCCAGAGATTTGAAAATAAGGAGAAAAAAACTGGGGAAGTGCAGCGGTTCCAGCCGGCCTTACCTCTGCCATCAGCGAGGCACCTGTTATAACCCACAGGGCTGAAGTACTCAAAGACAAAGACAGCCACGGCTGAGACGATGAGCAGCATCACAAACATCATCACCCATACGTCAGCGCTGAATGGCTCTGAGGAAGGGAAAAAAGCAGTGCTCAGGGTTAGAACAGAGAGCAAAAGAATTCGAATTAATTCACATATTCATTTCATATTTTAGGGGGTGGGGAACAAACCACAATGTGTTGTCTGCCTTCAGGAAGCCAGGGCCTAGGTTAGATTGTACTGAACCATTTCCTTAAAGGTCAAGGATTGCCTTCCTTCAAATACATGAGAAGGACAGCTTCATGCCCGTGAGCCTCTTAGGTTGTAGAGGCAGCTTCTGCCATTATTGGACCAATATCTGGGTATTTCAGTAAATGGTGCAATTGGAAGAAGCACTAGCTATGAAGTGAGTGAGTTGTATTGGACTGACTCAATTTATGTTCTCATCTATATGGCCACACCATGTAATGGAGGCCTGGAAATGCCTTCTCCAATGCTTCTGAACCTTGCAGATACAGTCTTTCTCAACAGACCTACCTACTATTTTAGAGTTGAATTTGTTCAGGAATAATTATGTACAATAAATAACCAGCCCCCTTTTCCCCTTGTATCATTTCTCTTAAACTTCCTAGCCTAGATTCACTTTTTCAACCTACTTTGATGTATTGTATGTTATCAGACATCATTAGGGTATGAGAATATAAGTCAATGTTAAAGTATCCTTCCACGTTAAATATTATTATCTGCAACAGTGGGAATTTAACAAGTGACAAGGGAACATGTCTAAGCTGTAATTCACAAACCAACTACAATCTATCCCCCATTATGAAGTGATAGGGTTGATGGGACAAGACTGGGCAAGGTAGCAAGAATGTTCCACATATGCTTTCTTTAATATCTTTAATCATGTGTGCTGAATCCTTTCCAATTGAGCTAAATATCTCTCTGGCTTGGAGGTGTCCAGAAACTAGATACTATATTCCAGAAGCCATCTCTGTAAAGGCCTATAAAAAGGGACAATCACTATTCTGTCCCATGATACAATGCTCCCTCAATTGTGTCTCAAAATAGTTCTGGCCTTTTTAGCTGTCACAGCACATTGTAAACTCATAACTAAGTGAATTAACATGCTGTTTTCTCCATCTTCCAAATCATTAATAAAGATGAAGTTTAAAAAGGGGAAAAATTGGCTGAAAATTAGAAAATATATTTCTTACTCTGAAACCTACTTTGTTATTGAACTCCCAAAGGAATTGTAAAAGCCTGGTCACTTAATCAATTTTTAAAAGATCTTGATAAAGCCCCAGTGCTTAACACACCAACTGTGAAATGCAAAACCTTTCAATGGCAGCTAGAGATGCGAGCGTAAGAGGTACAATTCAAAGGCTCTCTCCAGAGGTGTGGAGAAAACCTCTGCACACTTGACTCTAATTGATTGCAATTCTACCCTGATTTCCCTTTTGTCTAAGATTGGGGAATAACTGAGTAAAAGCACCACCTCTGTGGTCTTTTCCTCCCATTAGGCCCAGGGAAACTTTCTATACACAAAATACATCGTCTGTTTTGGTCTTTACAATTTAGAAACTACTTTTACCACATACTATATATATAATCCTTCTAATGGCCCTTTCATTAGGGATTACCTTATCTATTTTATGGAGGAGTAAACTAGGACTGAGAGGTCAAGGTTCTTTCCAATTCATACTCAGAAAGTGTCAGGGTCAGCTTACAAACTGAGCCAAAAAGTCTGTGTTTTTTCATTGTATTACATTGCTCTTTGTCCCCCCATGCTGGTTCCTGGGTTAGGGGCTGAACTCTGAAACGGCCTTATTTGTACTAGAACACAGGTTCTGAAGGCTACCATAGCTGGATTTTAATCCTAGAGCTGCCAGTTATCAGCTAAGAGACGGCTGGAAAATGGCTTAATAGGTCTAAGATTCAGTTTCCTAAGCTATAAAATGGGTATAATAACATTTTATGAGTTAATATAACCAAAGGATGTACAATGATGCCTGGCACATTATATAGTAGGTGCTCAATAAATGTTGGCTTCTCTTATCCCTATAACTAACTGCTCCTCCTCTGAATACAGACGTAAACACACCCTGCCTGACATTTCTATGCTATTCCAGGGATATATTAATGTACCACTGGCTCTGCCAGTTCAGAAGTTAAGGTAGTGCTATACTGACAAGGTTAGAATTAGAATGTGGTTTTGTTTATATCTCTTAATGTTCCAACTATCCTTGCACAGCAAAAAAAAAAAAAAAAAAAAAAGCAAATAAAATATGTATAGAAGCTATGAGAATTACTGGATACAGTGTGTACTATCTAATCACATTTCACATAAAATTGGCAAGGCTGGAATTTGCTTCACTCTGAGTAAGAAGATTAGCTAAGAAATTTGAGTAATTTATAGAAAAATTCTATGGAGCCTATAACTCCACTTTGCAATGCATTAATTGAATTAATTCCCTATGGTTAGAGCTTAAAGAAATGTTAGTCACTGTCTACTGTAATAGCCCCATTTAAAAAATGTTGATGTGCCTTAGAGAGACGGTGACTCGTCCAGGGGCTTACAGCTTGTTTATGCCAAACCCAGTCTCCTTTCTGCTAGCCCAGTGTTCTGTTTTCAAGGTGACGTTTTATTTTCCAACCCCTCATTCCATGGCCCCTGCAAAAAATATGGGGTATGAGCTCACAAAAGACCTCATCTAATTGAAATCTTGGCCTCATCTCACCCAGTCTTATATCACGTCTGAGATTTTTGACATTTAAGTGATGCTGGAGAGAATGGTATGGGGAGGGGTGCAGTGGGGTGGGAGGAAGAATCAGATCAGCTCTATCTGGCAAAGCCTCAGAAAATTTGCGTGGAAACAAAAAATCTTTTTTGGTAGCTCTGAGCGCAATTCTTGCAGATAATTAAAAATAAATAGATATTTCAATGATATCCAGAATTAGAAATTATTATGGCAAGAAGCAGTCTCAGAGATCAGCCTGGTTGAAATGACTTCTCCTATGGATGAGGAAACCAAGTCCCCAGATACAGCAAATTTGCTCAAGGTCACATGCTGACTAAATGGCAGGAATGGGACTACAGTAAGCCCTCTGAGGACCAGCCCAGTACTACTTTCTTAGATGGCATTATGCTTTCCTATTTTTCTGGGTGTTCATCAGCTTTCATGTTTGAGAGTAATTGATTTTGAAGTCCCCTAAGTGAAGTCCCTGGCTGAGTTGAGCTCCTAGCAAACCACCTTCTAGCTGGAACAGCCTGGCCATGTGCTCCTTTTTTCCTTATTTCACTTCCCCATCCATACGTCCATTTCCTTCCACCAGCAAACCCATCATTTACCTAAGAAGGCAGAAGGTGAGACAGTCCCATTGCTGCGTGACACCATGACACTGATGCCTGTCTCTATGAAGGGCACAGAGAAGTCGACCACCTCCGATCGTTCCTCATTGATGGTGAGTGAGCCCACTGCCATGTAGGCCCTCTTCATGACCACCTAAAAGAAAGGCGCGATGCTCCAATTAAAACATTCAGGAGGGCAAGGGACCACCACAAGGAAAATACAGCCTATCAGTGGTTTTCTTTGTATAGTGGGAACAATACATCTTATTTGCCATTTTATATTTTCTGAAATGCATAAAGTGAGCACGTTTTAAACTTATATTTAGAAGAAGGAAAATAAATGAAAATGGAAATGGAAACAGCCCTTGTGGACACTCACCTCTCCAATCATACCATTCCAGGTTCCATTGATTTTCTTCCCATGCTTGCCATTGGTAACCAGGTAAAGGTCATAGGTGAACTTCACAGATTTAGAAATTTTCTTAAGGATGTCAATACAGAACCCCTTGCAGCATTTTTTGATGTAACCCGGCTCCTCGTCTGTTTTATTCCTAGCCAATTAAAGAAACAAAAACAAACAAACAAAAAAGTCTTTGTACAAAAAGCCAACATTTATTACCCTTTGCCATTAAAAAACCTCCAATCCCAAAGCAGGCCCCCTTCACAGCTCAGCACAATTTATACTAGACTCGAGTGAAGAAATAAAGCAGGCAACAGACCTGCAATATTCTCATTATCTCGTCATATTGAGATATGTTTCCTCTTAATTTTAATTCTCCTTTGAAGTACAAAATACATAAGAAAAGGGTGCATATTTGAAGGCTTCAGTTCAATGACTTTTCAGACTGAACTCTTATTAATCAGCACCCGGATCCAGATACAGAAAAGTTACCAGTACCAGAGAGGCCTCTTGTTTCCCACTCTAGGCACTTCACACCAAGGAGAACCATTATCCTGACTTTTAAAAGCATAGATTAGTTTTATATTTTTCAAAAAATGGTTCTAAATCTCAAGATTCTGGGACATGCTGGCCCAAGAAAACATATTTGAACACCAGAAGTAAACTTAAATCTCCATAAACTTGAGGTCCTAATCATTAAGGCCAAGCAAGACCGAAGAAACTTTAGCGTGGGAAGTTGGCCATCATTTTCCCAGGTCACCAGCTGGACAGAACGAGACATCAGACCAGAGGGCTGCCAGTAATCCCACAGCTCAAAAGCAACTAGAAATCAGACACAGTGCCCAATTCTCATGCCTCAGGTCTCAGGCCAGCCAAGTGCTAACAGGTGCATCAAAGCTGACTCTCCCATGCCACCCAAAGTCATTGAGAGGATGCCATACTCAGTGACTATGCGTTTTTGGCAGGGGACTGTGTTCCTCATGCAGGTTCCACTCAGAGGGTCCACACTTTCCACAATGACAAATGGTGCCTCCTCCAGGGTCACAATGCTCAGATGGTCATCCTCCTGCTCTTCAGTCTCTGGACACATTCGGGGCCACACATAGTACTTCATCTGCAGGGACTTGTCTTTCCACTTCCCCACCTGCACAAGGATGAACACAAGAATCAGAAACCACTGGCCACAACATAACAAACAGCCTGTCCCAGTATTGTCTGAACAATCCCAGGAAGCAGTTGAACAAAAGCCAACAAGTGCCAACATTGTACATACTAGAGATAGGAATACTTTTTAAATCATGTGCCCCAAATGAGACTACTGTGTCCAAATGTAAGAAAGGCAATACATTCATTTATCACTCACTTACCAAACATTAAATGAGGACCTACTATGTGCTGGCACCCTGTTAAGACCCATGGCTCAAAGAAGCATCATTCTATCCTTCATGAAGCTCACAGTGAGTGGAGTCAGATATGTAAACAAATATCTTGCAGCGCTGTGTAGTAAGTGAGGATGCTGGAGTTCCCGCATTATGTGTGGCTGCCAGTTTTTTCTATTTAACTGTAACAAGGAGCATGATGGTGAGAGCAGCAGATAGCTTTGGAAATGTCAACAGAACAATGGGAGCAAATGAGCCAAAATGATGTGTTTTGGCTGTAGAAGAGATCCAGTGGGGAGAGCTAGGTGGATCTAAATTGGAATAAAATTACAAATTGGGATTAAAGAATACTAACACTGTTTGGGAAGGGAGCACAGTTAGGCTGGGGATGAACATGGGTCAATGCAGATGTGCACCTCCTGGGCTGGGTGGAAGCCCTGGGATGAATCAGATATGTCTCTCTGTGAGCCACCACCTATGGCCACACAGGCTGAGTGCCCCAACACCATGGAGCACCATCCACATGGGCTCCAATGTGAAAGGCCAGTGTCCCTGAATCATGAACATGGCGGCCTGCTGGCAACCATCCTGAGAAATGTATGGGTTCCATTATTTTTCAGAAGAGCCACTCATTCCTATTTATAAGGGAATCAACATGGCTTTGTTGGGGGGTTCTCATTCTCTCTGTCTCATTGAGTTTAATGGAGAAAGAGGGAACACTTGCTTATTTTCTATAACTGAGCATCTTCAATTATCGTAAGGAATTATGGATTGCAAGCACCTGCATTTTCTCAATCTATGATTTCCTCCATGCAGCAATGCAAATTAGTAGAACAGGTGAGGCACCAGGAACTACAGCACCACTTAATTTATTAACTACAGAAATCAATAAGAAGCAACAAGTTGGTAGGACTTCATAAATTTTCAAGCAAATCGGCTTGGATTTCCATATTAATGCAAAACCCAGACTCCCTCCTTCTTGGTTTCTTTGTCCAGTAGCCTGCATAGCCACTGCCCTTGTGTTACTGCATCATTATAATGCAGGCAGTGGCTTGGTGGCATAGGCTATCTTATTTGGTACCTACACAGTCCTTGTTTGGCTGATGCTGGTTGGTTTTCTTTCAAGGGTATAAATGATGTTTTGCTTCTTTGTTCAGAATCATGCACTGAACCAAACGTTTGCTTTCCTTCATGTGTATAGGCTTCTCTGAACTGTTGATCCTGATTTTAGAACAAGTCCGTTTTTTCTCATATTGCTAAGACTACTTATTTCTAAAACAGAAATTTCCAAATGGCTCTCCAGCCAGTGGAGATACTAATGTCCTCTGCCAGTTTGGCCAGGTAGGAATTGGGAGAGGAGAGACTCAGTCCTGGGGGTCCAGGACATTGGTCACCCCCTCCCCAAATAGGCCTATTTACCCTAGTGGCCAAACTGGTTTATATTCTGCACCTTCAATAATGTGTAAAAAGTTGAGAAGCCCTAAAGTACTTATTTATTTATTTATTTCCTATCATCTTCCCTCAACAGTCCCTTTTGATTTTTTTTCTCTTAAATCCAAATTTATTCTTTTCCATCTTTATTGCTACTAGCCTGGCCTATTATAGCCCAGCGGCCCATTCTGACATTATTGCAGGAAATTTCAAACCTCACTAAGGGTCCCCCCAGAGTCCATTGTGGACACTGCTGCCAGATGGCTTTCTTAAAACACAATTTTGTCATATAATCCTGATTCAAAAATTTCAACAATCTCTCACTGTCCTCAGAATTGTGCCCAAATTTCTCACCTAGATAGTCAAGGTCTGTACATTGAGTCTAGCCTACCTTGATACAGTTAACTTCACTATTTTACATCATGAATCCTTAGTTCAACTTGGAAAAGGAAGTTGTTGGTATTAAGAGCTAACATGGATTAATCAGGAACACTTTGCAACGAACTAGCTGCATTTTCTTTTCTAATAGACTTACTATATCTGTGGGAAAAAATGCTACAGACATAACATTTTGGCAGAGTTTCTCAGATACTATTGTGAACAATAAGGATATTGCACACTTTGATAGATTTGAAAGGAGTTTAAAATCTGTACCCAAAAAGGAAAAAAAAGAGATTGTTTAATGAATGACTGCCAACATAGAAAAAAGTCACTAGTGTCATATCAGGGGACTCTGTTCTTAGAAGCGGCCTGGGTAGTCTTTTAGAAAACAAAATACAAGTCATGCTTACAAAATTGCAGACAACAGAAAACTAGATAGGAGGAAAGATAAACTGCATTGCAGAATCAAGTTTGGAGGAGATATGAATTAGTTGGAATGATGAACTGAACCAAACTGAATGAAATGTAACAGTATTTGTACTCAAAATCTAGCATTTTGATGTTTTAAAAAGCAATTGCACAGTATCAAAAATGAGATATTTCAATCAGCAGTCTACAAAAGCTATTGCAATAACAATGGTATATTTATAGACATACATCATCTAGCATATGGGGTGAAGGGAAGGTACGAATGATCCTACCTTGCTCTGTGTTCATCATACCACAGCTGGAAAACTGGGTTCTGATCCTATAATTCTATAATCTACTGATTTTTATTAAATATATCATTCTCATTTCCCCAACAGTAGTTTGTTCACGCAGTTCCCTCTATCACACCCTTTCCCAACTTCTACCAAGTTAGCTGGGTAATATCCTTACTTCAAGTCCATTCATTTCAACCACCAACCACTGCAAACCGATTCTGTGCCAGGCACTGGGCTATGTGCTAGAGGTAACAATACCAGGTAGCATTTGTTGAGGGTATAGATGTGCTAGGCACTGACCATATCTAGTAATCTCATTATATCACAGTGAGCCTGTGAGATTGAAGCTCACATTTAATGTTTCATTTTACAGATGGCTACAGAGGAGTTTGATGACTTGCCCAAGCTCCCACGGTAAGTGACTTGAAGCTGAGCAGTCTGACTCCAGAGCTTGGACTCCTACCCACCACTCTGCACTGCTTCTCTGACAATGAAGGAGTAAGACATGTTCCTTTTCCTCCAAGGACAGTCTAGAGGGAAAAGACACTATCCATCGACAATAATAGGCTTTGGTAATTACTCTAATATCCACTATCCATTGACAAGTTAGGCTTTGGTAATTACTGTAATAAAAGATATAAATAAAGTACTCCGGCATTCAGAGTAGAAGTGATGTTTTCTAAAAGAATCAGAAGAAATCTCACAGAGACCCTCATTTTGAGCTGTGGCTTGAAACGTAAATGATAGCTGAGGAGGTAAGAGTTATTTATCTGCCAAGGAAAGGGCAAGAGTGAGGGAACAGAGTGGTGCAGAGGCTAAATGAAAATGGCTTATTTTTCACACCTGTAAGGTCTGAGGCATGGGGAGCAATTGTCTAGCACAGTTCTCTTCCTTACGGGCCTGCTCACTGTAGCCGGATGATCTCTGCCAATCTTGAGAGCTGACTGGATTGTGCTCATCTCTTCCCAACTCCTTGTTCAAGGGTGTCAGGCTGGTAGCTTGAAACTGGCATGGGCACCGTGAAGTTGGCAAACACTATCAATCAGGCTCCCTCTGTCCAGCCCTGGCCCCTGTTGTTAAACGTCAACCAGCTCACCACTGCCCAGAACCCAATCATTCATCATTTCATGGTATCTACCACCTTCTTTAATGATTTTTTAAATGTTCCAAGTGATTGTCTTAATTAAAATAATTCTAAACATGTCTCTGAGTATTTCTGAGACTGTAAACACATTTCTAAAACACTGTGAGCCTCAGTTTCTGCATCTGTAAAAATAGGTGTGTGGCATTCTGAGGTGCCTTCCACATAATTTCATGATCATAATTTCTTTAGGACAGGGGCTTTCTACATCCTACAAATTAAAGCACGATGAAGAGGTGCTTTTAGAGGTTACTTTTTGAAGGGGTGGCAGTATCTGATTTGTTTCTACAAAATACGAGCTTGCCTTAAAGTCGTTATTTTTTTTTTTCGTTTCTTCAAGGAAATGAAAAAAAAATAAGAGGGAAAGTTAAATTCCTTGAGTACTGAAAGGTGAAACTTTTTTGAAAAAAAAAATCTGAATATCAGATTCCCAATTCCAACAAACAGGGTTCATGTTAAAGAACATGTTTAGATAGTCACTGCCAATTCTTTATGGAGCAAAGGCAGGTTACAAATGAGTAAACAACTAAAATTAACAAAAAAGGAAACAAAAATTATGTAGAAGAACAAGGTGTATTTCAAGCAATCTTTCTCTCAAGGGGGAGAAAGTATGGTGAAAAATATAAATGGAAAAGTTTGAAAGAGCAATGAAAAATAGTAAATAGAGAAAGAGAAGCCGGAGACACCAAGCAAACATCTTGAAAGTGCATCCAGGATGTCCGAAGTGGTGTGAGTCTACAATCCTAGAAGTGCAGACAGCGGTAGAACATGAGGCTAACAGGAGATATTTCAGAGACAATGTAGCGAGAAGAACTGAATGAAGAATTTATGCTTGAGATTAAAATATGATCAGGAAAATAAAAAACCTTAAGAAATAATGAAGAAAATGACTGTAAAGCACTCAGAATTCCTTTGAGGTAACTAAACAAACATCATTACCATAAGCACATTTCACAACATCTGTCTACAAAAAATTCAGTTATCTGCCATTCTAACATTTAAAAAGATCTCTTGAGGACCAAAATCATCTTTTTCAAGAGAAAAAAAAAATTGCCTAGTTTTTGTTTTTTTTTTTTTTTTTTTTTTTTTTTCAGAAAAACAGTGATGTTTTAGAGTTTCTGGTTTGGTTCTCTTGGTACAGGCTGAACACCTGAATAGCTGGGAATTTCTCCTCAGAAGGAAAGTCTACCTTACAAACCTGTGGTACCTTCGAGTGGACTTGGCTCATAAGGCTTCCCGTAGGAAAATTCTAGGGAACTAATCTGTAATGCTTTTAGACTTCAAAGTCTTCCTTCTGCTAACAGATTCCTCCATTACTGCCAGTGAAATTGGCACCAATTAGCACCCTGACAAGGCCACACATTAAAAAGACCACAGAGACTGTGTTCCTCTCTGAAAGCCCCCACGTTTGTCCCCCCACCATGAACAGTTGATGTGAGCAGAAGGGCGAATGTGTCATTGTGAAGAAGGGAGAGGGGACCAGGGCAGGGTATTGAGGCTGCTGCAGTCCTTGCATAGATTAGCAAAGGACATCGGTCTCCTCGGGCTGCCTCTCTTGTCTGCATAGAAAGTCATTTTTTAAGATTCTGGAGCAAAAACACTTATTAGAGCCTCTTTAGGCGTCAAAGGTTATTTTTCAAAAATCAAAGCATTTTTGTTTTTTGCTTGAGATGACATCTGGATGTAACATGAAACACTTGCTGCTTATTTTAAGCCTTCATCTGACTTTTAAAATGTGAAACTTAAAGCTACATGCTATTTCCCTGAGCAAGCTAAAGGAAGAGGCAGAGTCTCTGCAAGGCAGCCTAAATTCTGCATCCCATTCTGTCCTGCAGCCCCGGGGCAGGCCTCAGACTCTGAATAGAGCAGAAATCCGAGGACAGGAGGACACCCTCACTTCCCCACCCCCAAAGCTATACATCTTAACTCAACTCTGAGGATTTTTAATGTTTGAGTATATGATAATACTTCATTTTGCTCAATCTTTGTTTTTCTCTATTTACCTATCTTTAATTTGTTTTCTGCTACTATAAAAAAAAACACACAGACTGGGTAATTTATTTTTTTTTAAATGTATCCCTCACACTTCTAGAGGCTGGGAAGTCCAATATAAAGGTGCTGGCATCTGGCAAGGGCCTTCTTGCTGCATCATCCCACGCAGAAGGCAGAAGGGCAGGAGAGTATGTGTGAGAGAGAGAGCAGGAGAGAGCCAAGCTCACTTTTATAACAAATTCACTCTCTCAATAACCAACCCACTACTTTGATAATGTCATTCATTCACTCATGAGGGCAGAGCCTCAGGACCTAATTGCCTCTAAAAGGTCCCACCTCTCAACAACGTTGCATTGAAGATTAAGTTTCCAACTTAATGAACTTTGGGGGACACATTCAAACTACAGCACTACCTCTCCCCCTCATTTCTTTGTAACCAAGTGAACATTCTAACACTGTATGGCCCTGCATTATCTGTATCCGTTCAAAATACATCTACATATATACAAAGAAGGGGATTTGTGTGACTTGGTATGTATGCGTGTTTCCTAAATCAAATCATAATACACACATTTCTCTACCACTTACTTTTCCCACTTCAGTGTGGAATTTCTTCCAACAGTAGATCTAACTTCTTTTAAGAACTGCATAGTAGCCTATAATAATGAATGTGCCTTTATTTACTCAAGCATAGCCCTATTGATATTTATGATATTTCCAAAAAATTAACCAGAAGACATAATACATATCTTGGTATTTCTAAGGCATCAATTCCCAGAAATGAAAAGGCGGAACAAAAGGATATGTATGTTTTTAAATGTTCTCAATGGTGCCAGAATACAACAGTTTGCAACAATTGAAATTCCTATCAGCAAAGCACAAGAGCGCATCCTGCTCACACTCTCACCAGCACTAAGTTTTTATCACTACTAAATGCTTGCCAATCTGAGGAATGAAACACAATATCTTCCTGCTCTAATTTTCATCTCCTTGCCTCACAGTGAGCGCAAGCACCTTTCCACATCTCTTAGCCATTTAAATTTTCCTCTTTTACCATCTAGTCACATCTTTTATCCATTTTCTATTGAGTTGTTTGTCTTTCTTATCCATTCATAGAGAAGAGCTCCTGGTGTAGTATGATAGTAACCCTTCATCTCTCAGGTATGCTTGAAATATTGTTCCCACTCTGAGATTTGTCTTCTGACTGGTCTTTTTTTCTGTGCACAAAATTTTACTGTTTTTCTTTTGCAGTAGAACATAATATTCTTCTTAAATGGAGGGTTGGTTTCCTACCTAACTTGTAAAACAATCTACCCCATTCCCAAAGTGTTCTTCTTTGGTATTAGTATACTTTTGCATGTAGCTTTTCCTATACTACATGTGACAGAGATGCCGTTTTGCTTTCTGTTGTTGCACATGACCTTCCCCTGCCTGCAGGTCTGTCCCCTTGCCATGTTTCAGGAATGTTCTGCATTCTCCTTGGCCCTTCTCAGACCTCTCCACTGCCATGATACTGTCCCTGATCACCCCAGCCCAGAGAAAGAGCTTTCTTATTTGATCTCCTGTAATAATTTTGTGGGTCAACCTCTCCCTTTGGCTATCATATTAAAATGTTAGCTGTATTTCAAAATTCATATCTCTGAACTGGTCCTTAAGCCCTTCGAGGGCAGGGACTATATTAGATTGCCTTTTTTTTGTCCCTTGTACTGGCATGAATAACAACTATGTTCTCAGTAAATTATTGACTGATGTCACTGCACACCCTCCACAAAGCCTCCACTAGATCTCCCTCCAGTGTTCTTTCTTCCATGAAAAGGATGTAAGATGTAAAGCCTGCTTCATTCTGTTTCTCTTCAGCCTTCCTGATTATAAAGTTACCCTGGACAGACTCAGTTCTATGTGAATGGCTCTAAGTGCAATGGCACAATCTGCTGCAGTATCTAAAAAGGCCACTGGCATGGCTTTGATGCTTCTTCTCCTAATTATTTGCATATTCAGTGCCATCTAGGTTTAGAAATCTAGTTTTTGAAAAGTGTGCTTGGAAATAATTTCCATATTTAAATTTGATCCATGACTGCCTTTGGCCTATGACTGCCTCTTCACTTACTAAGCTGGGGACCGGTGTCTCTGGGTACACACGCTGAAGGGAAGCCCATCCAGCCAATCCTGTCTGGCACCTGCATGGCTCTCCCAGGGACACTGAGACATCCATTGCCATCTCGGGCCTCAGATGCTATCCCTGGCTGAGCCCTGCCTCTCCAAGAGAGCCCAGGCCCCCTCAGCGCTGTGTGTACCCATTGTTGCTGCTAGGCACTGCCCTCTGAGTGACTCTTCTTCGCTGCTTATCCTCCTTCCATCTTTCCTACTCTGGAGAGTGAAGGAATGGGAAAATGGGGGAGGTAGAGCAGACTCACCTGCCAGGAATAGAAGTTGTTGATTCTCTCAGCACCAGAGAGCTGTTATGGTCATTTCAGATAACACCACGGGTGGAGATGTGATCATATTAGAGTAATTAGAGCCATTAGGGACCAGGCTGAGGGCCAGGCACTTCTTGTGGAGGTCTATCAATTCAATGCCACTAAAAAAGGTGGATATTATTAATTGCCTACAATATAGACCAAAAAACCCAAGGCTCATTGACGGACCAGAATTTTGTCTCTGATTTGTTTGACTCTAGCAGCTCATATTTTTTTCACCACGCTATGTTACCAAGAGAATATTTATGACCTCTATATTCCTTGCAAACTTACTGTGATCTAAGAGAGTAGAAGAGTCTGTTTCAGCTCACCCTAGTCTCCCAAGATCCCTGATGGTTGTGTCTAAAGGATTCATGGCAAGTGGCGACCGAAGTTCACAATGGGGGCCAGATAGGCAGAATGGTGGCTGGTGGCAGTGGGAGGCAGGGTACTGACAAGCTGTGTGACCTTGCATGAATTATTTAATCTCTCTGTGCCGGGCTCATTAGTTTTCTGCAAGTATTTGCTATTTTTTCCTCCTCCTTCTCATTATAACTATTACTACTACAATTGAAAACATCAGTGCAGCTCCTTAATGTGACTTCCTCCCAGAAACATAATTTTTTGTGCAAGTGGCTTGCAATTGTCAAGGGGGAAATACTGAACAAATTCTACTTCCCAAGCTTTTAACTCAATTTTTTCCAAACATCAGGGCGAACTCTATGAGGTTCTTTTGGTTTCATTCATTATTTTCATTCACGTGCAAATAAAAACAGAAATCACAGGAATAAAAATGCCAGTACCCTTCTGAATTTACCCAAGGTCTTGAATCCAAAGAGTCCCATTGAGCGAGGTGGTGCCTCGTCATAAACCCCTCCCTGGGACAAGATGCCATTTTAGAAAAGGGCATTAATTCTTTTAGGTCAGAGAATTTTGTAAACAGTTTGCTAAACAGGCTCAAATAGGTGGAAAGATTCAACAGGATTTCCTGAAGTATCTAATGCCTCTTGGCTCAAGGGCTCAAAAACTCCCAAGCCACAACTCTCCATCCTTGGGAAGCCATAATCCTCAGAGTCCTATTCTTAGACTTATAGGAGCTCAATCAGTGAGAACCGAGCTCTACCTTCTCCTTTGATGTGCCTTCCTCCAATGAAGACCTGTCTTCTGGAACAACAAAACTGGGTCCCAAACCATCTTCTGGGACATGCAGGACACAGTGAGGAACCACTCAAACAGACCACTCCCTCTAAATCAACTTCTTCCTGGACATGTGTGCACCATGCCCAAGGCCTTGGCTTGCTCCAGAACACAGCTCAGCAGCGATGCTGAACTGCTGACTGAAAATGATGGGTGGGTTCTAGGGATGCTGTTATAATCTGCTTTTGGGAACTGGGCCACAGGCTGCAATCACTGATACTGCTTGTCATCAGGTTACCTTGTCATTACTCTCTACCTTTATTCTCAAATGACAGTTGTGAGGGTAGAGCAAAAGTGTGTAATGTTGGACAATTCTGAACTGTGACTCTCTGGATTTGAGCACTGACTTGGCAAGGTCTTCATTAGTACTCAGGCAAATATGTATGTATGTGTATGTGAACTCATTCATTCACCCTACTTTATTCTAATTTGTCATATTAGTAAGGAACATAGACTTTGAAGTCAGAAATGCCCAATTTGAATCCTTGCTTTTCCATCATTGGTTGCATGTGATTCTGGATGAGTTCCTTAATCTTTTTAACCCTGTGTTGTAGATGGCTACTGTTGAGCTACCAACCAGCCATCCCTACCTCTCCTTCTGACTCACTCTCCCCCCCTCCCCCCCACCCTCCCCCCTCCCCCCTCACCATAGCTCTTTATCTCCTCCTCTTGTGAACTGCCCCTTCCTCAACTCCACCCATGTGATCCTGTGGAGGTTGCCATTTTATTCCACCTCCTGGTCTACTCACTGACCCAGCCATAGCTGAGAGGTTGAAGGGTGGGGCACCTGACTGGCTGGGTCGAATCCTCGGGATTTTTGGTAGGACCCAGGAGAATGTTAAGTCAGTCTCAATCTAGTGGCATAAGCTATAATATGTAAAATTCAGAAGCCCTGGGCAGCCATGTTTTGTAGCCTATGGAGAAACTGACCTATGGAAGGAGAGAAGAATGAAGGCAGAAGCTACTGAAAAGTAAATACAAGTGAGAGTATGAGCAAGATATATGACAGCATCAGAGTCCCGGTTTATGGCTATTCTGGGGGCTCAACCACATTCCCATTGTGAGTTCTGTTGAGATGATCCAGTATCCTATCATACAGTTGTCTTTTGCTTAAGCTGGTTCAAGTTGGGTGTCTATTCTTTATAATCAAAACAGTTCTCATAATGTACTGTGTATTTCATTCATAAATGGCAATATAACTATCTTTGTGGGGTTCTGATGAAAATTAAATAAAATAATGTACATAAAGTGCTTTGCAAAGTGCCTGGAGCATGGTGAGCCCTGAGTAAATGACAGTGGTTGTGGTGGCAGTAGTGACATTTATCATCGCCAATTTCTGTCAACATCTCAGAAGCCAAGAAGTAAGTTGGGTTGCAAGTGACAGGCAGATTCCTCAGCCATTTCCAAACAAGTGTCTCTCCAAAGGAAGAAGCAGCAGGGGGCCTCCACTCAAGCTCTTTGAGTCTTGGGTTCAGGCAGGGCCAATCGGCTAGAGTTCCTGTTGTTTGGTTAGTGACCTGTGGCTGCATTCTCTTCCTGGCCCTCAGGCCTTGTGGGGGTGCTTGGACAGCCACAGAGTCTACAGTCACAGCCAAACGCACTCAGCAGGTCACTTGGCATCTCTTACCACCTGGCCCATGTGCCAGACCCTGCTGCTAGGTGCAGTCATTTGCATGCCTTCCGTCTCCTCTTCTATTCCCCATGCACTCCTTCTACAAGACCCTTCCCAGGATTAAGAGCTCATAACCAGAAGGGTCCTTTAAGACTCCCCACTTAGGGGTTCCCAAACCAAGTAAGTGGCAGAAACAGGATTTGAACACAGGCAGTCTGACACCAAAGGCTTTGTTTTTTACCACTCCTCTATGCCACAAATATTAATATTATGTGCCATAAGGCACATAAAATGCAGAGAACAGTATCAGGCATGTCATAATAATGTCTAATAAATGATGCTGATCTAGAATACCCACCTGTCCTATTCTCCTTGGCAGTTCTGTGTGCCTTGGGCCTGCCATAGCATTAGATGGTCTAGGGGCCCAAAGAAGCAGGAGGATGAAAGACACTGAGTGGAAACAGCGCCACCATGCAGAAGGCACCAGGTTGTTGCAGAAGACCCCTGGGAGTCAGAAATGATTATACTGGTCTTCAAACAAGGCTTACTGGACTGGTCCCCAGCTTGCTCTACCCCTTGCCTCCTGATCAGTCTCATTACACCCTCTTCATGATCCTTCTCTGAATTTCAAGTGTTTTCAATATGTTTAAAGAAAAGTTTACTTGAAAATATGCAGGAATCTACTGATAGATCTTAGACATACTAAACTAACCCCTCTCAGATATAGCTCAGGACACTAATGAAAAGTGATGCAAATCATTGCACATTTAGTAAACCAATCAAACAAGCAAAATTGGTTCTCAAGCAAATTTCTTTGGAGCTAGAACATGTAGCTGGACTAGAGCAGGACATCATCAGATGAGACTGCAGAGAGCTGCTTTTATCACTGCAGGGTGCCCATACAGAAGTATCAGAAAGAAAGTAATGAGAAGCATTCTGGAAAAGGGACATATTGCATAAGTATAATGACAATATTTTCCAGACCACAAATCTGAATGTAAACACTGATAATTATGAATGTGCTTTCTGGGACAATGAAGCAATGTAGTTGAAAGTGTGATCATCCAGGAAATTCAAGACATAAGGTTGTGAATACATATGAAAAGAAACAAGGTATAAACATTAAAGAGACACATAAGAATTACTGAGGCAATGAGGGAGCACAAATGGAAGAGGTCAAAGTCATTTAAAATACATTATAATTTTAGAAGCCTAGACCACAAAGAAAAAAAAAGGCTTGAAGGATCTGTGTCTAAGAATGTACTTACTGTTCTCTCTAAGGTGACCTGTCAAATTCATAGAACAGTTTCCTCACACCTCACCAGGGCCATCCAAAACAAGACTAAATACTTAACAATAACACTCACTCTAAGATTGCCCAGGGTCGACCACTCTTCTAGACAATAACGGTCAATTTGGTAGATAAGAATATCTGTAAAGAGTGAAGAAAATAGTTTTTTGTCAGATATTCTAGACTATAGGCTCCCAAACTAGGATATCCAAGGTCATTGCATCTCTCACGGAAATGCTTTTCTTCAGCTGTGGAGGGTGGAAATAGAAAGGATCCTACCTTGACTTCCATTCACAGATACTCTCCCTCTTGCCTGGATTTCTGCATTACTCCTAATGGTTTCCCCACCTCCATTCATGCTCCACTTGGCCCCCAGAGTGATTGCTCTAAACTGCACATCTGACTGCATCCTTACCCTTCTCAAAGGCTGTCAGGGCCTCCTCATTCACCTATAGAATAATATCTAACTTTGGAAAATTACACATTTATTCCCCACGTTTCACCCTTTCTCCTTTCCCTTCCTCTTTCCCTCCTTCCCTCCTCTTGCTCCTCCTTCTCCTCTTTCTTTACTTTTCTCTCCCTCTCTCTTTTCCTCTCTCTCTCTTGCCTCCCTGCCTTTGTTTCTTTTTTGGCTTATCTCTTCAGATTCCTAGCCTTTTAATTTCATTTGATAACACAGAATGCTCTTTCTTATCTGAATGTCTTTACTCATGCCAAAATCCTCTATTTTAAACCCCTGGTCTTCTGAATGACACAGCTCTTCCCTTAGGATTCGGCTCAGTAGCATCTATGCCAAGAAGTGTTTCCTTACCACACCCCTTGGCTGGACTAAGGGGTTAGGTATCCTTCCTTTGTACTGCCAAAATACCGTGTGCATATCTCGGCCTCACAACTTGCCATGATATCTTATATCTAACTGCTTATGTGTCTGGTCTCCTCCAGTAGACTATGAGTTCCTCAATGGCAGGGACTGAATATTATCATTTTCTTTTATCCCCAATACCTAGCATAAGGAAGATTACCACGGTAAGCACTAAATAAATGTTAGCTAAACACATAACAGCAAGATTTCAAAAGGGGAACCTGCTCCTGGCAGCTAATAATAGATAATGATGATTCTACCAATACTAGCTAATATTTATTGAGCATTTGGTATGTCAGAGGTGATGCTGAGCAAAACACATGCAGTATGAAATTTAATTTTCAGAATAGTCTTATAAGGTAGATATTATTTTTATATCCATTTATGGTAGATTCTTATATTAGTGGTAACTAAATGAATCAGATATCCCAGTATTCATGCCCTTTTCCAATCATTTCTCACACTGACTCTGAGTTTAGCTTTGTGACTTGCTTTGCCCAATAGGATATCGAAAAATGTGACACATGTAGAGACTTGGATGAGCGATAGTCAGTGGGTCTTGTCTTGTCCTCTTGGAATGTTGCTGACAATGCTGAAAAAACTTGGGCCAGCCTCCTTGAGGACAACCAAACGTAGAATGAGGCTCATCTGATCCCCAGTACCAACACTAGACCCACAAATTAGGCCATTTTGGATGGTTCAGCCTTGGTAGACTCATCAGATAAGTGACCCCCTGGAGACCAACCCAAAAACCACTAATTCAAACTTATTCTAATTCAAACTGCTGACCCAAAGAAGGCTGAGTAATAAAATGATGGCTGTTTCAGGCCACTAAGTTTCGAGGTGGTTGTTACACAGCAATATTCTCACACTGCTAAAAAGTACTACCTTACACTGGGTAATTTATAAAGAAAGGAGGTTTAATTGATTCATAATTCTGCATGGCTGAGGAGGCCCCAGGAAACTCAAAATCATGGTGGAAAGCGAAGGGGAAGTAAGGCACATCTTACGTGGCAGCAGGAGAGAGAGATCAGGAGCGGGTAACTGTCAAACACTTTTACCACCAGATCTCATGAGAACTCCCTCACTATCATGAGAACAGCATGGGAAGCCACCCCCATGATCCAATCACCTCCCACCAGGTCCCTCCCCAACACATGGGGATTACAATTTGAGATGAGATTTGGTTGGCAACGCAGAGCCAAACCATATCAGGTGCTCTCAGTATATCTTGTGCAACTTTTTCCTCCCAGTGTTTATAATCTAGTCTCACATCCTCCACTGAAGGGCAGGCGGATATCTGGTCTCAAAGCAAGAGATTTTCGCCAAGAGCATGAAGACCTGGCCAAGCCCTGTCTGTGACTGCCCATGGGATGTTGGCACATAAACTTGCAGAGACTGATTCTCTAACTGTAAAATATGAGGGTAAAAACATTTGCCAAAATACCCTCATATAGGTTTGAGAGAAACTAAGGTGAAAATATTTGTGGAAGTGCCTTGAAACTAGCTACTCCCTGGACAAAGGCAAGGAAGTTGGCAAGAATGCTCCCATCCAGCCAAAAAGAAAAGAAAAAAAAGAAAAATACTCAGTGTTTAGAGAGTAACAAATGATGTGCCAGACACTGGGCTAAGTGGTAGGTTTTGCAGGGAGAAAATGGGGAAACTGACATGTTAAGATGCCAGGTAACTTGCCTGTGGTCACATAATTAATAAATGGCTCAACTGGATTCAAATCCTGATTTGCCTCACTCCAAAGCCTGGGCTGCTTGCACAGTGCTAAGTGGCCTCCTAAAGGAACCTCCACAGCCTGTGCAAGAACAGAATTATTGGCCAGGTAGTCTACCATTAAATGGGGTTGCCAGCTTGTGGCTAAAGAAACAGATGATGAAAGAAGTGCTGAGGAGAAAACGCCTGTTTACAAACATAGCTTAATTAATTAGTCAACTCAGATGAGGCAGAAAAGGCGGGTTTCCAGATGTCTGACATCGAGAATTAATTAGCAGAAAGGCACCAGTCCTCAGGCCTTGGGTTCATGGCCAGACCACATGGTAGAATTAAATTACTAGACTTCCCCTCCAACTTAAGCCATTTGAAAGAAAACAAAACCCCAAACAATAACCTTATTAAAACTGACAACTCAACTGGAAAATCTCCACCAACCAAAGCTTCAAGTGAAGTTCAGAAAAGAAGGTTCCAGTGCTTCCAGTTCAGTTTACAAAAGAGAATGAAATGAAAGTAAGTTAGGCTAACAGTTGGTAAGTTCACATCTGTACCAAGATAAGTAAAACAGAAAATTAAGGTAGCACTTGAATTCCTATCAGGCAAAAGCCACCATCTTTGCAGAAATGTTATCACATGAGTCACTTGTAAATAGAAAGTACATGTCAATCTGCAGGAATCACCACAAAATGGGGTTGGGCCAGCCCAGGAGAATAGATAATATGCAGCCAATATTAAGTGTAATGTGTACTCTTCGGGCTCAGGTGTGACTTTATGAGTAAAAGTTACTTTCCAGGAATGGGTTCCCCCACTGCTTCCACAGTTAACTTTTCACAGGGGTTCTAGAACTGCTCCTATTTTGTTGTCTATATTTTTATCAGTGAATTTCTGCAGTTGTTTGGGACTCATCCTCTGCCTAAGCAGGGAAGTTAATGAGGTTTGAAGCAACTTTGTGTCCCAGGGTGAATGGAATATAATGTATGTGGAGAGAGGTAAGGGCAAAGAGTTCAGCTAGGCTGGAGGGTTGAGGGCTAAGCAAAGGTAGACAAGGTGGGATTCCACGGGGAGGGAGGGTGTGCAGGTAGACTGGTAGATCTGGAAGTGACCTAGAAAACGTCTGTGGTTTTCAACCAGTGTATATATTAGAATCACCTGTAATGTGATTAAAATGCTGATACCTAGGACCTATCTCAGACCAATTATATTGGAATCGCTAAGCAGGTGATTCTAATGGGCACCAGAATTGAGACCCACACATCTGTGGCAACCTATTGATTTTCCTAGTGGGGAAATGAGGGAACACATTTGGAGAAGCAAAAGAGAGACTGTGTGGGTCCCTGCTGTCAGGTGACATTTCACTGAGCTGCCCTGAGAACTCCACTCCTCCTTCACAGCCTCAATCTGGCTTCATGGGAAAGGGAAGTCACATAAAGTCACTCCCAGGTGCTGGGATCCTTGACCTTGTAAGGCTGTTGCACTTGTGCATGTTTGTAGATTCCTTCACTGATATAGAATGAGGTTGAGGGGTTTAGACCAGTGAAGGTCAAAGTGTGGCCCCAAGACCGGCAGCATGGGCATCATTTGACATGCACATTCTCAGGCATCTCTCCAGAACTACTGAATTGGCAACTGTGGGCAGAACCCAGCAATCTGGTTTTAACAAAGCCTCACGCATGCTAATGTTTGAGAACTGCTGGTTTACACAACCATTTTCCAAAAGTGAGTCTTTGGAGACAGGGAGAAAAGTAGGAGGTAATGGTGGTAGGGGTGTTCATGAGGATACTGGCCTGTGCCACTAAGGATAAAGGCTGGAAGTTTACTTTGGAGTAATCAAGGATGCAGGGTAAAACTCATCCCCTTCTACAACAAAGATTTTAATATTTACCAGGTATCGCCTGCCTGACCTGCAGCCAGCTGGTAGAAATAAAATGTCTCTTGTTTCCTCAAAGAGAGCTCATGCCAAACTAATATATTCCTGACTTGAAAAAGTTTCATTTGCTCCTACCTGGTCTTAACTTATATCTTTCAATTGTCAACTCTTGATTATGTCTCATAATAGTTAATAAGAAGATGCATATAATAGTGAAAAGATAATCAACATTTTATTTGACTTGCAGATGTATTCACAACTCATACCCAGTCAGTAACACCAGCACCCACCCCCAAACCCACCCCACCTGTTTCTGATTCTCCCTTGGCTCAGGGTCCCTCTCAGCGCCTACGACACAGCTGCTGACAGGAGGAATGTGCCGGAATGATGGAAGAGCTGGGTCACAGCAGATAATCCATTTATGGATAATAAAAAATGTGTGTCACACTTCGTTGACCATGCCAGTCCTGAGCTGCTATACATACATAAAAGATCCTTCACACCCAAGATGGATTTCAAAGCAAAATGAAAAACCCATATGATTTGGCCATGTTCCTACTCATGTTCCAGAATAAAAGGTAGACATAATCTCTCTGACCAACGTATTTACTAATTATGTGTCCTGTGCCAGTCTCTGTATGAGATCCTGCAGGGGATACGGTAGGGGATACACAGATTCTGCTTTCCAGGAGCTTGTAATGAAACTGAGGAAAGAGAAATACACTTATTGAGAAAGACGTTATAACTTCCAGTGTATTAACTATGGTAGGCTAACTGCCATAACAAATAGTCTGTGAAATGTATTATAATTCCAACACAATAGAATTTCATTTCTAGCTCGTGTAACCACATTGAGGTTGGCAGGGCAGCCTTTTCTAAGCAGTGATTTGGGAACCCAAGCCAATGGAGACTCTGCCATCTTCAACAGGAGTCTTCCAAAGTCCCTAGGAGGTGTCTGCATTCCAACTAGCGAGAGACAAAAGGAGCGTAGTTGAGCTGTCAGGGGAGGGTTTTATGGGCTAAGCTTTGAAGTGACACCCATCACTTCTGCCCATATTATGTTGGCTACGGGTCCATCACATGGCCACACCTCACCATAAATGGGAAATAGAGTCCATCTGTATACCCAGAAAGGTGAACAAACACATTTTGTTAAGTACCCAACAGTTTCTGCCATACTGGGCATGGTTGGGGAAGGTGTGTGAGGCTGGGGGACAGTTTTATTTATTTACACATGTGTTGTTTCATTGTTTCTCACTATCACAGTAACTTCTGAAGATCCTGCTATAGTTAGGATCCTGTTATCTGAACTCGTTGCTACTTTCTTGATTTTTCCTAGAGTTTTACTGAAGACTGGGCAGTATAGCCCATTCCAAGGATGAGCATTATTGGGAGGCTATGAAAAAATTCAGCAAGAGAAGGGTAACAATCTTCAAATGATGCATCTTTAACCTCTTTGTGTTCTTCTTTTTAGTCAATACTTCACTGCTTAGTGCCAATCCATGGAAATCACTTTCGTGCTGGCACTGCCCAGAGAGTGATAGATTTCATTCAGGTGCCTGGGCCAACAGAGGGTCCAGTAAGGCAGGACAGAAACTGCTTTACTCGGAGTGTTCATTCTGGGGTCTGATGGAATATTAATGCTGAGAGGAGGCTGAGAAACGTAGACTGTGGAGGAAAATGGGAGGAAACCTCTTCACACTGAGAAGGGGAGATGGTGAAACCAAGTCAGCTGGAAATGGAGAGGGGGCCTTTTGATGTTTTCCTGTTTTCTACAGGAAGGGAAATCAATAGATGCCTTTAAATGCTCCTCTGGGTGAAGAATGGATACTTATCTCATTTCTCCCTCTCACTACTCTTCCATCACTTTCCCAGACACCATGTTACTAGTTTAGGGTCCTGGGAGGAGCAGAGGAAGATGGAAATGCCACACACATCTGGACTACAACCCCCTGCTGCTTTGCAATGAAGACAATTTTCTAATTGGAATCAACAGACACCCAGTGTCTGCAGTCTCTGTTGGAAATAGCAGACGTAAGTAGCAATCAAAAGGTAGAGTACAAGCACAGAAGGATTAGCATGTATGTGAACCTGGGCTTTCTAACTTGGTGCCCTGAATCTAGCCATTTGCTTGTTTTAAGCAAGGCATTCTGTTTCATTTAGGCAGTTAGTGGCAGTGAAGAAATGAGTGTGTATTGGAGTTTCCTCTACATTATGCTGAGAAAGGTATTTTATACCTCACAGATTTTATGATGGAGACCTAAGCTTAGGCAGAAGTTGCCTGTATTCACATGTGTAATTAGAATATAAGTTCTTCTTTCGTTTATTCAGCAGGTATTATTTCGCAACAATCAGGAGTCAGGAATTTTCTAGGTGCTGAGGACAGTGATGATAAACTAGTCCCTGCCCTCCAGAACATTCTAGTGAGGGAGAAAGACAATAAACAAATATATAGCAAAATATCAGCTAGAGAGAGCTATTGAGATAATTAAAGGTGGGAAAGAGGATGGTGTGTGATGGGAGTTAGACAGGATGTTCAGAAAAGTCTTCTAAAGAGGTGACATGTGAGCAGAGGCTTGAATAAAGTGAATGTCATGTGACTATCTGAAGAAAGAGGATTTCAGGCAGAAGACTCTGCAAGGGCAAAGATCTTTTGATGTGGCTTTGCTTGGAGTGTCTAAGGAATAGCAAGTTGGCTAGTATAGCTGGAGAACCTTGGGGGAACCAAGGGAAGAGTGGCAGAAAATCAGTCTGGTGAGATAGGGAGGACACAGACCATGCTGGGCCTGCAGCCATAGTAAGGCTTTGGGTATTCTGTATGTGGTGGAAAGTCATGGCAGGGTTTTGAGCAAATAGCAGACACAAACTATTACATTTTGAAAGAAGCACTTTGGTTGCTACACAGGAATTGACTAAGGGGAGCAAGAGTGGATGCAAAAGACAAGGGAACAGGTGATGGGGACGTGACTGTGATGATGGCAATAGAGGGAGTGTGAAGTGGCCACTTTCTGGATATGTTTGACAGGTGGAGATAAGAGGATTTGCTAATGAATTTGATATTGGGTTGAGAGAAAGAGAGAAATCGAAGATAACTCTGAGGTTTTGGGCCCAAGCCACTGGGTGAATGGTGGTGACATTTACTGAGACAGATCCTGGGCAGAACAGTGATTAGGCTGTGGCCAATACAGTTATTGATACCAGACAGCTTCAAATCAAAGCCCAGGTCTGCTAGTGATGAACTGTATGACCTCTGTATCTCTGTCTCTGAATCTCAGCTTCATCCTCTGTTAAATGGAGATATTAATAATACCTAAATCATAGGGTTGCTATGAAGATTAAACAAGTTAATACTTGTAAAGCACTTAGAGCAGCATCTAGAGTAAAGGAAACTCTCAATAAATATTGCCTAAAATGAGGAACATGGAGGGTGTGAAACAGACTCACAGAGAAAATCAAGAGTTTGTATTGGGACAAGGTAAGTTTGAGATTCCTATCATATATCTCAGTAGAAATATTAATGAGTAGGTGGGCATAAGAGTCTGGGCTTCAAAACTGATGATACAAATTTGAGAGACATTGACATTTAGAATATTTTGCAAGTTGAAAGACTGGATTTTATAATCTTGTACTCATTGGCCAAATTCAGGCAATAGATGAGAAATTATATGAGTTTTGAGAGCTAAAGAGAAAATAGGCAGAGTTGCAGGGTAGTATGCAAGAAGAGGAATTAATCTAGATGTAGGTAACTGATGTTTCAGTGGAAACCTGAAGGATGAACCTCCATTGGTTATTATGCTCACTGTTCCCCTTTGTATGTTTTTAATCATAACACTCATGGCCCATGTTGAGTAGGTTAAAAAATGTAAGTATAGAAAAGGACAGTGTGAAATTTAATTACACACCTGTGTACATTTCCTCAAGAAAAATATCAGTTGTCTTCTTAAGTGAGATATTCCATCACCAGTAAAGGTTTTGGCACCAACCAGTGAATGGAAATGTCACAATTTCCATACAGTTTGCACTTGCAGCAAAAAATAGTCCATGGAGTAGTCAGAATTCTCTCAAAATGATAACGATAATCACGACACAGGGCCTTACCTAAGCTAACAAATTATTATCATTCATAACCTAATAGTAAGCAGGACCCTGATGAAAAGATTTACTAGTTTTCTTCTCTATTTAGGACACTATACCCTTAGAATATAGAGAGAAACTGCATCTATTAAGAAACTTATTCAAATCATCCACCTACTATTTCAGCATTCTTCTCCCTTTACTGTCTACTTTGTGTACCATATAAATAAGGCCCAGGCTTTACTTATTTACTAACAATCAGTGAATTGTTTCACCAACTCAAACAGAGCTTGGTTAAGAGTCTAGGCCAAAATGCTGTTACTGACCTGCAAATAAGTGTTATGTGTCTGAGTGGCAAAGGGGATTTAAAAGAAACGAGATTAGATTTCTCACTCAAGTGGAAAGGAAGGTTTCTACTTTTCAGAAAAACCTGCTGTCATCTTTCTGCTGTCCCAGATGGTGAGAGTTATGTACTCCTTGACCTGAGCCAAAGACAACATAAGAGAAAACAAAGAGACAAACAAGGTCTGCTCAAAGAAACTGGGCAAAAGCTCATTTCCAATGGTTTAAGTACACAAGAGACAACTTCTCAGACAAGGGCACCTCCCTTGACCCTGTTTTTCACACTATTGTTCACAAGGTTACTGAAAGAAAAGTCGTATAAGAGACTAGTCCCTACAATACCTGGAAATAACAATCATATAATTAAAGGATTTTGAGCTCAGTGATTTTTGTTTTTGCAAGAAGTAAACCAAAACCAAGACATGTCCACGTGAATGCATAAGTACATACTGAATGAATGTGAATGGAAATGTCCATGCAAACAGAAGGGGGTTATTGGCAGAGGCAGCCCTTGAGCACTGACCATGGACTGTAGAAAGTATCACTAGGGAAAAGTCATGCTTTCCAAAGACAGGCAAGAGCTGGGCTTCAGTTTTCCATCTGGTACTCAAAACACAAGAAAGGATCTTTTTCACTTGCAAATTCAATGTACCTCTGGAGGTACATGAGTCCATCTCTGTTTGAACTCTCATTTCAAAATGGTTCTGTCCTCAAAATGTAAGTATTAGGACACAGATGTCAGCCCTTGACACTAAAAAACTGCTTGGAAAATAAGGTTGGCGGAAGCTTCCAAGAAGTCCTGTTACCCAGAGAACTGTGTATTCCTGGTGACCTCAGCATGGCAAATTCCATCCTACTCCATCTATGGAAATGGAAGGGTCTGAATTTTCTGGACATTACCCCATTTCTTACCCCAGTTACCTTACTCCTGGTTCCCTAATTATGACAACCCATGGTGAAGATGAGCCCCTCTTTGCACGTTTGTTGTACCTCAGAGGAAGGAAAAAGGAAATGAAAAATAGCATTTATGGAATGCTTCCTATCTCTCAAGCCCTGAGGAAGGCCTGCATACACAGTGAGCTAAGTTAAGTTTTCTCCATTTCACTGAGGAGGGAGAAAAGTTGAGTTGCCCAAGGTCATTGGGCTAATGAGTTGCAGTGTCAAAACATCAAATCCAATTGTCTCTACCAAAGCCATATTCTTTCCAGGCAAGGTAGTCTGGTTTAGATCATGCCCATTCTACTAAAGATCCCAGCAGAATTTCAGGAGCAATGCTCCTTGATTCATAGACTGTGGCAACCAGTCAGCAGCAGACCCTAGTGCCAGATAGCGCTTGGATGGGTCATAAAAATACAAAGATTCTGCAGTGGTAGAGGCAGTAAAAGCAGTCACAGTGTTCATAGACACTGAAGAGGTCAGTTCTAATGCCAGATAAATCCTGCAGTTTTCAGCAGTCCCTGTGTTAATAGCTTTTTCATACCCGAAGACCATTAATAGGTCACTTCTCAACGTTCAATGTCCCATCTCCTTTTACGTTCCCACACGTGTTCCACTTACTGGCCTTATAATCATTCTCTTGATTTCCAATAGACATTCACAAGGTTCTTTTTATCTCCTGAAAATTCTGCAGTTCTCAACAGGACCCAGTACTCAAGGAAGATTGGAAAAGCATAATGTGCCCCAGAAGAGAGATGACCTGATCAGCACTCAGAATGCTCTTATCAGAAGCATACTGCATCCTCTGCTGGGGTTCCACACTTCTTTTCTTTCATTTCACTGGAGCCTTTATTTCCTCTCTTTCTTACCTGTTTATCCTATTGTTGCTTCTTTTGTCTTTTCTTCTCTCCTTCCTCTACTCATTTTCTTTTTCATCTTTTTCTCTCTCCATCCCTTTCCCTTATTAAATTTCCCATGTTCTTTTCTTTCACTTCCTCCGCCTCTTACTCTTCACCTTCTCTTCTTCTTTTTACACTTTTAGAGGCAAATCAGTTGAGTTGAAAAAATAGAGATGTTGAAGTCACATAAACCTGGTTCAAATGCTAGTTTTTCCACTTATGGTATCATTGGAAAAATAACTATTCTGCACTTCCTTGAGGAAGAGGGATACCAGGCCCTGGTAGACGTAAAATGTAGATACAAGACCAGGCATGGTGGTACATGATTGTAGTCCCAGCTACTTGGGAGTCTGAGGTGGGAGGATTGCTTGAGCCCAGGAGTTTGAGGCTGCAGTGAGCTATGATCATGCCACTGTATTCCAGCCTGGATGACAGAGCAAGGCCCTGTCTCTAAAATAACCAAAAAGAAAAAAATGTAGATATCAACTATATTTATATGTAGATCTGAATATTAAATGAGATAGCCTGTGTAGATTCAGTTTAGGACTTTATCTGGAAGTAGGACGTTCATAAGTGATAGTCAAAACCCCTGCTTCCATACTGCCCCTTGCCCTGCTATTGTTAAGCCTATCTTGTCTCACACATTGATCTTGCCTTCTGTCTGTTATTCCCCATAGCTGTTGTCTCTGGTCCTGGCTCAGCATCCAATTCATTCCCCCTCTCTATTGTATAGTTTGTCTTTGACTGGATTCTCCTCATGTTCTATGCTCCTTTATTCCGAATCTGGCTTTAAGTAGAAATAACTAGACATTACAGAATGTTGCATGTTGACAAAACGTTCAAGCATCACAGTGATGGCTGATTCTAAAAAATGTAATAACAACACTATTAAATACTTTGAACCATTCTGAACTATCTATTATGAATGAGAAGCTTAGGGCCAAGGCATAGCCAAATTTCCCTGTACCTGCAGGAACCAAAATGTGTGATTGAGATGGAGCCTAGGTCGAGTAGGTAAGGACAGCACTCATTACCTACCCAAGTAACCAGAAGATAATGAGGTTTAAAAAAAATTTGAAGTTTTTAAAAATTTGTGAGCAATAGTAACCATTAGTTGTTACACCAGGTTACTTATTGGTGGACACAACTCTGTTGTGAGAAGAACCATTTAGGGTATAAACCTTCCATAAAAACTTCGGAACCATAGTTTTCCTTTCCAGAAAACATAGAACTCTGAATATAAGCTAAACCCTGCTACTTAATTGTATCATGCTTATTATTATTATTATTATTATTATTAGATGAAGTCTTGCTCTGTCACCCAGACGGTGGCACAATCTCAGCTCACTGCAACCTCCATCTCCTGGGTTCAAGTAATTCTCTTGCCTCAGTCTCCTAAGTAGCTGGGATTACAGGTGCCTGCCACCACACCTAGCTAATTTTTGTATTTTTAGTAGAGATGGGGGTTTCACCACGTTGGCCAGGCTGGTTTTGAACTCCTGACCTCAAGTGATCCTCCCACTTCAGCCTCCCACAGTGCTGGGATTACAGGTGTGAGCCACTGGGCCCAGCCTTGCATCGTTAATTTGAGGTTCATGGTAACCCATGTATCTTTGGGTAGCTCTCAGCCTGACTTGCCATTTCCATGTCTTATACTTCTCTGTCTTTATTTTCTCTGAGTTCTTGACTTCCTTTTGCCCTTGTCTTTATTGAACTTCATCCTGTTAGTTTCTGATTACTTGTCCAATTTGTTGAGGTCATTTTCAATTCTAATTGCATCCCCCAAGACTTTAGCCTACACTTTAAATTCAGTCTCATCTATGAACTTAATGAGTATGCTGTTTCGGTAACAAAGTCATGGATGATCATCTTAACTAGAAATGAATCCAGGACTGAGCCCTGTGCAGCACCATTTTTAGTGTTTACTCATTAGAGGAAATGTATAGGCAGGTGCTTTAATGAAGTTCAGTTTAGAAAATATAGGCCTCCTTCTTCAGCATCTGGAATTACTTGGCTAGAATTTTTAACATTTTTGGCAATTCAAGGCTGTATTTCTATACAAGTGAAATTTAATTAATCAAAGTCATTCTCAAAATGTAACCTTAAGGTCAGGCGTGATGGCTCATGCCTGTAATCCCAGAACTTTGGGAGGCAAAGGCAGGTGGATCACCTGAGGTCAGGAGCTCGAGACCAGCCTGGCCAATGTGATGAAACCCTGTCTCTATTAAAAATACAAAAAATTAGCTGGGCATGGTAGCGCACACCTGTAATTTCAGCTACTCAGGAGGCTGAGGCACAAGAATCGCTTTAATCCAGAAGCAGATGTTGCAGTGAGCCGAGATCACGCCACTGCACTCCAGCCTGGGAGACAAGAGTGAGACTCTGTCTCAAAACAAACAAACAAACAAACAAACAAACAAACAAGCTAGCTAACTAAACTAAACTAAAATGTAACTTAAAAAAACCCCAACTCATTATTTTGATTATGAAAGTCAGTACCTATTTTCACCATTCTTCCCTGAGAATCACTTGTGGGCACACTCTGCCTTGCTGAAGGAGCACTAAGTAGGAGGCAAGGTGCTGGCTTCTAGTTCCATCTCTGCTATTCAGCGTATGATCTTGGGTGAGTCACCAAACCTTTCTCAGCCTAGACCTTATCTTCATCAAATGTGCCTTCCAGATCCAAGAAGCTATGACTCTCTCTTAAGGGCTAATTATTCTCAGTGGCTAATTATTACATGTATACTTTGATTATAAGCATTCCCATGACACTTACATATAAGATTACAACTTCAAACACATTTAAGAAGTAAAAGTTAGACTAGCTTTGCATATTGCCTAGAATTCATTTGCCAAAAATGCATGTTTATTTGCTTATGCATTCCTTCTCCGTGCGTGCTCAAATATTTGAATGCTGGTTATGTGTCAGATACTCTGATAACTGTTATTTTCTCATGAGGTCCCCATCTACCGATATGATATTTCAGAATTCTCACTTGAAAAATGAGGAAACTGAAGCCCAGACTGGTTTAGTGACTGCTCAGGGCCATGGAGCTGGCTTTGGCAGAGTTGGGGCTTGGCTTTGGGTTTTGGGACGTAGAGTTCTGAAATCTTTCCATTATGCTATGATTGCATGGCTACCTAGCTTATTCTTCAAACTCAGTATATGCCACAAAAGAATACACCATCAATTATAGCAGCAACCAATTAAAGGCCTCACCACACAATAGAGAACTGTCTCTTTTTCAATGATGAATGACCATCAACTTAGTCTGTGAAGACGAAAGTTATTCTAAAATTTCTTACACTGGAAATGTGTAAATAATTTTCTTTAGGAAATATATAAAGGCTATTTTCTAAAGGATACTTGAATCTGAGTCTGGAAAAGAATAATTTTGAAGAAGTCAAATTCTTAGTACCAGGTGTACCTAGGAGATATTACAGGTTTGGTTCTAGACCACCACAATAAAGCAAGTATTATGATAAAAAAGTCACACAAATTTTTGTTTCCAAGTGCATATAAAAGTTATATTTATACTATACTGTAGTCTGTTAAGTGTACAATAGCATTATGTCTAAAATCACAATTCATATACCTTAATTTAAAAATACTTCGTTGCTAGAAAATGCTAAGGATCATCTGAGCCTCCAGTGAGTTGTGATCTTTTTGCTGGAGGAGGATCTCGCCTCCACGTTGATGGCTGCTGACTGATCAGGGTAGTAGTTGCTGAAGAATGGGGTGACTATGGCGATTTCTTAAAATAAAACAACACTGAAGTTTGCCACAACAATTGACTCTTCCTTTCATGAAAGATTTCTCTGTAGCATGCTACATTATTTGATAGCATTTTACCCACAACAGAACTTCCTTCAAAATTGGAGGCAATCCTCTCAAACCCTACTACTGCTTTATCAACTAAGTTTATGTAATATTCTAAATTCTTTTTCGTTATTTCGACAATGTTATGGCATCTTCATTAGGAATAGATTTCATCTCAAGAAAACACTTTCTTTGCTCATCTGTAAGAATCAACTCCTCATTTCCTCAAGTTTTATCATGAGTTTGAGCAATGCAGTCACATCTTCAGGCTTTATTTCTAATTCCAGATCTCATACTGTTTCCACCACATCTGTAGTTAACTCCTCCACTGAAGTCTTGAATTCCTTAAAGTCATCCATGAGGGCCGGAATAAACTTTTTCTAAACTTTTGTTAATGTTAATATTTTGACCTCCTTCCATGAATCACGAATGTTCTTAATGACATCTAAAAGGGCAAATTCTTTCCAGAAGGTTTCAATTTACTTTGCCTACATCCATCAGAGGAATCATTACATATGGCAGCTATAGCCTTATGAAATGTATTTCTTAAATAATAAGACTTGAAAGTTACAATTTTTCCTTGATCCATAGGCTGTTGAATGAATATTGTGTTGACTGGCATGAAAAAACATTAATGTCCTTGTACATCCACATGAGAGGTCTTGAATGACTAGATGTATTTATTGTCAATGAGCAGTGATATTTTGAAAGGAATCTCCTTTTTTGAACAGTAGGTCTCAATAGTGGGCTTAAAATATTCGGTAAATCATGTTGTAAACAGATGTGCTCTCATCCAGGCCCTGTTTTTCCATTGATAGAGCATGGATAGAGTAAATTAAGCCGAATTCTGAAAGGCCCTAGGATTTTTGGAAGAGGTCAGTGAGCACTGGCTTCAACTTAAAATCATCAGCTGCATTAGTCCCTAACAGGAGAGTCAGCCTGTCTTTAAAGCTTTAAAGCCAGGCATTGACTTCTCTTCTCTAGCTATGAAGGCCCTAGATGGCATCTTTTTCCAATAGAAGGCTGTTTTATCTATATTGAAAATCTGTTGTTTAGTGTAGCCACTTCATCAATGATCTTAGCTAGATCTTATGGATAACTTGCTGCAGCTTCTCCATCAGCACTTGCTGCTTCACCTTGTACTTTTATGTTATGAACATGGCTTCTTTCCTTAAACCTCATGAAGTAACCTCTGCTAACTTCTAACTTTTCTTCTACAGCTTCCTCACCTCTCTCAGCCTTCAAAGAATTGAAGAGAATTAGGGCCTTCCTCTGAATTAGGCTTTGGCTTAAAGGAATGCTGTGGCTGATTTGATCTTCTATCTAGACCATGAAAACTTTCTTCATGTCAGCAATCAGGCTGCTTTGCTTTCTTATCATATGTGTGTTCACTGGAGTAGCACTTTTGGCTTCCTTCAATAAGCTTTCCTTTTCATTCACAACTTGGCTAATTGTTTTGTACAAGAGACCTAGCTTTCAGCCTTTCTAGGTTTTCCATGAGGCTTCCTCACTAAGCTTAATCATTTCTAGCTTCTGATTTTAAATGATAGATGTGCAAATCTTCTTTTCACTTGAACACTTAGAGGCCATTGAAGGGTTATTAACTGGACTAATTTCAATGTTGTGTCTTAGGGAATAAGGAGATCCAAGGAGAGGAAGAGAGATGGGAGAAAGGCCAGTTGCTGGAGCAGTCAGAGCACATAAGATGTTTATCAATTAAATTTGCTGTCTTATCTGGGTGTGGTTGGTGGCATCCCAAAACAATTACAGTAGTAACATCAAAGATCACTGATCACCATAACAGATATAATAATAATGAAAAAGTTTGAAATATTGTGAGAATTACCAAGATGTGACACAGAGACATGAAGTGAGCACATGCTGTTGGGAAAATGGCAGCTGTAGACTTGCTCTACCCAGGACTGCCACAAATGCTCAATTTGTAAAAAACACAGTGTCTGTGAGGTGCAATAAAGTGAAGCACAATAAAACCAGGTGTGCCTGTGCTAATTTCTTCAGAGAAATAAACAATTTCTTTCTCCTCCTCCTCTTCCTTTTTTTTTTCTCTCCAAACCCTAGTTTTTCATTTTCTTTCCCACTTGATATGGGATTAGGCCTCTAGGTAGAGGGAATGATGTCAACAACTCCTTTCCCTGACCTCCTTCAGCATTTCTCCTGTCCAATTCACTGATTTCTCTGATTCACTCGCATTTTCCCTCAAGGCAAGTTCTACATAAATAAATGTTTAAGTAACAGAAAGAGAAGGGGGTGACTCTTAAAGACTTAGTTGTGGAATCTGGGGAAGAGTAAAGAGAAAGAGGTAAATTGGAGAGGAATGATTAGAAGAAACTCAAAGGCATCATTTCACCACATAAATTTATATTCTTCTAGTCAGTCACCTTGGACACTGAAAGTTTTTCTTTCTTAACTCCCCAGACAGTGTTCACTGGTAAGTAGTCTACAACAGCTGCTACCTGGAACAAAAACGAAGAGCTGGATACAGCGGCAGATATGAGAGGTAGTGATAGGAAGTTTCTCTCCCTGATTTACAAAAAGTAATTCAAAGACATATATGCAACATTTCTAATGACAAGCTTTGGAATAGAAGCATCTGCACTCTCCTTGCTAAGCTTTTCTTTTATTACCCATTTCTCTTCCTCCAACTCTATCTACTGTCTTTGACTCCTCTTCTTTAAGAATACCTGCCTTAGTGTGTCTCCCATATACAGGAATAAAGGCACTGACATTCCTTTTATGTTTTACATACATCAGCTGTTTAAATCCTCACTGTAATAAAAAGTGGTAGATATTATTGTGGATACACCCAAAGGGGACCACACTGGGTTACTGCCCTGTGTAATCCCCTCCCTGTGACTTTCTTTTAAACAATAGAATATGGAAAAGTGATACAATGTCACTCCCTTAATTAGGTTATGTTTTAATCGCAAAGGTGATATAATGTCACTCCCATGATTATGTCATGTTATATAAGCTTTCGCTTTCTTCTTCTTCCTCTTCCTCTTCTTCCTCCTCCTCCTCCTCCTCTTCTCCTTCTCCTTCTTCTCTTATTTCCGTATTTATTTTCATTTTTTAGAGACAGGGTTTCACTATGTCATCCAGGCTGGTCTCAAACTCCTGGGCTCAGACTATCCTCCTGCCTCAGCTCCCAAAGTGCTGGGATTACGGGTGTGAGCCACTGCACCCAGCCACAAAATTTCTTCTTAACACACTTGAGAAAGAGATTCTCCTCTTGGCCTTGAGGAAGTAAACAGCCATTTGTCAACTACCTATGAAGAGGGTCGCATGGCCAGGAGCTGTGAGCTGTGAGTGGTTTCTAAAAGCTGAGGGTTGTTTCCAGTCAATACCCAGTAAGAACCTCAGCCAAATAGCCACAAGCAAATGAATTCAGCCAATGAGCAGCAGACACTTAGAAGTAGCATCTTCCTCACTCAAGCCTCAAGATGAAAACATAGCAGGGCTGACACTTTGGTTGCATCTTTTGAGACCCTGAGTAGAAGATCCAGTTAAAGACATGCCTGGAGTCTTGACCCCCAGAAACTGTGATATAAGAAGTATGTGCTGTTTAAGCCACTGGGTTGATGGAAATTTATTATGCAGCAATAGAAAATTAATACAATTGTTATCTCTTTTTAATAGAAGAGGAAATTAAGCTTTGGAGAACTTAAGTATGTGAGCTTTTGATAATTTGAGTAAGTTTGTTCAAGGTCACACAACCCATAAAGCAACAGGACTCATACTTAAACTTAAGTCCTCCTGAAGCCCAAAGGTTAAATGCTGTCCAATCCACCATGTTGCTTTTCCACAATTCTCTTCTCATTAACTTTCATTGTTGACTGAATATAACTATGTATGGATTACAATATGACTTCTGGTGATTTTGAACCCATAATGTATATGGTCTTGAAGTTAAAAATAATTGAAGTAGTCTGTTCCTCTCCCCATGCCCTCCTCCCTGGCCATCGTGTTAAGGAATGCTGCCCACCTCTTACCCCTGAAAGAGCGGAGAGGAGGAGAGGAAAGGGGCTGAATAGAATAGAGGGGTAGCCTGACTAGCATTGAAGAGAGGTCCACACCCACTCAAAAGGGGAATTCAGTGAATGTCTTCCAAAAGATAACTGCTCCACCTAGGAAAAAGCTCTGAGGGTCACAAATAATGAGCCTCTCACCAGGAATACCCCAGAGGCAGAAGCCTAGGGCCTATGAATAAGGTTCCATGCTCTGGGTTAATGAATCCCGCAGCTTCTCCTCAATACTATTGGTTTCAGTTGGATGAAAGGACGCTGGCAGTGGGATGACTTTGAGCTTGACGAGTCAGAGAGCATTGGTTGAGATATCTTAGGGGCTGTCTGTTTGATGTGGATTATAAAGGCTGAAAATTCATTGGTGAGGCTTGGCTGGGCCTGTCTGCTGTTGGACCAAATTGGACTGTATTATATATGGGCCACAGTTAAATCACTAGAACAGTAATAAACTAGGTGTATCAAAATATTGACATGCCAAATTACATGAGAGCACATACGGAGTAGTATAAACCCTAGCTCTATCTAGTCTATCATATTGCTGAATTTCTAAAGCACAGTTTCAGAAAAAGCTCAACGGACAGTTGAGAACTTATTCCATGCCAGGCCCAGGGCTGAGTGCTGTGAGGGAAACACAGGGTGAGTTTTACATAGCTCTCACCCTCCTAGAGTATCTAATCCAGTAGCATAGAGAAGTATAAACATTAATAACTAAACAACCTTACAGACATTTGGAATTAGCCTCTTTGGAGCAAGCAATGATGAAGGGCACAGCTGGCACTGGCTTTAACGCAGCCAAGTAGGTGACACTAAGTCACTTGGAAGACCAGGCAGCAGGTGTGAAAAGCTTAAGGGGCAAGGTGTCACTTGCTATAAGAAGTCCTAGGATTTAAAATTTCCTCCCACTGCCACAGAGAAAGCAGTTTCTCCTTTGATGAAAGACCTTATTGCAGTTAGCGCCTTTGACAATAGGCAGGGTCCAGTTGAAAGGACCATGAGTTCAATGAACATTTCTGGATTTTATCATCTCCACCTTCCAAGCAGAAGGCAATCACAGGAAGTGTGGAGTGAGGACTTTAGAATAAGTATAACAAATCTCTGCCCTGGAGGATCTTGTGATCTAGTTAAGGAATACTAAATTACATGCTAAATTAAATACCTAAGAGGCATAGGAGCTGTAGGAGCCTTATTGTTACATCTCCTTGAGGGTCCAGTATCTTCTTTAATTTATTAGGATATTGGTTTTAACATATGTGCTATGTGTGGTTGACATCACAAGGGAGAGAAGGAGAAGAAAGAGGGATAAGAAGAAATAGCCTGGGAAAAAATAGCACAATGGACAAAAATACTGGCTTTAATCACACACTGGTTTGAATCTGGGCCCTGCCACTAGTGTAATTGTGAAACCTTGAGCAATTCCCTGCTACCTCTGAGCTCAGCTTCCTCATTTGGAGGGAATATTACTGATCTTGCCAGGGGTTGTTAGGAATAAGCAAGATAATGTATGTGAAGCCGGTAGCATGAGGATTTGCATCTAGTAGATGCTCAAAAGTAATTTATCAAAGGAAGGAACAAAGGCAGGCAGGGAGAGAAGACAGAAGATAGAAGTGGGAGGGACTCGCTCTTCTCTACTGCCTTATTTTCCTTGAGTGTTTTAGGTTTTCGGCTGAAGCTTCTCTGTTATATACCTTCTTCTTTCCTTTTAGCAAGAGGTCAACTGGTGCTGAGAACAGCTTACAATTGGTTCCTATGAGCACTTCCACAAGATTACAGGTATTCAGGGAAAAAATTAAATCATAGTAAAATATGTTGGATAAATGCTATAGTGAAATTAAGCAACTTTTTTTACTACAGGAATCTTAGAGCCTACATTTTTTAATGTGCATTTTAACTCTTCGAGATGATAATATAATAGACAGCATTTCCCAAGTTAACTTGATAGAAACCAGTTTTTCATTGTAGATCACATGGGGTTAGGGTCCATTGAATACAAGTTGATATTTATATCAAGATATCATACCAGTGGACACCAGACTGTTTGGGAAAATGTCCCCAGAAGAAGCTGCTTGGAAAATAATCTGGAAGATGAGCCCCATCTTCTGCATAACTAAGTGGTATGACCTTGCACTAAATCATTCAAACCTCTGGCCCCCTGGTTTTCTCATGTGCAAAATAGAAGGATGAAGATACATATTCTAAGTACCCTTCTAGCGCTAACAGTTTAACATTTCTATGTGAGCATAAACTACATGATTAAGAATTTGAAAACTATACACATTACTATGTTCCTTCTAGAGAACCAGCAATTCACTTCAACAGAAGCTTCGGAGGTGTTCACTGAGCAGCCACTATACACCATGCTGTGTGGTAGATGCCCTGCACTGCCCAGGCTCCTTCGATTGATGGTTCCTGGAAGAGTTTGCCTTATGAACAAAGCAGAAAGAGGAAGAAATCTCTTTGGCTTGGCAGTCAAGGCCCTCCAGAGTCTAGGCATTTGATATTCTTCATCTCCCAATAATTATGCCAACCTTGGTCTTTCACTCCTTCCTCTCCTCCATGTGGACACTCCCTTCATATGAAAGTATTCCACATGCCTTCTCCACATGCCCAGTCATGTGCTTCCCTCCTTCCTTCGCAGCATTATCTTGCCTGAAACCTGTCCCCTTCCTCCCCTCTGTCAATGTAAATTCTCTTCTTTCAGGACACCAATCAGATCACAGGAAGTCTGCCCTGTCCCCATAGTAGGGACCTTCTCTCACTCACTTACAATTCAGCAGACCATAGTGTGTGCCTTCTCACTAAGATGATAGAAAATCCCCTTTACATGTGTGTTGATTTATCTTACCCATGAAATCTTAAAAGGTAGAGATTCAGGACGACCAGCCACCCTTTCTTTCTGCTGGAGTTCTGAACAAGAAATTATATCCCATGAACATCAATTGGCAAATGGGGGAAAAAAGTCCCACCTCATTCAGTTCAGTAACTCCTAATCCATCTTCTCAATGAGGTCTGCCTTACTTAAAATGTCAACACACTCCCTGTAACATTTCAGACCTCCTCCCTTGCTTTATCTCTTCAACACTTATCTCTGTCTAACAAATTGTATGATGTATAATTATATTGTATAATTTACTTATTCCCAACATTTTCTATCTTTCCTGCTAGAATGAATACTCCATGAAGGCATACATTTTTGTCTTTTTTGTTACTGAACCCTGGTGCTCGAGTAGTAGATTAGTTCCTGGTGCATAGTAGGTGCTGAACAAACTTTTTTAAGTAAATAAATGAATGCAGAACTCTCTGGTCAAAGCTGAGTTAGAGAATACCATTTAACCTAAAGGACTTCATATGGCCTCTTACTCTCTGCTCTTCTACCTTGCAAATCTGTGCTGGGATCTTTCCACTAAATGAGAGGGAAGTCCAATTTGAAGCATACCTGCCAGTGCTAGAAGAAAAGGGGCAAGAGAGATAGCAAGAATACATCTGATTGTCTCAAAAGCCAAGGCCTAAGATGTTTTATATCTTCCCAAGGTCTAGTACCTCAGGCAGGGATGGCCTATGGTAGAAAAGAGAAGAAATGACAAGGGCAATGTGGGCCCAGGAATGGTCTTTGATAGTGGAGTCTGTCCTGCATTAAAACCAGGCATGTGGTCAATAAAATTAATCAGCAGCCATGTGTAGACAGCGGGGCCTCCAACATCTGTCCCCAACCCAGTGGGGACAAGAATCTAGAAAGAAGTTTAATTATTTTGGGAAAAGAAACAGAGATGAGACGGGAAAGAAAAATATCTCAGTGTAAACTTTGTCAAAAAATAGCACCACTACCTTTATATTCAGCATAAAATGGTGGCTCAATGAATATTAGCTGATTGATTGGCTGGTGTTGATTTTATAGGCATTTGTAGAAATTCTGGAAGTGAAATAGTGGCAAGTATAATGTCCATCCATTTTACTGGGCTTAGAATCCATTGCTGATATTTCCCACTCAGTGTAACTCTAACCCTAACTCCTTAATATGAACCCTTCTCTACCTGTCTCATAACTAAGCTAGAAAACAGCCTATATCAGAAGTTGTTTTCTAGTGCCAGTAAACAGAAATTAGTCCAGTGGTCTATGCGAAATGTCCATGAGGTTTGAACAGATCCACGTTTCTCTGACTTGATATTTGCGTAATCCTGAAAAAGTCATCTAACCTCTCCAGATCTTGGTTTCCTCATCTATAAAACTAGGATAATATTTATCCAGTAAGATGAGTTATGAGAATTAAATGAGAACAGGATTTGATCTGTTCATCCATTTAACATTTAATGAGCATTTACTGTGTTCTAGGCTGCATCATGCACTAGGAATCTAGAGACTAAAGAGTCAGTTCCCACTCTAGGGAACTTATACCCATCCATAAGAAATGTATTATGGTTCTCTGAATCTACCATACCCTTTTCACCTCCTTGCACTACACATGGTTTCTGCTTTGTCTAGAGGGGCCACTTTTCCTCCTCCTACCTCAGACTTTAGCACTTTGCTAACTCTTCATTACTCTTGAAGGTTCACTTCAAATGTTTCCTTCTCTGGCAAGCTTTTCCTGACCTCTCTGCAGCCTCTGTGGAGAGGCTCTCTGTATCCTCTGGAGAAGAGGTACAAGTAAACATGAGCAAGTGCAATATGGTGTAATAAATGCATGGATGAAGTGTGTTGGTTAGTTTGGAAACACCTAATCTGTTTCTAATGGAGGCCGCAGAGAAGTCAGGAAAAGCTTGCCAGAGAAGGCAACATTTGAACTGAGCCTTCAAGAACTGTGAAGAGTTAGCCAAGTGCTAACAGTCTGATGTAGGAGGAGGAATATTGGCCCTTCTAGACAAAGCGGAAACCATGTGCAGTGCAAGGAGGTGAGGAAGGTATGGTAGATTCAAAGAACCATAATCAATTTATTATGCATGGGTATAAGTTAAGAAATTATGGAAAAAGAGAAGGAAGAGGCAAGCAAGACACACCAATGGGCAGGCGGCCTAACTCCAATCACCAATGTCTCTTTCAGAAAGGAGACACAAATGGTTCAACTGCATAAGGCAAAGAGAGTCAAAGGTCTGTCTCTGATCACTCAGTAGCAAGATTCTGAAGAAAGCTGCTCTAGATTGTTATTACTGAGAATTACTAAAAAGGCTGAAGAAAGAAGACGGTGGAAAAATTCAACTTCCTTTCCAACTATCCTTCCCAGCAAGGTAGCTGTTAACAAAGAAAATAGAAATGGAAGCTCCTTAGCGGGGCTTTGAGTTTTCATCTTGATGTCACTGGAGCACTATTGCAGAGTTTTAGTCAGGGAACTGACATGAATAATTTTATGTTTTAGGAGGATCCATCTGACACTGTGTGAAGGATAGATTAGAAAAGGGCTAGATTAGAGTCAAGGAAAGAAGGAAATTGCAGTAATTCATGCAATCAATGACAAAGGCGATAAAAGAGAAAATAAAGAAGAGATGGTAGATCAAAGAGATGGATAGATGAGGAAGAGGAATCACTTAGCAAGTCCCAGCTTTCTACCTTGGACAGTTAAGTAGATTGTGATGCCAACATCGATACAAGAGGAGAAGCATGTTGGAAAGAGAGGGGAGAAAATGGGGCATTAACTTTTGAGTTTGGTGGGCTTGGGGTCTCTGTGAGACATAAAAGTTAAGGCTTAAAAGAAGGGGGTTGGTCATCTAAGTTGGGTTCAGGAGAAATATCAGGCTATGCAGATTTGAAAGGCATTACTTTTAGACAGGCATTTTTCATGAAGTCTGTGTAGATGGGTCTCTGAGAAGATGAGAAGATCAAAAACGGTACCCTGGAGTACATCAATAAATAAGGGAAGGCAGAGTGGGAGTAAAGATGGAAGGTAAGGGGAGGGGGAGTGAGAAAAAAAGCCAGCAGAGAAAGGAGAGACTTAAACAGAAAAAAAGGAGGAGTTGCAAGGAGATAGGGGTCCCCAGTATCAAATGTCAGAGAGATGTCAGTAAGTTAACAAATTTACACATAAGAAATCACAAATGGCATTAGGAAGGGCAATTATAATGGAAGCACACAGTACAATATTAACTCAGTAGGCGACTTTCATTCTCTTCAAGTGTATATGGTGGGAGCTCACCTAACACCACAGCTTTACATCCACTATTTCACATAAGTATATCTCTACCCATTTTCAGTAGGCATGTTTCATCTATAACCACTAATTGGTAACATTAATTGTCCATCTTTCCTCTTTTCTGCAGTACAGGCCTATGGTTCACACTAAAATTTCTATTTGTTGAGCCAGTCTTAGGACTAAGTATCTGATTTTTGTCAAAAATCACAAAAAAATGTTATGCAACTCTGCTACCTCCTTTCTGCACTCCCTTCTGACTCTCAAAATCCAAAAAGGCTGTACCTATGCTTCCAGTATTTTCTGTCTGTGACCCAAAAGCAGAGGAATGCTGTGCCAGGGGTGGGCTGCTGAATAGCCCTCACTGCTAGAGTGGCTCAATGGGAATCCTCCGATGAAAGGCATGACAGAAAAGGTAGATGTTATTTCTGGAATTATTATGATAAGAGGTGTAATGAGAAGCTCACTGCAGGGCCAGATAGGAAGAAAAGGGAGGAGGTGGCAAGGGAAAGAAAAGCTTCCCTGGGCTCTTTGCAAAGAAGCTCTAGGAAAATATTTGAAAATGTGTGCATGTTGAGAAGTGGCAGGAAACAGAAGAATGAAAGACCCCAACAATGGTTAACTAATTCTGTTTGCTTGTTTGTATATGAAAAACCAAAGTGAAAATCTTGACAGGAAGCACATCTTTTAAGAAACCCATTGCTGACTCTGATGGTCTCTGCTTAAACCTTCAGATAATAGCCTTACAGGTTAATGCCAATGCAATGATATACAGAACAGTCTTAGGACTGGCTCCCCCAAACTGCTGGCTGCCAATGCGTCAAATGGTTCTGTTTCCAACAATTTACTTTCACTGAGTTCCTGTATACAAAAAGTGCTGACTCTGTTTTTCTTTCATAGATGAAACTGCTAAAAGCCCCAAAGTCCAGTTCTGGCCATCCTGCTGGTGTGTTTTGCTCTTCTCAGGTGGTATTGTCCAGATAACTCAGGTCCTGGCATCTCTGTTCACCTGTTACAATGGCAATTACAATGAGGAAAAGCTAGATTTGCCTCCAGTTCTGCAAAGCCCATTCTAAGGTTTCAGAACAGCTCTCAGGGTGAGGATAATATTCTGTCTCAGGTTCTGGCTACTTCACTGAAGGTTTTACAAGCAGGAGAAACAGGCTTACACCTGTTAGAAAGGACAGGAACCCAGGAGAACAAAAAACAATATTTCAACGGAAGAAATGGAATTGAAAAATGTCAGTCTTCCACAGCCTTCTCCCTATGAGTAAAAGAAGTGAATTAGTAATTCCCTGAGTTGGGCCAGTGTAACACTTTTGAGAAACCCAGAGAAGTTAAGACTTAGTAGGGTGGTAGTTGCATATCATTTGGAGAGAATCAACATTCAACCAAAAAACCCACCGAGCACAAGATTACCCAAAGGCATTCAAAAGCCGTAAAATTCTTATACTTCTTTCCATGTACAAGAAAACCAGTGAGTCAAAAGCCACATCTTTTCAAGCTTGTTCTCCTAACCTACCTCATCCCAGAATAGAACCACCCAGCCCAACCAGTCATGATGATACTCAAGCCATGCCTAAGGCTAAAGCAAAAATGCTGGCCAGATTCTTGCTGTCAGCAAACATCAAGTATGAGGCTTGAATTTTACAGCGGTAAGAATTGACTGAGAAGGAAAATGGGCATTAGGACACTTAGAAGCTACTGCAGATTAATCCCCACTGCATCCTCAATAGAATGAGAATGGGACCAGACCTTTCTCTGTGTTACATTCAGTGGTGCATGGGAGGTCAGCATAGTCTCTGGAATTCGACTGCATGGTCCAACGCCTGGCTCTTCCATTGACTAGCTGTGTCCTTCAGAAAGTCACTAAACCTCTCTGGGCCTCATGTTGTTGGCCTATATTTGTTTTTGTCATATTAAATATTGACTCCATAGCAATGTTGTGAGGATTTGTATGAGTTAATGTAAGTGATCTGCTTAGAACAGTGCCTGACCTATAAATACTGACATACTGTAGACATATTATAGTGTTAGCTATTACTAACACTTTGTTATCTGTCAATCAGGGCTCCAGTTGCTTGAGAGAATTGTCTTACAAGAAGGATTGGCTGACACTCCCTAAATTTTCTGATTCCTTACTTTCATTTCCTCTGCCTTCTGCCTTAGATGGAGTCTGTGCTGTTCCTTACCTCTTTTGAGAAAACTCCACCTCCACTCCCTTCTAGCTTCTCCTGTAGTGTTTTTCTTTACCTTTCCCTCTCCGTTCTCTTGCTTCTCTGCCTGTCAGTTCTCTCCACTCATCTTCCTCAATCTCCTTCCTTGGAGAACAGAATCTAGCACACTGTAGGAACGTATTAAAGATTTGTTGAATGAATGGTCAACCAAAGCATGAACATATGATTCAGTTCCTGAATACAATAATAATTTCAAAATATAAAAAGGAAAAAAAGCATCACTGTGCCCTATAAATTGTTTCTAATTTTGAAGGAAAAGATTACAGAGAAAGAGACAAATGGTCACACGTAAAACAGTATCTAGGATCACAGAATAAAACGAACAAACAAAAAGAGACTGTTTTGCAGTGGGGTAGGGAACACTGGTGGTGTTCTGTGTGCACGTAACCATGACACACCAATGTGCAGGCAGTTCAGCCTGACTCGAATCACCAACGTTTCTTCCAGGAAGGAGACACAAATAAGTCAACTGCACAAAGCAAAGAGAGTCAAAGGTCTTTCTCTGATCGCTGGTCGCAAGGTTCTGAAGAAATCTGCTCTAGGTTGTTATTACTGAGAATTTTACTAAATTTTACTAAAAAGGCAGAAGAAAGAGGACAGTGGAAAAATTCAACCTCCCTTCCAAGCATCCTTCCCAGGAAGGTAGCTGTTAACAAAGACCATGGAACCAAGTGACTGAGCTGCCCCATCTAAGAAATGAAGTTCTAAAAATAAGCTATTCTTATAACTAATGAATAAATAGATGTCACTAAAAATACGCCATAGTCAGAACACTGGAAAATCTAAAACTGTACTTAAAACTACAGATTGTTTGAACTAGATGGACCATAAGAATTTAATCCAACCCTCTTGTTTTATAGATATGGATGGAAACCGAAGCCCAGGGACATTTTGTGACTTGTCCAAGGTCACCCACTAGATGGATGGCAAAGCCAAGACATGATAATCCAAGGGGAAGGGACTCATTTCTTTCTGGGATACTAGGACTCAGAAAACGGATCAATCGCACCAAGTCAAGTACAGATGTCCTGCTTGAGTCACACAGCATGGGATTGCCAGAGTAGGGAAGGAGAGCAGGAGAGGGGCCTGGGAGTTGCTTTGCTGCCAGTCAGCTGACTGACTGCAAAGAGTCAATAAAAGTTATCTTCAGGATTGAAAAAGTAAGGTGAAGGGGAAGTGGAGCAATAAAACCCACTAGGAAAACCACTTCCTGTCTTGGAGCACGTGGTTACTGAATGGTGTCCTGGGGAATTGGGGATATTCCAAGAATCAGCTTTTAAGGGCCAAATAGCTTTTCCATGTTCTAAAAGCTGCTAGAGCTCCCCTTCATGAAGAAGGGCCCAGGTGCTCATCTATTATTAAGCATGTTTAAAAAGGCATTTAAGAGAAAGCACCAGGAGACAGATTTGTAGCTGCAATGGGAATCCCAGGAGGGCAGTGCTTGCTTAGAGAAGGAGCAGAGTTCATGTTAGCGATATGGGAAGAGCCAACACAAGCAGGTGTTTGGTGTTCCCTGACACCTGTTGGTGTGCTCTTCAGCAGTTCACTAAAAAGTGAGTGATGCAGAAGGCAAAGCCAACAAATGCCAGATCTTCCTACTATCAATACAACACGTTCAGACCAATAAGCTATGACCAAGATTTGCCCCTTGTGTTGGGGGGCAGGGAAGAGGGGAGTACAGAGGGGCAGAAATTTAAAAATCATGGGATAAATACATGAATCTAAATAGATAATGGACAGAGATTAGATATTTCATATATTTTAATAGTAGATAAATGGTTAGTTTATACGATTTAATATATTTATGACATCATTCACAGCATATTGTGATTATAGATTATAAAACAGGATGTATAATACTATCTCAATTTTATAAAAATATTCCCACATGTTTTTATAAAACACATTTATAGGCTGGGCACAGTGGCTTACGCCTGTAATCCTAGCCCTTTGGGAGGCCAAGGCAGTCGGATCACCTGAGGTCAGGAGTTTGAGACCAGCCTGACCAACATGGAGACACCCTGTCTCTACTAAAAATACACAATTAGCTGGGCGTGGTGGTACCTGCCTGTACTCCCCCAGCTACTCGGGAGGCTGAGGCAGGAGAATCACTTGAACCCGGGAGGCTGAGGTTGCGGTGAGCCGAGATTGTGCCATTGCACTCCAGCCTGGGCAACAAGAGCAAAACTCCATCTAAAAAAAAAAAAAGCTAAAAAGCCAACCCACACATTTATAATATAAAGATAAAAGGACTAAAATGATATAAATCAAAATATAAACAAATTATCTCTGGGTGGTTGAATTTGGGGTGGATTTTATTTTCTTCATGCTCTTCTCTAATTAACTTTTCCTTAATGAACGACTGCTATACTTTTGACATCAGACACAAATAACAAAATATCGTTACATAAAAGAGAAATGAAAACGAAACAGGATTCCTCAGATTCTGAAAAAGAGATCCTCATAATTAGATGGAATACATTTAAGACCACGGTTTAAGGTATTTTCCTTCTTTAGGATCTTACACTTAAGAAGAGTCTTTTAAGCGGCCAATAATTCAGCTGGAGAATAAAAACATAGATTTTGAAGAGCACAGATCCATCACTGAAGAACAATAAGAATTTATATTTGGGTAAAAATATTTGTGTCCATCTATTCCTTAAATTGTCAAGAAAAACCCTAATGCCTGAGTTTTAAACAATGAGTAAAAGAACAGAGCTACATTGTTCTGTGATTGCCTGGCATGGTCTGTTTTTGATGGGGTGGGGTCTTGTGAAGCATTTCTTCCCAATGATGCATGAATGAGAACCACCGAGAAGTCAGGCTTCATCCCCTCCTCTCCTCCTTAAAGTCCCCTGCCTTCACCTTGCTGTCAGGCTGTCCTGGCTCTACCAACCTCTTGGGTGGTGACTACTTCTCCCTTTCCTTTGCTGATTCCACTCTCTCCTCTTACCCTGTACCCACCCAGAGGCATGTCCTGTAGCCCATGTCCTTGGTCCTCTTCCCTCTCCTTCTGTTCTCGTTAGAAACTCATCTTCTCACTAGCCTTCAATTATCCCCTCCGTGGAGAACATCCCTCAGTCTGCATTCTTAGTGGTATCTTCACACCAGAACCACAAATTGACATTTCTACTTCCCTCCTGACTCAACAGTAACTCAGAATTAGAAATCCTAAAATTGAACCCATGAAACTGCTTCCCCGTCACTAATTTTGTTCCTTGTTTTGATGTCCCAGTGTCCCATAAATGTCCCATTTCCTGAAGTTCAATTCTTCAGTGGTCATTGTCTCATCTTTCCCAGTAGGTTACAGATTTATTCCACCTCTGCCATCACTCTCGCAGCCACCTCTGCTCCATGATTGTCCACATTCATTCAGGCCCAAGATGACTGCGGCATTCCTGCAGGCACCTAAGTTCCTACACCCCATCACAGCTGCTGGATGAATTTTTTGAAGAGAAGTCATAATCACATCACTCTCCCACTCACAAACATTTCATGGCTTCCGATTGCTTCTTGAGTTAATTCAAACTATCTTTGCTTCTAATGCTCTTTAAGCTCAATCTTTACTTAAAGATGTCTCTCTACCCCCTTATTTGTACCTATCACCTAGACAATTTTTTTAAAAAAAAACTCTTATTCAATAAACAAATATTGTACTTCACCTGTTACTCCCTCTGCCTGAAATATCATCCTCACTTCCAATATTACTCACCTCTAAAACCTTCCCTATCATTTAAAGCCTATCAATAAAATCATGTTCTTCTCAAAACCCTTCCTGATTCCCTTAACCAGATATGTAATTTCTTTTTATAAGCCCCTTTGTCTTATCATTTATTAGTTATCTATTGCTGTGTAAAAAGTTATAAAACTTAGTGGTATAAAGCACAAATATTGATTATCCCACAGTTTCTGTCGGTCAGCTTCCAGACACGCTTTAGCTGGGTCCTGTGGCTCAGGGCTGTATACAGGGCTGTATGGCAGCGGGCAGGCCCCAGTCCTCATCTGTTGCTACTCAGGGACATCAGTTCCTTGTCACTTGGGCAGGGTTGCTCACAGCGAGGTGGCTGGCTTCCCTTAGAGCAAGGGATGCAAGAGAGAGGGCCCCAATACAGAAGCTAGTCCTTTCATGTGCACATCTCAAAACTGACATCTCATCACTTCACTATTCTCTTCCAAATAATCAAGTTGCTAAATTTAGCCCATAACTGGGGGAGAGGACCACACACAGGCATGAATAACACGAAGTACAATCTTTGGGGGTCATCTTAGCGGCTGCCTACCACATCATATTCTTCCCTGCATCATACCTGTGTGATTTTCTTAACCCCTCTGTTAAAAGGGTACATTTCTTGAGAACAGGGTGTCTATTTACCTTTATATTTTCCTCTTAGCACCCAGCACAGAGTCCTTCATAGAAGAGCCCTTCAGTTTAGGTTTGTTGAATTGAACTGAAGCTAACTGATTGATAAAAGTGCTAACTCTGGATACAGGCAGCAAAAGCAATGCCTCCTTCTCGTGGACTTTGAGAATCTGCTTTCACATGAAAAGCAGAAACACCACTGGGGATCAGAGAAGAAGAGGTTCACTAGAGCTTTGTGGAGTAGAAAAATGCTATATGGTCAATGTTGTTCTATGAATATTAGGAAATTCCATTCTGAGATGAAGTGTTTCTAACTTCTGGGGTGGGATGAAGGGATCTAAAATCGCCAAAAAGAGACTAAGCACTTCCTTTGCATCCTTATTTAGCACTTGCACAATATAAAGATACACGTGTAATTATTGTCATTATTAACTTCCCTTCGCTTCTAGCCAGACTGTTCAAAGCCTCTTGAGTACGGCTCTTCTGCTTTGACAACTTCAACCTCATCTTTTCTTGACTCTGCTTTTCCTCCTCTCTCTCCACAGTTTAATCAGTATAGCATGACTTAAAATCATCAAGCTTTCTCTCTACACTTTTAGACTATATCACTCTGTTTTTAATTGCTGTCAGTTTTCCATTCTTACATTTAAGATGCAACATTCTGGCCCTGCCTTCATTTCTAATTTCAGTTTTTCCTATATTCACATGTTTCATTTACCCAGCCCCTTTCCTTCATTCTCCTAGTCCTCTAGCTGAGCTTTTTCTCTGTTGAAGCCTTCCTTTCTTTGCTAGGTAAATGCCCTTGGATCACTCCAATTCTCTGTAAAGCTCATGCCTGTGAAGCCATTCCGGGTGTTCCTTCAGTTAGGATTATTTGTTACTCTGCCAAGAAAAAAGACAAATGCACACTCCTCATGTGCCTAAAACCTTTAAATGCATTAAAAGTCGATATTTCTGTATTTCATTGTCTGACAAACAGAAAACCCCCTTCAGACAAGTAGTGCCTTTTGCCTTCTACACTTCCAGGGTACATCTGGAGATTCCGTGCAACACAGAACTGTAATTGCTCCGTGTGCTTGCATTTCCAAGGCAGTGCTCAGAATTCGCAGCTGCCCCCTAGAGACTCCAAGGTAAACTGCAGGAGCAATCAAAAGGCTGTGTCAGCTCCATAAATGCCCAATCCCTTAATCCTAAATCTACCCATTTCTAAGGTATCCATTTTAGATTTTAAGCAGGGAATGACTCTTTTTCGAACTCATCCGTGTTCTAGGAGTTGCAAACTCCAGTGTCTGCAGGGGCTAGGTAGATAATTAATGAAAGAGGTGGGACACTTGCAGGGGGCTGAGATGAACTGGACAGCATGTATTCCAACCAAAGGCGGCCCCGCAGAATGTGAACGCAGTGTTGCCCATCTTCTGATTTTTCAGGAAATCCAGAATCTGGAGTTCTATGGGAATCTGAATTTTTAAATTTTAGAAACCAATTTAATCTTTAAATATACCTTTTAGGCCGTATAGAACATGTCGATGGCCCAAAAGTAGTCTGTTGACTGCCAGTTTATGACCTTTCCTATACACCCTCACCAGGTCCCATGTTGTGTCACATTCGATGGTACAGGGTCAACTGGAGACAAGGAAGTGAAGTAATTTCCGTAACAGCTGTGAAAGAAAGCCAAAAGATGCCATGCTCACTTAGAACAGTAGGCTAGAGTAGGTAACTCACTAAATGCAGTTCTTATTAAACAATGAAGGTTAATGCTTCTTGATTTTTTGGAAAAATCAAGCATAAATATTGTAATGTTCATAGCCTGATGTGACAGATTATATAAATCCATACCCATTCTCTAAAATCTAGCAGCGAGAAAAAAATGGGAGATAAAATACTACTCATATTTCTCCTGTGGCCTCAAAGTGGGCCTGTAGCCTCAACACAGAATCTGTATACAATTTAGGCAGAGGACTTGTGGACATAATTTGGAAAGTTCTTACATAAGTTGCTAGTGAAATTTCTTATGACAGCTGCTGAACATACTCTGAAGAAATTTAACTAGCAACTTATTTAAAATGATAAATCTATCAAAAGCCCCTTTGAGACTGGCCTTAAGAGTCTGACAGCCACTGCACCCTGTCTTACCACCTTAAGCGTATATGGCACTATCTGAAATGATCATATGTATTGATTTGTTTATATGTTTGTTGTCTGGCCCCACTCACCAAGACACAGGCTCCTTGAGGAAGGGAACTTGTTGGTCTTGTTCAATACTGTTTCCCCAGCACCTAGAATAGTGCCCAGCCCTTAGTAGGGGCTCGGGAAAATATTCGCCAAATGCATAAACCCAATCGGCCTCGTGTCAGGGAATGTCTTGAGCAACTACATGAAGATATCAGGTAATTAAGAATCTTCTGGAGTGAGTAGGGCAGGCTTTAACTTTTTCTTACTGGGCTACTGGCTCTGTCCTCCACTTTATGAAAGGATAAAGATTCAGTTTTATTATAAAATTAATGGCTGGAAAATAAAATGAGAACAGAGAACAATGACAGAGTGGCAGCCTTAAATATCTATTAAGCAGATACTTCTCCTTGTGAAAAGGAAATGTCTGTGATCAGCGGCCCTTATGTTTTATAGGTCAAAACTCAGATTACTGGGCCTCATCCCTAGAGCTTCTGGTGTAGAAGCTGAGAATCTGTACTTCTAGTAGGTTCCCCGGTGATGCTAATGCTGTTGGTCCAGGGGCCACACTTTGAGAACCTCTGATGTAAACTGTGAAACGCTATTCAGTTGTCTGTTGTTAAGACCATTCACCACTCCCCTCACCTACCATTTCACCGCCATCCCCTTTATGTTCAACTATGACTAACCATGACTATGGGCATGTCTTTTGACATTAAACCACTTTCCCTTGCAGAAGGAATTTTTTTTAATGGTTATGAGCTAATCTATCTGCTGCAGAATAAGGAAGACATAAAGGGAAAATTGGCAATTCTTTAAGATCAACCACAACATGGTGGTTTATTACAGTGAAACAACACCCAAGTAGATCAAATAGCACAAGGACACACTATAAGGTTTCATAAACTGTGATTATTGCTTAATGTGTTTTGGTTGTAATTTAATGGTTACTGAGAACCCACAATGTGCTATATCAAAACTGAGGGGTTTCTAATTGCCTGATTTCTGAGTGATAGGCCCAGCATGGGCTGCTGTGCTATGCTGTAGACTTTGTCAGTATTTTATTATTAATTAAGACTCACCTTTTAAAAATCCCTGTGCAAAAAGTCATTTTAGAATGAAGGAAAAAAGCTTGCTCATTTCAAATTTATAACTAGGCACATCAAAAATCTATATACTGTTTTCTAGTTTCTTCCTGTTAGTGACTAAGGCCAAAACCCAACTAGTTTGTGTGTGTCTTTGTGTAGTTAAGTATGGTCAATTTTTCCATTTTCCTGTTTTCTAGAATCTAATTTCATTTGTATTATCATTGGTTTAAAATGTGTTCAAGTAAAATGATAGTGAACACGAGAGTAGCACTTGCTACATGTCAGATATTGTGCTAAGAATTTTACATGAATTATAATTTTAGTTTTAACAAAATTAAAACTTTACAGTTTGAGGTAGGTGCTATTATAATCCCCATTTTACAGATGAAGAAACAAAGGCACAGAAAGGGGGAATAATATTTATTTAAATTTATTTAGATAAATCACTGCACTGGGCAGAGGTGACCAAAATATGGTTTCTCTTGGTTTTTGAACTGTGTGTCAAAAGACAAGTTCAAGAATCCAAGGTCAAGAGAAAAGCATAAGACAGGGCTTAAGGCATAAAAGCACAAGAGGTGCTGGAGAATAGTTAGTTGCAATTATTGGGCATGGAGGCTGAATGCAGAGAGGTGAGGAGGGAAAAGGAAGGGAAGGTGGGTCAACCTCAAACACCATGATTTTGGGGCTGGGGTGGGGGAGAAGAACACTTTGCCCTGTGGAAATGTTTCCCAAATTTCATTCATTCAAGTAGTACTGTAACAATTTTGCCACATCTGTATACCACCTATACTAATTTTTGAAATAATCTTTAAGAATATATGTATCAAAAAATTCGTATCATTACTATAAATGTAAGTTGTGCCACTTCCCAAAAGTAGAAGATAACTATAAAAATAGATGATTATTTAAACAAAAAAATACTCATCCCTTCTGAATTAACTCAAATACTACAGTTGAAATTCACAGCCACATGTGAGGAAACACTGATGCAGCAATGATGAATTTGAAGATCAGTGTTCTTATTGTTGAATTTTATTCCTACTTTTTCTTTCTTATACTTTTTTTTAACTTAATTGAGTTTAATTTATCTCATTTTATGTAAGATCTCAAAACTCCTCTCCCTTAGCTAGTTGAGTTCATAAAATATTTGGTTGCTTGTGTTTCAAATAAAGCAGTTAAATTTTCATGTTACTGTCCCACTAAGGTTTAAGAGCTGTTTTTGTAGGTCAGCTATTTTAAATTCCCCTCAGTGTTTTGACATTTCTCTGCACCTCCAACAGATGTCTGATCAATGGGGCTGCAGGGATACGGTGCCACTGCCATGATGGTTGATTTTAGAAAAGCTTTTAATTCAGAAGATGACTATTTCCTCGAAAATCCCTTCCATGCAATGAGGACCTAGACAGCTGTTTCTGTAGGTAGTTATGGCCTTTGTAATTCAAAGAAACATGTTCTTTCCTCACAGTTTGAGGAGATAGGTTCTGAGTTCCTAACTGAAAAGAGAGGGTGTGTGTGTGTTTGTGTGTGTGTGTGTGTGTTTGTGTGTGTGTGTGTGTGTGTGTGATAACAGGAATTATAAGTATAGAAAGATACAAGAAAGCTTTCTCCCCCCTTTATCTTTCTTTCCCTCTCTCCTTTCCTTCCTTTCTTCCTTCTATTTTTGCTAATCACAGAAAAATGTTACACTGAAATAGCCAGTCACAGTCTGGGCTAACCAGCCTCCACACCTCCAGCTCCACCCCAGATGCTGGACCATTTCTTAACACGTAGTTTTAAAACTCAAGTAGCAGGGTCTGCACATTTCTATAGTGTGACTTGTCCTCTTGTCTATGAATTTATCCCCATTGACATTGCTACATTTGGATCCCATTAGTCTAGTTGTACTCTTATACTCCATGTATTGAGGCAAAAAGCACACTGGACACAAACGGAGCTAGATGTAAATGTCTACACCCAGCTCTGCCACTCCTTAGCTATGTGACTTTGGGAAAATCATGTGACCTCTGATCCTCAATTTACTTACATGTACAAGTATTTCTCAACATTTTAATAGGAATCAAAATGGGATCATATATGCTAAATTTGTCCATTAATAACATTGCTAATAACATGTTACATAAAAGTCAGATGTATTCATGGCCAAATCTTCCTAATGTCCCTTAATTCCAGGCTAGACTGTCTGATCATTTATATGTCTTTCCCAGATCCTATAGGGAAAATGGAATTTTGTGTTCACTTTTCTATAAAGAGAATGCTGAGGTGCCTTAAATATTCACTATGAATTTTACCTCAAAGGGAATATTCTGTTCCTTTGCCAGCAAACTTCCTTTCCTATGGGATGAATGAAGAAAAACGAGTACATATTATTTCAGGAAGAGTCAAAGATGATGACCTCAGAAGACATCTGACAGCAAACGCTTGAGCTAGAAAAACATGGAAAGGCATCCACCAGAAGTTTGGTGTGAGCAGGAATGTGGTGTGCACCTGGAGAATAGGGCAGTGGAGCACGGGCTTCTTTCCCCTCGAGGTCCATCACTCCCTCCCCAGTGACTGCCTTCTATGTGCACTCTTCTCCTTCCAGGGTCATACTTTCTTTCTCACCATTCCCCTGGCACAGATTTGCTTTAAGTTTAAACCTTCAGAACAGCTAGCTGACAGAACTAAGACCTGGAACGCCTGTAAAACCAGCAATGGGCCACCTCTATGACAGCGAAGGACACCTGGCCACAGAAGAGAGAGGGAGGGTGGAAGGAAAGTAGAAAAGCTCCTAAGCAAGCCACCTTAAGACATCTCTGTCAGGATAAACTAAAAGGTTCACCAAATTATGAGCAGAAATAACCCTAACAGAGAAAATTATAAAATCACCCTGAATAATCTGAATGCTATGGCTGCTGTGGGAAATTTATGTTCATGGTTTTTATTAAGAGCTTTTATTATTTTTAAATTTTATTTTTTTGTTGTTGTTGGCTATTACTTCCTTTAAAATGTTTGTACCACAGGCTGCTTGGCAGAGTTAACATGCCAAGGTCAGAGCTTCTCTTCCTGTATACATGAATTATTTCTACCCTGTTTCTGGCCAGCTCTCATAAATAGGTATTGTGGAGATACAGCCTGTGCATGGCTGGTACAAATCCATCATCACTGCAGGAAAAACTCAACGCATAAGATCTTCGGGTGCTAGATCAATAAAGGCATGTTTGCATATGAAGGACAATCAGGTATTTTAGCTTTAATGCCAAACTTCAGGTCTTAGCTAAAGTCAATATGCTATTAATATAGGCACAAAGTAGCTTGTTTGGTGAAAAATATGTAAAGGTATTTTTATAATATACTGCTATAGCAGCAAGTCAGGTATGTTCTATCCCTACTGGTGAAAGAAGGGCATTGCTCTCTCCCTTCTGGGTCATGTATGAACCACAGAATAGAAACAGCGCTGGAAAGGGTCTCATACTGAGCAGTAGTCATATGACTCCTTGGGAACGTGAGTCTGAATTTTACAAGCCCTCAACTTTCAAGAAAATGAAACCAACATGATGAAAAATGCAGACAGACATGGAACACATGGACAACCCCATTCTCTGTGATGTAACTACCAAAGATAAGAAATACATATCTCAACAAAGTTAGAAGGCAGCGCACTGTATGAGAAGATCAAAAAGAGAAAACCCTCTGGGACTCCTAGCAGACCCGAAATAACAAAGGACAGCCTTCCACCAGACTGCATATGTGTCCCCTGATTGTTCCAGAATCGATATAAACAAACCAATTCCCAAATTAAGGGTTTTCATTTTTAACATTTAGGGACATTGGATACAAAAAAAAGGGGACAAATCTTCTCACTTTAAAAAGCAATCTTATGGCATCACAGTTAGACCACCAACTCTGAAATTATTTTCATATGAGAACCAGAGTTTCTATTTAACATGCATATGAATGTCTAATCATAGGGAACCAGTTTGAAGAAGCATGTTATATTCTCACAGTGTAATATTCGGCATTAAGTTTCATGCTTTTGAAAAACATTTAATAAAAAGGGAACATGTCCTCAATATCCTAGGAAGAGAAAAAAGTAGATTGCAAATTATCCATACATTAAGATGCCAATTCTGTTGTATTATTCTGTATTGTATTACAGTGTACACACAGAATGCACAGAAAAAAAACACTGGAAAGAAATTTTAAAATATAACTGCTAATTCTTTGTAGGTGCAGATATGGGTAAATTTTATTTTATCCCTTCAAATGTCTTTAATAAACATTAATTACCTACATAATAAGAAAATCATAAATGTTGTTTTTAACCTAGATATAAACATAGAATTTTCTCATCTCTCTACCACTCTTTCTTCTTCAACACCAGTACTGGAAAAGCATTGTAAAATAAAAATTAGAAAAAATTGTTTAGAGGACTCAGGGACAAACCACAGATAACTGTCATGAAACAAAAATCTCAATAACATTTAAATGAGATGGATGAAAGCCATCTTTTGGCTTTGGGAACACTTTCCTTTTCACTGTTTTTCCTGAAGCCAAGGTTAGGCCAGCACTTCTTCAGTCTCTGAATTCAATTCTGCTTTCTCTGTCCATCAGCATGTACAGGTTTCAAAAGTAAAGTCAACCAAGGTTATCTTGTTCTTTTATCCTTTTCATTCAGTGGCTGTTGACAAGCACTGGAAGGCAACCAGCCTTTCTGAAATGATATTCCAAAGTCTATTCCCCCAATACATCCTGCTCTTCTCTTTGAATTATTTCATAAATGTGCATGGGAGTAGCAGCTTGACATTTTGGACTGAGCCTACAGCAGTGTTGAGACTTTAGGGATTAACAGCACACCTCTACCTCCTCCTCTCCATGGCTGCCTCCTGTAATCTCTTTCTGGAACCCTGGAGAATGGTGTAGTCAAACAGGATGGGCCAGGGCTCTTGGAGCTCAGTGAACAAGGAAACATCTGGATGTGAGGGTCTGCACTAATCACAACTCAGAAAAACACAACAAAATATGTAATCCAGTGGCCCCGTGTCATTGTCGTAAGTAAAACACACATTAATGGAGTCTTTACTAATGAACATCAACCCAATGTTAGATGGTATCAAATAGTAAGATTTAAAAATCACCTTAGTTTATAGAAATGTTAAACATCACAACAAGCACTTTTTTTATTGCAATGTACTTGTTTTGTTTTTCCCAGCCACCAGGAAAGCTATGATACAAATTTGTGGGGGCAGTCCTTGGCTCATGATAGGTGCTTAATAATTATGTGTGAGAAGGAAAGAAGGAATGAAGAAGGAAAAGGAAAGAGAAAGAAGGAGAAGTAAAAAGGAAGAGAGGGGCGGTTGGAAGGGGAGGGAGAGGAGGTGGAGAGGGAATGGAGGGGAGGTGGGGAGGGGAGGGAGGGGAGGTGGGGAGATAGGGAGGATAAGCCATTTAGTTCACGCATTGTTGCTTGCACGGGACTGTACATTACAGAGAGACAAGGACATATACAATTTTGAGGACTTTCAAAGTCATCCCCTGGTGTTGTTAACAGTTCCAGTACTCAACACTTCTCTCTGTTAAGAAATTCTCCCTTTAGCTAATATAAACCCTCTCTGCTTGATCTTAAGCCCACTCACTCTGGTTGTGTCTCAGAGGAGAAAGTGAACAGCTGATCTCCACACTTGGTACAATTATTCTTCACACATTTAAAGAGAATAAGTCATCACCTCATTGCCTTTTTTTTCTTTCCCTTAACAACCCCAATTCCCATAGCCTTTCTCCATGGATCCTGTCTTCTAATCCCTTAATCCAATGATGCATATTAGTACTCAGTTCAAAGTCAGTAAAAATAGCATGTTGTCAAACGGTGGTATCAGGAGATCCTGAATAAACACGCTTGCCATGAGGAGCTTCTGTTTCACCCCCTTAGATGCCTTCTGTAGAGCCTGGAGAGAGCATGAATATCCCCTGGCCTCTCCTCTGAGGCTGGGAGGTGGAACAAAGTCTGTCCAGCTGTGCCCAAGCAGTCACCAACACTGCACTTACTGGCCTGCTCAGTGATGTCTCACACCATGCTAGGCACAGAGGTATAGTGGAGAGGCACACAGATGTGCCAGTTTCTTCTGAGTGAGTGAATATGTATGAGCGGGGATGGAGGAGCTGTTTTATTTTGCCAGTCAAAAGCTTTCAAGTAATATCAATAGAGGTAGTGATTGACCTCTATTGTATAAACACTGATTTGATCATTGTGGACTATGATCACCATAGTCCTTAGGGGCTAGGATCACAGAGCCCCCACACCCTGGAGTTGGTGCTACCTCCTGGACATGAGGTCACCAGAGACACAGCGTCCCTTAGCCTGTCTTATTTATTCCAGGCTGCAGATACTGGCAGAGCATTCTGTTTTACTACATTTTCATTGCTTCAGCTCTTGTGGGGGTCTCCCTTTTCTCGGTTTGGTTGCACTCCTTCCCTCCAGTTGATCCATCCATTAATTCCTGAGTACTATCATGGGTTCAAAACTGTGTGCCATGCACTTTCATTTCTAGTCTCTCCTTTACTGGTGGATGTGGCTGTGACATCTCAGAGTTGAAAGCCATAGATGGAAACAGGTTTGGGGAGTCCAGAGAACGATCTACACAAACTGAAAATGTTTTTAATCTACATAAGGAAGGGAGTTTTCTGGTAGGTGGAGGCAGGGAAGAGGGAGTGGGCTTATAAAACACCCTCTTGTCTCTTTCTGAAAAAGATAAGCAGAGATGCAAATCTTACATATTCTCCTTTAATTCTGACCCAGACAGTCCCTTTAAGGTCTGTTTACATCTCAGAGCCCAAAAATGCACCATCATCATTTCTTGAAGTCATTACTCAGAGCACACCCCCACTGCATTTCATTTTTATTATCACCATTTTAGGAACGATTAAATGGAAGCAGAGAGCAGTAGCAATGAAGCAAATCATGAGAGGCTCTGATAGAGACAGAAGCCTTAAAGCTTGTTGGAACTGCATCTCTGTGCCAGACTATTTTTAAAGCAAGTTTATGCAGCTGTCCCCCACTTAGGAGCCTTACAAATGAGCCCAGTCTGCACACAATGATTTTTTTTTTCACCATTTCTACCCTTTCCAACTCACCATGCTATGTCTGCATGCATATGTGTGTGTAAAATATTTCTTTTTAAATGTCCTTCTCCACATTCCTACATACCAGGGAGATGTTCTTGGCTTTCTGTGAATCAAATTCTGATCCAGAGATCTCTTTGCTATTCTAGCCCCCTAAGCCTCCAAGAGGTTCCTTACATAGGATCCCATTAAAGGTTCACAAGAGCAGATACTGTTCATTTTTTTATTAAAGTAGTTGGGTAAATGTATCAAATCTGTAAATGTTTGGAGTATTTTCAGAGGAGTACATAAGAAATTGGCAATAACAATTGCTCTGGGGAGGATTCCAGAGACTGGGAACAGCATTGCTCTGGAGAGGGAAGCAAAGGGTCATAGATGAGAAGAGGACTTTCTTTTTACTGGATACTCTTTTGTGCCATTTGATTTTTTACCATGTGCAAATATTACCTTAAAAATTACACAAGAAGGGTATTGACTACCAATTGACATTTGTTGGAGACTGACTGTTTCAGTGACTATTCACTGATGTTTGACTGTAAAACCTCTTTGAATCTTTACAACAGCCTTATGTAAAACCCTATGTTACAAACTCAGGTAGTATCCATCACTAGCTGATAAATGGCAACATGGAGAACTGAACTCAGTTCTGATTTCCAAAACCACAGACTATGTTGTGTTGACTTCAAGTCTTCCCAAGGGAACAAAATGTGTAAGACTGTAGCATTGGGACTACTTTTAGGAACCTAAAGGAACATTGGGAAGTCGTATCACATGGTTCACACCAACAACTTAATCTTCCTTGACCCGAGATGCCTTGTTAAAAGCTGGTCACACATGTATGACTCCACTGGGAGTTGGGCCTCCCTGACAATTCCCCCCAAGTCCTTCCCTGGCACTGGGGTGCTCACTCCAGAGGAGGGGAAGTTACCTGTTCCCATGCTGTCTCCAGTAAACTTCTATGTCTAAATGGGAGATTTTCAGGGTAGAAGTGAAATAGCTTGTCAATATTCTAGTTCTCCTAAGCATACAGATTCTTCATTTATTTAGCAATTATCTTTTGAGTGGTCCAGACACTGAAGGCAAGCACTCTTCTGAAGGGTCAGAATTACAGAGGTGAGCAAGGTCCTTGCCCCCAGGAAGCATCCATCCTGGTGTGAAGAGGCAGGCAATAAACAAACAAGCAAGCAAGTAAGCAAAACGCCAGATAATGAGTGTATTCAGGAAAATTAAAATCTACTGTTAGACAGTGTGACGGGGTGACTACCTCATCATGGGTCATTAGGAGGGCCTTTCTGGAGAAATATTTACTTAAATGACAGGAATGACAAATATGTCCTAGGAGCTATGCCCTTCAAAACAAGCTCAGGTTCCTGTGTGTTCCATCCCTCACCCAATTTCTTTTCCAATCTGCTATTTATTTGCAAGGAGATTTTGCAGTCCCAGAAGTTAGCACTAGAAAGGACCCAAGAAGTCTTCTTAGTCCCATGCCATCATTTTAGAGATGAGAAAAGAAAAATGTAGAAAAGTGAAAAAAGCAGGTCCTATGGCTAGTTAGTGGCCTGACCAGTGGCTGACAGTCCTATCTGTAGCCCATATTTCTTCCACAAACCCACATTCCTCCCCTGCTTATCTGTCCAGTGTTCAAATCCTCCCTGTAGAATCTTCACCCTGGTGCCTGCCTCCCTGGAGTCCACTGACACTAAATCCTCCCTGGACCAAGGGGACTTTCTGAAGCAGCATTAGGCGTCTTGAGGATGATGTCCTGGGGACGAGGATAACAGTGGAAGGACCAATACAACTTTCCATGATGCAATCTCACCACAACCCAGCCATTCCCTGGAGCCACACCTGGCTCCTGCCATCCTCCCTGCCCACAGGTGAGCCCTAATAGAAGCCTTCAAGTTGGGGAGCTACATGGCTCTATGACCTCAATGAACACTAGACATCTATCTTCCAAAGTGTTCCCTGGGTTAATTGAGTCGATATGAAAATGTTCTATTCTATTATCTCAACCCCTCCCAAATGCCCTACAAAAAGATTAACCACAGAATTCCTTTAAACAGCAACTTCCTTTAGTACATGTAAAGTATGATCTACAAAAATTCAATCTACACAAATATTTTCTCCTGCCCCTCCCCATGAAACAACAGCTACCGTATCAAGGGCAACAACATAAACTTGGATTCTTAATGGTAGATTTTGGGATTCTTTTATTATGTAATGATTCTCATACATGCTACAAATATTTATTGAACTGCTCTATGAAATACGCCCTTACAGGTTGCTGTGAGGACACAATTGAGCTAAAGACACAGCCTCTGCCCTTTGGAAGCTTGCATATGGACAACTCTAACAAGAGGCAGATGTGATGGGTGCTACCACAGACGTATGGACAAAATCTATAGGGGACAAGGGAGTGTGAGATTTTATCTCAGTCAAAGATGAGGGGAGGAAGCTGCAACATTTTAATTGGGTTTCAAAGGATGGTTATGATTATATAATTGGATAATTCATTCTAGGAAGACACATCATGACATGTACAGGGGACGGGACCTACAAAGGCACATTCTCAGAACAAGAAGAAGCCCAGGGTAGCTTAATTGTGAGACAGGAAATCATGAGGAGGAGAATAAAGGCTTGGAAGGCAGACCAGAGCCTTGAATGCAAGAACAGATCAAGTCTAGCCCCAGTCCATAAACCATAGAAGGCTCAAGTTGGCTTTGGGCAGAGAAGGAACATCACAGTCAGAATTGTGCTTCAGGAAGCTCATTCTGGCAGCCATATTTTGGACTAATCTGAAGGAGTAAAGGCAGGTACCAGGGACAAGGAGGCCCATTTAAAAAATTGTCACATAGTCCCTGGATCATATATAAAGTAAAGAATAAATTCAAGAGCTAGAATAAAAATAGAATTGGTGAGGGAAGGGATCCAAACCCTAGGAAGTAGGGTCTAGTTCTAGAAAGGGGTAGGGGATGCAGGCCTCAGATTCTGGACTCAAGAAGAGGAGTCAATATGACCTGATGGTGAGTGGTGTCTCTTTAAGAAAAGGCTGTTGTGAGATGCCTCCTCCTGCTTGAGACAGTAATTGTGAGCCTACTGCAAAGAAAGCTGCCCCCTCTGTACATCTTATGAGCTACCTATGAAGCCTCAGTTATTAATAGTTCCTCTTCTAGAGACAGACAGAAGTGCCTGTTATACATGAAGAACCCAGAACATTTCTTAAATTATGACATCTCTACAGCAGCAGTGAAAGCAGCTTGATTGTAGTGAAAAGCAGAAGCCCAGGGAACAACCATTTCTGAACAAATGATAACTCAGTGGAGGGAGGGCAACTTTAATCAAGAACATCAGGCAGGCCAAGCGCAGTGGCACACACCTGTAATTCCAGTGCTTTGGGAGGCTGAGGCAGAAGGATCACTTGAGGCCAGGAGTTCAAGACCAGCCTGGGCAACATAGTGAGACCTCATTTCTACCAAAAATTTGAAAGTTGGCCAGGCATGGTGATACACACCTATAGTCCCAGCTACTTGGGAGGCTGAGCTGGAAGGACAGGTTGAGCCCAGGATTTTGAGGTTGCAGTGAGCTATGACAGCACCACTGCACTCTAGTCTGAGTGACAGAATGAGACCCTGTCTCAAAAGAATAAGATTAAATAAAAAGCTGGCATAATTTAAGCCTTATAATTGTGCCCTATCTGACAAGAGAAAATGCATGATAGATTGAGGTCTTTCAACTTGAAGAATTAGATCCTGGATTCTACTGCCTGAGCCACACATGCCTAGTTTCTCGGGTGAGCATTCACACATTCACATAACTAGCTGTCCAGGGCTCTCTGTGATGAGGTTGTGAATTTCAAGAAGTTTATCTCTGGCCTCATTTTCTGGTAACTCTCTCTAGAAATATATAGCTGGATTTCCATTCTAGGCAGAACTATGCTAACATTTTGAAGCCCATTCTCAGCCAATTGGTCCATGGAATCTGTGGAAGTTGTCTTAAATCAGTTTCCCAACATGTTTTCACAGAATATGAATATCATGAACAAAGGGGTCTCAAGGTAGAATAATTTTAGGAAATTCCATTCTAAATAAAAGTAAAGATGTTTCTTTGCTATAAGACACCTCTGAACTTCCAAGGGTTAGTATGTTCCAAGACTCTCCTAGAGTGAGAAACAGTAGGTAGCATCTCCCAACCTTATGTATCTGTAAAGCTATTTTTCAGCAAAATGTCTTGAGAGACAAGAGCACTGCAGAACATATTTGGAGAAAAATCAGTGATGACATTACTCTCAGGAATACTTGTATTCAACTGGGAATCTGGAATAATAAAAAATTGTAATACTAATTGAGTGCTTACTATGAACCAGGCAACTTTCTAAATACTTTACGTATACTTCATCCTTATACCTGTTGGTACTATTATTATTATTTTCCTTCTCTAGATGAGAAAACTGAGGCATCAAGTAGTGAAGAGATTTGTCTAAGATCCTACATAGAGCTGGGAATTGGACCTAGACAGTCTGGTGCCCACAGAAATTAATTTCTGATGGTAGAATTTCAAACACTGTGATCAACTGGCAGTGGGAGAGATTGAGCAGAGCCTTGCATGGGAATCCTTCAATCACAATAAGTCTAAACCTTTCTTCTCATAAATTCATCTTTATAAGCTTCCCAGATGCTCTCTAGGACACAACTCCTGAACTATACCACTAATTCAGTTTCTTCACCAAATTATGTTATATTGTACACACATACTCTCCCACAAAAACAAAGTCAAGATTCAGACAGCAATGCAATTATCAACAATAAATGGTAATACACAAAGAAAACAATCCCTTGATTAACCAAAATAGCAAGTAAATGAACATGCAAGTTTGAGAAATGGCTTCTCCTGTGTATCAAGGTATTGATCCCTTGCTCCACAGGTCTAGGGACAAAAGCCAAAGGACTACTTTCCTTCATTGTGTTGCAAAATTTCACATTTCTACTCTACTTTGCTCAAGAATTGTCAAAGACATGTCTTACCCTTTCCCACTTCCTCTCCTTGTTCAGAAGAATTATCACCAGTTTCGGGTGCATCTGGTAGCCATCTTCACTGAAGGACAAATTCCTCCCCTCAAAAGTGACATTGATCAGATACCTGTAAAGATAAAATAAAAGGAAGATTAAAAGTATGAAGAGGGTATACCATGAACAAGGCAGTCAGGTATATAGAGAGAAAGCTGGCTGGAGACAGACAAGTAAATAGAAATACAGATACCATTATCAAATTTGGTACTTCTTGAACTCGCATTTGATTATGCAATAGAGTCATCCAAGTTTTCACATAGTAGGAATCACATGAAAAAGTAATATAAAAATTTTAAATAAAAGATGTTTGGTCACCGCATGTTCTCACTTACAAGTGGGAGCTGAACAATGTGAACACATAGACACAGGGAGGGGAACAAGACACACTGGGGCCTGTAGGCAGGGAAGTGGGGAGAGGGAGAGCATCAGGAAAAACAGCAAATGCATGCTGGGCTTAATATTTAGGTGATGGGTTGATAGGTGCAGCAAATCACCATGTCACAAGTTTACCTATAAAATGAACCTGCACATCCTGCACATGTACCCCAGAACTTAAAATTAAAAATAAAAATTTTTAAAAAGGTGTTTGGTTTAAGTTCAGCCTAGAGGTATGACTTTGAGCAAATTACTCAGCCTTTTTGAGCCTCTGTGTTTTTCCCTATCAGTGAAAACTAGGTTAATAAAGGGACCTACTTCATTAGGTTTGTAAGGCTTAAAGGGGATAACTTAGGTTAACCACTTACCATGCGGCCTGGTGCATAGTAGAGTCTCATTAAGTGCTAACAATTGCTATCAAAAAACAAAGGTGGATTAAAGGTTGGAAGTGGTGGAGATAAGAAATGAAAGTAGGAGTGTACCAAGACAACTTTCTGCTAACAGAGGTGGCATGTAGGAGCCTAGAGTCTCCCTCTATCCCAGAGATATGCACATACTCTTTAACTCTTGCTAAGGTCTTGCCAAGCCCATACTTCTAAGAGTTGTGAGATGAGTACAGTAAGCAGGGATCTGATATGACAGGATGCATCTGGAAATCAGGGCTATTACACTATGTATAGGGAACAGAAAATACTAAGGAATGGGAAAAGGTGGGAAAGGGATTTCACAGAGTGCTCTGGTTACTTGTGCATAGATTAGCAGAAACTCTGGAGGTAACTAGAGTCAGACCAATGAAACTGTCTTCCTCCCGGACACCTTCACCTCAGCCCACCCTTTTCCCCTCTGGCTGCTGTCATCTGATGAGCAGTCCCTTCACTGGGAATTCCCAAAGGCATGCTCATTACAACTGCATTAGTGCAACTGCACTGATGGTAATTAATGTCTTTTTACCATAATGGCCCAAGGAATCAATAATGATTAGCTCTGTGTTCATATGACATGTTACTCTGGAGCCTTGGGCTTAATGTTTCTTGTGAGACCATGTCCCTGCTAAGAAGCAAAAGGGGTATCTTGTAACTGCAGTGAGGATGCTAAAGGAGGCAGCTTGAAGACTCTTTTTTTAACTCCTCTCATTCAATGAAACTGGGAGGTCTTCTTTGATTCTTCCAGGTAACATTAGGTTAAACAACCAGGTTGCTAGGATGCATATTCTTCTGGTGATTCTAATGATGCTTATGCAGCATGAATCAAACCCTCATGGATCACTTCTCATTTCCAGAACTACCTGGGATGTTTAAGCCTGTCATTCCCTGGTCCTGTGTAGCTTCACAAATGCAATCAAGAACACAGAAGATCCCAAAGGAGTAGCGATTCCTAGAATCTTAGAATTGAAAGAGATTTTCACAATCAACTAGCCTACCACTTCTTACAGTTTATGCTTCCCTTCTATATCATAATATTGGTCTTCTTAGCTCTTCTTGAATTCTTTCACTGATGGGGAACTTTTAATGGCACCTTCTGGGCTCAAGGTAGGCATCTCGGTGTTGGCTACTTAGTTCTTTCTTACTTAAAGCTGAAACCTCCTCCCCTGCAACCCTTTGATACATGTTTCCTCTTTAGAGATTCTACAGTCTTAGTCTAATCCTTCTTCTACATGAGAGTTTCTCAAGTATTTGAAGACATTTATCATACATCCCTTATGAAATCAATTTTACTCTTTAAAGACCTGTTAAACTCTTTTAGTTCCGTAATTTTAACTTGATGGATTAAAAAACAAGCACAAGGAGGTTAAATTATTTTCCAATGTTATTGTATGGCAGATGCACCTGACAGCAATAACTTATGCATACCCTGAGAATGACCCTACTGTCTAAGAAAAATGTTCAGAGTCCTAAGCTAAGAAATCTTGGAATAGCCAACCCAGAGATTCACTTTTTATCTATGAAGGACATCTAAACCCCCAGTTCATCTGCTGGAATGCAGGCCATACAGGGAATCAGAGCCCTTTGTTTTGGGTTAAATGAACGTTTAGGTGAACATTGCTAAGTGAAAATGCTATATAAACTGCATGCATTTTACAAATGGTAGCAGTTCTCCTGTCCAGCCCACCACCACTGGATTGTCCTTGTATGTAAGTTTCCCCAGTAAATCCTATGTCTCATTCATTATCTCTGGGTCTCTTCTTAGGCCTTTCAGATATGGTGCCATCGCTATTGGAGTCAACAAGGGTCCAGTATGACCGTTACACAGCTAATTGGGAGCAGAAGTAACATTTTAAGCAATATCTCCAGTTTCATGTCCTTTCCTGACACCAGCCTGATTCTCATATACAACATCAGACTTAGCATCCCAAGGCCTTTACATATTCCTCATATGCCATGGCTTCGTGTTTTCTACCATCCCACCTTGGCTGCTCTCTCCAGACACCTCCACTCAGTGACATGTAGCATCCCCAACACAACTCAATGCTCAATCTGCTCCACTTCTTGCCCTGTTCCTCAGCTCTCAGCCCAGAGCGGCTCACCCAAGCCCATCATTAGTGTGAAGGTAATATTCAGGTCTCTTATAGTTTGCAATGACTCTAACACTCCAACCAAAGGCCCTGAAGAATTCATTGCATAGAATATAATTACAAAACCATGAGACAGGATATTTTAAACCAACAAACTAGAATATAAGCACTAATATAATATACTTGAAAATGTATTCTTACTACAAAGACCCTGAACAATTTCTGGAGTCTTCAAATAAAGTTTATGAGACATGTAAAACAATTTGGTCTCATCTATTTTGAAAGGAGGAAGGAAAGAAGGAAAAAGGAAGAAAAGGAAAGAGGAAGGAAAGAAGGAAAAAGGAAGAAAAGGAAAGAGGAAGGAAAGAAAGAGAGGAAAAGGAGGAAGGAAGAGAGAGATGGAGGAGAGAGGGGTAAGGAAGAAGAAGGATAGGAGGGAAATAAATTATCTGGTGTAAGCATCCACCTTGTTATCAGACACTGTGCTGAATAATTCTGCCTTTAGCTAAAACACCATTAAGAATATTTAAAGGAAAGTATCTATTTCAGAAGGCAATTACAAAAGAGAAGTTCCAAAAATAATTCAATTAATAAGCAACATCAATGGAATAACTATATAGCCTCTCAAGATGACTTCTTTGAAGGGGACAGCATTGAATTAGGTGTACAAGTTGAGAAATTTGAACTTGCAGAAAATAAATCACACTCATGAGCAATGTAATTGGTCTGTAAATTTTTCTGGCTATTCCTGTTCCAGCGCCTTCTGATTTTCCTTAGAAATTGTTCTCTTTCTGGGGTGCTCCTCCTCTTCCAGCTCTAAGTTCATTTTATCTACCTAAGCACTCCTCACATATTTTACACTTATCAAAAACATTAGTAAAATTTTATGACAATATACAAAATATTCTTCTCCAAAGTATCCTTTCATCATTCATATCTGTCAGCAGCATATAGATTAATCATTCACACTGTGTTTTCATGAGTAATTTCTTGTGGTGTGAGAACATTTAGCCATTACTGAGGAGCATGCAAATATACATCAGCCTTGAGCAAGATGCCCTTTGAATAGCAGAACAAACCCATCCATTCACTGGTAATGAAAAGTGTGAAAAAATAATTGGGGGTGTGGTCACTTCTAGACATGTGATCTTGGCACCTGAATCTCAGTTATTCTTCTCTAAAATGGAGACATCATTTTACTTCCAGCTTATCAGAGAAGTCTGTTGTGATGACCAAATGAAAGAGTGGATAGGAAAACTATATAAAATATGATACAAATATAAGGTTATTTAATAGGAAAAATTCAGAAAAAGAATATATTAGCATAATTTGAGAGTCTAAAGGCAAGAAAGTTGCTTGATTTTAAACCTCAGTGAATAAGTGTGATAACCACATTTTAACAAGACTCAATTATCAATGAAATACATCTGAAAAATGGAGATTGGCTTCTACATATGGAGGCTAAACTAGATCAAATGGCTATATTAATCAATTTAACTTTCCATAAGACCTGAAAATATCCAACTACCCTTGGATCTGGCTGTACTTTGTCGATTTTTAATATTAATTAGAACCTCGAAACGTTCATGTGTGAATCCTGGGTAAAGGATTAAATTATAATTAAGAGATGCCATAGCTATTCTATTTCTCTCCAAACATGTCATCCTCAAGTACACAGTCAAAAAGCTTTGCTTCAAGTGGCAGCCAAATGCAGAAGTTCTGCCCATGAGACTCAAATCCCCTGGAAGTCCCATCAAGGTTGTGTGTGTGTGTGTGTGTGTGTGTGTGTGTGTGTGTGTGTGTGTGTGTATTTTAAATTGCTTGATTTGTCTCTAGAATGTAGTTTGAACCTTAAGAAACCAGATGGTCTGCCTCATATAGTTCTAATATTACACAGAATCTCACATTGCTAAAACTAGGAGAGAACTTAGAAATTATCCATAGAGAACCTTCATTTTAGAGAGGAGAAAATAGGTCCCAAGATGCAAAACAACTTTGCCAAGGTGACCTGCCTGTTCAGGACTGGAGCTTAAGTCTTCTGACTCTCAGCTCAGGGTCCTTCCATGATCACCAAGTGAAGTAAAATCAGTTCCACAGAGCTCCAGATGTGCATTTTAGCATTCTTGAATCACATGGCACATCCTGGACTATATAGATCCCTAATACAGACTGCATAAAACAAAATCTATCTTAGATGATTAATCTACCTGCTTGCCTGCTTGTTGAGAAAGAGCCTCAGAATCCTGATGGGCTCAGAGCCAATACATTTGCTTTATATGGCCAAAGTCACACCACAGTGAGCTTAATGGGATCAGGCTAAGGTTAAAGAGCCCTTCTGCCTCTCTGACTCTGGCCATGCCACTCCAAGCTCATCTACTGCACCACGTTGATACCCACAGCAATGATTTAGCGGCATACCTTGAGTGGGAGGCACTCGAAGGAGCTCTACCAGAATTTTCCCAGCCAACCAACAGCCCTAGAACTACAGTACTTACTTTACCCCGCATGTCTTTACAAGCACTAGATTTTTAAAATTAATATCTGCTAATGTGTCAATCAGAGAAGAGATAGCATCTCATTTCATCCAATCTTTTCATCTTCAGATGAAACAGACAAAGCCCAGCAGGGCTTTTGTGATTAGATGACAAGGCTGAGAATAGGACCCAGGTGTCCTAACCCCTAGTCCGGTGTTCTTTCCATGTGCCACCATGCTTTTAAAAAGTGGCGGTTTTTCATATCTCTCATTTTCCTTCTCTAGCTATTAAAAGTAAAGTGATAAAAGAACACAGTTCCAGGCAAGGGACAAATTCTTGACCCCCTCTTTTTTTGCAATTTTCTGGCTCTGAAAAGCTGTAACTCTGTAACTTTGTATCATGCATGTGTCACCTTCTAAAGCCTTCAGCTTCCTCATCTATAAAACAGGTGGTTCATACCATCTTACTTGTCTGGTGTGAGAAGCTACAGGGAGGATCCTTTGACCTGTTGTTTATCTCTACATTTCTTTTCTTCTTTTTTAAACATAGTTTTTAGTGTGTATATGTAAGGTATCCAACATGATTTTATGGGATACATATAGATAGTAAAAAAGATTACTCTAGTGAAGCAAATTAACTTATCACCTCACATTTCATCTGATTAATACTGTTCTTAGTAATATTGCTATAATTCTGTTATTATTAGCTGCTGTTATTACTCTCTACCATGTGAATGGAAAAAACACAATTCTTTTGAAAGACTAGAGTTTCTTTTTAGAAATTATGATTATTTATACACAGTACCTCTAGAAATAGTAGAAACAATTTCCCAAAGGATTAGAAATAGTGGACTTAAAACTTTTAAAAGCTACCTAATTACAGACTGGTATTGGAGAAAAGAGGCAAAGATATTTAAAAATTAGATTTTCAGTGTTCTAGTTTAGATAGACTAAACAGAAATTTCTGAATTTTTCCCAGCTAAGAAATTCATAATTATCAAAATAAATCCAAAATGATTAATCCAGTTTAGCGTGGTCAACATGGCAGGCAAGATTATTACAATCTGGTCAACAATGTCCTCTTTTTAAGGAAGAAGGATTTGAAGAAGTTTTAAATGATTCCTTTGAGATATGTCATATATAAAAATATTAAACTCTGTGGTTGGACAATATAATTAGAAATGCCAGTTTCCTAAGCTGTTCTTTTAGGCAAAATGATACCTTGTAGAGAAGCTCAGGAATAACTAATTTAAAGAGCAGACTGTAATATTAGTTTATGTTTACTTGAGATGGGTTAAAAATAGTTTGTCTTCCAGTGGATAACACATTTTCTCTGAAATGGTGTTTATACCATTAATTTATTTTGCAAACCATTCTTCACAAATCATAAAATGTTCAAGTTTGGGCTAGTTCATATCACAGTTATTTAAATTCTAAATTAGTGGTGTTAAGTTAATGAGATATATTAAAGTATCTTAAATTCTAAATTAGTGGTGTTAAGTTAATGAGATATTAAAGTATCTTGAACAGTGATTGATACAAATTTAATATACCTCTTATCTCCTACTGGTGGTGAGAAATGTGCTTTAGCCCCTTAGTAGTTTGGGCTGAACTGAATTCATGAGAGGTGTAAGTGGCAATGTGTAAATTCACCATCTATTATGAAGAAAAAGTGCTTTCAGCCCCCTTGGCCTAACAATAAAAAATTTCAGAGAGCTATTACCTGGATTCTGTTTCACAACTGAATACCATGAATTAGTTTAATCTGCAATGAAAGAAAACAGAGGAGGACTGATATAAGAAGGTAGAGAACATTAACCTCCCTCCAGAAAGATGCTGTCTTTGGCCAATTATCAAAGCAATGAGAATTTTAAGGAGTTCTGTCACCAGCTGTGATAACCTCCTATCTATGCCACCTTTCACCAAGCAGGGTCAATGTGGCAGGCCATGGCTAGGGAACAATGCTCTCTAGACTTACCTACGGGTCCATCTGGGATGAAATGGAGGAACTCATTCTCATTAGTAAGATATTCTCATTCAAATGAATGAAAAAAATCTGGACAATGCCCCAAAATGCTTAGTGGTGAGAGGTGAATAGAAAGAAAATAAAGGGGAGAAACAGTAACTAAAGAGGGAAAGAATACAGTGTATATAACACACGTACACACTCATACTGCAACAGGCAGTGTAGCGAGGTGTTTAAGAACAAGGGCACAGTTCTTAAACAGTGTAATAGTCACAGTCTCCATTCAAATCCTGCACCCACCAGTTCTGAAGCTGTGTGGTCTTGCAAGTTATTTAACCTCTCTTTCCTTATTTTCTTCACCATAAAAAATATAAATAATAATATTACCTATCTCATAGGATTGTTGTGTTTCGATATATATAAAGGGGATGTGAGGGTGATCTGGCTGCGGCATCTGTCACTCCATCGATTGCCAGGGTTGATTCAGCTGATCTGGCTGGCTAGGCGGGTGTCCCCTTCCTCCCTCACTACTCCATGTGCATCCGTCCCTAAGCTGCAGGCTCAGTGGAAGAGGATGACCATTCCCAATAAAGGAGGACCGGTCTTCGGTCAAGGGTATGTGAGTAGCTGGGCTTCCATTCTAGAACCTCCAAACAAGCTCTCAACATATATAAAGGACTTAGAATTCTCCCTATCACAGAGTAAGCATTATGTATTAGTTGTTATTATTATTACCTATTTTTTACATTGCCTGGGTGTCAGGGGAGTTAGCATTTGAAGGGACTTTTGGATCACAGTCTAACTGTTCATATTTAGAGCTGAACACTCTGAAGCTTGGGACAATGATGTCATGCTTTGGCCCATTTAGTTGAGTCTGGGTCTCCTAATTCCTGGATCTCTGTTTTTCCATAATACTACCAGTTCAGTATATTCTCTCTCATTCCTATAACATCCAAAACTATTAAGGCTTGGGAATATTTGTTTTGTTCTTACTATGATTAGTTACCCCTGTGAGGTTTTTTTGCAGTGGGCAGTCACTAAATCATACCACTTCAATATAAAGTTCACTTTCCAAGGAAGGCAAAAGATGTGCTCATACCTCCATAATTTTAGTCTAGAATAAATGATTCCTCAAAATGATCCCCCTTCTGACCTCCCAGATCCCTGCTTTGAACACTATGTAATTCTCTTTAAAATCCCTTTGGAGAGAACACATTCTTGATTATGTGTGAAGGTACCACACTTCCTTAGGGAACTAGTGAGGCTGCCTTTTGATGCCAATTAATCAAATGTGCAGAATACCAAAGTTGCTTCTCATTTAGCTCTACGCACAGAACTCAGTGATGAAAAATGAAATTCCTCTTTGTGCTCATGCTCACGACTCTTAGTCACCTCTACTATAGGTGAGACCTGGTAAGGTGCTACAGGAAAGCCAGACTTATTAGACAATGCTAGAAAGGTAGAAATCCCCAGAGAGAAGAAACCAAGTAGCTTTTCTGCATAATGTTACTGTCACTGGATTATTTTTCCTTTTAGTTCATATTTCCATGCTGTATATAAGTTAAAATCACTTTCTTAAAACACTGAATAAAATTCCTTTCTTCTTCCAGAGATTAGGTGTTCAGTATGTTGGAATGCAGCCCAGAGTAGGTAGGCTATCAAAACTAAGTGGTGAGACCTTCCCAGAGAAAATACCAAGGCAGATCAAAGGCTAGCTGATCACTGACTACGTTATCTCTTTTTTGTGACTATTAATAATTTTAAGGTGAAGGCTTGTCTTTCTGACATCCATTTTAGCTCACAGGCTGGAAAAACTATTCAGGGGCTATGTAAACAATGACTGGCAAAGATTTCTCTAGGACATTCAACTATGGCAGGAAGACTTTCCTTCCTGTGAACTTTCAGGCCTACTGAAAGAATGTACTCAAGGCCTACTGAGCATATGTACTCAAGAAGCCCTTGGGTAAGAACCTAAAGTGACCTAGGTATGATATCAACGGAAAAGAATAAGAAGGCTTTTCTCTCCCTTTTGATCTTTCTCCATTTCCTCAATTTGTCCTTTCTGTAGCCTCTCTCTACTTCCTCTTACACATTGGGTGGTCAACAAAATCAACACACAGGAAATATCTCCATACACACAGTTCCTGCCCCATCTGTAGCTACCATATTTTTGACTTCACAATTCCCTCTAACAGCTCTGCCAAAGGGGGCAAAATGGTAGATGAATATATGATGAGTTGGTGATGGCTTCACTTACAGGGCTGGAGAGTGGAAGTTATGAAGAATTGTCACTCATGGAAAAAGAAGGTTATAATTTAGTTTTCCAGTAATGGTTGGCAGAGTTCTTCAAGTGAAGATTTATAGAAGTGATTATGTTGAATTGGGAGGAGGAGAGGGTCAAAGGAGGGAGGATCTTCCAGGGTCAAGGGGACATTTCCAACAGAGAGAAGACTCAAGATGCCTGGGTGAAGATTATGTCTTTAGGGGAGACAGGCATGTCATGCTATGTATGTGAGACAGAGAGAGTGGTGGAAGCTGTTGACTCATTCAAAAACATATCTCTGACTTCAGAAAACCCAGTCATAAACCACACCTACCATACAGATAAAATCCTTTCACATAGGGAACGAAATCATTTCTCCCAAGGAAAGACCAGAGTAATGAGAGAGATGCAAAGTGGAATATAATCTGGGAATGGAGAAAGTGAACTGACAGGAAGATTTGTTTGCAATAAGGAGTTTGTTAACGTGGTTCCTGTAGCACATTCTGGAGAACAGCTTTCTGGGCTACAGTTCAGTGAGATGAACAGTCTCTAACAGTAGGGTTGGTTTTAAGGGTACAGGAAATTTGTACTAGATGGCAGTGAAAGGGATATTATGGATCTGAAAACTGTGAAGCCAAATGTGTACATAATCAAAGAAAATACATCTAGATGAGAAAAACCACAATGCAAAAGTGCTGGTCAAAAGTTATCAGTCAAACCCACATCTTATATTTCTAGAGTTTCTTTAAGTTTCACTCTAACGCAGTACATTATGGCACTGTTTCTAGACCAGGTTAGAATAAAGAGGTTGGGGAAGATCAAATTTATTTATGTATTTAGTTAAAGATATCCATTGATCTTTTCCAATATTCTAAAATGAGATTGACCCTTGAGTCAGAATTTCAAGCAAGATGAGGCCAAGAGTTTCTTCAAACCAAACCCCATTTCCTTCTTTTCTCATCCTCAAGAGGACAGCACCATGAACCCCAATTGCATCTTCACTGGGAAGCTGAAAGAAACGTGTAATCATCTCTCCCTGCTGTACTGTGTGGGGGCTAGAACTCTGCTGTTCCTTCTTTGTCAGGGGATCCTAGCTCTTTCTCTCCCTCTGTAGGTTGATGTTTCCATGGAAACATGCTCTTTAATGCTTCTGAAATTACTGTGCATTTATACCATTAACTCTTTTTTGACCAGGGCAAATCACAAAGAGATTTTTCAACCCCTATGAAAAAGTAATTTTATTTTCTATCTCTTCTTACTGGGAACTTTTTAAAAAAGTAATTGGCGCCTGATGACCCTATTTCCTCCCCAGACTTCACTCCTTAACCCTTGTAATCTTTGCTTTTGCCTCTCTTTTCTACTGAAACTATCACAGCTGCAAAATCATCAATAATCAAACAAGGTTGATATGATTTGGCTGTCTGTCCATCCAAGCAAGGATGTGTGTCCCCTCCAAACCTCATGTTGAAATTTGAACCCCAATATTGGAGGTGGAGCCTAATGGAAGCTGTTTGGGTCATGAAAAGATTAATGCCCTCCCTTGGGGATAAGTTCCTTCTTTATCAGGTCCCATGAGAACCAGTTGTTAAAAAGAGTCTGGGTGCACCCCCCTCCCCGACCTTGCTTCTTCTCTCACCATGTGATCTCTCAACATGCAGTGTCTCTTTCACCTTCCCCCACGAGTAGAAGCAGACTGAGGCCCCCATCAGAGGCAGATGCCCAATATTGAACTTTCCAGCCATCAGCATCATCAAAAAGTAAACCTTTTTCCTTTACAAATTACCAGCCTTGAGTTTTCTTTATAGCAACACAAAATAAACTAAGACAAAGATCAACAAAAATAAAATCAGTAGCCTTTGCTGTATCATCATTCTCCTAAGTGTTCTATAGTCTCTAACAGTTGATACTCCCAGTTTTTTTTAGCAAGTCCCTTTTTTGTACTTTATTATTTAAAGTAGGATAATATCTTGGTTCTCCTTATACAACTCAGGCTAGTCATCTCTCCATTTTTTCTCCACTTTGACTTGAAACTCCCCAATTTGGGGGTATGCCAAGGTTCAGTTTTGAGCCCATATTGTCTCCCTCTGAGATGCATTCACAGCCATAACATCAACAATCATGCCAAGGTCTCCAAAATCCCTATCATAGGTTCCACCAATTCCCTGACCTTCAGCTCAATATTTCTGATTGGAATGTTCTACTTGAATGCTCAGATCAAACTTAACATGACCAAGTCCAAGCCAGGTTCCCCTGTGTCTTTAGACAATGAGACCACCACACTTACAGCTTTAAAACTGTTACAGCTTTGTCTTCTCTCTTTCTGTTATAATTTCATCTTTAACACATGAATGAAAGGAAGAATTAGCTGGCTGCTCTTAGGCACTGGATTCCCAGGATGAATCAAATCAATTAAAAGTCAACTGTAGTTTAGCTTCATGTACAAAATATGCTGACTGACATTTTTCCCCTCTTCAGCACATAGTTTCAGAACTTTGTCTCCACAAGGTAAATGAATCTCATAGCTTTCTGATCTATAAGTGAAGTTGCTTGGAAGTCTTATTTCTGCTCTGGCTGCTCAATTTTTTAAAAAACCCAACAATGTTACCATTTATTGAGCACATGCCTAGCCTTGTTTTTGGTGCTTTACATTATTTTACATTCTCACATCAATGATATAAAATAATAGGTAAATACTATAATGAAGGCCCAAGGTTGGGAGCACTGGGAGTTGAATCCATCCACTTCTGAATGATTCTAAAGCCCATTTTCCTTCCAATGCCCCACGCTAAGAACAATGTTGTCAAGAGAAGCAATGGTCAGTAGAGAAGAAAAGAAAGAAGCCACAAACTTCTAAGATGGTAGAACTAAAATTCAAATCCAGATCTGAATGGCTCCAAGCCCTAGGCTCTTGATTATGATTTATACACCAACCAGTGGTCCATCAGTTGTTTTAAATTGTCCCTGATGCCATCACCATAAAGAGGCCTACAGGAAAGTCAACTAAACACACAGGCTTTTTACAGCCCTAAGAGAGACCAGAGGCACATTACTGGTAAGGAGCTATGTTCATAGGATAATTAGAGAACCCCAGTCTCTAAGGGCTGTCAATCTGTCATATTTCACAAGCACTAACCCAAAAAAGTGAAGAAATTGAATGAATTTGCCTTATAAAAAAACAGGAGAAAAACCACACAGCAGTAAGCTTGACTGGACTTATAGAGGAATTAATTCTTAGATCGTGCTCTGGAAGGAAGTCAGTTATGAAAGTCTAAGACTGAATTCTTGGAGTTCTTGTTAAAGGCAGACAATAAGAGCTAGAATATTTATTTGGTTTGGTTAATAGTGACAAAAACTTATCCTGCTTTGGCACAGAATATCCAAATTCTCTCTGGACTTAAAAATACAATATTAAAGTATTTCTTTGGAGCTATAGTCAACTCTCAATTGCCCTCAATAGGACAGGCTGATCTTCACTTATGATCTGGACAATCAAATACATAAATTAGTCTCAGTACTTACCCTGTTTGATCTCTCCACAGATTCACACCGTAGAATAGCTCCTTCCTTTGAAATTGCTTTCTGTCTAGATACTACCATGCTATGTTATCTTAGTTCTCCTCCTTCATCTGTGATTTCTCCTTCTTTACTGGATGCCTTTATCTTTTCTCTTATTTTACTTTTTAAAGGAAATTCAAAACAGGCTGTTTATTTCTCATTTTATGCAGATATCAGCCATTCCCATGGCACAAACTCTTCTTCTAAGTGGATTAGTCCAATTCTTCTCCTCCAGGTCTGACCTCTTATTCCCCATTTCCATCCTTTGCCAGTCATCTCCACTTGCATTTATCCCTATTACAAACTCTTAGTGCCTGAAATTGATTGGCTTTATCTTTGCTCTCAAAATAGCTGACTTTCAATTCTTCCTCTCTCTCAATGAGTTAAAACTTATGAAGCACTTGGAAAGGTGCCTGGCACATAGTAGGCACTCAGTAAATATTAACTAGCCTTATTCCTTTAGTCTTGAAATCTTCCAGCTGTCTCCAACATTTTTCTTTTAATTTCCCATGCCCAATCCATCCTCCAAAACTTCCCTTTCTTTACAAAATGATTCTTACATTTGTCCCTTCTTTTCTACTCCCTAAATGTTTACCCTAGACCAGGCATATATCCACTCATACCCAGATACTTGCAACAGCCTCCTCCTGGGCCCTTTGCCTTATATCATTGCCACCCTCCCCAATACTATCCCCATTTAATCTTACCGTGAGATTTCTTAGTGCCACATCACTACTTGCTCAAACATCTCCAATGGCTCCGCACTGCCTAGAGCCAAAGTCTGCTCTCAGCAAAGGATCTCTACACCCTGGTCCCTTCTACCTGTTTGGAATTCTCTCATCTTTACATGAACTCTTGCTGAAGCCAAGAACCATCTTTGCTGTCCCCTGACAAACATTATTTACACTTTCTGCCTCTTCCATTTTCTCTCAATTGAGCATAATCCAACTCTTGCTCATGCTTATGGACTCAGATCAAATCTTATCCTCTCTCTACACTTTCCTATCAATCTGAGGCCTTCTCCCCTCTTCTCTCCTCTTGTCTTATCTTGCCTCCAGTCCACATTTCAACATTTCATTTATTGTTCACTTGACTTGTTCTGTTCCCTTTTATTACTTAATTTTTTACTTGTCTGTATCTTGTCTTCCATGATAGACAACATACTATTTAAAGGTAAAAATCAAATCTCGTCCTTCTGTTATCCTTTGCAGAACCCAAACTAGTATCTTGCTTGTGGTAAGTATTCAATAATACTTATTGATTTGTTTTTCACTTGCAGAAGACTAGTGTTGAAATCCTCCCATGCTACTTCCTCACTTCTCATTCCCACCCACACCCCTTCTATGTCACACCACACACACACACACACACACACACACACACATGCACACGCACAATCTATTTACAAATACTTTTTTTTGCCTCTCTCTCTCTCTCTCTCACACACACACACACACACACATGCAACTGGCATTGAGTACTGGTTCCCTGTGGAAGAAAGTAATTCCTCCAATTATTAATTTAAAAAAAGAATAAATTCTAAAGAATATATTATCTATAATCTTTCTTTTCTAAAGAATGAGATGAAAGTTTGGATTGACTTCATTCTTGCCCAGACTCTTTTTAAACTTCTCCCTTTTGATGTTTTTCTCATTACACTGCCATAAAAACATAGATCTGCCTGTGAGGATCATGTAATCTACCCAAATCCTTATTCTCTCCATGGTATTGTGCCCTTGGAGAGAGCTGACACAGGAGTGAACATAATTAATGATCGGTAGAGAAATCAAAAGCGATTTCTCTTTGTTTCTGAAATATTTTATTCCGTAAGAAAGAAAAATAAATAAAATTTCTTGATATTGCAGTTTGTGGCTATGATTTTTTTAGTTTAGAAACTCAAAGCATTGGGGGAATCTGAAATATATGTTAAAATTAATATGTGAATATTCTTTACTAACGTAAATCATTTTGTCAGTTTGGAAAGAAATGAAATCAAATTCATCTTACTTATAACATTGAGATGAGGAGGTCTTTTAAGAGAAACTAGAAAAACAAAAGGGACATTTATTCATTATTTTTTTCTAGTACTTTTCAATTTTTGAGGAAAATTAAAATATCCTCAGTGGAGAAGAGGAATAATCTTTTTCTCAATCTTCACATGGTTAGGTGCACATAACTACAAAATCCCATTCTCACTCCTTCCCACTCCTCACTCCCTACACACATCACAGCAAGGTGAGGGTGAATAGTTGATATTCACACTAAGATCTTCTCTACATTTGGCCCAACTCTTAATAACCCAGGATGTCAGTATCTTCAGAGAGTCCCTGTGGGTCCATGCAAATAATGCCTGAAGTGAATATTTCATGGCTGGGAAATTAAGAGTTGAGGATAGTTCAGAAATTTCTTGTTTGTAGATAACACCAGGACATGATGAAGTAGTTCAGGTGGAAATCAGAAAGGTATTATGAATAAGTCTCTCTGAACCACAGTAAAGACTTAATCCCTGTGAAAGCAAAGGAAGTTAATTTGATTACCACTTGCTTGAATTCCCTCAAATTCTTGGGCATCCTAGCATAACCTACAGGAATTTAGCATTTCAGTCAATTTCTTTACCCCCTTTTCCAGTCATTACCAGGTTGCTTTGATTATATTAAGTTAAAAACACATTCGATATGATTGGGGAAAGGAAGCAAAATAGCTTGAAGAAATACAGTGTTTGATGTCTTCAATTACAAAGGGGGTTGGGGTGAGTGTAGAAGAGATAGAAATGTGAGAGAACAAGCACACACTAGAGAGAAATGAAGAGATGGAGAGGAGATGAAACAGCATGCAGCATGCTGGATAACATCTCCATGGCAACCACATTACATGTACAGAGAACTGCCAAAATAAGTCAAGATCCAAGCAAGTAGGTGTTGGTGGAAAGAGAAGACAAGCACTCAGCAATGGGCAAAAACCACCTAGAGGAGATGAATTATCTTTGTGAATTTAACTCTTCTTCCCATTTGTTTTTCTAACCACACCTAAAGCTCTAGTTTGAGTGAGAATGTGTCTAAAGTGTCGAGGCTGCCAAATCCAGATCATTCAGGAAGGTCTCAGGATGACATGAATGAGGCTTAAAAAGCCCCCGATTGAAGCCAAGAGAAAAATCATTAAGTGAGGTAAATAATTTCCCTGTAGCAATTAACTCACTTTCCCAAGTTTTTTCAGCAACTTGCACAGAAGGAATATACTTTTTTATTTTCCAGGTGGCTTCAGGAGGGGTAACAAAGTTGATGAAAACATTATTGGGCAGGTAAAATGGAAACTATGAAGATAGGTACCAAGTTCATACGTTAGGGAGCCAGGCTGTCCATTGGTGAAATCTATCCCTGTAACACAGGGAGAATCCTATTAAAAGTATAGTCAAGATGTCCCTAGAGAATATAGGTGCTCAGAATACATACAGCAGGTCCTCAAATGACATATTTTTGTTCAATTTGTTTCCTTACATTGATGAGAAAAAAATGGATTTCTGGCTGGGTGGGGCCCCTGTCTGTGTGGAGTTTGCACATTTTCCCCACATCTGTGTGGGTTTTCTCCAGTTACTCTGGTTTCCTCCCACATCTCAAAGCTGTGCACGTTAGGTGAACTGCCGTGTCTACATGGTGCCAGCATGAGCAAGTATGGGTGTGTGTGAATGTGCCCTGTGATGGGATGCCATCCTGTCCTAGGTCAGTGTTCACCTTGACCCTCAGCTGTTAGGGTAGTCTCTGGTTACCCGAGACCCTGAACTCGAATAGTTGGGTAGTAATCATTACTTATTTTCATTAATCTTTCTTTTCTTTTTTTTTTTTTTTTTTTTTTTTTGAGGCAGAGTTTTGCTCTTGTTGCCCAGGCTGGAGTGCAATGGTGCCATCTCAGCTCACTGCAACGTCCACCTCCTGGGTTCAAGTGATTCTCCTGCCTCAGCCTCCCGAGTAGCTGGGATTACAGGCGCCTGCCACCACACCCGGCTAATTTTGTATTTTTAGTAGAGATGGGGTTGCTCCATGTTGGTCAGGCTGGTCCCAAACTCCCAACCTCAGGTGATCTGCCTGCCTAGGCCTCCCAGAGTGCTAGGATTACAGGCGTGAGCCACTGCACCCAGCCTCTAATCTTTCTTAAGTATACATATAGCTCACATTTATCTTAATGTTTAATATTAGAAGTGTGTTAGGTCTTTATTTAGAAGTTTGATGATGTTTTTGTGACCAGAGAGATACTATAGGAACTTAAGTCTTTATACCAATTAGCTGATGGTCAAATTGGTTTCATTCTACATCATTTCGCTTAAGGTTGCAGTTTCCAAGACCCTATCGATGAAGTTAAGTGAAGACTTATTGCATGTTTCTTGGGACATTTAAAATTACCCAGCAAATATAAAGTAAATACACATTTATATATTTTATATTTAAATATCAAAATATGTATATATGTGAAGGAAAAACTATAAAGCATGGCATATACCTTATAGCCCTTCCTCTACACCTTTAGGTCATCACATATAAGAACCGCAAGCTCTCCAGTATTTTTATGCCTTCCAGCAGCACTCGTGGAGAGCCCATGATAACATGCAACCCAGGGCTGCTTCTCACAGGTTTACATCCAGAGGCTGAGCTGGGTCCCTGACATTGGCCTGGAGAGCCTGTTAAAAATATGGATTCCTGGGCCACACTTGAAAGACAGGGATTCAATATCCCTGCTTCATAGTATGCATTTTAAATCTCCCTGGGTGGTTGTCTTGTGTAGACAGGCATGGAAACCATCAGAGGAAGCATACATCCCTCCTTCCCCTTCTCCGGTGACTCCCCTACTCTCTGCCTTGCCAAGCAGTGGTGAGGAACCTTTTCCTTGCCTCTGGAACAGCAGCATCACACCTGTTAGAGAGCTGCTCCCAGGGCACTTATGAGACCAGAAAAGTGTCCTTCTGCACTGAAAAATGAGTTAGACCAGTTCTGGTCACCAACTACTACCATCTAGAGGAGTCTGCTCTCAGATGCACTCTCCTATAAATTCTGGGTGGAAGGGATAGAGGGGAACTAGGAAGAAAGAGAACCTAGGTTCCACCAGAGGACCGAGTCAGCAAGGGAGAGTAATTAGGTCTTAAGGTGCAATAAACAGCCAAATTTTGAATGAGAAATAAGCACACTCTTTTTTCTCCTGTCCATGCACAGAAGTACTTCCCTACATCATAGCCTTGCCAGAAAAATTAAAGATAAGTCAAAAGAGCCCTTGAACATCACACAGCTCAACACTCAGCTCTCGTACTGTTTGAGAACACCATCATTTTCTGGTTTAGATTTATACAACTGTATATTTGGAGAAGCTCTTCCAAAACAAAATAATTGTATAAAAAATGAAATTAACCAGGTGAGGCATCTGACAAAGGCAGTGTCAAGTTTATGCAGCAAATGCTCATTGAACCCTATGATGTGTCAGGCACTGTGAACATGGGGATAAGTAAGAAAAGTCATCATTCTTCTCAAGCACTGATTGTGTTACAGGTGTCTTATGTATGTTACCTAATATAATCCCATGTTACAGATGAGGAAACTAAGGATCAGAAGGTGACTCATTTTGTTGAAGTCAGACAGCTAGTAAGTGACAGACTGGAATTAAAATTGAGGTTTACCCCAAAATTATACTTCATTAAGTCCACTACAGTAGCTCCTTCCCAGTCTATTGTGCAAGAAAATGTCATATATATATATATATATATATATATATATATATATATATATATATAAATTAATTAATATTGGTCACCACATATCCACTCTTCTCCTCTATTTTAATCCTCAAACAGGCACCAAGGATACATGGAAATATGATGAGACAAAAAAAGAATGTGTCTTCTGAGAAGAGATGAGACACTACTCACATTACTTTTTCCAGGACTGGGGAAAGTGAAGAAAAGTCTCTGTGAATGAAGTAAAGGATTACAAAGTTTTTTATGGCCTTCATTTGCCTTTTCTTTCATTCTTCCCTCTTCATAAGACTTGAGGCTATGTGTGCTCCTACTTTAGAAGTGACAGACTCTGAAGAATTAAGAGGATTTAAAGTGGTGTCAATGACAAGGAACAAGGAGTTTGCTGTTCTATGGAAAGCTGCAAAGGGATCTCTAAGCTTTCTACATTGTCCCACTCAATTCACCAAAGAGAGAAAACTGATGTGAAAGAAGTCTTTGTCAAGAAAATAAAGGAATTTGTATTTTGGGGTGTATCCTAACCATCATATAGAAAACAGACAGGATAGGAAACCAGTGCATAAAGCCTACATCTTTCGCTCACCTATCCCCTTCCTTCCCTTCTACCTTGCCAAACACTGGCCTGCCACTGTCATATCTCTCAGGTGTATGACCTAGCAATAACTGAGTCAAGGCAGCAAAGCTGAGGAGAGGAAAACCCCATGAAAACAATGGTTTAAAGACTATGCTTGTTTTATAGAGAAGTAAGAACATAAGAAGCTGGTGGGGAGCAAGCTTCAGGCTTCACCAGGGGAGTTATTTTAGCTGGGTCTGAAAGAGCGAGTAGTCTACTTGGCAAAGAAGAGAAGAATGGAGAGTCCAGAGAGTGTGTCAGGTACAAAGAAGAGTATGGGAATGATGAAGGTATAGCTGCAGGACAGGAGGGAGGAAAGAGAATAACGGAGTCAGGGTGGGCAGAAGCAATGGAAGAAATAAGGCTGAAAACAGGGCCAATTGTGAAGCTTTTGAACAGGATGCTGTATTCCTATAAATAAGTACCCAAGAACAGTTTTCAAACAGGGCAGATAAGTGATCCAATTAATTTTTCTAATTAATTTTTTTCATTGTTGTTAAGAAAAATAGTGGTTGGCATAAAGACAAGTTAAGCGGCTCATAGTGTAGATAAGGGAAACAATGCAAACCTGAACCCCAGTAGCGGAAATGATGATTGCATGCTGGAGAATAATCTGAGACTATTGTGAAGAGTGGATGGATGTGACATGTGAAATGTAGTGGATTTAAATGCATCAATTGCTCCCTGTGACTGCAGGGAGAATAAGTATAGCTCTGACCTCTGCAGGACACTATCAAGGTATGACACCTTGTATTTATGATCTTTCTTACTATAACTACAACCTCCTTAGGACTTCAAGGTCAAAGGTGAGCTGACTGGTTCTTATTAAAATTGGCAAAGGAAGAAGAAATGCTTGGGAGTCAAGAAGGAAAGGAAGCCTGGAGCATTAATGAAGACCAAGAAGGGGTGCAGCATAATCATGTTGCACATTGGAAGACTGAGCTAGTATGAGTATACAGAATGATGTGAGGGAAACAGCATCCCACAAGTAAACTTTTATATATGTAACAAAAGGTGTGTAACTACCTTGGGAGCCCTCCTATCTTCAGACATGAGAATACTAGCTTGGAGTTCTTTAACTATCTTCATTGTTCTTGTTCAGCCTTCTCAAAATCACCAACATCTCTTTTGCATGGTGGGATATAAGATGATTGCTTCAGTAATTATTCCAAAGTCCACACCCTGATGTCCTCTCAAATCTCAGAGATGTCAGTGCATATCATTTGAAAAAGTTGCCCCAGGAATAAAAAAGTTGCTAGAATCTACCTGCACCATGCAGTCTCACCGCCACTAAAAACTTCTACTCCAATATGTGCCAGACCTATGCTGAATGAGAAGAAAGATTGCACACCAATTTGATACTTCAATGAACTCATATGGACTTGGGCTCCCTCTCATTACGGCATCATATTACAGGAACATGTTTAAGTCATGGCTCACTGTGATTCTCAGCTGTATGTTGCCATCCTCTTTCATCCTGTTTTCCTGTAAGTGAGCTCTTCATTATCAGTACTAATGGAGGACAGGGAGGGCATACCTAACCAAAATCAACAGATAACTCCAAAACTTATTGTAGGCAAAGGGTTCAAAATTCTCCCCCACCAAGCCCTTTGCAGAGCTCCTACCATGAAGCAGAACTTAATAATGCTTTAGCCGTTCTTTATGCTTCTCCATATCAGCTGGTGGAAGTCCTAACAAGCAGCAAAATGACCAAAACCCAGCAGGAGGGGAAAGGGTGAAAAGCAAAAGACCTAGAAACTGCACAAAGTGGGTAATAAGTGCCTGAATGATGAGCTCTTGGAAAATCAGGCCCTGCTTGATGAGGTTTATTCCCCCACCCCCAAAATGCAATGAAGACAAATCACCCAGCAAGTTTGCTCTAAGATGTAAATTCTGAGTTGCCATGAATTACTCCCACAACTCAGGAGAGAGGCAAAGAATGGGAAAAGCCTCAATTTTCACTTTTTAAATGTGCAACCATAACCTTAAAATTCATCCAATTCAGGAAGCAGCTTGTCTCTAAATGTGATTAGAAAAAAAAACAGAACAGTCTATTGAGTCTATCAGGGCTTCTGACACACTCACAGATGGTGCAACTAACATCTAGCTGAGTCCGTATCCCTACCCCATTTCTCCCTTGTCACCCTACTAGCTTTTGGGAACACCTGACTTTATCTCCCCTTGTATTCTTATCCCCTGTTCTCTCTTATGTAGGTGCTACAGTCACTAGAAGGAGACTTCTTATTTGACAGTGACATTCCAAAAGCAGGAACTAGAGTGCGGGGGCTGGAAGGAGCCTCAGCAAAGAGGCTCTACTCCATGTTCCTCATCCCAAACATTTTGTCCAAGGTTGCACTTAGGGACAATATCCCTACCAATGAAATAGAGCCTTTTAAAGAGATCAGAAGCAATATAACCTCATCCATTAAATCTGTGCGTGAAAACATGGTATCCAAGTTAGCATTTTCTGTACTTTTGTGTGCATTTCAAGAATTTCACATTAAAAATGTTTCACTGTATAAAACACACACACACAAAAACAGTTAACCTGCACCAACACTACTGTTTCACTACTTAAGCAGAGAATGTTGATCCTGAGAGTGCATTTTGCTCAATCCAACATGTGACACTGCAACTTGCACCAAAGTCACAGATAAGATCACTTTTGCATCTGACATGTAGAATGATAAATAGACCCCACCTGCTCTTCTCCATTGGGTAGCATTTCTTAAATGAGAAGCTGGGACATTATTCAGATGCAACTACCATTGCACAGAACAGCACTATTTCTTCCAGCTTCGGCATTCAGCTGGAGGTCACCTCCCCACATCATTATCAGGCCGTGCTCCAAGGTTGATGAGGCAATGAGTGGATAACACACACTGCTGAGGGATGCGCGTGCATGCTGTTCTATACTGATGCAATACCATGCGGTGGAGTTGGGGCGCGGGGCGCGGGGAGCGGAATGATTTTACATTTAGGAACGTCTCCAAATCCCAGCAAATCCCTGCCTTGTTGAAACAATGAAACCCTCCACAAGGAGAGCCCCTATAGAAAAGCAAGACAGTAGGGAATTTCTCAAAATGTTCCTTTTGTGGAGACAAGTAAATATTAGTTGAAGTTGCTTTGATAGTATAATTTCAATTTTGTATACGATAAAATGACTTGTGTCTGAATAAACAAAATATATTTATAACAGATTTTGAAAAGCCTGGCAGAAAATATTCAAAAAATATAACAGTATTACATCTTTGTGTGTGATAAAAATCAGTGTATTATATAATTGTTTCAAATATTTCCACAATGTGTATACATATATTACTTTTATGTACAGAAAAAATATATTTTAAAAACCAAAGAAGATCTACTTTGATCATCCGCATACAGTACTACATAACAAATCAAAATTATTTTTATTTTTTTGAGACAGAGTTTCTCTCTGTCACCCATGCTGCAGTGCAGTGGCACGATCCTGGCTCACTGCAACCTCTGCCTCCTGGGTTCAAGTAACTATCCTGCCTCAGGCTCCTGAGCAGCTGGGACTACAGGCGCGCACCACCATGCCAGGCTAACTTTTCTATTTTTAGTAGAGATGGGGTTTCACCATGTTGCTCAGGCTGGTCTCGAACTCCTGACCTCAGGTGATCCACCTGCCTCAGCCTCCCAAAGTGCTGGCATTACAGGCGTGAGCCACCGCACCCGGCCAAATCAAAATTATTATTATAACATGTAGAAACTTGGGAAGGTGACCATCCATTGAAACATTGTCTAAAAAAGCAGAATAAAAATTAGGCACATGCTATGATGACAACTATATAAAAGTAAGCATGCATAAGGTTAAAGGCTACAGTAAATTAAAATACTTATGTTAGGATGGTGGGAATATCAGTGAACTTTCTTCTGTTCTGATTTTCGTATTGCTGCTGTGTACGTATTATATGCCTTGGGAAAGTTGGCTTCTCTGAGGTCCCATCTCCCCAATACCTGCAGTGCATTGTTGTGCTACAAAGTAGGACATATACACTTTCTGGAACTAATAGATAACTAATAAATGGTGACCACTAGGGTCTCCTAAATGGAAGTACAGTAAGCAAGCTTGGAACTTTTATCAAGGTATTACAAATAGTATAAGAAATCTGCAAAAGAATCACAAGAATTAACATGTATCACTTGTTTAACAGGGATCTCTGAAAAAAGATAGGGTTGGCAAAGGAAACTTGTCTGTTGAAAACCTACAAAAGAAGAATTAATGTATAAAAAAGTGACTTTTCTAGCACCTTGGAGAGGAGAAACCTACCTGAAAGGAAAAAAAATAATTTTTTTTTTTTTTAGATGGAGTCTTGCTCTGTTGCCAGGCCGGAGTGAAGTAGCATTATCTCAGCTCACTGCAACCTCCGCCTCCTGGGTTCAAGTGATTTCTTCTGCTTCAGCCTCCCAAGTAGCTGGGACTACAGGTGTCTGCCACCACACCCAGCTAATTTTTGTATTTTTAGTAGAGATGGGGTTTCACCATATTGGCCAGGCTGGTCTTGAACTCCTGACCTTGTGATCCGCCCACCTCAGCCTCCCGAAGTGCTGGGATTACAGGCATGAGCCACCGCACCCAGCCTTTTTTTTTTTTTTCTTGTCTAAATAAATACCTTTGGCAGATAACAATCTAGTTGAGATGGAAAGATTATAACTTCAGTGACACCAGACCCTCAGACCACGTAATTCACTCCTTTTTCTCTTTCTAAACTTACCAGGGAATCTTTTTATTGTAACTGGGCAGAGGCAGCTCCAGAATTTCAACAAAAGAGGACTGAAGGGCAGTAATACGCTGTCTGTCTGTGGGGAGGTGGGATGGGAGATGTCAGTACCCTGGGACTTTTCTTGAGACATCATCTGCACAGTAAGTACACTGGTTTTATTCTCATTGTATTCCTATTTTCCAGGATTTGAAAGAGAAACTGATGGCAATTTTAAGGAGGTCAAATACCATCCCCCTCCTCTTGGCCTATGTAATTTCGCTAACTGTGGAATTTTTCTACTACAATGAGAACATAACGAAAAACCAACTTGAGGTGATTGACAAATCTTTTTAATAGATATTTTTCAGTGAATGTTTGGAGTTCATTAAAAATGACTGCAATTTCTCTATCACTTTCTCCATCAAGAGGTAGTCTACTTCTATCTTCCCCCATACCCCCACTACCCTTAACTCTGGATTGGGCTGTAACTGCTTTGACCAAGAGAATACAGCAGAAGTGATACTTGCCAGGCAGCACTAGTCACAATGTTTGAGGAACCCCGAGTGGCCAAGTGGAAAGGCCCACATGGAAGAGAATTGAGTCCTGGTGACTCCCAGGTGACAGCTAGTACCAGTCTACCAGGCATATGAGTACCCCACCTTGGGAGTGGATCCTCCAGCCCTCGTCAAACACTCTAACTAATGCCACTTGGAGCTAAAATAAGCTGTCCCTGTTGGGTCCTTCCTAAACTGTGAAATTGTTAGCAGATAAATAAGTGTTGTTAACTTAACACAATAAGTTTGGAGGTGATTTGCTATGGAAAAATCCACAATGGAAACTGTGTAACTAAATGATAACTGGTTTACATTTCAGTCTTTGATGAGTTTGGTGAGGTGTATTAATCTGTTTTCATACTGCTATAAAGAACTTCCCAAGACTGGGTAATTTTTAAAGAAAAAGATTTAATTGACTCACAATTCAGCAAGGCTGGGGAGGTCTCAGGAAACTTACAACCGTGGCAGAAGGTGAAGGGGAAACGAGGCACCTACTTCACAAGGCAGCAGGAAGAAGAAGTGCACACAGGAAGAACTAACACACACTTATAAAACGTCGGATCTCAAGAGAACTCACTCACTATCACAAGAACAGCATCGAGGGAACCACCCCAGTGATTCAGTTACCTCCACCTGGCCTCTCCCTTGACACATGAGGATTATGAGGATTATGGGGATTACAATTCAAGGTGAGATTTGGGTGGGGACACAAAGCCTAACCATATCAGGTTGGTTATTGCCTTGATTCTGACCAACTCTAAGAAACTTATGAAATTGAGATTGGAAGACTAAAAATTCATGGGGTGTCATAATCCTGTCAAAGCAATACTTTTTGTTTGACTTCTGCCTAAAGTACCACATTGGTCTCCCTCTGTAACATATTCAAAAAATTCATTTAACTAATACTTACCAAGCAACTATTATGTGTGAAGCACTAGGGATTCAGTGGCACAAAAAAAAAAAAAAAAGAAAAAAAAACAGACAGTTCCTGCCACCACAGTGTTCTTGGTCTAGTAGATGTCTAATTTCATCCCTCCAACTACAACAAGCAGTGCCTGCTCTAACTGAATTAACTACAACTGCACCATCCAGGCAAGATCACAATGGAAGGTTTTGTTTTGATGATGAAGACTGGATGACTAGCACAAGAAGCCCAGGACTATGCATTACAATGTGTGTTAAACTGCTGTCAGTTCAGTTTGGCTTGCTTCAAGCATAGCACTCAAAGATCCAGACAAGAACTCCACCAATCCTCCTGAACACAGCCTTACTTCAGTGTTCTTTGGATAAAAGACAAACACAAAGCAAAGCAGAGGTTCAGAAGAGCTGTGAGAAGAATCCTTGAAGGCCTGTTGAAAAATTCATATGCAACTCCTCTACCAAGTAAGTTGAGTCTTTGCTACACAAATCAGTATTTGTCAATTCAAACTCCAAGAAGTCTTTTCTTTCTACATTTGAATAATCTCAGCAATAACAGAACTTCAGCAATTTGCCGACAAATAATCACATTAATTAAGATTTGTATAAGTGTTTTATAATTTATGGATCTCTTTCATGTACGTAATTGTTCTTCCATTATCATTCTCAGAAAGTATTTCCCATAGGACCTTAGCTTGATTCCTTCCAAGCTACTACCATCACATCCAGAGTAACAGAATTATAATTGTGAAAATATTCATAAGTTTACTGATTAAAAATATGTTCACCAGGATCTTTCCCTTAAAGAGGGAATCTCAAGGTATTTAATTTTTATTTGATAACTTTATGTGCTACCTAGATCCAAGGAGGACTTCATAACAGAACATAGCAGTCAGAGCATGTACATGGCATCTGTTTGCTCAGAGATTGATTGGTTTTCTGGTCTGGCCTTATTATGCTCTTGACTTCAGTAGACTAGGGAATGTCTCTGTATCAGTGATAAATGAAAAGATCTAGGATTGAAACTGTGATAAGCGGCTATCAACTAAACCAGGAAGCACAGCTGTTAAATAAGCATTACGATTTGAACACAAGAATAGATTCCATTAATCCGCCCTCCGGGGGGTCCATACACAATTAGTGAAAGTCTATCCATCCCTGAGAGCCAGCTCCATTATAACCAGGGATTCAACTCACTTCCAAATACCCCATAAAGACGGACCCCACAAGAGTTAAAGAGTGGCTTTCCAGGGCTCTCATGCAAACAGGAGACCCCAGGCCAGCATTAAAAATTTTAAGTTATCATTTGCTCTCCCTTCCTGTCATACCACATGTTTATGTGCTTGTCAAACTCCCATTCCTTACAGCTAAAGTCTCAGTCAGACTAGGAAGAAATAAATCTATGCATTCCAAATTAACTCATTGCTTACAAGTTTGTATAGAAAGGGCACTGCACAAACTTAGAAGAGGGTCATCATAACATGAACATCGGTCATAGCATTTTTATGATGTCAATTTCCCAGCACATGGCAGGAAAGTGTTTGGAGGAATGGACACGTTAAAAAATTTGTGCAAAGGTGCCATGTGGGTTAAACTGTTTTGTGAATCACCACTACATTTTTATGCTCCCAGGGATACTTGTTTATTACCTCAAATAAATTTCTAATTGGGGAGGGTTTTTAGAAAAAGATTGTATGCAAGGGTTGGGCTTTTCTTTAAGTGATTTCACTCCCATATGGCCAGCTAGAGAAGGAGGGAAAGAAAAGATAACAGGCCTTTAAACCCCTCCCTTATTTGGGCATAATGAGAGACCTCTTGCTGATGCCCACTCTTCATATTTGTGTTATTCCTGAAATACTATTGTCAGCTCACAACTTTATATTTTTTATCACTCACATGCTATATGTTCATTAGAGCAAATGAAAAAATGCAGTTAAGAAAAATAATAATAATTTCACTTTGTAGAGACAACCCACATTATTATTTTAGCAACTTTCCCAGATGAAAACATCTAGGCATCAATATGCAAATACAACAGAAATATATATCAATTATACATAACTGCTGTAATGTTTTATTTTCATTCAATACTTTAATCTCTCTCTCTACACATACACACACAAATATGCAATATATTTTTAAAAATTCATAATCTTTCATTGAATTATTAACCAAAATTTAATCAACCCCCTCTTCATGAAAATTTAGGATGTTTTCAATTCACAAAAACTGGATAACCACCCTCATAGGCATATCTTTGTGCAATAAACCTTTTCCTTATTTTAAGTAAGGTTGACCACCATGGGATCCTTTTAACTTCAATCCATTTATTCCCAACTGCCTCTTCCCACTTGGGAAACATAAAAATACATACAGCAAATGTAATCTCACATAGTCACTTTCACTCACAATGACATGCAGATTCAAACTCAACTCATACAGAAATATACCCAGTATACAGATTCCTCATACATTCACTTGTCTCTGTCATCAAAAGAGAGGAAGAGGCTAGGATAAGGCTATGGCTGCAAGAAGATAGGGACAGGATAGCAGAGGAGTTCTGAAGATTGGGGAGAAATGAAAATTAGTCAGAGATTTATCAGAGAGATAAGAAAATAGTAATGTGGTCATGAGGCTGGCATCTCCAGTTATGAGAAGAAGGTATCAAAGTCATCAATTAGGAAAAGTCTGATGCTGAGACCGGGAGGCTGACAGTGACATGGATGCTCAAGGGTAGGATGCATGAGGAGGACTTAGCCAGATGGGGGCTACACCACCACCATGCAGAGCCAATGCCAGGGCTTGCGGGAAAACTCTCAATGAGAAAGGGAAAGGATGGAGGAGAAGGGCATGGGCTGATGAAAGGAAGAAGGATTTGATCCCTGTGAAACACACTGCTTGAATGGCCAATCCTTGAACATGCATTTTACCCAGTATCTTTTAACGACTCAAACCAAATCCTGACACACCAACAGATTTCTCTAACTCTGCATTCATCTATTTTCAGAATATGCTGAAATAACACCCACAGCATTACAGTTCTTCTTGGTCATCACACCATCCCCCAGTGCCATCCCAATCTCTAGGAGACACCCACATACCCACCTAATCTAGTGCCCCCCAAATCCTATTGGCACCATCTCCAAGTGAACTCCTTCCTTGCCAGTTAGACCCAGCACCCCATGTAATTCCATGAGATTTCTTCTCCCCATGGCTGCATCTATGTTAAATGAGATAAAACAGCATCTGCCTCACAGCATTGTTGTGAGAGCTAAACGAATTAATACAGGTAAAAGGACTTCTAAGTCCTTTGCCTGAGGCATTGTCAAAGCTCAAAAATGTTAACCATTATTATAATGATTTCTCATTTGTAAATAAAACACATGTCACTGATACTTTTATTCCTCATTTTTTACTGAGCCCTAATTTGGAGGAATCGGTTTCTTTCTGCCTAAAATATTAATGCCCCATGACTGATTTCAGTGGAATATCTTCACAACCAATACATCCTTAGGCAGCCCCTTCTCCAATTCCCAGGTACCTTTGTGTCATCATATAAGCATACCTGGATTTGACAATCCTATCCATTCTTTTTTCCTTCCCCCTGATAATGATTTGCTGTGCATACTCATTTTCATATATCCACCATCCCTAGCAGGTGCTTTACACATAGGAGGTATTTAACAAAAGTTGAATTTGATTCCCCTGCTCTCTTGCCTTAGCTTTTCCCTATTACCCATTATCTCCCTAACTTCTCCATAAACCACAAAGCCATTTTATGAGGAAATAAATGCCATATGATCTCACAGTTACTTGTAGTAATCATCATGTCTATTATTTCAAATTCTCTGGACAAGGCACTCTAAGAGACACTAGAGGAAATAATCCCAGATGATCAGATTAGAAAGGCATGGATGATATAAGGCATAGTGTCTTGTATTATCTAGATTTATAATTTAAAAGTATACTATATTTTGAACTTTCATGGCAGGAGGCACACAAATATACGTTCATAAGGATTCCCAAAATGTGTTTGTATACCACAAAGGGATTATGTCTGTTAACACATTAATGAACAACAAAAAATGCACTGTATCACCCATGGCCCTGTCTAATGACCTGGCTGTAACACCAGTCATTTTTGTTTTCACCAAAAATAGTCCACAAGCTTCCCCACATTGAAAGTCATTGATGAGATCTCCAAAGCAGTTACTTTGAATTTAGTCTAAATTTCTCTTTACTATAATAATTATTTTTAAATAATGTAGAGATACTCAAGAGTTCAGAGAACTTTAATCAAGATGGCTAAAGACATTAAAATAAACCCTTTGATGAACAGTGCAAGAAACTGCAATTGTTTAGTCTAGACAGCAGGCGCAGAAAGGTGACGAGAGTTTGGCTTCACATTAATGAAGGGTTGTTATTAGTGAGGTAGTAATCATTTGCTATCCATGCCCACAGTAGACAACACAGGAGCAAACAAATTAAATTACATCAGGAAAGATTTCAATTAGACATAAGGAAGAACCTCCCGGCTGATTAATTAGTAGAATAAAGTCCTTGAGAGAGACTGTCATCCTCATCTCTGGAGTGCTTCAAGGAGGCAGTAAACAATTCTCTACCTTGGCAGGCTTTGGTAATCATCTAGCTATGCCACCAAGACCTCTAGAGGTCCCCTCCACCTATTTGATTTGATGAGTCTCTTACAGTGCTTATTGGTATCTCATGGGTCACAGAAATACACTGGAACTGGCAAAACACTGAGGCTCAATAAGGCTGGAAAACAGCAGGGATTAGTGGGAGAATTAAGGACTGAATAGACATAAGAAATGCCATTCTTCAATATGATCATATTCTAACTCTGTTAAGATCGAAAGAAAAATGCATAAACTCATACTTTCCCAGTGGGAGACTAAATGGTTAGAAATAAAATAAAGTATCTTCCAGCAACCTAAGGAGAACTCAATCAGCAGAGAAAATAAAAAGGTCAAAGTAGACTCACTATTTAATCATATTTTCCAGGACACCGACATGCCTCCCATAGATCTAAAGCCCCAGCTTTATGCCATGTTGCTGTATGGACAGCAGTAGTCCCCAAATTAATCTCACACATTTCCTCCTGTAGCCTGAACATGGAATTCCCAACCTCCCCATGTCTGACCATCAAAGCGTTAACCACCTTGAAAGCCCAAGCTCAGATGCCACCTGCCCTAGGAAGATTTTTTGAATCTCCTAAACTGGAATGTCAGAACTGTGTGAGTCCTGTTTGCCTCAGCTCCACACAGCTACAGGGACAAAACACTCACAAAGTAAATCGGAGCAGGAGACATTTTGGCCTGCCTTGTTCCAAGGCATCTTCCCAGGCCCAGAGAGCTTCCATGGTTCTCTTCTTTCCCTTTGATGCAGGCTTTCAGACACAGTCTCCTTCCTCCTCCTCTCAGGAACAGCCACCCCATCTATTATCCCTTGTAAAAATCTCTTTGCCCAAGCTTGGCTATAGAGAGGCAATGAGGTTTTCCAACCCGTCACTTCTCGCTGCTCATGAGGGTCAGCATGTAAACTCTTTTCTGTTTAAAGGTCTTATTCTTAATCTATGAGCATGAATGGTAAAAAACACAAGATCGTAATTAAAGTGAAAATCTCACTTTGCTTTTATTCCTGAATCAAGAGCCTACCAAATGTCAATTCTGTCAGCTCTTACTCCATTAATGAAGGCCTTGTAGTCTCTCTTTCACTCCAGCAATTCATTCAAGGGAGAACAACAGATCTACACCAGCATCAGGTTGCATCTCAGAAGATCTCACAGGGGAAAACGCCCAAACAAGTAGGTCTCCTGCAACTCTTTAACGGATATTTTATGAAAGATGGCCTGTGACTCAGGAGAAGAAGCCTCTGATTCCCTTTCAGTGATATTAATCACTATATCTTCTTCCTGAACTCAATAGCTAAATGCCAAAGAATTATAAACAGAGGTAGATACTCATAGAGATGCCCATTTGCTATACGTTTATGTAGTTTCCAAAAGATTAACATTATTTTCTTGGGGTCTTTGGAATGTTGTGGTTATCTAAAGAAAAGTTAAACAGTGTTATATCAATAAACAACTAAATCAGGGAAATCAATGCATTTTTTGAACACTTATCAGATCTCTTGCACCAGTGAACAGCAGTTATAAAATCTGAGATTTTCACTTAGCACCTATTCGGTACAGGGCTTGAGATAGGTGGAGAATGTGCAGATATACAAAACACGGCTGCTTTGTGGACAGTAAAATTGAAAAAAAAATTTAACTTAAATTTTTGTAAATCCTATTGGAATATTTCTATTCAATGCCTGAAAAGAAGGAATGAAAGCAACAAATCTCTTTGAGAATTTGTAACACGTAAAATATACAGCAAGTTTACTGGGCAATCATGGTGAGAGAGACAGGCACAGGCTCCTAGGTCTCCCACAGAGCTCTTGTAGAGAGCTGATCTGCTGGACCCAAGCTGAAGGTCTAAGCAAGGCTAGAAGCCTGATACATGTAGAGTTTGTTCAAGGAACAGGGGAGTTACAGGCAATAAGGCAGAGTGGGCTGTGACTCAGCAGGTACAGACTTGTGTTGAACTTAGTCCAGCTATCCCAGACCAAAAGGTGAACAGCAGCAAAACTAATAAAGGTTGTGAATTTACCACTTCCCAATAGAAGTAGTTTTGGAAATGAGCTGGCAATTATAAGATTCTCTTTGAGGCTGGGTAATGAGGAGAGGCTATGTCCTCTCCTTCCCCCACGCTTCCCGTAAGTTTTATTCTGTCACACTTAAAACAACTTTGTGGGAGTAGGCATTGTTATTTCCATTTTACAGAGAGAATTGAGTTCGACCTGAGAGATTAAGAAAAGTCACCAGTGAGGCCACTCTAACGTCAAAGCCTATGTATGAACTCCCTTTTTCCATACGAAGATCATTTTTCTTAATAGAGAAGATGTAATTAAAATAGAGGTGGACTATTTCTGATTTCATTTATCATCTGTTTACATAAGACCAACTGCCCCATGAAATAAGTCTATCCTTTGGTTATTCTTGCTCCACATTTTAAAAGTTATCTTTATTATTTTGGCATTTGAAGAGGAGAGGAGACATTGAATTTGTGGGGTTTTTTGAGCACTTATTTATGCTAAATACTTTACATATATCATTTCTTTCTATAAAATATCATTTTCCTATTACATACAAGAAAAAAACTGGTACATACACAGAGAGGTTAATCAACTTATCCAAGGTGACAGGTATCGGTAATTCTAACTATCTTCTTGCAGTACTGTTCAGTGTACACTAGTGTTTTCTTTGTTTATTAGCTTTTTCATTCATTCGAAAATATTTATTGAGTGCTTCCAATATTTATTTAGTTCCAGACTCTGTTCCCAGTACCTGGGATACATAGAACAAAGATCCTTGCCCTTGTAAAGCTTAAATTCTAATGGTGGTAATAGATAATAAATGAGAAACCCAGGTTTACATAAATAAAGAAGTGATTTTTCTTTCATCTTGTGAAGTATGTCTTCAAAATCCAAACTTACTGGTTCTGGTTCCAGATAAGATGGAGTGAACACATGCCAATTTTTTTCTCCTACTTAACACAACTATGAAACCTTGATAAAATTCATGGCACACCTATCTGAGGTCTCTGAGAATAAAATATCAACAGGCAGATTGAGAAGAACACCAGAATTCAAAGTGTCACCAAACTGAGTGGCTTTAAATAAGGCTCAGAAACTCATAACATAATATTTAAAATATCCAAAATACAATCCAAAATTACTCAGCATACAAAGAACCATAACATGTCGGCTTGTACAAGAAAAAAACAATTGACAGGCCCCCAACATTGTGATGACACAAATGTTCAAATTATCTGACCAAGATTTTAAAGCAGCTATTATAAAAATACTCAAACAAGCAATCATGAACATGCTTTCAACAAGTTAAAATCGAAAGCGTCAGCAAAGACACAGAAGATAGAAAGAAGAACCAAACAGAAATTTTAGAAATGAAACAATATAATGGTTAATATAAAAAATACTTGCTGGATGGAACTCAGTGACCAAAATGTTAGTAATAGAGGAAAGAGTCAGTTAACTTACAGGTAACAAGTATAGCTGAGCAGTACCTTCTCCTTGAGGCTCTAAGTACTGCACCAGATCCACGGGTCACTACCTCTGAGCTTCTAAATTCTAATAACCACAACCCCAGCTCTAAAACGAAGTCCCGGCAGGTATTATTTCTCAGCATTCCCTTTTCATTCTTCCAGCTGTCTGATTTCCTATATTACATTCCCACTGTTGACAAACATTCATATATTTCTGGTGAGAAAGTAAAATGATACTACCGCTCTGAAAAATGGTTGGCCATATCTGATAAGGTTAAACATGTACCTATCCTATAACCAATTATTCAGCTCCTGGGTATATACCCAAGAGAAATAAAAACATATGTCCACAAAAGCATATAAACAAAAATGTTCAGAGCATTTTTATTCACAACAGCCAAAAACTAGAAACAGCCCAAATGTTCATCAACAGAAAACAATAAATTCTGTTATATTCATAAAATGGTATATTACTCAGCTTTAAAAAGGAGCATACTGTTGATAAATGCAACAACATGAGTGAATCTCAAAACATTATATTGAGCAAAGGAAGCCAGACATACAGTAAGATATATTTTATGACTGAATTTATATGAAGTTCTAGGTATTGATGGGATGTATCTCAAAATAATAAGAGCTATCTATGACAAACCCACAGCCAATATCTTACTGAATGGGCAAAAACTGGAAGCATTCCCTTTGAAAACTGGTACAAGACAGGGATACCCTCTCTCACCGCTCCTATTCAACATAGTGTTGGAAGTTCTGGCCAGGGCAATTAGGCAGGAGAAGGAAATAAAGGGTATTCAATTAGGAAAAGAGGAAGTCAAATTGTCCCTGTTTGCAGATGACACGATTGTATGTCTAGAAAACCCCATCGTCTCAGCCCAAAATCTCCTGAAGCTGATAGGCAACTTCAGCAAAGTCTCAGGATACAAAATCAATGTGCAAAAATCACAAGCATTCTTACACACCAATAACAGACAAACAGACAGCCAAATCATGAGTGAACTCCCATTTGCAATTGCTTCAAAGAGAATAAAATACCTAGGAATCCAACTTACAAGGGACGTGAAGGACCTCTTCAAGAACTACAAACCACTGCTCAATGAAATAAAAGAGGATACAAACAAATGGAAGAACATTCCATGCTCATGGGTAGGAAGAATCAATACTGTGAAAATGGCCATATTGCCCAAGGTAATTTATAGATTCAATGCCATCCCCATCAAGCTACCAATGACTTTCTTCACAGAATTGGAAAAAAACTACTTTAAAGTTCATATGCAACCAAAAAAGAGCCCTCATTGCCAAGTCAATCCTAAGCCAAAAGAACAAAGCTGGAGGCATCATGCTACCTGACTTCAAACTATACTACAAGGCCACAGTAACCAAAACAGCATGGTACTGGTACCAAAACAGAGATATAGACCAATGGAACAGAACAGAGCCCTCAGAAATAGGGCTACATATCTACAACCATCTGATCTTTGACAAACCTGACAAAAACAAGAAATGGAGAAACGATTCCCTATTTAATAAATGGTGCTGGGAAAACTGGCTAGCCATATGTAGAAAGCTGAAACTGGATCCCTTCCTTATACCTTATACAAAAATTAATTCAAGATGGATTAAAGACTTACATGTTAGACCTAAAACCATAAAAACCCTAGAAGAAAACCTAGGCAATACCATTCAGGACATAGGCATGGGCAAGTACTTCATGTCTAAAACACCAAAAGCAATGGCAACAAAAGCCAAAATTGAGCAATGGGATCTAATCAAACTAAAGAGCTTCTGCACAGCAAAAGAAACTACCATCAGAGTGAACAGGCAACCTACAGAATGGGAGAAAATTTTTGCAATCTACTCATCTGACAAAGGGCTAATATCCAGAATCTACAATGAACTCCAACAAATTTATAAGAAAAAAACAAACAACCCCATCAAAAAGTGGGCAAAGGATATGAACAGACACTTCTCAAAAGAAGACATTTATGCAGCCAAAAGACACATGAAAAAATGCTCATCATCACTGGCCATCAGAGAAATGCAAATCAAAACCACAATGAGATACCATCTCACACCAGTTAGAATGGCAATCATTAAAAAGTCAGGAAACGACAGGTGCTGGAGAGGATGTGGAAAATTGGAACACTTTTACACTGTTGGTGGAACTGTAAACTAGTTCAACCATTGTGGAAGTCAGTGTGGCGATTCCTCAGGGATCTAGAACTAGAAATACCATTTGACCCAGCAATCCCATTACTGGGTATATACCCAAAAGATTATAAATCATGCTGCTATAAAGACACATGCACATGTATGTTTACTGCGGCACTATTCACAATAGCAAAGACTTGGAACCAACCCAAATGTCCAACAGTGATAGACTGGATTAAGAAAATGGGGCACATATATACCATGGCATACTATGCAGCCATAAAAAATGATGAGTTCATGTCCTTTGTAGGGACATGGATGAAGCCAGAAACCATCATTCTCAGCAAACTATCACAAGGACGGAAAAACCAAACACCACATATTCTCACTCATAGGTGGGAATTGAACAATGAGAACACATGGACACAGGAAGGGGAACATCAAACACCGGGGCCTGTTGTAGGGTGGGGGGAAGGGGGAGGGATAGCATTAGGAGATATACCTAATGTTAAATGATGAGTTAATGAGTGCGGCACACCAACATGGCACATGTATACATATGTAACAAACCTGCACGTTGTGCACATGTACCCTAAAACTTAAAGTATAATAAAAAACAAATAAAAATAAAATAAAATATATTATTAATGAAAGAAAAAAGCAAAATTAATCTATGGTGAAATAAATCAAAACAGTGGTCGCCTTTGTGTATAGATGTGTATTGGGAGTGGGGAGAGGACAAGTATTGACTGGGAAGGGGCATGAGACACAACTAGTGATAAAAATGTTCCATATACTGATAGAGGTGTGGGTTACACCCATGAAGGCATTTGTGAAAGCTCACTGAATAGGCACCTAAGATAAATGTTGAAACACCTAGTGTGCTTTGTTTCCATTAGAATTTTATCTTTGGAGAATATTATAAAGTCTCTGACTATCAGGGAAAGCCAATCTTTTCTATCAACTTTTGAAATACATTGCTATAAAGTATAGGGCGTATGTTTTCTAATTTCAAAATTTTAAACCCTAAGTTAATATGGTCAATATCTCTCTCCCAAGTTTCTAGGTACCCCCACATCTTCAAACAGTTCTTGGAGATAGCTTCTCTTGGTGTTAATTTATATTCAGAATATGTGACAGTGAAAATGTTTCTTGATCTCAATTTAGTTCACTTCAATAAATATTACCGAGCATAACTATATACAACGCAAGGTGCTAAGTGATGCAAGAAATCCAAGATAGATAGCATTTAGTCCCTCCTTCAATATGCTTACCACCAAGCATAAGATGAGATACCAAAGAATTAAAATATAGGCAGGATAGAAGTAATTTTAAAGAGTGTAATACACAATCAACAAGACATGAAACATTTACAGTACATTTAAGAAACGTTAGGTATTTCTTTTAACATCCTTGGTTGAAACCATTTTAAGTTAACAACATGACTTTTTTCCCCTACTCTTGGTCCACTTGATGCTCTCCTTTTATGCTCCTAGCAGACATAATTAGCAGACACTGATGATGTCATTCCACCAAATCTCCATTCCTATTAGCCCTAATAATTTTAGCAAGTGATCATGAAAGAACACTGACCTTAGTGGCTTAAGCCTCCCATATTCAAGAGGTCCCCATCTTACGAAGACAGGCAGTATGACTCCCTCTAAAGAGGCACCAACTTCTTTTCAAATGAATCACAGAATCTAATTATTCTGAAAATTATTTAAGCAGAAATCAGTACCTATATTCATCCCATAAAAGAGCAGCCATGAAATACTTCCCTAGCGATGAGCCATCAGTGTTGGTAAGACGTTCTTAATAGAACAAGAAGTCACATGAACCAATACGTCATTCCACATGTGAACAAAAATTCTACAAGGGAACAACTCAGAATCTGGTTGTTATTTTTGCCTGTTTTTTTTCTTGCTATCAGGGTCACTAATGCTTAAGAAAAGTACGTAGAGAGTGGGGCAAAAGTTGAGACAATAAAGCTTGCATATTTAGAAATCTGTGTCTACAAGATGTTTCCTTCTTCTGAACAAAAGCTTGCCATTATTACCAACCACTTAGAGCTTTTAGTCTGCCTGGCTGGAGAACAATGCAGAGTGTTTAAGATGCTCTGTTACCAGTGTTTTGTAAAGATTTTTTTTTCTTACTCCTAAGGACTTTGCTCCTTTGTGACCTTAAGGGTGTGTAATTTTCAGTTTCTGTTTAGCATAGACAAGATGAGTATTGTTTCTAGCCCTGTATTCTAAAAGCAAAATCCCTAAAACTCCAATTCAGAAATTAAATAGATTTCTAAAAATGTACCCTACATCACTCAACCAAAGTCTGTCTCTCAGGAAGTGGGAGGGCATAAGATTCTCTCCTTCCTGTCCTCCCTCCCCCACCCACCACTCCTGATGGATTGGAGATGTCAGCTTGTCAAGTCTTATTGGGTGCTACCTGATGTAAGTCCACACTGAGGCAGTAAAAATCTGTTTGCAGTCAGCTCTTTTAATAAGTCTCAGCAAACAGGAGCAAAGCAGATCTATTCAGTAAGATACTTCCTCTGATACAGCGGGGAAAAAATAGTCCATGACAGAGGCTTGATATGGAGGAGACTTTTAGACAAAGAACAGTTCTTTCTTTAGCAAAGCTGGAGAGAAATAGTTTCCCTAGGGATTTGAGGATTCTAAGAAATACTGTATTTTTATGCTTATGATTCAAACCTGACCCAGACTCCAAACTTTTTAAAAAGGAGGTCATATCTCCCCTGTAAAATGCCCCCATCCCACAGAGTCTTGCTGAGTCCTAAGCATTTTGTGGGTTCAGAACTCTGATAAATTATATTGATGCTGCCTCTTAATCTTAAGCCCAAAGGGGGAACGCTGGTTGGTTACCCAGCCTTCCACCTATGCCAAAAAGAATAAGAAAGCCTGAGAAGGTCAAATGTTCTGAGAATATATTTTATAATACAAATCACCTAATTTTTTTATTATTGTTTGTGCAAGTTTAAGGGGTACATATGCAGTTTTGATACATGCACAGATTGTGTAGTGGTCAAGTTAGGGCTTTTAGGGTATCTATCGCCTGAATAACATATGTTGTCTCCATTAACTCTTTTCTCGTCATATACCAAAGTAAAGAGTTTCTCAAGAAATTTCAAAACTCTGGGAAATATGTGTTTATGTACTATCACTTCATTATTCAGATAAAATTAGGTGCCAACCACCTGAAGAGAGTGGGCCAATCTTTTCAGTAAAAGATTGCTTCTCGTAGTTCTTAGCGCATTGCTGGAGTATTATGGGTCTTAACGGTGCTAAACGTTGATGGATGGTGGTGGTGGTGATAGTTATGACGATGATGTATGAAATAATGAAGAAGACAATGATGTTCGCTAACAAGATGAAGCCAAATTTAAAAATGACCTGACAGGGTGAATTATTCTGGGAATAATTATTATGTATGTATTCCTTCATTCACTTTTCTGAAGCCTCTCCGTTATCATCACCCATATCATATTCACTTCTCCTAGAATAGTGCAGACATGGCAGAAAGTGAATTCCAGGAGTCTGGCTAGTAACATTCAAATTAAACTTATTGCACCATTAGGCTGAGAAATGTTTTTCTTTCTGGCAAGAATAAAATGATAACTATAAAAGTTCTTAACAATATAAGGTTTTTCAGGAATAGTCTTGCTCTGAAGGTAAAAAGTTGTCTCTGTTCCTAACTCTTAGGAAAAGTAACATGCAGTAAACACTTAGTAACATTTTGAATGAATGCATGCATGATTGGATAAATAAATGGATAAATATACAAAAGAGTGGGTAAGTGAATAAATGGCTCATTGAACTATATCTCTCTACTTTTTAGAATAGTTACTGATTGTGCAGGTAAAAATCACATCGTAAGAAATCTGGGGCTTATCCTCTGAAAGAATGATCTCAGAGAACCTAAACTCTGATCTTTCAAATGAGTATTTTAAGATTACTGTACATGTGCTTCAGAAGCTTACTGCAAAATATAACCCCTTGATAATAAAACAAAATAAACTAGTCATGATGATGTCATAAGAGCAAGTCCTTTTCTAGGTCATTATAATTTTTCATGTCAATTTCCACAGAATTTTAACCAGAAGATCTGTAGAAGCAGTAGAATTTTATCTCTATGGGATGTGGTGATGGAGGTATGTTTCTTCCAGCATTTGCTTACAACTCCCATAATATCTATTTACAAATCATTATCCTGTCCTTCATGATCTAAGTCCAAAAATCACTGAGCTAACAGCCACACAATCCTTTCTGCAGGATTTTTTAAAAGCCTACAAAGAAAGTCTCAATGGATAGTTGGTGACCTAAACATCACCAGGTTGAAAACTCCTTGGGGATAAGAATATCCCCAATTTATAATACCTCTGTATCTACAACAAACTTAATAGTAAGTTCTGCATAAAACAGCCTCTTAATAAATGTCCATTGATTAAATGCAGAAATGGGACTAGGGTGATGCAATAGGAAATAAATACTGTGCAAATTTAGAGACAGGAGAGTATAGTGTAGGGAGGTGAAGTCAGAACAGACTTCACGGAGGATGACAGACTTAAATAATATATTGAAATAAATGGCTGTGCTATGAGCCAGTAGTAATCTAAGCATCTAAAATGAAAAAGCACTAAGCTCTAAGGGTGTGGAGCTATCTCACAGTGGCACCTTATACAGGGTATTTCTGACTTTGAATATCTTACCGTTGAGAAGAACCCTACCTAAATGGGCCATGCATTTCATTGTCACAGTGGATGATGGCAAGTGAAATACGAGATTGATGTCGAATTTTTCAAGAAAGATGGAAGACAGGGATATGGAATGAAGGTGAGAAAGAAAGAAGGAAAGAAATGCTTTCAATGAAAGAAATTCTTCTTTCCCACATTTCCAGTTGAAGGATTAATCTGTCCTCTGAGAGTTAATGTCATATGATGATCTTTAGGAAAACACAAAATAGAGGGCATTTCGCACTGCCAAATGTTCCTATCATTCCATTCCTGTCGTGTCCACATATAGTAGTGTTAGTTTCATAATCTTTGGTCTTTGTGACTGAGAAAGTCCTTCTCATTCACACCTCTGCCTAAGGTGACTACCCTGATGTGACTAAATATGCAAGGACTTAGTTCTTTGACCTAATGCAAGAACTATAGAAAACTACTAAATTTTCTGCAAACCCAGAAAATAAGAACGGTCAGTTCTCAACAGAAGGGGAAATGAGGGAAAGGTTACTAGCATTTCCTATGTAATAAATATGTTTGCATTGTATCATGCCATACGCGTGTGTGTGTGTGTGTGTGTGTGTGTGTGTGTGTGTATTCACTCAATCATTACAGAGACCCTTAAATTTTGGAGTTTATATCTCCTTTTTACAGTTGGTAAAGCTGAGGTATGGACAGTTTTACACAAGTTAAATAGCTACTAAGTGGTTATGAATCCCAGGAGACTTGGGATTCATAACTAGGTCTGGCCGACTCTAAAATATACTGCAGCTCAGAAAACAGGCAATTCTGGGTAATAAAAAAACAATTCTGATTTAAAATAAAAGCAAGGCAATGCAGAATAACAAGAAAAGATCATTAGAATTAAATCCAGCCCCGCTTGGAATACTATCTCTATCATCAACCCTTAAACAAATTACTTTCCATTAGCCACAGTTTCTCCTCTGTTAAATGGCCTAAGAACTACCCGACAACACAGCAGTATGAACTAGATATGATAATCTTTGTGAATGTGCCTAACCCAGTAGCCTATACAATAGGGCTCCTGGCACAGAATCTGTACCGAGTAGGCATTCAGTAAATATTTGTTGAATGATAATGCAGTAGACGCGCGAGAACCCACAAGAACTCACAAAATCATAACAGATGGTTGTCTTATTTTTAAGGATTACCTATCCCTTCCCCACCCCCAGAGATCACACTACCTATACCTTCACTGTCATAAAGCAAAAGTAAAAAGATACAAAATACTGGAGGTGGAAGTAGAGGCACAGTCTGGGTGATCCAAAACGGAAAATGGACTCATTCTTTTGCCGCAAATCACAGTATCTTTTTCTGTTTGTCTACTGAGGTGGCTTCCCTTATAGCCACCCTTAGAACAAGAAAAGGAAAACAAATCCCAAAAGAAACATGGGGGCTTAAGGTCAGACACTGAGGATGCTCCGTCAGGCATTTTCTCCCATTTTCTCTTTAATGTCTTTCCTCTTCGTTCTCCTCCATGACCTCCTTTGTCTCTTGGATCTATAATGATGATTCATTCCCTGCATCTCCTTATGGAAAGGAAGTCTTTGCCTCTCACAGACATGATTATGTTTGACATGGTGACCCTAGTCTCCTATTCTGAGACATCCTCCCCCAGTGCCACACTCACTCACTTTTCTCTAACCTGGAGCATGCTTTGGCTGCTGCAGCTCCCATGTAATTCTCCAGAAGAACATGTGAGTTTCAGTTCCAAGAACATCTCAGTGGCCTGCATGCCACATACATGCTGCTCCTCTTCCTCCTTTTCCCTCCTTCAAGGTGAGGAGACAAAGCATCTCAGCCTGATCAGTCAAGAAACTTAACCAGGAGTATTTAAGGAGAGATTCAGAGCTGTGAAAGTCCACATATAGTTTCAAGTGCTGCGGAGGAAGTACCAAGGAAAAAAAGAGCCAAGACCCGGACTGGACCGAGGCAGTTCCAAAGATGAAGGGGTGGGGTGAGGAGAAGCCGGACTTGTTACTGGCTTACACCCAAGTGTAAATTGTGTGCTTTGCCCTACAGCATTTTTATGGCGTTGGAAAGCTTCTCTAGGAAATTCCTATGGAACTGGAGGTGAAAAAAATGTAAATAAGAGAAACTATAATGTTGCCTTGCACAGCAGCTTCTAAAGAGGATCTGGAAGCCCTCTAGACAATCACATGATATCCCTGGTGGGCAAACTCTGTCACCTAAGGTTGAACTTAGTAGAGATGACAAAGTTAATGCACCACAGGGCTATCACTGGTTATGTGACTTTTGTGTTTTAGTTTAAAAGGGGATATAATGACTGGCTCCCTTCACGCTGTAAGTAGAAACACAGAGAAGATATGCATCAATGAGCAACCTCTCTCCAACTCACCACTTGCACAGGGACTAAAGATGCCCTTTGTAGACCAACGCTTCATGCCAAAATATACCAAAGCACTGACCTACCTACTTTGCTAAGAGACACATGCTAAGTCTCAACCACTCACAGCATGGGTAAGAGGCCATCATCCACCCACCCACATGCCTGTTGTCACAAGAATTCTCCCCAACAGCTCCTCATACACTGAAATCTCACTCAGTTAACTCATCACCACGCACTCTCTTCCATTTCCAGGGGCCAGGGGATGACCTACACCTGGTATCCAACAGAGTAGACTGCCACTCCCGCAAGCTCACCACCACTACTTTCTCTCCTGCACAGTGAGCCACTTGCTCCTGGAATCAGTCCCCTCTATAAATATATGTACAGTGCATTCGGTCACTCATTCTTGTTGGCTTTTTCCCAGTTGAATAAACACTTAAGTGTAAACCTACTCCTTAATTCACTTATCCACATTAACCAGATTTATTAATTAGATAAATCATCCCTTGTACTCTGTTGTAAACTCTAAAGTAGGATCACTTAAAAAAAAAGTCTAAAGTCTCCAATAAATTTCAACAAACATTTATTGTGGTATGAAACTCCAAACAAGAGAAGTCCATCTTAACAACCAAAATGGTGGTAACACTGATTACCACCATGAGAAGCTACATGGTGGTACCTGAATAGGAGACCATCACAGTACAATGTGCAGGGATTCTTGTAAAGCCATGCCAACATTTCTGTTCACTGAACATGAAACTTGTGATAAGCCCAAAATGTAGATATCAAATTCACATAGCTACTTTTTGCATCTTTACATTGAGTCTGTTTCAGAAAACCATTCTTATGCTAACTTGTCCCTTTGGAAGTATAGCTGTCTTAAGGCCACAGGGTCAGGAGGAAATTCTTTCGTTATTTCGGAGAAATGAAAGGCAATTTTTAGGGCAATCACTCTCGTTACTTGGTGCTTTTGTCCATTAAAATTCTGGAGCCTCTGCTTGCAAATACCAAAACTGGTTTATCACAACAGTACTGCATGATTGTGAAAAACTTCCAGTCCAGCTACCTTGTAAGCCTTTAAACAGACAGAAGGAACAACTATCCCAAACCATGGGACCTGTGCAAGGCTGGGAAAGGTTGGCCCCAGGGATGGCATGATGCACTTACAGTGTGAGGGGAGCATGATAGAAACAAAACGGCAAACCAGAGTCTCAGTTCCCTGGGCTAATGGAGATGTAGGGAATGTCGAGTCAGCCTGGCTTTGTCTAATTAAAAAATAAGCTTCTCATGTGGATAATCCCCTGGCTTGTGTCACTTCCCAGGTACCTGTGGCCTGGCATCTGTCACAGGGTGTCTGGCTCCTCAGTTCTGGCATATTCAACCAAGCAGTCTTTTTCTTACATCCCCAATACAAAATGGCATGCCCTTTCTAGCATTGTGTCAGACTGTCTACACTGGTGCACAGGACTTACTATGATGGAAAGGGGGTAGCATTAATGTACTTGAGACATAAAACTGGCTAGGGTCAAACGTCATCTTGAAGGTTTTTAAGGAAAGCATTTAATTCAGCGGCAGATTTATGTCTTTGTGACTGTTCACCAACAGTGCATTAAGCTAAGTTTCAAAAAGCAAAGTCTAGTCTGTCAAAAAACATGAACTAAAAGTCCCTTATTGGCTTCCTTCTACCAGCAGATTTCTAAAGGGCTAGAAAAGTCTAGAGTAAGCCTCAATCTTATGGCAATCCTATCACTGCTCTTGAAAGTCCCTCTATTGCCCTCTCCATGTTTGGTAAAGTACTAAACAAACACCTTATTTATAGGAGGGGCTTCCAGAACTTCTATATAGAAAGAGCCTGAGTGGAGGTGTGAGGCAGAAACCTGTTTTAAGGGGCAAGACTAAAGGAAACATCTTGGAGCTGCTCTTGCAGGGTAAGTACAGTGTTTACTAATCAGTTCCTTTAACATATACTGCCTACTATATACTGGGATAAGCACTTTAGAAACTTATATGAACAAATTCGACACAGATCTTGGACTCATGATACTCATGTCTAAAGGGAGAGAGAGATAATAAACTACAACCACAAGACTGAGGCAATAAAAATATTAACTAATGGTAGCAGCCATTTAGAGAATTAATTAGTACCGTACAATAGATAGTGACCAAGAAGCTGCTTGGTATTGGGTAGGCAGGAAAGGCCATTCTGAGCAAATAGTAGTTAAACTGAGACCTAAATGGCAAGAGTGAGCTGGCAATATGAAAAACATGCCAAGGAGAGAGGGAAGCATGTTCAAGAATCCTGAGGCAGGAAGAAGCTTGGCACATTTGAAGAAAAGGAAAGAAGCTGATGGAGTCAGAAGACAGCAGCCAAGGACAAAGGGGAATAGAAAAAGTAAGGCAGGGAAGGTGTTGGATTTTATTCTAAGTGTGACAGGAGGCCATTGAAAAATTTTGATGTGATCATCTGATTTCCTTAAAAAAAAAAATTATTCTGGTTGTTGTGTGGGGAGGGCAACTGGGAGACTCTTGCAGGAATCCTGGAAAAGGATTAGGGTGATTGGCAGAAAGGAGAGCAGATGAGATGATGAAAAGACAGGCTCAATAGCATGGACTTATGTGTTGGATATCGGTGTAAGAAAAATAAGTAAGGAAAACCTGCCTTGGTGACCTTAGTTCACCATTTACTGAGTTGGGGAAGACTAGAAAAGGAGCAATTTGAAAAAGGAAAAAAGTTACCATTTTCACCATGCTAAGTTTTAGGTGCCTCACAGACACCGTTCGGAAATGTTTAGTAGGTAACTAGAGAGTCTAGTCTAGAGTTCTGAGGAATGGTCCAAGTTGTAGATGTGTACCTGAGAGTCATTACCTATAAAGGATATGTAAAAGCCATAGACCAGATGAAGTCATCTAGGAAAGTTATGTAAATTCAACAAATAAATAAATAAATAAAGGAGCTCAAGCAGAGCCCTTTGGGCCGCGAACATTTAGTGGTGGGTAGAAAAGAACAGAGATAGCAAGGAAGATTGAAAAACTGTCCAATAAGATGAGAGTAAAATCACAAGAGTGTAGCTTCGTGAATATCAAGAAAATCTTTCAGTAAGGAATCTGTCATTTCATCGAATGCTGCAGAGGGGACAAGATGATAGTAGACTGACTATTGGATTTGGTAACATAGTGACCACTGGTGACTTTGGCAAGAGCCACAAGAACCATTCCATTAACACAGTATGAATGGACATCTGAAAGAAATGGGTTAAGGAGGGTGAAAGAGGTGAGGAAGTAGAGAAAGCAGCTATAGACAACTCTTTCAAGATGTTTTGCTATTAAGAGGAACAGAAAAACAAGGAAATAGGCAAAAGCAGACGTGTGGTCAAGGATTTCAGGGGTTTTTTAATATATAGAATGTACTAGAACTTACTTGTGGGTACTTGAAATAATATAGTGGAGAAGGAGAAATAGCAAAGTCCTTGAAAAGGAAAAAGCCTGAGATCCAAAATTTAAGAGTTCAAAAAAGCGAAATTCAAGATCTTTTGCTTTCTCAAGGACTTTGCTATTTGTAAGAATTGGTCTCTAGTAGAAGCAGGGATTCTTCATCCACAGTAGCCAGAGTGTAGACAGAGGGCATGGGTACCGATGCAGGTAAGCTGGTAACTTTGGTAGTATAAAAATGAGAAAGTTCCTGGCAGAATAACTCAATTTTCTCAATGAATTATGAGGCAGACTTAGCAGCAAAGAGTGCTACTTATAGAAAAGAGGATATGTAATAGGCTCAGAGTGACAAGAGAGAGTGCGAAGTTATTTTGAAGTGGGAGAAAGTTAACATAGTAAGGAATGTAGCTGGAGTGCTGGGCTGACTCGAGTGACGATTTGAGATCCGTGGCTTCATCATCATGGTTGTGTTTTTCCAGTTCAGAAAAGAAACTGGAGTTGCTTGATTGCTTCCAGACAAGCAAGAAATGAGCAGTTTGTTTAACTGAGGCTATTCATCAGGCACCACTGTGCACCACTTCAAATCGTCTCACCACACCTGCTCTTCCAGGGATGGATTTGGTGATCACTTCTGCTCTGGCTTCAGCCAACTTCACGGAGCACCTCATCTGTAGCTACTGTCCAGCTATAGCTTCTTGCCCTGGGGTTTCTCCTTCACTCGTGTCCAGGAAGCAGGACACTAGTGAAGGAACTGCTGGAGACGTGCATATATGCAACCCGGAGATACAGCAGACTGAAAGGGAGCCTCTGAATAAATGCTTACACCTTTTTTTTTTGTTTTTTATTATTATACTTTAAGTTCTGGGATACATGTACAGAATGTGCAGGTTTGTTACATAGGTATACACGTGCCATGGTGGTTTGCTGCACCCATCAACCCATCATCTACATTAGGTATTTCTCCTAATGCTATCCCTCCCCTAGCCCCCCACCTTTTGTTTTTTAGTATACAGTTCTAAGACACATTTCTTAAGGCTTCTTAGAGCATTTCTTGTAGGATGAATGACCACTTGCTGTCAGCAATGCTCAACCAGATAATGTACCCTTGTATCAATTTTCTCTCCTTCCCTGTCTCACTGTTCTAGTCCCTAAGCCCTGCTCCCTAGAATTACTTAAAAAAAAAAAAACACTTGCATATAAGCTAGTGCCTCATTCTCTGCCATCAAAGGAACTCAGGTAAGATAACTGGCATTAGGAGTGGCTTTAGAAATCAGTTTCTCAAGATGGGACTGTGGAATTCAGTGAAGACCCCACTGCTACAGGTGAGTGAAGTAGTATTAATTCCTAGTATGTTCATTCTTTAGCATCACAAATACTAACACTCTTACCTGTGGTGGATTGGGATAAGCTAGTGGTAGAGGGTAACGTATTGGGTTATGTGGTGGCTCTGGTATTTGAAAAATACATGAGCAGTTGGCTGGCTTTGTCAATACATTTTCAAGTCTTAAAAAAATAAACTGGAAGAATCAAATGAACTGACTATCAACTCAGGAAATCCTGCTGAAAATCAGATCGATCCAGAGGAAAAAAACTAATAGTGGCAATGCTACCAAAGAGACTAAATGCATAACCTTGGAATTCCTCCTTTGTGGAAATTCTAATAGGAAATTCCAATAGGAAAAGAATGGGACCTGGAGACCCACGTGGTACACTTAGGAAGACAGTAAGAGAGGATTTTCCTGAAACCTCTTAGAAGGCAAGAAAAGCTCCTCCCCTCTTGCCAAAGGAAATAAGTCTGCCTTTAAAAACACTGTAAAGAACACATCTGAAGCAGGTGCCTCTCATTCTGACTCCTGTCCTCAATATGTGACCCCATCTCTCTGTAGTCCCTACAGGCCAATAACTAGAGCCAGGTCATAGCACAACTACAGCTGGAAAATACAGTCCCTAGAAGGGATGAATATCTAGGAGGAAATAGTTTACATACTGAAGGAATTGCAATGGAAAGGCCCGGCCAATTACAGGTTTGCAGAAATCAGGAAGCACATGTAGGAGTGAACTTTGAGGAAGTTAGACTGGAGGTAGAATGGGATAGAGAATTTATTGGCACAGCAACACTTTCTTGTGAAATGATATTCAAACTCCTTGCAGAGATGCCTATAGGCATTCCTAATATACTCCTGGGTTGATGGCCTAGGGGATGAGGTGACAAATGATGGGAAGACTTTGGCAAAATATTGAAAAAGAGATCAGAAGATTAAGAAGGTGGGAATGTTAAAATGGAAGTATTAATTTTATGTGAGACTGAAAATTGATTACCTGACTCTGTCCTAAGATGCATTTCTGAAGGCTCTCCTAGGATGCCCTTGTGGGATCCAGCACCTGTCACTCACAGGGTTTCAGCTCAATATGGCTCCTATCATTGGCTTTACCCCCTTCCACATTCACTCTCCTACTCCCTAATTTCTGCTCCCTAAGATTGTTTCCCATATAAACTCCTTGCACAAAGGCTAAGACAGGCTGCTTCTAAGAAGTAGAAATTCTAGGCAAGCTAAATAATCCTGGGACTGCACAGGGCCCTACCACTACCTCCAAAAATTATTGCCAGATGCATTCTACTATGGTGTCTAGGACATAGCAGGTCCCCAGCAGATAATTTGCTCCTCCTTTTCTTCCCCCTTCATCTGAAACAGTAAATTCAGATGTCAGTGAAAGGCAAACAACTTCCTTGAGACAGAGCAATAATGCTTGTATAGCAATTGCAAACTCTTGTGCTCTGTGCCTACCAAAAGCCCCTCCTGAAACCACTCTTCTTTGGGCAAATCTCTGCTCTTTATTTCTCAGCACACCGTTGTCACTATCTAGCCTCAGGATAATAGTGTCCCCTGGAGGGATCAGTTCTTCCTCTGGGGAAATCAAAGAGCAGATCAGGAATTAGTCACCAGATTGTGTCATTTTGAATACAAGGAAGAAAAGAAGAATGAGAGGAAAGAAAGGGGAAGAGGAGGGGTGGAGGAGGATGTGCAGGTAAGAGGGAAGAGGAGGAGTCAGGCAGTAGGGTGGCAGGACTGTATTTGGTGAGTTCACACATTTTATTTTATTTCAGCATCACAATACATTTGCAAGGTGTTCTCCTAGTCATACAGCTGGGGAAGCTAAGGCATATGGTCCCTGTTTTAAACAACCGATTCTTCAGCTAAATTAGCAGCTAGGAGTTACAGGTTGGGCCACAGCATGAGCAAGACACAGGACTTGATCAAGAATGAGGGAAACCAAGCAGATCGGATACACAGACTCTTTACACTTCTGCCTTCTTATAGCTTGTATTTATTTGTTTATACCAATTTATGGAAAAGCATCACAAAACTATTATAGAATACAGACAGCTAGAATATTTTCATTTTCCCTCTGCTTAACAAGAAATGGAGCAATTTCCAGGGAAGAGGGCCCAGGGTTTTGTGAAGAGAAACCCCAACTTCACTGAACCCTAAGTTCTGATGCTGCCAGAATGAAGGAGCCCAGAAATCAGAGCAGGACACAGGGATGGGCAGAGAGGTGAGCGCATGGGGTTAACTGCAAAATGAACTTCACAATGACTCTCCTGGAGATTTCACCAGACTGGAGTTTCTTGCAGATCTTCACCTGCTCTGCTTTATTTCTGGAAGGTCCAGAGCATTACATCACTTCCCTCTGCTTCCCTACTGAGATTTCTACCCATGAATTTCTACCTACATCCATGAAATTGCTAATTTCTTATTCCACTGTATCCTTTCTTGAGTTTCCTGCTGAAATAGTCATACCTCTTAGCCATTTCAGCATTTTTCTTTAAACTAGCTACTTTGTAAATTGTATATTCTTTCTCCACTTCCAGAAATATCAAAGCTTCAAAGACTCATAATAGCCTAGAGGTGAAGGGGCCAATATTTTTTTTTAATTAAAAAAAAATTGTCGGGCACATTGGTTCATGCCTGTAATCCCAGCACTTTGGGAGGCCAAGGCGGGCAGATCACCTGAGGCCAGGAGTTTGAGACCAGCCTGGCCAACATGGTGAAACCTTGTCTCTACTAAAAATACAAAAATTAGCCAGGCATGGTGGCGGCCACCTGTAATCCCAGCTACTTGAGAGGCTGAAGCAGAAGAATCACTTGAACTCAGGAGGTGGAGGTTACAGTGAGCCAAGATCATGCCACTGCACTCCAGCCTGGACAAAAGAGCGAGACTCTGTCAAAAAAAAGAAAGAAATATATATATATATTTATATATTATAAATATATATATAAATATATAACATTTACTCAAGCCACATACTATTTCTATTAACTTTTTCTTCTTTTTTATAATTTCATGTATTTTTTTAAATTTACTTTTTTATTTCAATAGGTTTTTGGGGAACACATGGTATTTGGTTACATAAATAAGTTATTTAGTAGTGATTTCTGAGATTTTGGTGCACCCATCACCTGAGCAATGTACCCTGTACCCAATGTGTAGTCTTTTATCCCTCACCCGCCTCCGACCCTTTCCGCAAGTCCACAAAAGTCCATTGTGTCATTCTTATGCCTTTGCATCCTCATAGCTTAGCTCCCACTTATAAATAAGAACATACCGTTTGGTTTTCCACTCCTGAGTAAAACTATTAACTAATTAGTTATCGGAGCAATCCTTTCACAGAACAGTTATTATCTCCATTTTTTCAGATGAGGAAACTGAGGCTCAACAAGATTAAATAACTAGTAATTTAATCAAGTTGTGTAAGAAATGGAAAGAACTAGAGCAACCAGAAAGCGGCAGAGCTCAGGATTTGAATATAGGTAAGAGGCTCCAAATTCTTCACTCTTAACCCTAGGGATTGTCTAACCCATTCCCTTCATTTTATAAATAAGGAGAGTAAGACACAAAGAAACTAAGTGACATATGCCACGACAAGGTAGGGTGTGGACTGCCATGCAAGTCTTCTGATTTCCAGTTTAATGTTTTTGTTGCTATACAACACAGCCTTGGTTCCAGACAACAGTTCTCATGTCTAGTCTATGTTTTCTGGTGGTTTCCCATGAGTTCTTGAATTGATCTGAAGATTTACAATTTCACAAAGGATGTTCATTTTATCAAGGCTGTATAGAAAAAGCACTTGAGATTGTAACGATTTACACCTGGTCATTTGGGGCTTTAGCATTGGGTGATCCAAATGCTAGCTCTTCCCTCATTAGATGTGACACAGCTTGTTCTTTAACTCTCTGGGAAATCTAGTTGTTACAGCTGAGGGGACCTGCAAATTGTAAGAAATATATAAATCCCGTTATTACAACAATGATGATGATTAGTCCTGTTAAAAGCACAATGTTTTACCCATTATTTCTGCAGAGTTTGTGAAATGGTGACAGGGATAGAGACTCAGATGGTCATTGTTTCTCAAGGTGGGAGGACCTGATGCTGTGATCACTGCTGGGAAGAGGGAAGGCTGTGAGTAAAAGCTAGGAAATGCAAACCATGTTCCTACTTATGCAAACCATGTTCCTACTTATTAACAGCTCTGGATAATAGCTCTGTGGGGTAAAATGTAAATCTGTCAATAAAGGAGATACTGTGAGTCATGGAAACCTACCTCTGCATGCACCCCTTCTCCTGGGCATGGATAGCATGCATCATTGACCCTTTCACTGTAGCTCTTACTGTAGCATTGTGAGTAAAGCTTATGTAAAACTGATCACATGTGGTATTTTGGCTGTTTTCCCAGCCACCTCCATTGTTGGAGATTGTGGGCCCCTCAAGGGCAGAAACCCTGGTCTTTTATTTCTGTATTTACAAAGCCAGTAACATGGTTGGCACTCAGGAAATGGTGGTTGAATAATGAATGAATGCACGATTTTATGACCTCCTCAGATTGCAATCACTTTGCTTTCATTCAGCAGCCCACGACTCAGATTCATGCACTGAGTAGTCCTCCCAGGGTTGTGGTTGGGTAGGACTAACTTTGGGGTATGGGAACCAATAAACTTTTAGGGAGAAGAAAAAGAATATTGAAGGCTAGAAATTTTTTTCAACCAGTTTTAGAGAACCACTGTTTAGTAGTGCTTTAATATTTCATCATCCAGCCACCAAAGGATGCCCACAACTCCCTACACATCAGAATATTTTCCTTATATATGTTTTAAAAATAAGAAATTTGTTTTGTAGGTAATCTGATACCTAAGGAGATACACAGAGAGCTGTAGTTTGGGGCTTCAGAGACGATTTTTAAGACTGGAAGAGAGAAAGGATGGAGAAAAAGGCCAAAGAGGGGAGATGGCAATTCACACCCTCTTTGTGTGTGCTTCAATATCAAAGATTCCTTAATGGCAGGAACCAGGTGTAAACTTGATAGATCTCCCACAGCATCTATCACTGACTGTACACACAGCCAATGCTCAGTGAAAATTAGATGGATGGATGGAAGGATTGGTGGGTGGATGGATGCACAGAGGGAGTATAATTTGCTATTGCCAGCATTACCAACAGTCACCTGTAAGTTGTTTAACTCTAGTCAGAATGCCCAAATAACCTACCAGTTTGATAATCACTTTCTTACTCATTTATTTCCTCTGGACTCTTCTTCACACAGAACTAATATTCACTTATTTTCTGTTCTTTATTAAATTATTCAAAAGAAACCCTTACCTCCCTCAGCACCCATCAGTAAAACTCTCTCCATACACAAGTATCTTCTCACACAAATCACACAACATAATACAATGGTATTCTCACTTACGGTATTGTGTCTCCATCTGAGAAAGAGATGAAGTCAGAGACAGAGTTAAAGTCTAAGAGGGATGTTTTATTTTTCTGTTTTTTTCTTACTTAGCACTAGCTATCCTGTGCTTTAAACAAAGAAAACAAAATATGCTAACAATAACTTAACATTTATTCCCAGCATGGGAGTGGCGGGGAGGAGGTTAATGTAGATAAGTCCTTGTGTACCGCACTATCAATCATAACTCTTTATCACAAATAATGCACTGCCATTCCCACAGCTGCACCCAGCTGTTTGGGTCATCTTTAGTCATGTCCGAACTCATTCTCAGAGTCCTATCTTCCTTCTGTCTCTCCCGTTTTTATGTAGCTCTCTGTCTGTCTTAGCTTTTGTATGATGAAGATTTTCAAGGCCAGGTTAAGTCTTGGGCTGGGTGTAGCCTGTTCATGGAGAGACAGTCTTGGAGGCGGGTGGAAGGAAGAGTCATTAGGGAGAAAGCTTGGGGAAGATGGAGGCAGAGAATGGAGCCAAATGAATCACCAGAGGAAAGAGAATCACTGGAGAAGTGCAACAGAATATGTAGGAAAGACTGTCTCCCAGATATCTTGCTCATTCGAGAACTTCCAGAAAAGAAATAGCTGAAAGAGATGGAGAATGGGTTTGAGGAAAGTCATACTCTGTTCTGTGAAGGATTCATTTTGCTGCCGAAAGGAAATAACTACAGGAGAAGAGAGAGACAGAAAGAAACCAGGAGTAGGGTGGGCGAGACAAAGAGGAAGCCATATGGGGAGGGGGGTGGGAGGATAAGGGTGAGGAGGAGAGAACATGGCATGCAGTGGGAACACTGTTGGAAACATAAGAACCGCCCCCAGAAACAAAATGCCAGCATCTCTGGGCAAAAAATCTAAATTGTCAGCACATGTATCTTTGCTCTGAGAAATATACACCTATTTTTTTTTTTTTTTTTAATTTCAGGATGATTCCCCATTCCAACATCAGTAAAACACTTCAGACTGAGAGACTCAGATAATTTCCTTCCTCCTATCGTGAAGCATCCCCAGGCCACTTCCTCACTGTTCCTCATAAAGGTGCCATCCCCAGGCTGGGGTCCCTTGGCAGGGAAAATTCAGGAACAAGGAATTGCTCAGATTTCATATAGATTTATGTCTTATAAAACTATAATGGAAGAAATCCATTCGTCTTCAAAAAATGAGAAAAAGAAAATACAATTTTTAATGATTACACTTTCCAAATACAATGTTTTATTCAATTATCAATAATTAATGTCAATATGAGCAGGGATAGCCCAATAAAACAAGCAAAATTAGATACTAATAACCAAACAAGCTGACTGTGTTTTGGTACTCTTTGTTCCAGGCCCCCTGCTAAGCACTTTGTATACATTCTTATTTAACGAGCACAAATACAGTACAAAGCCTTTAGTGTTGCCTCCGTTTTTATAGATGAAGAAGCAAGCCCAGACAGGTTAGGAACCTGGCCATGGTCATTCAGCTAACAAGTATACGGGCCAGGATGTTGAGAGACCCCTGGCATCTAATCATGTGTCAAGGGCCCCAAATCTCATTGTAGGCGATAGTGAGTGTTAAGTTTCTTCCCCACCAAATTTTTCCTACACCTCGTAATAGGGGGAAAATGGTTTGAATCTTTCCCTTCCCTCAAATTTCTTCCTTATGCTGTTTATAAAATGATCAAACATTAGGCAACTGAGCAGAATAATTAAAAAACTAAATAATTAATCCCTGATTAATGGTAGTTAAGTGTACAAAAAAAGGGAAATAAAAGGTAAGGTTGGCCCACAAATGCCTGCCCTCTCTACCACATTTGACATGACTAAACCCCTTTCCTTTCTTAAAATGGTTATTTCTTTTGGCTTTAATAACACGTGCACCTATACAGCTGACCACCACAATCCTCCTTCCCTGTCTCCACCAGGCCTGTGTCCTTCACTGAACACTGTGGCTCCTCCTGCCCTGGAACTATAGCTGATGTTCAAGGCTCAGTCCATAGCTCACTTTTTTCTAGATACTCTTCTCCTGAGACAACTCAGCTTTTCTCAGCTGGGCCACTGACAGTTGTATCCACTCTATGCTGATAAATTTTAAATCTGTAATTCCACGTTCCAGACTGCATAGCTGTAGGCACTACAAGACATCCTCACTAATGTGTCCAGCCCTCAGTTCAGAATTTGATGCAGCTTCTGTGAAAAGCAAGTTCCCACTCCAACTTCTCAGTTTCCACCAATCTATCATCATCCCTTCAATCTTAAAATCCAAAAGCCATCACACCTGTAATCCCAGCACTTTGGGAGGCTGAGACGGGTGGATCATAAGGTCAGGAGATCAAGACCATCATGGCTAACACGGTGAAACCCCGTGTCCACTAAAAATACAAAAAAAATTAGCTGGGCGTGGTGGTGGGCACCTGTAGTCCCAGCTACTTGGGAGGCTGAGGCAGGAGAATGGCATGAACTCGGGAGGTGGAGCTTGCAGTGAGCCGAGATTGCACCACTGCACTCCAGCCTTGGTGACAGAGTGAGACTCCATCTCAAACAAACAAACAAACAAGCAAAAAACAAAAGAAACCAAAAGCCCAGCTTTGACCATTTTGTCCCCTGTATTAGCTCTACAGAGGACATTACTGGATCCTAAAGAAGTGTCCTTCAAAATTATCTTGCAATCCCAATGGCCACCAAAATTCTGGCCCTCATCACCTCACATCTGGGGAATTTGAAAAAGGCCTGACTTGCCTCCCCATCTTGATTTACTCTTTCCCCATTCTCTCATATAGTAATAATGAGATTAATTTTCTTAAAATAACCATTTATCATAACCATTTCATCAAGTGTTTTTTATGATTACCTTCCAGAGTAAAGTTAAATGACATTAATCTACCTTTCAGGGTTCTCCATGACCTATTGGTTAATAGTAACACTCATTCAGCCATGGGTAGAGATTCAAGAACTAACTAGGCTGTTTCATAGAGAAAGGATTTAAAACAAAAATACACTAATGGTGCCTAGTTGAACTCATTTACAGAATGAGAGCATATAAGAGCTAAAATTTAATGTAATGCAACCCTTTACTATTGCATGTTCATTACCACACTTTTTTTTTTTTTGGATGAGAAAACAGAGCTGGAGAAAATAAATGACTTAATTAAGATCACATATTTCCATGCCAACTCCCAATATGGTACCTTTCTGATGATAGCTTGTTGCCTTTCAAAAGAACAACTCTGTTCCACTTGTAAACACCACATTTATCTCCCATGACTTGTTCACAATTCCATTCAGGTCAAGTTGATTCCAATATAACCCTCACATAAACATTCAGTGTCAAGTCCAAATCTTTGTTCATGCTATTATTCCCATTTGAAGAAACTCCTCCTTCCCTCGGGCCTCTGTATTCTACGTTCTTTGAAATCCAGGTCAAGTGTCACTCCAACCCCTCCAAGATGTATCAAGGCTGTAACTTCAGCCGACCTAGACAATATCCCTCTACTATAGCATTTGAATTGTACTATACCAATGTGAGACATGTAATCATATTATTTCATGTTTACTCAACATTTTTGTGTATGGGGACTTCACTTCTTGACTAAACTCAACTTCTTAAGTGAGCTGGATCATGTCTTTTCTATTGTGTTATCCTTCACAGTGAGTATAGCTCTTTGCAAAGTAGGTACTTTACCGTTTGTTGAAAATATAAAGAATCTAAAAATAGAATCTGAAACAAAATCTTCAATAGGTAATCCAAGAGCCCAGAGAAAATCAAGTCCATAGACAAATCAAGCTTAATTTCACAATTAGCTTAAGTTAATTCACTCATTTGACAAGTATATAATGAGTGCCTGCACTGAGCTCATTAAAGTGCTAAGCATTAAACTGCAATGGTGAGTGAAACAGACACATCCCTGCCAACGTGGAGCTAACAGTCTAGTTAGAGGAACACACACATATATTAAAAGTTTAACCAGGACTCTAGAGAACATGAAAAGAAGTGAACAGATTTGGGATACATGATTAAAGGAAAGGAGTGAGGGCCAGGAAAGAATAAAAAATAACTTGTGAATTTCTGGTACGTGCAACAGGAAGGATAACCATGCCATTCCCCTGAGTTGGAGAAAACCAGTGGAGGACAAGGTTTATGGGGGTATATCAGGAAAACTCAACCTTGGGCATGCTGAACAATTCCATTAGCAGAACCTATTAGGTAAAAGAAGTTGACCCAAAATGGTTTCAAGTTTTTTTTTTTTTTTGACCTTTACCCTATTCATTGTCATAAACACCCTATACTTCCCCAAAAGTAAAAGCTCTACCAAGTAGGCCTGAGAAGAGGAAAGCAGAATCAAGGACTCAGACAGCCCAGAATTGGGTAATTAAACTAACTGGGTAGGTTAGGGTTCACTGAGGCAAGGAGAATATAAAATAAATCTTTTCAATCAAAGAAAATAAAATCTGGCCTATTTATTTCTCTTTATCAAGTGAATCAAAAGCTTGGCTAAATGAAAACCTAAAACCAATCTAAAAGAGGATGGCTCCTGGTGTTGTATACATCCATGCAAGAGGTAGGCTTGCGTAGAGGCTCTTAATCTTCACTCCCCCTCTGAGACATTGTTGGCTGCTGTATAATATTGTGGTATAAATGAGGCCAGCGTTCTGGATTAAAATCTCTTCAAGCCTCTTCATTGATCACAGGGTTGGAAAGAAACATAGAAGTTCAATACCTCATATAATCAAAAAATCAAAAAACTTTGGAATCAGAAGGAACGTAGGGCTCACGTCTTCTAAATTCTTTCTTTCCAAGTAAGCATCTCTTGTAAGACATTATTTTACAGAGAAGAAAACCAATCAAAGTCTGAAAAGGTAAAATGACTTGCCTGCCTAAGGTAACACAGCAAATTAGTGACAAAGCTGGGAAAAGAACCATGCTCTCTTGCTTCTTGCCACTATACCATACAGTCTGGAGGGAAAAGAGAAGGGTCTGCCTAGAGAACAGTTCCTTTCGGAAAGTAATTTGAGATCAAGTTGATGATATCTAGGGATGATAATTTCCATTCTAAGTTTCAATTTGCTAAATGAAGCCCCCATAGGTACTTAATCACATGAGTAAAATGACCGAAATGATACTTGAAAAATACAAAATTCATAGTAGATGATTTTGTGATATTCAAGATATGGGAAATAGAGCAGCTTGTTATAGAAATCTAGGCACAAGCTAATGAGGATAGTGACTCTGCAGGTGGCAAGAAAGGATGACTTAACTTAGGGGCACTGTGCAGGGTGATGGGCGTCTGACTGATGCAGATATAAAAGGAATAAAGAGCAGTGAGGAATCCCTTCCAAGTACGTTACTGATTATAAAGCCCGAGACCATGGGAACGCTTTATGTGCACATAGCAAATGCTGAAAACTAGTTCAAAGCCTAACTGCTTCTGCCAATGAATCCAAAGAGTCATTTTCACACATGAAGATGGCATATTTAATCTTTAAAAATAATAATCAGGTTTTGTACTCCACGTGCACAAACCCCACCTTTTATTTCTTTATGGATTCATTCACATTTTCATTCAATAGAAAATGTTTGTGTCTACTGTGCCATGAATCCTAGGGTGGATACCATAATGAATTTTTAATGTGAACTGTTTGCACATCTATGTGCTATGCCATAGGTATGAACAAAGGGCTATGGGAGCACAAAGAGAGGAATGACTAATTCTGCCTGGAATCGTCAGAGAAGGCTTCAGAGAGGAGGCAACACTTGAGTCAGATCTTAAAGGACACCTATGTCCTTCCAGGGAAATTGAAAGAGAGGAGCATCACAAGGAACAGCCTATGCAAATGCATGAAGGGGTAAAAGACTGCCATACTAAGAGAGTGGCCAGTAATGTTATTTGATGTTGTGAGATCACAAGCAGTGTATGTTGGCATAAGGTGGGGAGTTGGAGGAGAGGGTAGTTAAATAAGATAAGCCCAATTATGAAGGTTAAGGCCGGATATTCAAAGGTCTTTTATGGCTTGCCAAGAAATGTGGACCACATCCAGTGGATAAAATAAGTCATCAGAGATTTGTGAGGAAATTAGGTTTCTGCTCTAGATATCCAATTCTTTATTATTTGCAGCACACAGAAATCTTATTTGAGCCAATAAAACATGGTTACAACTTCTTTCTCATACCCAACTTGATTTGAGAAAGACTACTATAGACACTTTGAAGTCTTCAATGATAATGTTTCCATCTAAAAAAGTGCAGACATGAAGGTGATAGGTTTTTTATCATCCAATGCGATGACTAGACATCAGCTTCCTGGAAGATGCTTGTTGGGGTCTTTGTCATGCCTTTGAAATTGATGTCTGGTCAAGCCTTGGGTCTCATTCCTTTGTGAAGGAAAGCATACTGTATTTGAGAAATTTTAAGCATATACTCCTACAAGGAGTCAACCTCCTTTTCCCTGAATTAAATTCATAAAAGCAGGGTTTTCATTGTCTCATGGCATAATGCTGCTATGTTAAGGCAGACTGCTCTCCTGTCATGATGCTGCTGCTTTTTCAGCAGAATCTCAATAGTATCAGAATGGGCCAATGCAATGCATGCTGGCCCAACAGGGCTCTGCTCAGGGGACTAAGCACCTGGGCATTACAGGATCACGCCCTAATCTTATTTATTTCTGAAATCCCTCCTTCTCATCAGATATATCCTGTTCCTTTATGTCTCCTGTCAATTTCTTATAGACATATTTCCCTGCTGCTTACCAATAACCAGAATGACTGATACGACAGCTGGGACAACCGAGTGTGGAGAAGTAGGATCCTTTCCCAGGGTTCGGAAGGAATGGAAGACAGGATTTTTTTTTTTGGAAAAAAATAACCTCAATCTGAAGCACGTGTCACTGCCAGGGCTGACAGACATAGCATGTGTGTCCTTTACACGGGATTCAGAAGATTTCCAAGGCTGAATTGAATGCTGGGCTTGCTTGCTTTTCCCACTTCTCACTTTTACCTTTGCAATAGAAATAGAAAAAGAAACATTTCTCAGTTTCCTTGACACTGAGAAACATGAACTATCATCTCCCATAGAAAAGCGGGGGGGGGGGGGGGTTGGCGGGAATAAACAGGTGGCCACTGAACTCCTGGATGTACCCTCAGCTCCTCTGCTCCTCCAGGACAGCATATGGCATTTCTAGGTCACCCTTAAAGTATGGCAGCCAGTGCAGTCAGGCACTCTGGGCAGATTAACTATGGTGCCTCTTCCTCTCCCTTTCTGGTTCTCAAGACAACACCAAATAGCCAGGATGAAATGAGGTTGACATCACTTCAGGCAAGATGGAAACAATGACAACCAAGGAAAGGAAACCCCTGTCAAGTGCAAGGAACATTAATAATGGACACAGACTCTTGCCCACTAAAATGTCCAGGTCTTAAATTGTTTGAGGATGCAATGTAGTAGCTACATCTCATTTCACCCATCCTTAACCTCAAATGCAGAACTCAGTATTGCTTTGTGTGTCGGTGATATGAAATCCAGAAAAACGTCTATTTACTTTCAAATAAAAAAAAAGCCAGCTAAACACATAATCTCACTTACACTATCAGTCATTGTTCATATGGAAAACAAGGATTTAGCTGCCTACGTAAGATATTTGCAATCAAACCTTGAGAAGCCAGGTCAATATTAGAACATGCAATATATGGCCGGGCCAATCATGCCTGTAATCCCAGCACTTTGGGAGGCCAAGGCGGGTGGATCACCTGAGGTCAGGAGTTCAAGACCATCCTGGCTAACATGGTGAAACCCCATTTCTACTAAAAATGCAAAAAATTAGCCGGGCGTGGTGGTGCGTGCCTGTAGCGCCTATAATCCCAGCTACTTGGGAGGCTGAGGCAGGAGAATAGCTTGGACCTGGGAGGCAGAGGTTACAATGAGCAGAGATTGCACCATTGCACTCCAGCTTGGGCAACAAGAGAGAAACTCCATCTCAAAAAAAAAAAAAAAAGAAGAAGAAAAAGAACATGCAACATACAATATAATAAATTCCTTGTCAAGCCCAAAAGAGGAACATGCATTATGTGGCAATTAATAAATGCTTCTTAATAGTTATTAGTTCTTCCCTCATATTACACTTATGGGGAAGAGACTCCAGAAAGCTCATATAATATCTTTTTTTTTTCTTTTTTTTGAGATGGAGTCTCTCTCTATTGCCCAGGCTGGAGTGCAGTGGCGCTATCTCGGCTCACTGCAAGCTCCACCTCCCAGGTTCACACCATTCTCCTGCCTCAGCCTCCTGAGTAGCTGGGACTACAGGCACCTGACACCACCCCTGGCTAATTTTTTGTATTTTTAGTAGAGACAGGGTTTCACTGTGTTAGCCAGGATGGCCTCAATCTCCTGACCTTGTGATCTGCCTGCCTCAGCCTCCCAAAATGCTGGGATTACAGGCTTGAACCACTGTGTCCGGCTGAAAGTTCATATAATATCTTAAATGTGAAATCTGAAGTTTGGCGAACAGGCACTCTAGATTGATTTCTTCCTGCTCATTCCACAAAACTCAAGTCCGATGACCTTAAGGACGTGATACAAAATGGTGTCTGTTCATCCAGGCACCTTTGTGATAAATGCTAGAGAGATAGGTGGATGAGTGGAAGAAAGGGATTGAAGCCAATGATAAAAATTACCTAATAATCTCCTACTTGTTAAGTGTACCTGGAGGTTCTGCCATGGTTCTTTTCTCAGAAATCATAAAGCACTTTAACAATAGTAATAAGCATTTCTTTCTCCTCTTCTTCTTATTCCTTTAGACAAACGTAAAGTTTCCAAGTGTTTAATCAGATAGATTACATTACCCTACCCATAATTCTGAAAAATTATGTTCTTTCTTAATACAGTTTCAAAGCTATACCTTGGCCTTGCTTGTCCACAGTAGACATTGCCAAGATTGGGCTCGGTCAGAACCACAAAAATGCCACACATTACACATCCACCTACAAACCCTTTCCATCTCAACTGGTTCCCCTGAAGGAGGACTCTCCCAGCCTCCAGGAGAAACACTGTAAGATAAAGACAACCCACCATTTCTTTTCTTACCTTGGCACTTACCCTGTGTGTCTTATTCTAAACACTGCTTTTCCTTTTATCTGCAGTACTTCAGAAAGCCATTTCATTAAATATAATAACAGTGTAGTAATACAAAGAACATCACTTTCTAGTGCTAATAACTTTCATTTTTAAAACCACTTGTGTACTCCAAAATTTAGCAAAGCATCAATTTCTCATCAAGGCCAGCCGACACATCAAATTTGAAACTTCAAAGTTCTGTTTCTTTTGGGTTTATAATCTATGTACAGAGGAATTGAAATGCTGTTTAAAGTCAAATTTGTTTTGATGCTCATGTTGCCAGTTTTACTGATGAAAACTCATCCCTCTGCATAAAATAGACTCATGAAGTACCAGCAACAGGAACAGAAACCAAATTAGGAAATCATGACCACCTGCAAGAGGATCACCATGATGAAATGTTCATATCCTGTACCCTTTCCAAATTTTGAAGTTCATAGCACCAGTGGAAATCACAATTTTCAGACTAGTCAGGAAAGAATGAAAGGAAGGAATTCTTTCAAGAGCACCAAGTTCAAATGCATGTGAATGCTATCATTGCATTTTACCCTATTCTGATAACCGAGGTAAAAAAAAAATGACAGGAGACTGGAGAACAGTGATTTACAACTCCTGGCTGCCCTTAGGAATCAACCTGGATGCTTTTAATACACGTCTGTTCCCGGGCCCTTACCCTCTTCCAGTGCAGCTACATCAGAATGTGTGCTGGGTGGGGCCTTGGGGTCTGTATACAGTTTCTTAAAGCTTCTCAGGAAATTTTAACATGCAGTCATGACTGAGAAGCACTGACACAAGGAACTCAAAACACAGAAAAATGAAAACATGGTGAAGACAGCACGGGAGGAAGTCAGCACATCAATACATCCCTGAGGCTGTTGAGTCAGTATCAGTTGATACACTTTAGAAGACTCTTGTATCTGAAAAAGAAAAATGTGGCTAGGTGTGGTGGCTCACGCCTGTAATCCCAGCACTTTGGGAGGCCAAGACAGGCAGATCACCTGAGGTCAGGAGTTCGAGACCAGCCTAACCAACATGGAAAAACCCTGTCTCTACTAAAAATACAAAATTAGTCGGGCATGGTGGTGCATGCTACCCAGCTACTTGGGAGGCTGAGGCAGGAGAATCGCTGAACCTAGGAGGCGGAGGTTGTGGTGAGCTGAGATTGCACCATTGCACTCCAGCCTGGGCAACAAGAGTGAAACTCCGTCTCAAAAAAAAAAAAAAAAAAAAAAAAAAAAGAAGAAAAGGAAAAAAAAAGCTAACTTCTGATGATCCTAACCAACCTATTTTACTGGGATTACTTTATTCAACATTACTGCCTCTACCACATAGCTTCCCTGCCACTGCTCTCTACTGTTCACCAAATGTTTGGGGTAATGCTGGTCTCTCCTGGCCAGAGAGATGGTGAATACCTGGGCTGTTCCGCACACTTCTGAGCACTCAGTAGGTACTCCCCGGTGTAATACTTGTGGCTGATGAGAAAGATTCTGAAAAAAAATAGCTGATTGCATGGAGAATGGTTCTAAACACACAAGTGTCCAACTTGGCTAAGGTGGTTAATTTTGGAACTGGGCTGAATTTGGAACTGGGCTGGGGAAGGAAGCGCATCCCTAAGGATTGAGCCACTAGAGGCCGCTCTGAGCCAGATTCTCACTAAATCATGCTATGAAGAGGAATCACATCAAAGGGAAAAGGAACGCTGCTGAGTAGCACCGGGCGTCATGGCAACACCATGGTTCCTATTTTTAAACTTAGTGAGTGAGCCCACAAAGTGTGGGTGTATGCACGTGGGGGAAGGGGACTCTGGTCTATTCCTAAAGAATATTCTTTCATGAAGTTTTGAGTTTGCAGGTGGCCAATAAACTGAGACAATGAGATTAGAGAATCAAACTAGAATCAGCTATATTGGAATGGTTCCTTTCTCCTGAACTCCACTCTCTTAGTCTCTATCAGAAAGGATCCTCCATGGCCTTGGATCAGAGGTACCAGGAAATTCGTGATGGTTTTCACTAACATTCTGAAATTCTTCGTTCCTGAAGCTCATTCTGCTAGTCTTTTAGGCAATTCACTTTATATTTCAAGAAAAATAAGTCTAAACAGCAAACTAAAAGCATCTGTGGACACTCCACTCCTTGTGAAGACAATCAGATGAATGCTATGTATTGTCCGTATTCCCGGCATCCGGCACAGGGTTCAGTACATACAGAATAGGGGGTCCACATTCCTACTGGATGTGTCACTCAGTGAATTAAGAATGAATGTAATTTTGTGAAGTGCAGAAAAGTGGGCCCCACATGTCCCGTTTCTTTCATTTCTAATAGCATTTTCTTTTTTTTTTTTTTTAACTTTTCTCCAATCTCCAGCTGAATACAAGGCTTAAACAAATCCAAATTTATCTGACCTGTCAAAAATGAATAGTGGTACTGGAGGACATTTGTAAATCATGGCAGAGGCCAAGGTCTTGTTTTGTTCTATTGCATGTCCCTGACAGTATTTTCAATGCATCTGTAATCTCCCTGAACCTTGGCAGGTTGTAGACCAGAAAGTCTCCACCCGCTTCAGTTCCAAGGATTTTTCAGGTATGCAAAGACTACAAGTTGTTGTTTTTTCCTCTATGGGTTAAAGGATTTGGGAATAGGATAAGAAAAAATAATCCTCCTTCCCATTAGGAAAAGGGAGGTATCAGCAAGATCAGAGCAAGACCAGCAAGTAGAGATGGGCACACTTCAGGACAGAGAGTGAGATGAGCAGGTTCAGTGTGGGAAGTCTTTACCATGTGTGTCCTGGATGCCACTCCCAGGCTGATTCTAGATGTGTCATGGTCTAGTCTTTAGGGCAAGAAATAGCAGAGAATCCAAGAAAGTAAACTATTTATTTATTTTATTTTATTTTATTGCGATGGAGTCTCACTCTGTGAGTGCAGTGGTGTGATCTCAGCTCACTGCAACCTCCACCTCCCGGGTTCAAGCAATTCTCTGCCTCAGCCTCCCAAGTAGCTGGGATTACAGGCATCCGCCACCACGCCCGGCTAATTTTTTTGTATTTTTAGTAGAGACAGGGTTTCACTATCTTGCCCAGGCTGTTCTTGAACTCCTGACCTCATGATCCACCCACCTTGGCCTTCCAAAGTGCTGGGATTACAGGCGTGAGCCACCGCGCCCAGACAGGAAACTCTTTATTACCAAACCACCCTGTCCCACAGGTTAATGATATGTTTATATACATGTGAGTCATTCCTAATTCACTCAACCTCTTTAGCAAAGGACATAGAAAGATGGATAACCTGGGGCAAAGTACGCCTGGAATTCATAAAAATTTGAGTTTGAAACACAAAGTAAGCAAAAGTCTTAATCTTTCTGGATCTCAGGGGGTTTGGGGTTTTTTGTTGTTGCTTTCGTTTTATTTTTTTGAGACAGGGTCTTGCTCTTTCACCCAGGCTGGAGTGCAGTGGCATGATCATGGCTCACTGCAGCCTCTATCTTCCTGGGCCCAAGTGATTCTCACCTAAGCTTCCCAGGTTGCTGGGACTACAGGTGCATGCCACCATGCCTGGCTAATTTAATATTTCTGTATTTTATAAAGACGGGGTTTTTGCCATGTTGCCCAAGCTGGTCTCAAGTGATCTACCTGCCTCAGCCTCCCAAAGTGCTGAAATTACAGGTGTGAGCCACCTCACTCAGGCAATCTCAGTTTATCTAAAAATTGGAGGCAATCATATCCCTGTACAATACTTTTAAGCTTAAATTATGCTATATAAAGCCCTTGGCACATAGTATTCACTCAATAATCTTTTTTAAAAATAAATTTTCTAAATTGCTGAAGCTTAGTATTTTAAAGTACAGGCTTTTTCTTGATTATAGGAAGCATTTTAATGGAAAATTTCAGAAAGGCATTACAGAGTTCTCTGACTTTTTATACCTAAGATAATCGATATAATTTAAGCTCTTATTGATGACTTAACAATGACTATGCTTTTTTGCTATACAGGGATTTTTATGCAGGGTATATGCTTTCTGGGGCGTAGATGACATTTCTCCCCAAATGGTGTTATACAACTCTGCTTTTCAAGGTTTTCTGCTGGGTTTTTCTAATATCTTCCACTCTTTTCCATTCTGTTATTTATTAATGCTGTTGGTTTGCCTATCTGATCCTCATCATCATGTCTGTTATACCTAAGCTATTGTTATCTAGGAAATCATATAAACAAATATCTCAAAGTTGTCTACCAAAGATATGGCCTTGGCCCTCTCTCACTAGTTAACAGAACTTTGTTTTTTTGTTTTTGAGACAGAGTCTCGCCCTGTTGCCGAGGCTGGAGTACAGTGGCATGATCTCGGCTCACTGAAACCTCCACCTCCCAGGTTCAAGTGATTCTCTTACCCCAGCCTCTCAAGTAGCTAGGATTACAGATGTACACCACCACACCTGGTTAATTTTTGTATTTTTAGTAGAGATGGAGTTTCACCATGTTGGCCAGGCTGGTCTCAACCCCCTGACCTCCGGTAATCTGCCTGCCTCGGCCTCCCAAAGTGCTGGGATTATAGGCATGAGCCACTGTGCCCGGCTTAGAACTTTGATTTTTAACTGGGCACATTACTGCCCAGGTTAAAAACTAAACTAAGCTATATTTCCCAATTTTGCTTGTTGCTAGTGTGGCCATTGACTGATTTCCAACCAGCAGACTATAAGCAAAGTGTGGAACTTCAGGGGAATTTCCTAAACAGGGAAATGATTTACCTTCCTTCCTTTCTAACTTCAATCTGCTGCTTGAAACTGGAGTTCCAGCAGCCATCTTAGGCATGGGGATGAAGGATATACCCAGTGGATGAAAGAGTGGAAAGCTAGCAGGCATCTGAGTCCTGATGACATGCAGCTGTCATCCCAGCTCTGGACAGACCACCTAACTATGCTCACATATCTCATTTAAACTGGGTTACTGGGACTCCACACCATAGATAACCCAACTGCCCACAAGCTTCTTAGAAGTATGTGTAAAATTAGAGTAAACGTGCTTTGAGCGACACTCTGTATGACAAGAAACAGCAGTCATTTTAGGGCAAGAGTTTTGTGTCAGGGATTTTAGCTCAGAGCCCTTTTCTGCTTTCTTCATGACTGTTGGTTATGTTCTAGATACATCAGGTTGTTGAATATGTGACCTCTTGTCCTTTAGGTAAAAAAGCCAAGTCTCCATGTGAACACATGTGAGCACGTGTGACAGAAGTGAGGACAATGACCCCGTGCAGCCTGTGGAGTCCACTATTTTGAGTCATAGTCTCTAATATGCACACACATACACACACACACCTTGTCCTCTATAGTCAATAATGAGGGAAATTTGACACATTATTAAGATCTGTGTAATAGTGAACTGTAATATAATAATGCTCTATTGTGCTGTTTTGCCTAAACAAAAGTGCCTGAAAGATTTTTTTTCAAGCAGGGGAGGAAGAAAGTCAATGGGAGTGTCTGGAAATACCTCTGAGAAAACAAAAAGGAAGCAAGTATGTGAGGTTTCTCTGTTGAAGTCCGCAGCCAATCCTTGCAGTGAATAAAAGAAGCCTTCACATGTTTGTTATAATGATTTAGTGAGACGATATACAAGAAGATTATCTGTATGAAAATCCTCACTTTAATCATCATCATTATTAGCCATGATGATGAACAACGAAATTTTTGATAATTGGGTTTTTTGTCTAACACTAAATGTATTTTGACACCTACCTCCATCTGGACCCCATCTATAATCTCTTTTGGAAAATTGTGAAAAGGACCACTTACAATGAATACCATATTGTCACAGGGTGGTTTCCATGGCTATTCCTGTTGCTTGTCAGGGGAGAACTTAACTTTAGAAAAAGAAGATTCATTTATAGGCTCATCAACAATTTATAAAACCACTTGACTACTAAGTTTCCCTCCTTCGCCCAAACAATAAATGTGCTAGGGATATTTAGCGACCATCCTTACAGCCGTCAAGACTTTAACAATGGAATCAGATTGGAAGGAAATATTTACTTGATATTCATCAGAGCTAATTCCAGGCAAGCCATTTTTTAAGAATTCCTCCCAACTTCTATCCCATATTCAACCTTTCTCATGTAATCATCTAAATAGTCTCAGCAATAGAAAGCATTAGAGAAATGTAACATATAAAAGTGTTTTATCCAGTTTTCTTAATTCTCTCTTCACTTGACAAATGCAAATATACATAAATAGGTGCTGTCTGGATGAGGAATACATGCACACATGAATATGAGTGTGTGCGTGCAAGAATTCCACAGGCGGTCATTTATGAACATAGAAAGGTAAAGGCAAGAAAGGTTTTAAAAGCTTTAAATGAAAGCTGGCTAAAGAAGAGAGGGGCAGCAAAAGATCAATGAACAAAACACCCAATAAAGAAAGAGACAGAAAAGAATAAAGAAAGAAAGAGGGTGGGGTGTGGAGCAGTAATGAATGAGGGAAAGAAAAGGCCTGGGCATTGAGGGAAGCTGTAGGCAGCCCCCGGCCGGCTGCTGCTGCTGGAAGCTGGACAAGAGGGAACAGATTTCAGCAGCGGGAAGCCCTAATCTGTCAGCAGCAGTTCCTTCATGTGTGACCAGCCAGCTCAGCTTGGAGACTGGTGCCAGTCTGGGCGAGCTAACCCCACCATGTCCTCCCGGAAGAGGACGCGCCACCAAAAATTTCTGAAAGCCGAGGGAAGGTTCTCTTGCTAGCTCCTGCCACATATCTTCCTTGGCTTCTCCCGTGCCCTATCTACAGTGCTGTTCAGATCCCTCAGTAGTCATCCTAAATGCCCTGCTTCTTCCAAATCCTTATCGGCCACATCAGATCCTGGAGAATTTTCTCCAGGACATGACCACCTATGCATCCCTGACAGCACCATTTGAGAGGAAACGAAGAGAAAGACTCAAACCATTATCTATTTAAATTGTGCAAGATCTCATGTAGATATAAAAGCCACACAACCATCTCTGCTCTCGGGAAGCTCATGTTAGTTAAGTTGACCTTGCACAGCTGTGGTCCAGCCCTCACTCAGGCTTCCAGTCCATGTCTGTAACCAGAAATGACAGCACTCCAGCTTTCTGGCAACTCATCCCCATCCTTACCCCCACCCAGGCAGCCTTTATCCTCTGGTGGGAAGAGAGAGCAGATGGAGAAACGACTCCCACTCAATTCCTAAATAATACCAGCTTCAATTCCCATTAACTGTGAATTTGCATCCTTGTCTAGGTAAGAACCAAGGGAGCAAGAGCCTTGGGGACGCTGGCAGGCCAGGGCAAAGGTTAACAGCAAAGCCCTGGCTGCCTGCCAGCCTGCCCTTCTGAGGACATGGCCAAGCAGTGGAGAGGTAGCATGCTCTAGCAAAGAGCACCGCTCCTGCCATCAGGACACCTGGCTTCTGTGCCTGCCCAGCCTCCAACAGAGGAGTGACCGCTCTGAGACTGTGTTTTCACATATGTAAATTCCATCCTACCATCTATTCATTAAGAAGACATGCATTGAAAGGGTTGGATTAGATGAGCACTAAAGACTCTTCCAGCTCTAATGCTTTGATGCTAAGGAAAGCTGAGCTTTCTTTAAAGCTTCCTTAATGTGCTGCACAGTGAGGGGCTGAAATCCAGGACCCCTAAGGCAGATCAGGTCAGTCTGGCATCACACAGCCTGAGCTGGGGATCCCTGGGCCTCGGGTTCCTTAAAAACATATAAAATGAGAATAATGATTCCTGTCTTTTCATTCCTGCTTTTTAATCTGACAAATATTTATCAATTGCCTACTTATCAGGCACTGTGCTGAGAATACAAAGGTTAAAAAAAACACCTTGCTCTCATTGAGCATGAATTCTGCTGGGAGGAGGGAGACAAAAAAAATTTTTTAAATATAATTTATACAGTATATCAGATATGTGCTATGTCAAAAAATAAAGCAGGAGAAAGGGACAGAGAGTGCTTGGGAGGGTGGGGAATACAAGTTGCCCTTTTAAACAGAGTGATCAGGGAATGTCTCTCGAGGACATTTGCATCAGGATTTTTGCAGGGATCAAATTAGGTAACTGCACAGCGCTGGGGATGCAGTAAGTACTCAAAAAGGCAACTAACGATGGAGTTCATAACTTTCGCAGCCTGGCTGACAACTGGGGCTGATTTAAATATATACCTATGACCCGCTTTTTAACCCATGCCATTGTCACCAACCCACGTCCTTTCTGAGGCAGAATCTGTTTTCAGAATGAGGCTTGTCTGCTTTCTCCACTGAGAGCCATTAACCTTCTCGGGTTTGCTTCTGCCTTCAAGACCATCCTATTCCTTCCCATAGACCATATTCCGTCTGTATCTTCTTCCCCTGCACAGATGTGCATTCTCCACCCCACTCACTGTCCTCAGTTAAATGTAACTCTTTCCCCACTCACTCACCCTCTGTATCCCCTGCCCTCTCCTCCAAATCACACTAATTTTTTAAAGGAGTGATACAGTTTGGATGTTTGTCCCCCCCAAATCCCATGTTGAAATGTGACCCCAATGCTGGAGATTGAGCCAGTGGGAGGTGTTTGTGTCACAGACATGGATCTCTCATGAATGGCTTAATGCCCTGCCCATGGTCATGAGTGAGTTCTCACTCTATTAATTCATGTGAGAGCTGGTTATTTGAAGAGACTGGCACTTCCTCCCCTCACTCTCCTGCTTTCTCTCTCACCATGTGACATGCCGGCCCCCCTCCACCTTCCACCATGAGTGGAAGTTTCCTGAGGCCCTGACCAGAAGCAGATGCTGGCACCGTGCCTCTTGTACAGCCTGCAAAACTGTGAGCCAAATAAACTTCTTTATAAATTACCCGGCCTTTAGTATTCCTTTAGAGCAATGCAGAATGGACTATAGGAATCCATTTTGAACTTTATCGAAATGCAAAAAGGAGGAAGGCGAAGAGAAAAATAAAAGGGAGGAGAAAGAGGAAGAATAACAAAAAAGAGACAAAGAAGAGAAACACCACCTATATTATGGGTGAGTTTTAAATCTTAGAAGTCAGCCGCAGAATTAGTGATTAAGGAAAGAATACTGTAGGGGGTCTCAGTGTTAAAAATACTTGAAAATGCCTTTCACAAGTTTGACTTCAGGGAGAAGAAGCAACAATCATTTACTGAAATGACCATCTATATGTCTGATATGAGGAATGTGAAAGACTAGAGGAAAACAGAAGAGTTTGAATCGTCCTCCCATTCAATGATTGTTCTGTACACAGCTAACACATGCATTGTTATGCCTGAACTACAATAAGCATTGAATGTATCTTTTAGGTTATTAGGTTCTTCGATTATTTTTCCCAACTTATATATCCTTTTACACTACTGAGCAGATAAAGTCATTCCCTCCCTCTATATACAGGTGTGTGTCATTTTACTAAACATTTTGCATTAAAATGTGCATTTTTGTGCATATACATAAAAATGTAGCTTTCCTTAGACTCTGGTGCACTTCTTTAATAAGATGAAAAGCCACTGTGCCAGCTATACCGCTTATTACTATGCATTCATGTAACCTTTTGGTTGTTTCACTGTAAATTAGATTAAGTGAAGTGAACCTATAACATGCGTTTGCCTTACCATAAATCTGCCTGTGCTGGCACTCATCGAACATTTAATAACAAATAAAAGATGGGTAATGACCAAGCAGCTCTTGCCCATAATGCCTAAAAACTAATTGACTCAATTCCTCATTTATTTTTTTAACCTTTCAGCACTTTCCAGGCCAAGAGTCAAATGAGGATCCCATGAGAACAATCTGGCTCATACATTGGTTCCAAAGATGGGGAATTTGCCTCAAGGTTGTAGGAAGATTGAGCTTATCACAGCTCTTTCATTAAGAACCTAAGAAAGTACTTTTTTTCACATCAGTTATTCAAAGTCACTCTTCCCCATCCCTCAAAGGCTGGGCCAGGACGATCCAGCCTTTTAAGATGGCAACTTTCACTAAGAAAGAAGAATTTAGGGAAGGAGGAAACAAATGTTGAGTAGAAAAACTAAAGACACTGGGGAAAAGTAATTAGGCAAGATTCATAAGAGGTTTGCTATATTAAGATCCATCTATCTCAAATAGCATCCGTTCTTTCTACAAGTTCCAAAAGTAGCTCTGTATGAAGAGAAGCAGCGGGCTCTCAGGACAGAAAGAGAGCACAGAGGTATGTGGCAGGTGTACCATCACGTGAGTGACAGAAACAGACCATCAGAGATTACAGAGTACATGGAGAAGGAAAATAACCACTAACTGCTCCTTGGAGAAATGACAAATGAAAAATGTAGACGGGTGCCTCCTAATAACTCACAATTTCTTCCCAGCTCAGGGGAATGAAGATGGGTTTGGAAAACTTACCTAATCATTTTCTAAACATTTTCAGATCATCTGGTACCAAAACGTTTTTAGACTTTTCTCAGGAACCAAGAAAATTCTTCCCTTAGAGAATATATAGCATAAGAAATTCTCCAGCCCTTTCAATCAAATAAAGTTATCAGTTGGAATAAAACTCTCTTAGCATGTCTTGGGCTATAGTATAGGGCATTGTACTATATTTATTAATAAGGCACAAATGAATGCTATGAAGTTCCAACAGAAAATTAATTTTTATATGTATTCAAAGTAGGGTTGCCAGATTTAGCAAATAAAACTACAAGAGCCCCATGAAATCTGAATTTCAGATAAATAACAAATATTCATTTGGTATAAATATGTCCCATGCAATATTTAGTATTGACTTGTGCTAACGAAATTATTCATTGTTTATCTGAAATTCAAATTTAACTTGGCTTAAGTATTTTTCTTGCAACCCTGGCAAAATGCCTCCTCCAGGCAACCCAGAATCTATCTGGAGATAATCACTAAGTCTATAACAGGCCAAGCTTCAAGGAGTTAAGAAGTTATCAGTGAGGAATTTGGATTAACACCTGATAAGTAATGTTCATTTGATAGTGAATTGAAATAGTGCATTTAAGGATCCTCCCTGAGAAGGATTTTATGCCATAAAAATATATTCTTCCTTTGGTAACTAACAAGTGAATCACTTCAAATACATGTCTCTCTTTGGGATTCAGGTATATCATATAACCTCTTCTCTCCATCCCCTAAGTGTAGACTTAGGAACTTTCCCCACGTGGAAAGAAAGCTGTAATCTGGATAGGTGTGCATGAGACCTGTACCTCCCCCTACAATGCTTCTAGCAGGGAAAGGGGCCTATGAATGCTACTGCCTTTTCAGAAGGTGAGAGGAGAAGCCACTTTCCTAACCCTACATCCCTAGTGTCATGCTGGGGCTGGGCCACTCCCAGAAATCTCCCAGAGAGCCTTCCTCCCTACTGCAGTTGCTGAGAGGAGAATAGCAGGCCAAAGGAAAAGTCATCCTTATAAAACAACCAGCCATTTGCAGCAATTTTATTTGCAAAGATTTCCTGCTGTGGCTAAATGGTGTGGCTGCTTGGTTTGTTATTTAAAAGAGTGACCCTAGTGAGACCAGAGCTCTGAAGGGGTGGAGAGTCTGATTTCAGAGCAGGGTAAGTAGGAGGAGCTTGAACTGAATGTGCCTAATTGATTCCACTGCTGCTTTTGAGCGTGCTGTGCCTGGTGATAAAACTGCAGACTTGGGGCTAACTCTATAAACCCTGTTAGTCAACCCCAATCCTTTCTGGATCCTGATAGGAAACTATACTAAAATATTCTCAAGACAGGCAGGGATTACATTCAAGAACCAGAAGAAGATGTATTTGGATGGAGAGGAAGGAAAAGAAAGACAATGGAGATAAGGGAAGAATGGAGGTGTATGGACAAGGGAGACATCCAAGAGATGTCCAGCGGGCAGGCAGGTGCAGAACCCAAGTAAAGGCAGGGAACTGGGGCAGTTTGCAGAGGAAATGCTTTAGTGGAGAAGTAGGTAGGTAAATCTGAAGACACTTCTTAAGCCGTACATTTGGGAAATCAAGTGAAGCTGGACTCCCTCTCTCTCTCAGTCTCTCTGCTCTACACTGGTGCCTGAGGAATTGATGAATAATAATCCTTATTCCCTGTAGGACTGCTACACTGGAAAAGACGGATGTGGGCCTCTAGGACTGAGTAGGGCCACCTTCCTGGGTGGCCACACGGGAGCATCTCAGGCCTCAGAGAGATGGCAACAAAGGTTAAAACCAATTGCGATTTCAGAGATATGTGGTTAGAAACCAGGCTTCAGAGATGACATTTACATTGTAATGTAACATAAGCCAAGCAGGAAATAATAATATCTGCAGATCATTGTTTACCCAGCAGAAGTTTTAAGTTAAAAGTAGGCATTCCTGGGCCATATTTATGAGCTTTAAGGTAACATTCACTTGATTTCTTCGTGTTGTTGGGCAGATGTTTTAGTCTCAGTAGTCCTTCACTGTTAGCTTTGGTTGTAATTAGCAAACATTTGGGAAAATAATCTGAATCAGATTTGAATTTAACACGAAAAGCAGTGGGAGGAAAACCAAAGCTACAGAACTGAATCAACAGTACATTTTTCAAGGGAATCTTTATTATCTTGCAAGAACAGAGCAGAACGGGAAGGCTCCTGCAGAGCAGGTGTGCACTGAGTCTTGGAGGGCGTCATTCACTTCCGTGTGCCATGCACTGTGCAGGAAATGGGGTCAGAGAAATGAGTGCTATGGGAGGGTCACTACTCTCACAGAGCTCACAGGGAAGGGAGATAATACAGCATGCAATTGCCACAGTTTGAAGAGTGGCTTTATCTGAAAAGTACAAGATGTAGTGAAGGCAAATAATACAGTAATCTTATTCTGAAGCTCAGGAAAGACTTCCCAGCAGAAGTAATGCCAAGACTGAAGCCTGAGGAATCTGACAAATGAAGAGCATGAGGCAGGTAAGGGAACATCAGCACCTGTGTTTGGTGGGAAGGGGCACGCTGGAGAGTAAGTTTAAGACAGAGAGAGGAAAGAGCTGGAAGCAAGAGAGAGCATGGTGTTTTTGAAGAACTAAGCTCAGTGTTGCAGGAAGGTAGCGTGCAAGGCAGAGAAAAGCATGAGAGAATTTTGGAAAGACAGGCAGGGCCCATGAGGCTGAAGTCTTTATAAACCATATTAAGGAGAATGGACCTCATTAAAGGAGCAATGAAAAGCCTCTGAAAGGTATTAAGCAAGAGAATGATGAAATCACATTTTTAATTTTGATCACCCTGGCTGCAATGTAAATTGAAAAGCAGCAGAACTTGGAGGAGGAAGATCATGTAAGAAGCCCTGTAGTAATGCATGTGAGAAAAAATGGACTGGGATGTTGTAGGAGAGATGAAAACAAGAACGGCATTCCAGAGGTATGGGGAGACTAAAATCCGGGGCAAACAGTACGATTGACTATGAGGTGTCAGGGATGTGGAACCAAGGGCATCTAGGAAATTTTTATTTTAGGTAACTTTGTAATAGAATACATCATTGACAGGCAGTGCAGATTTGGCTAGGAGAGGGTGGGAGACTAGTGGGAGAAGAGATAGAAGTTGAGCTTTGGATACTGTGAGTTCGAAGTGCCCATGGAATCCAAAGAAACATATCTGGCCACAGCTAAGAATACAAATTTAGAGCTCAAGGGAGAGGTTGCAACCAGAGATGTCACTTTGGAAAATATACAGACATTAATTGTATCCTTGGGAATGGATGAGAAAGGAAGAGGGTCTAGAACCCCAAGAAGTGCCCATATTTAAGGGATGCATAAAACAGGAGTGTGCTAAGGAGCCCCAGATGGAACTGGAATAGAAGGAAACCAGAGAGGTAGAAGAAAAACCAAGACAATCTGTGCCAAGCAAGGGGCAATACCTAGGGATGATGGAAAGAGGAACCTCTAGAGAGTTGATGGTGGAAGAATATCAAGATTGGATCACAGATATAACTACTGTGAACCTGGTTTGAGTTTCAACCCTGAATTGAAGCTGTACTCTACAGACTGCAGTCCAGCTCCCTGCTAGAAGTTACCCACTCAACCTCCACTATATGTTTTTTAACATCCCAAGTACACCTTTTAATATTTTATTTATTAAGCTAGATAGTGAGTACCTGAGTATGCATTAAGTTTTTCTGAATACCTTTCTGTACATCTTAATACAATTAAAAATAATTTCAAAGGGATGTCCAACACATTGTTGAATGAAAGAAATCAAGCTATTGAACAGCAAGTATACTTATATTTCCATATATGTAACATTGTGTATTTATGTCCATATAAATGTACATGCATAGAGAGATATCTAGAAAGATGTTCACGAATTATTTCTACAATGATTATCTCCAATTAGTTGGATTTAAGATCACTTTTATTTCTAAAACACACTTCTTTATGTTCTATTTAGTTTGAATTTTTATAATGTACTTACATAGAAGTTTTATACAAATAATAAAACCACGAAAGTATAGTATAGAATCTTCTACCCCACAGAGTCATTTAATACCCCACGGAGGATGCACTGCAGTCACGGCTGGGTTATGCAAGATGAGGGCTTGCCAAACAAACCAGACTAAGAGTAACTGTAAAAGCCACCTCTATAGCAGCATCCTCACCCTTAAAGGCAGAGGCTGGAGGAGGAAGAGACAAAAACCAAGCCTGTTTCTTTAAAGAAAGAATATCCTTCATACGACTACAGATCCGCATAACCTGTTCTTCAATCTTACTACAATACGGCAACATTCCAAAGGTAAGCGGACTGGTCCTCCCTTATTTCTAAGTCTCCTGCATCTTTCTTTGCGATCAAGTAGTACTTACAGATCAGAGAGGCCTAGGTTCAACTCCAAACTGACCACTCACTTGCAACATGACATTGTATAATTTACACCTCCAAGCCTATTCTTTCGTATTGTAAAATAGAAACAATTGTTAAAACCTGACTTATAGAGTTATTTTGAGGATCAAATGAAACCAAACATGCAAAACCCTTAGAGTAACATCTAACACATAATAAGTGCTCAATAAATGAAAGTTGTTTTGGCAAGGTTGGATCCAAAACACTCCCCCAATCATGACCAATTGCCATGCCCAAGGCCAGGCTTCAACCTGCTACCGTCTTGAACTGTTCTTCCTGCAGTTTCTGAACTTCCAACCCCAGTCTTTGAAGCTCCCCTCTCATCTCCACCATCAATGTGCCCTCTGTTCCACACTCACCTATTTAGCATATTGGACTGGTAGATTCTCTTCTCGTGGGTGTTGTAACAACTGCTTTTGGGCTCAGGGATGAAGCTGTGCTCAGACAGCATGTCAGAAGCAGCAGTGGTGATTATGGCAATTCCATCTCTCACTCTGGCGGGGAGGCCATAGTCCCATTCATCATATGATACAGAGATGAGCCCAGTGGGGAACTCCGCAGGCACTGTGTCTGTATCCCCTGCCACCAGACTGGGCACGATCCACGTGTAGCCATAGCCAGTCAGCCCTACTGAGTTGGCCACTTCAAAGATGTAGGTGGCTTCTTCCTTGGTACAGTAAAGAAGAATGATGGGGCTTTGAAGTTTCTTGAGCTGATTCTGGATCTTAGAATCTCCATCGTCCAGGGACATGTCCAGTAGGAGGACCTCCTCTAGCTCCCAGCCCACAAAGCTATTCTCAATGGTGCTGCGGATCTTGTTTACAAAGTCCTGGTAGCCAGGGAAATAGGTGGTGACGATAGAAAAGATGTACCAGTCATATTCTTCCATGATGTTGAGCATTACGGAAGCTTGCTGTTCAATTGATGGGCCAAACTGGAAGAACATGGAGGATTCATCCTAGAAAAAGAACAGGACAAAAAAAGGAAGAGAGAAAAAAATCAAACCAAAGATGGTAATGGAGATTTTGAACCAAGTGGGTACAAAGATTTGTGTTCATTACTTATTTTTATATAATGCCTTTACAAGTTTGTATTTACAATAAATATTTTTAAATATTTAAATTGCAGATATTTGTAATACTTTTCTTCCTAAAATTGTCTCCTAGACTTTACAGAAAATCAACCTATGTCTATACTTGCCTTGTCTGAAATCCTTGGGGTTTCTGCCAGAGCCTAGGGAAGCTCCCTAAAATCAAATATGTTAATATTTCTAAAGCAAAACATATGAAGAGTCACATAGTGTAGAATAAAGGCTCTAAACGGCCTCATGTCAGTTCAGGTCAGGTTTTGTTGTCAAATGAGCTATACAAACACAAATGCACATGCCCACACAGACATACACACACATACATACTTTCCATTTTTCAAGGCTTTTGGATTTCTTGCTTGTGAAAGTGTATCACTCAGTCACAGAGTGCATAATCCAAAAATGTCATTGAGCTACACATAAACCTATCTACGGAGGTGAGATAAGCTCAGTGGTCCAGAAGGTGAATGGTACTCAGATACAGATATCAGGGAGAAGTATACGTAGTATGAAATTGGATCACTATGTGTTCTATAAACATATAAATGTTAAATTAATATCACATTTAGTTTGCTCTCTAACTTCTACTCTGATAATAATATATGCAGAACAGAATAAGGCTCAAACAGTATGTCTAAGCTGCAAGTTAAAATTATTGCCATTTGAACTCATATCTGATTAAGCTTTACTTCAGACATATAGAAGATATGCTCTTTCTCTGACCTACAGGACACCACAGGTCTTGGTTTGACCTGGGCATTGCACACACCCTCCCGTGTCAATTTTGAGCGTCTTCTGATTTCTCCTTCCTTTCCAGGGAGAAGCCATTTTAAATGTCTCCCATTTTAAGCTGTGTTTCACCTGCTGTTCTGAGATATCAAGTCCTGCATTTTCTCTCTACCTTTAGCTAGATGAGTCCGAAAACACAAAATGAACACCCTCTCAGTCTTGTCCTCCTATTTCCCCTGATTTCCTCCTGGGTAATGGTATGTCTTTTCTTGCTCTGTGCCCCTTATCTTCTATCCCATTGGCTCATCTCCATTTTATAGCAATCCAGGCTAACAAAACTGTGTCTTTTCTAAGGGGCAGTTCCTTCTTATCCTCCAATGAGAGCTTCAAAGTACAGTTACAAGAGACCTGGGCTTTTAAACAAAATTACATAGTGGTTTCTTAGTTCAGGAACATATTGTTGTGCAGCTGAGAAATTGCTGAGCATTTCTTCAGCACCCCTTATTGAAAAAAATACAGGTTGGGAAATATCCAGCTGGTATCCAAAAATCCTGATTCGGCAATGAGAGCTGCCAGCCCCTGGCTCTGCCTGGGCTATTTGTTCTCACAGCTTGAACTTTTCACATTTTCCACAGGCTACCCAGAATGAAACCCTGGATGTTTGGTCATATAGGAGTAATTTTTCCTGGTAAGGGTGAAATGGTGCTCACCAGCACTCTCTTCTCTGGACTTAAAGATACAGTTGAAGAGGAGCTTCATAGGATCATGTAATTCAGGAAAGCAGGGAGGGTGAGGCACCAAGAATAGGTGAGTAGAAAAAAGGGAATGAATTCACAATAGAATAATTATATCATGTGTATCTATTCCAAACCCTGGCCAGTCCCTGATCCTAGACTTCTCCTACTACATGAGTACAACTCTTAGGCAAAGCTGACCTTGTCGTTAGGTTAAATAACACAGTGGGACTTTGGTCGGAATGTTTGCATCCTCCTCAAATTCATACGTTGAAATCCTAACTCCCAAGGTGATGGTATCTGATGGTATCAAGAGATGAGTGAGGCCCTCATAAATCAAATTAGTGCCCTTATTAAAGAAGCCCCAGAGAGCTACCTTGCTCCTTCCACCCTGTGAGGACAGAGCAAGAAGATGCTCTCTATGAGTCAGGGCATGAGCCCTCACCAAGCACCAAATCTACTGGCACCTTGATCTTGAACTTCCCAGACTCCAGAAAAGTGAGAAATAAGTTTCTGTTCTTTTTTATCCCCCCAGAGTCTCACTCTGTCACCCAGGCTAGAGTGCAGTGGCACAATCTCAGCTCACTGCAACCTCCACCTCCCGGGTTCAAGCACTCTCTGCCTCAGCCTCCCGAGTAGCTGGGATTACAGGCGCCCACCACCATGCCAGGCTAATTTTTGTATTTTTAGTAGAGAAGGGGTTTCACCATCTTGGCCAGGCTGGTCTTGAACTCCTAACTTCATGATCCACCTGCCTCAGCCTCCCAAAGTGCTGGGATTACAGGCGTGAGCTACTGCGCCCATCCAAATTTCTGTTCTTTATAAGTTACTCAGTTTATAAGTAGCCTGAAAGGACTGAGACAAGTGGGAATCTGGGGCAATACAATTTTATTCCAAGAATTGTCAGTGGCCTACAGAGGACGACGACAGGAAAGGAAGGCCAGTGGCAAGGTGACACCCCTAGAATAGCTGTCACTTTAAAGAGACACCCATTTGTTTTTCCTGTCATGCTTCCAGCTAAAGAAAAACTGGGGGATTCCGAAATGAGAAATATTATCACATGAGCTTCCACAAGCCCAGTGGTTATAGCAAAGTGAAGAAACTTTCCAATATGCTTTAAGATGTACAAGCTTGGGATGAAAGGGATCCCAGTGGCAAACAAAGCAGGTCTACCTATTCTGTGATAAATGAACAGATCTTATCACAAGAAGGCTCTTGAATAGATGCAAAGTTCATGTGCTATGAAACCACAGCTGGCTGAAATACATAGCAAGAGGTACAAAAGCCACGGGGGTCCATAGTAAATGGGCTTTGTTAATTAGATTGAATTTAGAAGAAAACCAATCTATTAAATACCAACTTGGCCCTCCCCTCTGTTAGGCTTCTCTTAATACTCTCTCTCCCCCAGTTGCAAGTAGCTTGTAAAGACACTGCTAGCTACTGTGTGAAGGAAGCCAATGCATAATGAGAGTGAGAAATGAGAAAAATTGATATGGCTCCATCATCCCCAACTACATCCTTACCGTACCTTCTAGTTCTACTGTCCTCCACAATCTGATCCTTTTCCTGATTCCTCTGCTCCGATTGATGCCCAGCTCAACCATTTTATTTTGCCAAGCCCTTATTAAATAAGGATGCTTTATATGACCATTTTATCTGGCACCCAAAGGAGGCTAATGAAGCCAAACAGAAGTCAAGAAACAGAATAATAGCTTGGGCCAATGTTTCCTGGTATAATGAGTAGTCCAGTTATTATTCATTTAGTTGACACATCAATATGGTATACAGTGATCAGGAATGGGACAGCTCTTTTTCAGTAAAGCTCTAGTCTAGCTGTAAGTTGCAAATGGTGACAGGCTTTGCAAATTATGGCCATAGCCACAAATAAAAGGGAAATCTTCATGTGTGCATCGAGTAGAAAGGACTGGTGGCCACACATCCATCTTTGCAGGCACCCAGCATGCACTGTGATTACCGCAAGTTATCGAGGATGAAGGACAGAGATATAATTCTGTTTGTAGCTCACTATGCTTCCCCACTTACATTTTTATCTCCTAATGTCATTACAAAATGTTGACATGCAGGGGTCCTTGGAGCAGTCTCCTCCTAGTGAAGAATCCCAGTCAAATTTATTACCTGAATGTCCTTCTTCAACTCACCTCAAGAGCATCTTTAACATATTCCTATATAAAGGGCCATCCTAACAGAGATGAATAAGCAGCACAGGGAAGGTAGAATTGTACACTAGACCCTAACAGTCTAGAACCATAATGTGGGGCCCCCATCATTTTGATGTTTGTGGTGTTTATTTGCTAATAAGAATAAAAAAAAAGAGGTGCTTTTTCATCTTATTATCTGCCTCAGAAAATAATTGCCTAAAAAATTAGCAGTACCTAAGATTCCTCTTCTGCATCATCCAGATCCCTTATGGATCCACTTCATAAATAAAGGATTAAGTGCCCCAGCGGCTGGTAGTGCCCCTGGCAATAGGGCTTCCACTCAACACCCTTGGGGACTGCCTCAGCTAAAAAAGCCCACTTCCCCAAAGCCATATCCGTTTCCTGGGGTAAATGGGACTGAATGACTGGCTGTTACAGGTGTAAAGACCTAATCTTCTTGCCCTAACTCTAGACAACTCCAAAGGGTCAGTTTATCTTCAGAATTCCCCCACAGGATTTCTGAAGCTTCCATTAAAACTGCATCACACCTGCACTTCTCCTGTCCAGCCTTGTCCAATCTTCCCTTCCCACTCATGGTGCTGATCTCAAAAGCACCCCCTAATAAACCCCCTGCACACTAACCTCAGGCTCAGAGTCTGCTTCCCTGGGAACCTGACTCTACCCATTTCCCCCTTTTCAACACCAAAAAGAAATTGCTTCAAAGAGAACATATCTATTTTCAAATACTGAAATGACTTATTTGGTAGAAAGACAAATCTTGGCTCATTAAATTCAGAGGAGAAGAGAACTGGGAACAATGAGTAGAAATATTAAAAGGCATTATTGGGCTCAATATAAGAAATGCATTTGCAAAAATTATAGGTTCTTAAAATGGAATGGGTCTCCTAAGGTAGTGAGCTCTCTGTCACTGTAAGCATTCAAACAAGAGCTGGATTATTATCTAACAGAGGGATTTTTGCCAGTACATGGGCTGGAAAATTTTATGATTATCCTTAAGACCCAATTCAAATGTCAGGTCTTTTAGGTATGTTATCTTTTCTAACTTTCCCTGGTCAACTTACTTCTATCTCCCCTTTGCTTTTATCACATCTTGTGCATGCCTCCGTCATCATACTTACACAGTAAACATGCATACTTGCCTTATCTGACTAAAAATGTTTCTCAAGAGGATAAACTATACCTTGTTCATCTCTAGATCCCTAGCTGACACATGAAACATTTTTCTAGTGTTCATTGTATTAATATTGTAGACGTTTTATTTACTGGGTGGGAGAGTAACTGAAATGAATTTGATGATCTCATCTAGTTCAATTTTTTTTTTTTTTTTTTTTTTTTTTTTGAGACGAAGTCTCACTCTGTTGCCAGGCTGGAGGGCAGTGGCATGATCTTGGCTCACTGTAACCTCTGCCTCTCAGGTTCAAGCAATTCTCATGCCTCAGCCTCCCGAGTAGCTGGGACTACAGATGCGCACCACCACACCCAGCTAATTTTTTTTGTATTTTTAGTAGAGATGGGGTTTCATCATGTTGGCCAGGATGGTCTCCATCTCCTGACATGGTGACCCGCCCACCTCAGCCTCCCAAAGTGCTGCGATTACAGGCATGAGCCACCACGCCCAGCTAGTTTCAAATTTTTATGCTGATGGCACATATCTACCTCACAGAAATAAGGCATGCCTAAAAAGTTATACATAAACTGTGCTTTTACAAAATGTGAGGGGATCCCTGTTGTAGCCAGCCAGAGTGGCAGAAAATGCTATAGTCACTTATTTACATCCCTTTGTAGCAAACTCCTTAAAAGCATCATCTATACTCAATTCTCCTAATTCCTCTTCTCCCATTCTCATAAACTGAATCCAATTAGACTTTCAACACCACCACTTCACTGAAACCCCTCTTGTAAAAGGCAGGTGACTTTGATATTGACAACGCCAATGTCCACTTGCAGTCCTCCTTATCTACCAGCAACATTTGATGTTCTTCATCCAATCCCTGCAAGAGCATGCTCAATGGTACCACTGGCTCTGTCTTAACCCCCTAGTCTAATGCTCAACAAAGAAGGATGATCTTTTGTAAACTTAAGATGTTATTCTATACCCCAAGCCCTAAAAGACTCCCCAGTGTACTACAAAGAAACAGCCAGCACCCTTGATTTTGATCCCATATTGGCCCTTGGGTCCCAGGCCCTCACTCTGCTCCATGCACTCTGATCTGTATTGAACACACTCACACATTCTTGCACCAGGCCTTTGCTGTAGCTATTTCCCCTGCCTGAAACACTTTTTCTCCAGCTACCCAGGTATCACACATGCACCTCTTCCACGTCTTTGCTAAAATCTTGCCTTCCCAACAAAGTGCTCTCAATCCTGACCACAACACGGAATGCTGAAGCCTGTCCTCACTTTTCATAGGCATATCTGATCCCCTTGTCCAGCTTTGCTTTTTCTTTTTCCCATAGCATCTCTCACCATCAGATGGACTACATGATTACTTATTTGACATGTTTATTATGAACTCACCTGCCTCTTCCCAATTAAATGTGAGCACCAGGAGGGCAGGGATCGGCATGTGTTTGTTCATTGCTATAACCCACAATTATGGAATTGAGGTCTGGCCCATAGGGTGCTCTCAGTAAATATTTGAATTTTTTAAATGGGGTCATGGATGCTGCAACCAGATGCTCTCAAATCTAACCTATCTTTGTTGGCTATCCAACTGTGATTATATTTTTCCAGCATCTTAAAGTCTTTCACATTATTCAAATCTTAGTACTGTATAATATCATAGGGAATATAATCCTGTTAGTACACTAGTATAGTTTCAGATTAAATCAATCTGGTTTCCCTCTACTCTCTTTCCTATTATATTAATAAAGAAAATTCTCCTTCTTTTCTTCTAAATTCAGTTCTTGAGGACAATCTGTGTCTGAAAAACTCTGGAACTGGTAGGCTTTCCCTGAGACTTTCTCCATCAGATTAAGGAAGGCAAATGTAGAAATGATGGGCTAAGAGGCCAGGGTTACCCAGCTGTCCTGAGAAGTTCTGAGTACTCCATCTTCACTCCTTCCACATTTAGCACAGAGTAGAAGCAGAATATGGGAGACAAAAAATCTCTTTCTCCTCCCAAAATAAGGGGAAATACTTTCCTCTACTCACCAAATCCTAAATGATCATCTCCTTTGATGAGTAGAAATTCTGATACCACACCATCATTTTTTTCTGGTGACTAAGGCTGGAGTTAGTTCTTTAGCATGGCTTTGAATAGTGTCAGAGTTTTGCGAACAGTGTCTTGCAAGATAGGGAAAATTTCCGATGTTCTCCAGCCTCACCATTAATCAAAAATATCATGACTGAAACACACAATGGAAGCATATTGATACAGAATCATGATCTTTCCTGCCTGTTAAATGCCAGACCCATTCTTTCTTTAAACCCTTGCACACAAAGGAGAACATTCTGAGTTTTCAAAGAAATTCAAGCAGATCTGGCAAGTTTAAGAGCCACTCTGGATAACTAAACAACTTCCGCAGAAGCCAGCATTCTTTTTATTATTTGTTCTTTCAGAAGATAATTGTCCTTTCTACTTGAATTTGGCCCCATTTTCCTCCCTGACTGAGTCTCTCTTCGGATGTGCTTTAATCGCCAAATTTAAACCACAGTAGAGAAACAAACTAAAGGTATTCATTCACTTTGAGAATGTCTACAAGATTCTTGATATTCTAGGTCACAGAGACAACTTTATAGCCAGAAGAAAACAACAGGAAGTGTAATAAGAGGAGAAGAAGGAACAGGTAGATTCCCCATCACTAAGATACCTAAACGAATTACAGAAGTAAGGGAGCAAAGGTCCTGGAGGATAGTAAGAGCACTTTGAGAATGTGTTTGTGCCCCTTTGTAAGGTATCGGGACCACTAAAATCTTAACAAGACTCTTTCATTTCATTTTAAAGTAAAATTCCTTTCCTAAAAGCAATCAAACCTACTCTCAGATGGACTGACTTGTATTTTTATTAAGAGGTGCCTTTCTATAAAAGAGCAAGCTGACAAGTTCAGCAACAATCAGGTTCTGTGACTGAATAAATGTACTTTTAAATAAACACAAGGGAAGAAGGCAGGAAAATAGGAAAGGTTGGAAAAAAATGAAATGAATAGAGAAAAGGTGTGTACATATTAAACTAAGTGTTAATTAAGTAGTAGCGTTATCAATATCACACTAAATTTAATAAAATCAAGTGTGGTCAACACAAATATAGGTCTGGGCATTTATAGAATAAAATGACAGGCATCATAAAACTAAACCTAATAACCAAAGGGAAGATGAATCTTTTTCTTTTTTTGGAAGGGAGTCTAGCTCTGTCACCCAGGCTGGAGTGCAGTGGTGCAATCTCGGCTCACTGCAACCTCCATCTCCCAGGTTCAAGTGATTCTCCTGCCTCAGCCTCCTGAGTAGCTGGGACTACAGGCGCCCGCCACCACGACCGGCTAATTTTTTGTATTTTTAGTAAAGACGGGGTTTCATCGTGTTAGCCAGGATGGTCTCAATCTCCTGACCTCGTGATCCTCCCACCTCGGCCTCCCAAAGTGCTGAGATTACAGGCATAAGCCACCGCGCCCAGCCATCATTTCTTATTAGGTATGAAATACTAAATCCAAAATTGCCTTATCTCATCAAAATCATCTTATTTAACTTAAGCCGAAAGGACAGCATCTACAAAAGAACTGTGATTATTACTAAAGAGCAGAGTTAAGTGCAAGCCAGTGATGGCACTTGACGTACTAGCGGCATTTTTCAGAGTAAAGATGTTGACATTTGTCTCAAATAAATTAACATTCCCATCTCTTCAAACACATTTGATCAGAACATCACGTTCATATACCAAGGGGAGCAGAGAAGCGGAAGGGTAGAAAAGGCATTTTATATTTGATTAAGCTATGAGTGCTAGTACCTCATGTGTTGCTGAAAATAACACAAGCACTGGTTCTAGATACAGTGATCTTGCTTGTACACATGGGCCTCTTCAAGGGATCCCTGGGAAACAAAGGGCTCTTTGCCCTTCTGTCCCAGCTCCATATGGAGTGAGAGACTAGGCATGGCTGAGTTTAAAATGTGGATCAGTCATGCTTGTTTGGCCACAGATTAACAAGCCATTGTCTCCAAAGGCTAAATCCAGAAAGAAGTTTTCTGAGAAAGTTTTTTTTTTGTTTGGTTTTTTGTTTTTTGTTTTTTCCACCAAACATCCAGCGATGTGTTTTTCTAGGTCTCTAGATTGGAAAACTGATCACTACTTCCTCACATATAGCAAAGTACGGCTGTTCACAATCAAAGAGGCTTTGAATTTATTCACATCTCCCAAACCAATTTGGTCCTCCATCTAAAAGAGGCAATGCATTTTGAAGGGCTCCAGAAATGAAAATAAAATTGCACAGAGACAGATTAAAAAAAAAAAAATCTTCCAACAACTTGTCAGCACCTGCATGTCCCAGCTTCATTCAACTATAAGACTTTGAACTTTAGTCACCAAGTACTGCCTTCTGATCTTTAAACCAGGATAGGCCAAGTACTGTCCTCACCGACACCATCTTCTAAAGCTGGCTGGGCTGCTTTACACCCAGGAATTGGTGCACTGATTGTGAACCTGGCTGGGTTCAGACATGGCCACCCAGATGAAGCCTGTCTTTTCGTGTGCCTCCCACGTACTCAATCCAAAGGACTAAATCACTTCCTCATGTTCTGATTTTTATTCCAGTCTCCCGTGGATGAGGAGCCTTATTCAGAGCCTCCAACTACATTGGACGGTCCATGAGAAGCTGCCTAAATCCTTGATGCTGGGCTTCCTGTACCTACAGATGCCAGCTGGGGTCTGACACATCTACCGTTTCCTGTTCTATACGAGATGATTAGGGCATTATTAGTGTCAACACATCTGTGTTGCCTTTTTCCATTACTTTGTCAAACTCCTGCACACCCACACTAGCCTGAATCCCACCAAGGGGGTTATCTGTTCTTAAATAGGGACTCAGAGCTTGCTGACCTCCACCCTGTGGCAGGCAACCCCATGGCAGGGTTAAGTCCAATCTTTCCCAGCTTTCTGACCCTCCCTAGACCTTGGCCTGCAATACAAATTGTGTTCAGTGTTTGATTGGTTGCATCCAAGTTTATTTGAGATTTTCTTTGTTTTCTTTATACTGAAAATTGCTCTCCTTTTCCAGAATTATTCAACTTTTTCTTTTACTCATTTATGGCTGCTGGTTATTAGCACTAAAAATGGATGTTTAAGACTTCTGAGGTTCTAACTGCTTACCTTCATTTTCTTTTCTTGATCTCTAACTTTCCTGGGAATAGACACGTGAAGTTTCATTGAGAGTGCAATACAATCCACTAGGATGGATGCCCAGCTCCTAACCTGATACAGGGAGAAACACACGAAAACTACTTTTCTAACCACACAATTGTGTCCGCAGTCCTAGAAAAGAGCCTATCCTTCTCTATATCCATACCAAAAAAAAAAAAAAAAAGGATATTAGTTTAGAACGTACAGAATGCTAAGGATCCAGTTGCCAACACAGTCAAGAGACACTCTCTCTGGCCCAGCCCATCCCCTCTGACTTACCAGTACTAATCCTGTCAACATTCCTGGAGCCCATCTTGTCCCTCCTTGCTGCAATCAGCACTGCAGCCCAGGCTGTGACCTCTTCCTTCTTTGCCTCCATTTTTACACAGTCCTAATTCCACAGATAAAGACCCCAACGGAATGCTCTAACCGGCTAACACCGTTGGCCCAAAAAGTGTTGCCATCCTCCCCTGTGGGACCTTGGGTAGCTGAAATGCTGTTGCTATCTCAACTTGACTCTGGGAGATGGACCAAGCCTGGACAAGCAGCAGAAATCACTCATGGAAGGTGCCAACGTTGATGGAAATAAGAAAAAATCTTCCCTAGAAATAAGAACTTGGCAAGTAAAAGAATGGTCTATTTACTCATTTTTATTTTGAAATTTGTTTACTTGTTTGCTTTCAAACCACATTCAGTGGTCTCCAACATTTCTATTGTTGATGGCATTTCACCCGGATACTTTTCCTCTGATGGAAGTTGACAAGCAAGAAAGAGGTCCTTGAAAGAAAATGTCATTTGTTATTTCAAACAGAAGGAAACTCGGGGCTTATTCTTGCCCCCATCCTCGTCAGACTCTGGAGTACACAGTCACTGTTATAATCAGATACTAGTACTTATTAATGGCTAATCTGAATCCTTCACAATGGGGCCTCTGCCTATAAATGAATCATCCCAGACAAGTATGAGTGCAACATGCAGTCTCGTTATCTTTAGAACTGGCAGTAAATCAACTCACCTGAAGCTATCAGGCTCACATCGGCCAACTGTGAATTCTGATCCATGCTAACAAAACAAAATGGGGGCAACCTTATGGCTCAGCAATGACATTTTGATGTTAATTCGGTACTGCCTAAAAGTGCCAATCTGCTCATCTTTTATAAGCACAGATGAAACTCTCTGTTAAATGCCAGCCCAAGATCTCAAAGAACAGACACTAACCAGAGTACCCTGAGAACACATTAGTCCAGCTCATAGTAGGACCACAACTAAACCGGTTTTGTAGAACATGAGGTGAAACTAGATTATTTTACAAGTCTTCAAAGAAAAGTCCACAATTTTCTTCAGTTACCTAAGCCGGTGAGTCCAGAAACCTGACTTTCAGAAATTCATCTCTTTGTCTGCCTTACGTCCATCGTGCTGCAGATTAAGCTCTTTGGGTCTCATGCTCTCCTTGGTGGAAGGCACATGATAAGCCCTCAAGAATATTGTCAGTATGAACAAAACTGATGTCAAGATGGATGATGGTTTGTCATTACCTTGTATGTAAAGATTATTACTAAGCCCACTCTCAGCCTTTTCTTCCTGAGCCTAAACAATCTCCCTTTCTAATTCATTTCTTATAGTTCTTATGACAATATTCATTGAGTGCTTATAGCAGGCTCCATGCTGTCCATGCAGTATGTGAATATATTTTCATATTCCATTGCAGCAGGCCCTGATATTTTCTCCATTTTACCAACAGAGAAAGTGAGCTTCAGAGACATGAAGGGTCTTGCCCAGGGTAACCGCTGGAAAGAGAACCTGTGTAGATCTGGCTCAGGGTGCACCCACCAACCACTGCAGCACACGTTCTCAAGTTTCTTTTATTCATCTCTGTAGCTCTCATCTGAACTGTCTATACATCCTTGTTTCTTTAGGAAGCACAGAGTGATTACAGTAGTCTAGTAAAAGTCTAACCTCTGCCTAGTATATTACAGAGATTATTTTCATTAATTCCTTAAGCTTCAATCCCATGCATCTATCCACTGGCACTGCTAACTAGTGATGGACTCGGTACACATTATTACTCTGCAGTGTTCTTCTACTGGACATGCATACAACTGATTCTTTGTAACATTATTGTTTGCTAATCAATCACATATTTATTAAATGCTTATCAGGTGCTGTAGGAAGTAGAAATGAAGTATAAACCATCATCAACCTCAGGCAAGCTAATTGGAAGATAAAAATATATGAAATTATTGACGATGTTCCTTAAATGCCATCATGAAGTTTAGAATATAAGTATCCTAAGAATGGTGAGAAGAGAGGGCACTATGTCTGGACAACTCTGTTTTTCAAGCTTCTTTCTACTTATCCCTCTCTTTCCCAGTTCTCCCACTAGTTTTGTGCAGTGAGCAAAGTAAACATCCATGTGCATTTCAATCCAAATGCCAGACTGTGAAAAGAAACATAAGAAACACTGGGCCTTGAACTGTTCCTTGTATTTGTCCTCAGGTGGACAATGAGCCTCTGATATCGAGTCTCAGCTAATGGGCATACCATAGAGTATCACGTCCAAATCACAGCTACAGTCTAAATGAATTATACATATCTTTTTCCATGATCTACCCAGCCTTTCATTTTCATCTCAGAAGATTAGATTAATATGACAGGACTTGTCCTTTATGAAGTCAGGCTACCCAGTTAAAAAACCTTTTTCTCTTCAAATGATTGCAAATTGATTTTGTTAAGATTTTTATTCTTCAGAAAAGCTGGGGGAATGATAATTCCTCATCTCTTCTCTTCTCTCAGTGTATTTGATTTCTTTACACTGGCCTTTTTCCTCTAGCCTTCCGACAGTTTTAATAATTATACACACTGGTCAGGAAATCAATCATGATTTCAGCGTTCCTACCGTAGAGATGATGTGGGCTTTCAAATTTAAATCCAAGCAACTCACACAAGTAGCCTAATGTTGGCCGGGCACGGTGGCTCACGCCTGTAATCCCAACACTTTGGGAGGCCGAGGCGGGTGGATCACGAGGTCAGGAGAACAAGACCATCGTGGCTAACACCGTGAAACCCCGTCTCTACTAAAAAATACAAAAAAAAATTAGCCGGGCGTGGTGGCGGGCGCCTGTAGTACCAGCTACTCTGGAGGCTGAGGCAGGAGAATGGCGTGAGGCCGGGAGGCGGAGCTTGCAGTGAGCGGAGATCGCACCACTGCACCCCAGCCTGTGCGAAAGTACAGACTCTGTCTCAAAAAAAAAAAAAAAAAAAAAGTATTCTAATGCCAAATTTTCCTTCTCCAGTTCAACTGACTAGTCCCTGTGCTCCATTCATTTAAAAAGACGTAGATGACTACCTAAATGCTATCAGTTCTCAAAACTGCCTCCATGTCTGTTAAAGAAATGTAATTTTTTTTCTAATTTTCTTACTGATGAATCAAGAGTATATTTTAAAGGCTGCTTTTATTCTTGGCATGATGACATTAAGTGGATATACACTAGCAATGGCGCCCATGTGTATTAACACTATAAACAGCAACATAGTTTCTCAACTTTTGCCAAAAAACAGCATATGATCTGAGCTAGAGGTACTTCCAGGTGCAAATAGAGTAAGGCACAATGTTTTTGTCTGTATGTTGATGCTTATTTTGGTTATCTATGTAACAATTTACCAACAGAGTTACCAGATCATGGGTTAAGTTTGCAAGTTAGTTTCACACAGATGAAAGATATCTTGGTTTGTAGGAAAATGTCCTCTTTTGTTCATATTTTTGAGTTCCATGAAGGTGCACAGGTTATCAAAATTTTCATAAGAGTCCCCAAAAGACCTCTCATCAAGAAACTCCATAGTATTAGTAACCTAGTTACAGTAAGTTATTAATATTGAAATCTTCGGTGACGAAGGGTAAGTTTGTCTCTCCTTAATTCTCTCAACTTCTTAATCCTTTCCTAATGTAAGGGAGAATAACCTCAGATTCCCCTCTCTGTTCCTTCACAGAAAGGCAAAGTTTCACCACAATAAAACTCTTCAGCTACCTAATTGTCCTTATTTATTAAATATGCACTAAAAGAGGATTTTCACTTTGCTCAGTGAATGCCTTCTAGAGTCAGAATTAGTTAAGCTTCCTTCTTTGATATGTCAACTCATCATATCCATCATGCCCAATTTTCCTTTTAGACTACCTGCCCTGGTTCACAGCTTCAGCTTTTCTTTGCACATTAAGTATTGTTAATCAGAGGTGGGTACCTGGCCGAAGCAGACCATCTTGCAGCTGCCCAGTGCCTGCAGTCTGGGCCTGGCTAGAAAAATGAGCCAGAACCATCAGATCCTCTGTCTCTCTCAGGAGTCTGAACCAAAAAAACTTGAAAGAATGGCAAGTCTTTCACCTATAACATGAAACAGAGTAAGGGCCCTGACAACCAAGGTCATGGGCACTGTGAAGTAATGAGGAAGCAGAAGCTATGGGATAGCAGGGGATGCCTGCAGTAGAGAAGGAAGTGGCTCAGATGCAAGTGGAAAGCAAAGAACCCAAGATCTTCAAAATACAGACCATATGTCCTTGAGGAAGACCCAGTAGGGAGCCAGCTGGGGAGTGGTCTTAGTTCCTCTCGGCTTTCCAACTCTAGGCACAAATATCCTCGTAGTAAATTGCCTGGTATTTTGTTTTTATTTTGTTGGTTGTTGTGCAACAACTTAGTTAGTCTTTGCTCCTGCTAATTAAAAGAGCCTAATTAAAAATAAGCAGGTGGCCGGCACGGTGGCTCACGCCTGTAATCCCAGCACTTTGGGAGGCCAAGGCGGGAGGATCATGAAGTCAGGAGATTGAGACCATCTTGGCTAACACGGTGAAACACCGTCTCTACTAAAAATACAAAAAATTAGCCTGGCTTGGTGGCAGGCGCCGGTAGCCCCAGCTACTCAGGAGACTGAGGCAGGAGAATGGTGTGAACCCGGGAGGTGGAGCTTGCAGTGAGCCGAGATCGCACCACTGCACTCCAGCTTGGGCAACAGAGTAAGACTCTGTCTCAAAAAATAAATAAAATAAAATAAAATAAACAGGTATAAAGGCTACCGCTAGTTACTATTTCCTTGTTTTACAGTATCATTCTTGGAATTTATTCTACAGCTTCCCATTTTCATGAGGCAAACATCTGCCTCCATGACGTTTACCTTGCTCAGAATGCAACACAGCAGAGCTAAGGTGAGAGTCAGGTTTAGTCCCCTGGCCTGAGACAGGGGACAGAGTGCCCTCAGTAATGCAAGGTCACTCACACAAGAACCCTCCCACCCCCTCAAGGCCCTTTTCTTATTTCCCATTCTGTTTTCATCCCCTGTCTGGTTGTAATATTCATTCAAGTGTGGCTTTTTTTTGTCACACGGTTCTCAAGATGGATGGCAAGCTCACCACATTCATACTCAGTGTTTCGTGCATATGCTCCCAAGTTCCCAGGCACGTCTCTGGAGCTGTAAGGGTATACATTTGCAGCATTTCTCCATCTGTTCTTTCATCTATCCAGCCACTGGTGTTTATTCAGTATGCAGCTCATGGCTAACAGAGAATTGGGCATAGCAAGCAGGGACAATTTACTTGGCGATAAAGTCAAATCATGCACTTGAAGATTTATAGTTTGCTTGGAGATTAAATACTGTTTGCATCAGCAAGCTGAGTAATAGATGCTAACAAAACCATATCGCCTTCACAGGCATAGCAAGGGTTAATCAGAAGTTGCTTACAAACGTGCCCCCCAAATAATAAATAAGCAGGTAGATGGGGGCTGGTATCCCAGATTATGTGGGGATAATCAAAGATGAGTGAAGCTGCATGAAACCCTGGGATATGGTGGCTGCTCCACATGTCTGAAGCCAGTGGGACTCACACAAACCTCCATTAGGACTTGAGGAAGGTTCTTTGTGCAATATCAAGCAGATGTTAAACTATGCGGAAAGTTAGCTATTTATTTTATCTGAACTTCTATTTTGTTTGAGTTTCTGCTCATCTTTATATGGTTCTTGGTTTCTAAAATTTTCACTACATCCAGTTCTCTGCAGCTGCAAGAAATGAAATTTCTCCTATCTTGCTCTGCTCTCTCAAGTACCTTATCAGTGGGTCCTGAACAAAGGCCAGATTCACCAGTATTCAGCTTTTCCTCATTGCACATAAGGCTGATCTGCACTTTGTTCAAATCACATCATTCCCCACATCCTTAAGAATTTAGGATGAAAGAACTGGCTCTGACCATCAAGGTTACAGCTTTGTTTCTTCCAAATCATTGGGTGTTTCACACTGGCCAATGAAGTGTCCATGATCACTTCAAAAGAATTTAATGTTCATTGACACTGACCAAGTCTGATTCACTTTGAATATATCAGAATATGACAAGGTAAGACATTAAGTTTACCCTATATCAGAATAAGACAAGGTAAGATATTAAGTTTACCCTCTGTAAAATGGTGGTTAAGCCGTTGTCAGAAAGACTAGTTTCTGAAATATTTAATAGGCTTCACAGAAATTTGGTGTGTGAGAGGAGGTTACAGAGTTACTTGTTAGCACAGATTTAAAAGTCAAATAAACATCAATTTAGCCCTTGGTATTAGCGTCTCAACACAAGCCACAAAGAGAGTTAGATATGTGCTATTTATTCCTGAGAATAATGGTCTAAAGGTATTCTGTAATGGACAGGCCCTGGTGTGTGTTGTTCCCCTCCCTGTGTCCATGTGTTCTCATTGCTCAGCTCCCACTTATGAGTGAGAAGCTGGAAGCCATCATCCTCAGGCAATTTATTATGAGGATATATGTGCAGAGTTGGAAAGCTGTGAGGAACTAAAGATATTCTGTAATGGATTCTATCTGACAAGAACCAGGGGCACCAGCCTCCAGAAACCCCTACAAAGTTTTACTCCCCGTATTTCTTCCCTAGGTGCCTCAACTTTCTGAATGATTTCGACAACTGGTTTCTGTAGCCACCACTTCACAATGGCTCCTAAGTAACTGATATGGTTTGGCTCTGTCCCCACCCAAATCTCATCTTGAATTGTAGCTCCCAAAATTCCCATATGTCATAGGAGGGACCCAGTGGGAGGTAATTTAATCATGGGGGTGGATCTTTCCTGTGCTGGTCTTGTGATAGTGTATAAGTCTCACGAGAGCTGATGGTTTTATAAAGCAGAGCTCCCCTACATAAGTCATCTCGTCTACTGCAATGTAAGACATGCCTTGCTTCCCCTTCACCTTCTGCCATGATTGTGAGGCCTCCCCAGCCATGTGAAACTGTGAGTCAATTAAACCTCTTTCCTTTATATATTTATCAGTCTTGGGTATGTCTTTATTAACAGCATGAGATTAGACAATACAGTAAAAAACTAAAATTTAGACTTTCGTTTTGATAAACCTACACAGTTTTACAAAGAAAGATTTAGTAAGTAGCCAAGGTAACAAAGCAATAATTTCAAAACAGAGCAGAAGCATATTGCTGCTATAAAAAAAAAAGAACTGGATTTGGAATCAGAAATTTAGATTCAAATCTGAATACTTAGCTGTGTGATCTTTGAAAGGTTATTTACCATATCCAAACCTCATTTTCCTCCAGAATATAAAAGTGCTAATTCTTAGCTCATAGAACTGTAAAGAGGATTAAATGAAACACTACATAAGAAAGTGCTCAGTACAGTGCCTAGCACACAGTAACTTCCCTGGTTCATTAAGTGTGAATCTATTGACCACATATTATAGCCAAGAATATACGTGAGGATGCGTTTCATTTCATATTGGTTTACAAACTGGTTACGTTGTTAAATTAACCATCACTTTCATTGTCCTCATCATCTAAGCATCAGTCATATCTGATCAAAAACACAGCTTCCGAGTTTGACTGGTCCTTCAATGCAACCTAGAACAGCATGGGCTCCTGAGTTGTCCCTTCTGAATATGTCAGAACACTCCACCTCCTCAGGGCCTGGTGTGGGTCCCACTGATTTTTCCCATGACTTTAGGTCATTCACTCAGCTGGATGATTGCTATGATTCCTGGCCCAAGAGAAATATCTTGCCTCTTTCCTGCTTCTTACTATATAGTCAGATGTCTGAAGAATGTTCAACAACCCATTGAGGATACTGATTCCACTGTTCCATAAAAGTCACGTTCTTCAGCTATTATTCCCAGCTATCACCCGGTCTCAGATGGATCAGCTCCCTCTGGGGAGGTTTGGTTTGTGCCACTGATGGCTCTTTTACCATCAGGTTACCTTCCTTTGCCAGCCACAATTCCACTTCACTATCTTAAGGAAAACAATCTCTTTCTTCCCATGTGAAAATCTAGATTTCCTCTAGGCTTGTCCACTCTGAGTTCTTCCCCAATCTGAGGAATGCCACCAGCTTTTTGTCTCATCTGCAGACTGGTTTGCTCTGAGCATAAAGAAAAGCTAAACCACCCACTTCTCACTCCCATTCATGCCCCCTGCTCAGTCGACAAGCTCCACCCACTTGCCCTGATTCTTTGGGATGATTCATCAGCTACAGTGTACTCGCTGAAGTATCAATTTAATATCAGCGCATCATAATTTTACAATATAAAATTCTCTAAGCACACACATAAAATAATGCAAAGTAATTCCTACTGATAAAGAAGCAGTATTTAAATCATGTCTGCACAGAGTAAATACCTGAACTAAGAGCAAGAAGAGGTAAGGCGGAAGTAAAACTTGAAATTCTGAATATCTGAATCACTTAAGACACAATTCTATCACAGGCAAGTTTGCAACCTTGTAAGAGGTTTTTTTTTCTTTTACAAATCAACCAATTTCTAAATATCTTCACAGGACTATAAAATAATCACACTTTCCATTGCTATTTCTCAGGATCAAAGCCACCCCCTGCTCTATAGCAAATGTATTCTCATTTAACAAAGTCTCAGCCTCCATTCTCACCCACATCCTCAAAGGTGAAGTAAATGCTCTAAGGTCCATCCTCTGGAAGGGCCCAGAGATACCATGGACTATAGATGGGTGGATTTCACACTCCAACACAATCATAGGAAGAACTCTTGAGCAGCCCCAGACCAATGGGGTGATGGGTTGGAGGGGACAGTTAGAACTGCAAAAGTGACCAGTGTTTCCAGGTACCCACCTAGTGACTCACAGACATGTACTTGGCAAGTTCCTACCCATCCAGCAATAAAGGAACTGCGAGTCTTTATGAAAGAGACAAAATATCCTCTATTTGGAGGCCTATATTTCCCCCAAGTCTAATTTTTTTAGGTCTAAAGTAGCTAGCATGTCCTTAGTTGAGTGTGTCCATGCACACACCTGCACAATATTGAATGTTTATGTACAAAAATGCAGAAATGAGTCATCTCAGATCTGTACATGCAGAGCTACGCATCTGTCAAATACACATGAGGTGGATCATGGTGCCATGGCACCTAACACTGTTGTAAAAGCAGTTGTCTGCTTCTTCTTTAAGGTGAACACAGAGAATCACCTTGGAACAGAAGTCTACATCTTCCCAAAAGTGCTCAAAGGCAAGCAAATGCCTCTTTTTTCTCAGGAGGAGTAAAAGACTTTTGGAGTATGACGAAACTGTTCTTCTTGGTATGGGCACACTGATCTCTGGAGAAGAGGTGGAGAAAAGCCATAAGGAGCCAAGGATTCTGTTGAGAAAAGAGAGACTGATACTCCAAACCCCTTCAACATTACTAGAAATTCTTCTGTACCTTGATACAGTTCAGACTGAGACCATGGACAGCAAAGAAAAATGGTGGAACATTCCATGAGACAGTGGGGAATTTGAGAAAGAATCCAGCTTTACATAAGAGACTAGAGGTACATAGAGGGGAACTAGTTTCACACAGGATAAGGCTGAATCTGGAAGTCCTTCCAGACATACACACCCTAGAACAGAGGTCCTGCCTTGGGAACACTGGGTGAGCAAATGAACTAACTTAAAATATCGCAAGCCTAAGACAAACCAGAAAAATAAGTATAACAGTGTCTAGTACTGGACCACTCAGACTGTCCAGTTCTCTCTTCATCTGAGGTCTAGAAGCAGGCTGACCCATGGCCTGAGTAAACTCCTAGTGCTCTTGAAAAATCTGGTGTGGATACTAGAGAGAACTTCAGAAGGGAAAACTGCTTTTCTGTTAATATGAGCAGACAGGAGTTTTAGTAGTAAATTTTAAAATAAGGGATGTGATTTCTCTTTATACCCCAGCTGATAACCAGTACAAATGGGTGCAAAATTGCTTACGCAAAAGATAAAGATAGAACCACTTTAGTCTAATTTAGATAATTTTGCTAGTGGGTTTTTATCAAAAAGTGAAAAAAATAGAAGTGTAATGTGGTGAAAGGTGAGCATCCAGATGGTGAACTGTGGCTCATTTTCCTAATACATGGAAACCAGTGTGACTTCAAGTCAATGTCGTCAGGAAAAGCTCATCCCTGGGACAGCAACTAGGAATAATATGAATGGGAATAGTGCTGAGTCTAGAAGAGGCGTTTAATAATTTTACAGGCCTCAATTGAGGACAGGGTTATAGCAGAAGGGATTACTATCCACTGGATTACTAATCTTGCAAAATCAAGTGTACAAAGCAAGAGTAAATATCATTTTTAAATGGTGCCATAACATGTGCAGTGCCTTTGGTAAAGACATTTTATCAAGAGTTGTCATTGAGGGACATGTCTGGCAAACAGTTTAGCTTTATGTATTTCCTTTTAAACGCATAACATGCGTTCAATCTTTCCTGAGCACTTACCATATAAAAGGCCCTTTCCTAGGCACAAAGATTACCAAAAGTAATGGGAAATTATCCTTGATCAAATAGAGTTTACAGTTTTTACACCCAGAATATACAAGTGACACTAATGTAAAGTGAAATGTAATTATCACAAAATGAATGAAAACAAATATATGCGGCATAGGAAAGGAAGAGATCACATGTGATCATGAATCAGGAAAGTTCCCATGCAGGAGAGGTAAAATGATGATGATGATGATGATGATGATGCTGGTGCTGCCGCTGGTGATGATTATTACCAGGCATTCATGGGATTAGAGGCCAATTCCAGCAGTGGGAACAATTTAAACAGAAGTGACGAGTTGGTTCTGAGGACAGTAAAGCTTCAATTAGGCTGTCCCTTCGGCAGATATCTATCAAGTACCTAATAAACACCAAACACTGGGTTAAAGGCTGAGGATGGAGACAAGAGCCTCCTAGATCTAGCAGAGGAGCAAAAGATAAACAGAAGATAACATAATAGGTAATAACTATACTGGATTACAGGTGGGGCTTGCGAGTAAGAGCTCTGTGGTAAGATTGTCCAGGTAGGGACCAGACTCCATCATCTACAGGCTGTTTATTTTAGGCAAGTTAGCCTCTCTTCCAATGTTTTTCCTTAACTGTGAAGTGAGTTAGGAATGCACCTGCCTCTCCGGGTAAATGAGATGGTACCCGGGAAGCACTTAGCATAGTGCTGGGCACCAAGTAAGTGCTTAGGAAATAGTACTGGGAGGCAGGTATTTGTTTGCAGTTCTCTGTCTGCCTATCTGATGTCAAGAAGAAGATAGTTTCTTAGAAATAGAATTAGGGAAGAATCAGCCAAACATATTAACTTTTCAAAAGTCATTAATACATTTGTATACATTGTATTCAAGAAAATGCATCATTTCCCACTCTCATAAGCAGTATATGAAAAGTGTACCATGCCCCATAGTTAATAAATTCTTTTAAATTTTCACTAATTTGGTAGGTAAAATATGATATGTCATTGTTGTTTTAATTTCTATAGGATTACAGGGAGGCTAAATATTTTTCATGTTCATTAGTCACATATATTTTCCCTCACAAAAATAGTCTTCCCCAGTGTGGCAATTCCTCAAAGACCTAAGAACAGAAGTACCATTCAACCCAGCAGTTCCATTACCGAATATACACCCAAAGGAATATAAATCATTCTATTATAAAGACACATGTACACGTATGTTCACTGCAGCACTATTCACAATAGCAAACACATGGAATCAACCTAAATGCTCATCAATGATAGACTGGATAAAGAAAATGTGGTATATATACAGCATGGGATACTATGCAGCCATGAAAAGGAATGAGATCATGTTCTTGGCAAGGACATGGATGGAGCTGGAAGTGGTTATCCTCAGAAAACTAATGCAGGAACAGAAACCAAATACCACATGTTCTCACTTATAAGTAGGAGCTGAATTATGAGAACACATGGACACACTGGGGGAAATAACACACACTGGGGCCTGTCAGGGGTTGGTCAGGGGAAAGCATCAGGAAGAGGAGCTAATGGATGCTGGGCTTAATCCCTAGGTGATGGGATGATCTGTGCAGCAAACCACCATGGCACACGTTCACCTATGTAACAAACCTGCACATGTACCCTTGAACTTAAAATAAAAGTTAAATAATAAAAAAACTTCCCATTTTATAAATTGGGAAATTCTGAATTTTAGGAATTTTGGAAATTTTGGTAACAGAATTTCTCTTTGCACTTAAAGAGTCAGGAAAGATATAGTCCTTGAAAATTACTGAGGAGAACAAATTAATATAATCTTACACGACAGCACACATGTGCTAGTTCATTTCTTATCATATTTTAGGGAAAAAACAGAAATAAACAAGATTAATACTAAAGCAAGTGTGTGGGATTTGGGGAGCGGGAATTAGTGGGGATTAGAGCGGAGACAAGAGAATAAGCAGAAAACCTTTCAGATAAAAAGATGAATATAGGTAACAAAACAAAGAAAAAAGGAAAGACAGTGAGAGGAACATGATTATCAAAGCAAGGCAAAGAAATGGAGGAGAGGAGACAGGAGCCCCCAAAACTTCTTAAAATTAATACATTTATTATTTTATAGCCTTTCATTTCCTACCTCTGTACTTAGAAAAGTGTAGCTTTGGCTGTGCTGCTTGTGCTGCACAATGAGCAATAATGCAGGCAGGAGAGATTAATAATACAGCGGGGCAGAGCAAGGGGACACTAATGGGTGTCCCTAAGGTGCAAGTTCTCAGAGCCAAGGGAATCCCAAGCCCTATCCCATTAACCTAGTGGCTCCCTCTCTGTCCTGACCTGAGGTGAACAAGAAGAATCTAAGTAAGAATCGCTTCTGAATATGGATGTTTCAGCCCACATCCCCTTTGGAATGTCCCCTCCTGGTACTAGAAACGCAAGGGCCACACAGAAAATAAAGAGTTAAAAATGGGGCCAGGAATGGGCATGAATTGACACCAAAAGCTGCTTCCTCTCACCAACTTCCTGGAGAAGCTTCTTTTGCTCAAGAGTGATCACCTGGCCAAACTCTCATCTACATCCTGACCACTCAATAGTTTCCAGACTCCTCTAGACCTCTTCTTTTCCATGTCAATTTCAGTCCACCTCACCTGTGCCAGGAATCTGCAGGAAAGGCAAGTTGGGAAAAGGGAAAGAGGCAGAAGGAAGAGTTAAAGGAGGTCACTATCCACACTGCACTGAAGTATTCCGCAATACCCATCTTCAGAATAAGGACCTGGGAGGAGGCAGGGCTGCAGCTGTGGCTGCAAGATCCACAATGGCTGGGATTCAAGGCCCCTAAACAAGAGAAGGTGCCTAACGCTTGGTGCCTTTCCATCACTGGCTCCTGGAGAACATGGGTGATTTCTCTTCCAAAGTCTTAGGATTCCTTAGCCTTTCTCCTTTGTTCTCCTTCCCTAAAGAACACTGATATTCAGAATAGATGCATCACATATTAAAGGTGCTAAGTATTTGCCTGCAGCTCACAAGCTACAGGTGCTCCTCCCTCTTCTTGGGCAGTCTTATTGGTTTTGGTCCAAACATCAACTCTGAGGCTAGCACAATCTCTCCTAAATTTTTTACAATATCTGTGGTCTACTTTTTCTCAGTCTCTTTCCAATTTCCTATGTCTGCCTTGATTGTCTGCTATGGTTCTACCTAAAACAATTGAAATTCAAAGTCAAGCCTTAACTGGTTTCTACACAAAGGAGAAAAAAATCTACCTGTTGCATCCATTCTGTGAGCTTAATAATCTTGCAGACTTGGGTAGACCCAGGGAAAGACCGTGTTGTTGATAGAGTGGACTTTCCCTATCTCCATGGTTGTTCCACACCTCTGACCCGCTCCTTTCTTCCTCAATTGTCCTCCCATTCTTGAAGATTAAATATATGGTTTTCTTATTTTTATCTTATTCATGTAATTCTCTATATCAAGAACAGCTTCTCCCACTCTGAATCCCCTCAAACTCTCAGCTTCTACCCCAGGTGGATTTTTCAAGTTGTTTCTTCTGAAGAATGTATTACACTCTCTGAAAGGTATTCTGGAGAACACAACTTTCTTCGATCATATTACATGATGGTGCAAATCATATAAAATTAGAGAAGTTACAAGTTACAGTTCCCCATAAGCACGGCACCTTTAACAGCCAACCAGAACAGAAGCCAGCCTTAGGGAGGGGACAGGGTCTTGTGGCTCCTATTCTGCCAGGTATTTGCCCTTTAGGTGCTGACTTACAAGAAAGTCTGGGGGAATAACAGGGCACCCAGAGGCCTCAGAGCAGCTGCCATTTACTAACTAGTATAGAGAGTTCCTTATCTTAACAACTGCACAACCACATGAGTGCTTACCAGCTAAACTTTAATCAAGTGGCTCATCAAGAACGATCTTACTTGATTCCATTTTATTTGGCCAAAAATCTTTTTCCATCTCTCCCCAGTCTTCCTTGTTGTCAAATCACCTGAAACCCGTACTTTTAAGTAATCCTGTCCCTCACTTGATCGTTCATTCTTCGTTTTATATTTTGGTCCAAGACCAGTGCTCTGAGATTTTTTGGTTTCTAGGAAATCAATCCATTCTTGATCAAATATTTTTCTTTAATTTGAGGAATTTCTTTAATTGAGAAATTAACCCCTTCAAATGACCCAGAATTGCCTCTGTAGGCTTTCTAGGTTACAGATATAATATATCCCATAACCAGCTTCCTTTCCTTAACGCGACCCAACCCCTGCTCTGTAACTTGCATTGTTCCTCTTTATTTTATTTTATTTATTTGAGACTGAGTCTTGTTCTGTCACCCAGGCTGGAGTGCAGTGGTGCACTCTCACTGCAACCTCCGCCTCCTGGCTTCAAGTGCTTCTCCTGCCTCAGCCTCCCAAGTAGCTGGGATTACAGGTGTGCACCACCACACCCAGCTAATTTTTGTATTTTTAGTAGAGACGGAGTTTCACCACGTTGTCCAGGCTGGTCTTGAACTCCTGATCTCTGGTGATCCATCTGCCTCGGCCTCCCAAAGTGCTGGGATTACAGGTGTGAGCCACTGTGCCTGGCCTGGTCCTCTTTATCTTTATAGATGTTTTTTGGTTTTGTTTTGTTTTTGGTATTTTGCCAAACAGCAATCCTTAAGAATTAAGCTCTAGAATGGCACTATCCAACAGAAATATAATGCAAGCCACACATGTAATTTTAAATAGCCTGGTGGATATATTAAAATAAATAAAATGAAATAGGCAAACACATTTTAATAATACATTTCACTTAATATATCTAAAATATTAATTCAATGTGAAATCAATACAAAAATTATTAATGAGGTAATTCATGTGCTTCTGTTCATATAAACCCTTTAATTCCTAGTGTGTATTTTGTGTTTACAACACATCTTAGTTCAGACTAGCCATATTTCAAGTGCTCAGTTGCTAAATGTGGCTCATGGCTACCATACTGAACACTGCAGTTAGAGCCAAACGACCTAGTCCAGCTACTGATAGCTCCACCACTTCTTAGCTGCTCAAGCTCGGGTAAATAACCTCTCTGTGCCTCAGTTGCCCCATCTGTCAAACGGTAATAATGATAGAACACACGTCGCAAGAGTCTTATAATTTAGTGAGAAGGCACAATTCCTGAAACAGAATAAAACGTCAATAAATGTCAGCTGTTATTATCAAATGATCATTATTTTGCTATTTCTTCTCCCAATACTACTATCCATTGTTCCAACTTTTTATTGAATATACAAAAGAATGGGTGTCACCATATCAGGAAAATTCTCTCTCCAGAAACTCATTTCTCAGCCACTGCTTTTTCTCAGTTGCGGAAATAATTACCTAGAAGAGTACCATACCTTTACTAACTAGATGATACCTTTCCTGGCCTAGATGGACCAAAAGTAACACAAAAGTAAATTCACCCAACCATAGCCCAAGTATAGGACAGTGATAAGCACAATTTTTATTTACCTATTGTATGCATCCTTATTTACCATAGAGCTATTTAAAAAAAAAAAAGTCTCTTCATTTACATAAGCAACTTCAAGCTCTGTGCCTGAATTCTAGCCAGTATTTCATGAAGGTTCAGCCAGAGAAACACGTTCATTATAATTTACCCTCCCAAATATTGCAGAATGTTATTTGTGTGGCCTTTAAGCAGTTGTCATATCCATTCCCAACCATGGCTTCATTTCAACCACAAAGAATAGCAGATGCACTATGTTTCCCGAAATTCCTTTAAAAACAGTCTTGTAGATTCCAAAAGAAATGGGAACATTAATGACTGGAGAGTTGGGAATTAAGGGCTGGAGGTAGATAGTGGGAAGGGAATGTAAAGAATCCAGTCTTATCAAGAGCCAAATTGTTAACAGAGAGCAAGGGTTTATAACATGACGTGGCAGGAGAATTTACAAAGATGAAAGTCAAATGTCAAGAGTGAGAAATAATCTAAGAACCAAAATATTTGCAGAACTAGATAGTATGACATTACTTGTGGAGAAAAAAATGGATTCTTTTCAAGGCCCAGAAAAGGTATTGTAAGGGCAGGTTTTGCCAAAAAAAAAAAAAAAAGCCTTTACAGAGATGTTTGCATAGTTAAGTGGCATGGTTTATAAAACTTGCAAAAAAGGGAAAAAAATGGAATAAATTTTATAGATGTAGTATGAAACTATATTTTATTTTTCTTAAGGAGAAATATTTTCTGATCACAGATGTAGACCAATATTCCAGCAGGACACTCAACAAAGTTCCTTATGTAGTTCTGGTAGAAAAAATAAAAAAATAACATGGAGAGAGATCCCTGATAGATAACCAAAGGAAACTTACTGAGTCCTGTTTTATTCAGCATTTTAATCAATAACTTGGGGAAGAATATTTATACTAATTTTAAAAATATGCACATGGCCAGATGGTAGAAAGAATAATGAAGGTGTCAGTTGGCAAGAATCAAACTTCAAAAATACATGGGTAGGCACGAAAGTTGAGATCAACATAATCAAATGATATTCGTCTGGGTTAAATGTGAAACCAACTTCATAAAGAACACATGAGAATGTTTGGCTTACTTTGGATATTAGATTATTGTAAATTTGGGAAACCCGGCTGTCAAACAGCTAATATGATCTTAAACTACTTTAATAAAAAGATAGCATACCAAACAAGGGAGATGATAATTCTATTGTACTTGACTGTAAGTGGAACACACTGATACACTGATAAACTGATCATTGGTAGCTTGATCAAGTTTCCAGCATGAAATATCTAAAAAATCATTTAATTTGAAAGCCAGCTAAAGAAATTTAAGCTGCTTAGTTTGAAGAAGAAAATACTCAGACACTGCCTGAGATGTATAATGCACCCAGAGGCAATCACATGAAAAAATTGTTAAAAGTAACTCCAAAGAGTAGAATATGACCCTAAAAATGCCAATTATAGCACAGTAGATTTTTGTCTCAGTATAAGGAAAATCTCTTGCAATCTGAATGGAATGGATTCTCCTCATGATCCAGGTGAGTTCTCTGCCACAAGAAATGTTCGAAGAAAAGGAGTCACGGGGTCAGCTGTCAGGGATTCCTTCACTCAGTGAGATGTTGAACTAAATGACCCTTAAGGTTCCTTCTAAGACTCTTAATATGGTATTTATGTAGTAAAATATAAGCAAATTGAGTCAGTTCTGTCTGACATGATAACATGAATGTGAGGTCATTACATACACATAGCCCCATCACAGAGTATGTGTGTGATTACTAGAGACAAACCTTAGCTCTTCTGTGTCTGTAGATCAATTATGTCAACAGAGTTATGGGCTAGACTTTGAGCTAGTGAGGTTGAACGTAAAACGGTGTCTGAATTTATTCAAGTTGATGTTATAGGCTTCACTTTTTCCATAATTAGAAAGCATATGTCAGTCAGCAGGAAGGCTACAGAGAAAAATGAAGAGTTTTCAGTTCTCCTGACAATGGGGGTCACACAGGGGAAAGGAAAAAAGGTGGCCACTCAGAATACACACACACACACACTCTCTCTCTCTCTCCCCGCTCCCTCTCTCTTTATATATATATCTCTCTTCTGCTAACAGCCCAAGACCAGGCTTCTGTGACTCTCAACATTTCTCAGCAGCTTGTGAGCAAATCTTCCTCTTTAATATCCAGATGATCTTTGCCACTGAGGTTAAGAACAGTAATATACTTTTGCTCTTCTCAAGGGACAAATTTCCCAGATTGTAAGATACCATGCTTGTCTTTGAGTTGAAACTACAATAAAATACAGAAAGAATTCTAGATTATCTCTCAGCTCTTGTTTTAAGATCAATGATTCAACATGGTTCTCCTTCTGACAGTAATGTAATGAGACATGTTTCTTGCAGATTTGAGAATATAACTCTCACTACTTTATAGTTCTGCTATGTTCATCCTTCTTAAGCTGTCTTTCACTCAGGCGAATCAAACTTTGAGAGGCTCTTTGCTCTAGACCCAGCTCACCCACATATTTTTATCTCCCCATCACACTCCTTGCCTCATCTTACCTCTGCACCAAAGGTCAAAGCTGCAGCCCAGCAGTGGGCCAGGGACTCTGAAAGTACAGATATGGAAAGAGTCCACCCACTAGCCTATGCAGATGGGGAAAATGGATCTATCTAGTCTTCATGGGAATGGGGATACACTGTGTAAACACCTGGAGCTCTTCCACATTTAGAGGATGCCAGTGACTTAAAGTCACTGTCCTTCCCCCCAAAAAACCTAGACTTTCCAAAGACTGGGAAATGTTTTAAATGTTAGTATTAAAAAACTATAATTTATACACTTAATGTCAAATTTAAATAATATAAAGGTCAATTTTATAATACACTACCAAAAAATAGCAAAAACTTCACTTTACTCAATGTCTTTACTGAAAATTCATTCAACTCTCTTCCAGATGAATTCATCTCTTTCGCACCCCAATCACCAAGGGGCAGGACACTGAAAAGACAAACACACACACACACAAAAATAAAACACCTCACACACCAGGGATAAAGAAAAGAGTAAGTTAGTGATTTCATGTACAACATCTACTTTCCGCTTATAGGCAACAGGATTCCCTATGTAATGAGTTACAGACATTCTTTGATCTCCAAAATATAGGACAAGAGAATTGGTAACGGAAATAGGTTTTGTTTTGTTTTGTTTTGTTTTTTGAAAACCACAGATAGGCAGCAGGGTGAAATGCCACCTTTGTTCCAAGCAATAGGCAGAGTTAGGTGGGTGTTAACAGAGACATATTTCAAAAGCTAAAATACTGCAGTAATAAGACGCGATGATCTTGGCATAAGAATCTGGGGCACATGGACAAAGAGAGCTGACTGAAGTCTGTGAATACCCAGAGAAATTGATGAAGGTCTCTGGGCTCTTCAACGGGATAAAAGTATGTTTCATTGTAATGAAGGAAAAGGAATGTCAAATGATCAGAGGAAAAGAGTGTGATGAAATTCTTTTAAATAGACAAAGAGGCCTGCTCCAAGCAGCAGAACTCTACAATCTACCTGCTGGCCAGACTTGGTGTAGATTAGCTGAGGAACTAGAAGAGGCTGAGCCTGAGAGTTCAGTGTTTTCAGAATTTGCACCTTAGCAGGTCAGGGAAAGGCAAAATTGAATGTATACCTAATAAAAAAACATATCCCGGCCGGGCGCGGTGGCTCATGCCTGTAATCCCAGCACTTTGGGAGGCCAAGGCGGGTGGATCACGAGTTCAGGAGATCGAGACCATCCTGACTAACATGGTGAAACCCCGTCTCTACTAAAAACTACAAAAAATTAGCCGGGCATGGTGGCAGGCACCTGTAGTCCCAGCTATTCAGGAGGCTGAGGCAGGAGAATGGCGTGAACCTGGGAGGCGGAGCTTGCAGTGAGCCAAGATCGCGCCACTGCACTCCAGCCTGGGCAACAGAGTGAGACTTCGCCTCAAAAAAAAAAAAAAAAAAAAAAAAAAAAAAAAAAAATCCCTTTGCTGTCATAGCTATCTATGTAGGTGTCTGTCTCCCTGCTAAATAGGAAGCTTCCTGAAGTCAGGAACAACCTAGAGGAGTGACTAAAATACGGCAAGTGCTGAATAAGTATTTGTTATGTGGGCACAATAGCTCAATTTGAGGAGTCCCCACATGACAATTTGAGCTGTCCCCAGGTGACAGAATTTCAACTGTCCCCAGGTGATAGCTGTCCCACTAATGATGGCCTCCCTGTGTCCACCTTTTTGCAATGTGACTTCGCTGTCTCCCCATTGAGAGCTATAGTCAATTTCCACCCCCCTGCCCCCTTGAAATGAGCTGGCCTAAAGACTCATCTTGGCCAATATGATGTGATAGAAGTGTCACTGTGCTAGTTCCCAGCTTAGGCCTCCAGAGGCTTTGCATACTTCTGCTTTCTCCCTTGGAAGCCTGCCATGATAGGAGAATAAGTCTGGCTAGCCTGCTGGAAGATGAGAGACCACATGGCTAAGAGCCCAGCTGTCCCAACTGAGGTTATCCTGGACCAGCCTGTAACCAGCCAACACTGAAACATGGGGCAACCCAAGCAGGATGAGCAAAGAAGCCTACCAACCAAAGCTGACCACAGATGCAGGAGTGAGTCCAGTTGAGACTAGAGGAACTATCCAGTTGACTGCTAACCTTATGAGAAACGAGACATGGTTGTTATTTTAAGCCAGTAAGTTTTGTATATTTCATTATATAACAATAGCAAACTAACACACCCCACAAAATGTTGCTTTTATGTTTTATGTTCTTCATTACTAACCTTGTTTTTAAATGTTTATGATCTGTTTTAGCTTCGCAATTCAATTCAAAAGAAAAAGCCAAAGGAATCCTTATCATTAATTCAATTATAACATGTCTGCATGTGTCATTTCCCTGTTCCCACTACTTGCTACTACTTAATAAATTCCTCATTTATTTCTTAATTTTTCCATTAAAATCAGTCCCTAGATGTTCCCCTGGCATCCATCCTTGTTTTAACCCCATCTGCATAATATGTAAGGGTTATCTTGATAAAACATGGGTGTGATCATATCACTCCCCTCCTTAAAAAGTTTAGACCTTTCCTATCACGTACAGAATGAAGTGTGAACTACTCAGATGGCCAATTCCATCTCTGACATTTTTGCCCAAACACCCTTTTCCAGGCTGGTCTCACACCACAACTCCCACATGCCTTATGTCCCAGCCACCCCAGTCTGCCTCCACCCTTTACCAAGCATGTCTCCTACTCTCTCACCTTCATATTTTTATTCAGCTTGTTTCATGTGCTTGCAATCACTCACCAAAGTCTCATTCAAAGCCTCCAATTCTAAAAAGGTATCCTAATTCTCCACTGTATCTTCATGTAATGAAAAGAATGTAATAACACCAACGACAATATTAAGTGTGTACTATGAGCTATCACTCTGCTAAGCACTCTATGTGCATTCTCTTTTAATCATCACATCAATCTTGTGATGTAACAAATATAGCAACAGATAACAAAATAGTTATGATTACTATTTTCCATATGTAATATATGGGCAACTGAGACTCAAAATGTTAATCCGTTGTCAAATATCTACTAAGAGGCAGAGCTAAAATTTGAATCTAAGACTCTAGGAGCCAGTGTGCTGTGTTAAGTAATGTTTTCATTTGAACTTTCCATATTTATGGAAATAAACTAAACTAGGCCACAAAGTAGTTAAATGACTTGCCCAAGGTCACAGAGTCACCAGCAGTACTACATCATGAATCAAAATATTTTGATTCCCTCAATCTTATGCTAATTTTCTGCTGCCCAGGAAAGGATAATTGCTGACTGGTCTCTCCAGTAAAGCTTGAGAGTTTTGCCTTTGCCCACTTTTTCAGTAAAGAACGCCTCGACTAAACTAAGCAGGTACATTTCATTTTCTCCTACTGCTTTAATCATCCATAGTTATTCAGCAAAGGGTCCCAAGGCTAGAGGGAGAAATTAAGCCTAAAACCAAATTAAAATAATTTGGGGTTTAATTTGATTCAAATGTCAGAAAAATTCCACCCAGTAACCCTGTTAATATACAACTGAACTAAATGTCCTATATACCCAATTGTATTCAATTTTGCTGGGACCACCGATGCCTTAAACATGTTAATCTCATTCTCATTCTATCCTACTTTATGCACTTGTCTCTCAAAGAGTGCCACATAGCTGAACTTATTTGCTTTTCAAGAACTGCACGCCATTTTAATTACATAAAATGTCAACCAAGGCAGTCCTGAGTCCTGGCGGACACACTTACATACTTAAGAAAGCAGACCTGCCATTGGCCGTGGTGATCAGGGTCCGGAGGCTAGGGGCTGAGAAAGGCCTGGTGAACCAGGAATATACCAGATTTTTCCCACAGGTATCAGGGCTGAGGGGAAAAAAAAAAGGAAAAGAAAAAATCCCTGATTGAATTGAAACCCAGGTGAACCATGTAAGCTTGGAAATAGCTCTTTTACAAACTCAAAGGGGAAGAAAGGGAAACTGACACAGCTTGTTTTGCCGCTGTGCCTGTTGTCCACTCCCTTTCTTTGTCCATGCAGGCTGCGCTGCAGGTGGGGGCTGGGAGGGAGCAGGTAAAAGGGCCCGTTCAAGAGTGCCTAGTCCTCCCGGTTTGAGACTCTGCACAAAGGAGGGACAATAAATACAGGCTTCAAAGGAGAAAAAAAAAAAGTATGTAGCACGATCCACCTCCTCCAAGGAACCTTTGATAGACAGTTCTTACCTGCTGCTTTCTGTTCAGCTTCTACCTCCCAAAACCACAATTCATCTAAGAAATATCTTTTTAAAATTGTTTTTTCTTAAGGCCTATTAAAATAGGCATAACTGTTAACTAGATGAAATGCAGGATCATGTCTAACCTAGGCTAGGAGAAGTGGCCACTGAATATTATTTGAAAAGCTGTCTTAAGTCTATGAGAAGCCCCTGCATAAAAGAAGATGAACTTCAGTGGAATTCCCCAACTCTTCAGCCATTCATTGCTTATCGGACACGTATCATCAGAAAAGGTGAAGATTCTATTTCATATAGTCTAGGAGACAGAAAGGAAATGGCAAGTACAATGGGACTTGGCTGCTACCAATGGTCTGAAATAGAAAAAGTACTATTCAAATTCTAGGACTATACCTGCCAGAAACATCTGCATTATTTCAGGTGACTTAACCCCCAGCGCCTCTCCCTGTGCAATGTTATAGCTTATTAGCACTTCTGCAAAAGGGCAAGCCGTACCAGAGAACTGAAACACAAAGATTTGCCAATTCAGCTAGAAAAAGATCTCATGGGCGGAAGAAAAAAAGCAAGGAATTTAAGTGTTCAGAAAATATGCAAATTATCTAAGGATTTCATACATCCTATTATGGTCGTTTAAGCCTGTAACTAAGATTCCAATCCATGTAACAAACTCAGAGACAATTGTGAAGATACAATTTAGGCCAGTGGGAGCCATCTTTCATGGAACCTACATTTTTAAGAATAAAGATCCCAACTTCTTCATCTCACTGATTAGGCTGATCAATCCCCAATCCATAAATACATCACATTCCAAAAATTCATCCTTAAGCTAGTTATTTAGAAATCCAAAAGCATTCTCCCATTGATCCAATGTAATAAATGGGGATTGCAACCCCAGACCAGCCTGCAAATACCAACTTATCTCAAATACACCAGGAAGATTCTTCATAGCAGCCCCACGCCTCTCTGGGGCATAAGCCAATGGAGCCCTCGTGAACCTTAAGACCTTTTGGGACTGATATCCTGTCATCTCAGAGGCAAGGGAAGAGGAAGGAAGGATAAAATATCAGGTTCCATCTGAATAGCTTATGTGGCAGGTAGAGGGAGGCTCAAGTGGGAGAGGTCTAAATATATAATTTTTCTCCCAAAGTCAGGTAGATATTAGAAGAGAGATTATGTGTGATGAAGCTTTCCACTTTGTTCCAAAGAAAAGATGTTGAATTGCGGGGACAGAACTGGACTCTCAGAACATTAGAAGGGCCACTATAGGGAACACATATAGTATTCAACAGAATGGACTAAGTTTCCAGCAAATATAACCATTAAAATAACACATTTCTCTCATTTCTACTGATTATAACCATTACTGATACTGTCAATCAGAGAAAAATTATAAAAATCTAGGCATAAAGACCTTATTAATATATTCAACTCTTACCAAGCATTTGCTAGAACCATAGAATGCTTGCTCACAAGAGAGCCTTGGAAGTCAGCCACCCAACCTCGTTTTAAAAATGAGGTTACCAAGGGAAGGAAAAATTAAGTGGTTTCCTGTTACTTAGACACAGAAATCACCTGGTGCCCACTGGGAAAACAATTTCACGTGCCTCTTATATAAACTTTGGTTTCCCTTCTTTCCTTTTCGAGGAACCCTTAATTTCTGTGTATTGATGTTTCATGTGACAGTTAAACCTGCTTGCAGCCAAAATGATTGTTTTGCTGAGGGAAGGTGTTAAGTTTCAGCCCAAGCATCTCCCTTTGAACTCTGGGGACTTTGCTAGAACTATCTTTGCTGCTAGGAGAGACCACTTCCCTTTTTCTCCAAGGAAGACCTGCCTTGGCCTGAGCATCATTACCTTCCCTCTGCACTGGCTGACTGCAAGCAAGTGGAACATGAAACTGGCAATGGAGATACAAAGCTCCGGCAAATGTCGAACTCACTTAATTTGCTGACCATCCGATTAATGGCTGGTCACCACATTTCAAGTCAGCTCTAGCTAAACCTCTGGAGCTTCTTGCCAAAGGCTTCTTAAAGAGTCCTGGTTGTTGTTTTTTTTCCTATACACACTTAAAAACCTCATTAAACAAGAGAGAATGTTTTTAAAACAGTCAAATCATGTTTTATCCATAGACTTGCATGTCAGAGGTTATAAACTCTTATATTCAACAACAGCCTCTGTAGGATCCATGCCAGAGTATCAGAATAAAATGAAAAACCACTGGCAACGGTGCAATAATGGTATCCCATTAACAACTGAGATCTTAAGAGGCAATAACTGCAAAAGCATGTTACCATTAAACTAAGTGCATGTGCCTTCCACATTCCAGCAAAAAGGTTTCAGAAGATGGCTGCAGCTTAAAGGACTTGGATGAGGGAAAAGGATGTTTCTAGTTTAGGATGCCCCACTCCCCTGCATCCCCTGGGCAAGTTTTCCTTAAATCACAAGAGACCCTAAAAGGAAGACTATTTTGATGGCAAATACCCTAGTGTAAGAACTGTCAGTCCAAGATCAGTTTTTTTTTAGTCGCTCTGAATATTTGGAGAAATTATCTAAGCACTACTAGCCTTAGTTTTTTCAGCTATAAACTGGTGATAATAATTATGCTCATGTAAGAATTGTTGGAAGGATTAAGCGATTCAGGGCTATGCATCAGAGTTGGGTAAAGTGAGGAGTATAAGTAAGTGCTCAATATATGTTACTTGCTATTTTTTTAAGAAAACCTAATTAAATAGAATGTCTTGCAGAGTCCCCCATAACCACTGATATCAATTGAAATTAACTTGCTGTTACTATCACCCAGAAGTAAAATTGGGAGACACTGTGAGTGGCAGAAGCAATCTTTTGCTCCTCTAGCGTCTTTACTAAAATGTGCAAGGGCCCCAGAACATGCATGACCATAGAGGTGAGGTGAATTGGAAGTAGATTTTTACGTTACTTAGCTTGGCATGAGTTGAAAGCATCCTTACTCTTCCTACATAGCCCCTGATACTTGAGGTATGAGCTGAGAAATCCTCCTCCTTTGAGACAACTGCTCACTTTCTCAGTTCTGATCTCCCATGGAACTGAGGGATGCAAATATCCTTCAGTACAGGCCTGGATTAATCCTCTCCTCTCCTGGCCTCCATCTGCCTATCCATCACAGACGCAGCCCCTCTGTAGTAAATCTCTAAGCCTTCGGCCTGCAGGACCTTGGTCCCTCTTTCAATATCACTGCAGGAACCTCCCTCCTTCACAGCACCCCATCTTTCTGCACTGACCTTCCACTCTCCTGTGTCCTCTCATCCCCTCCCATCCTGGCTCTTCAGACTTTCCTGTCCCACACATCCCCAAACCCTTCCAATCTGAGTCACCTCTCTTATTATCTTTACTTTCCTTGAATGTGTAGACACATTTAATAGAAACAAAGAAGCTTAATTTTTAAAAACATTGTTCCCTAATCATAAATCCACCTGACCCAGATGAAAATGTTTTCACTTCCCCTTTTGAGAGACCCAAATAGATATGTACAAGTTAAACACAGTGACATGAGGTCTGCCGAGGTCCCTCATTATATTTTCCATAACTTTTGGGGTAATTGCATTTTATAATAGTCATCTCCCATGAATCCTCTGTGGAGAATCACTTCTTTTCTTTCAGTTGGTTTGAAGGGGCATGGTCACTGTTCATTGGTGCTGAGTAGTGATTTTATAAAATACACAGTAGGAACTTCAGACTTAGAAAGGAGGCCCACTCTTGTTGATGAAGCTGTTAAAGTGAAATTAGGACCATTATGAGGACCTATGCCAGGACTGAAAGCAAGACCTAAGGAAGGCAGTTTGGTTTGGGCAAGATTGAGGTTGAAATAAGGACCCAGAGAGCGGGGCCAAGAGTGAGAAGCAGAACAAGTCCAGAGGCTGCTGTTCCAGTGGGAGTGACGAGGCTGGAACCCTTCCCTGCAGACACAGAACTAGGGTCCAGAAGGGACACAGGGGTCACAGCCTGTGCTTGGCATCAGGGAAAGGAGAAGGTGGCTTGGGGCAGCCCTCAGGGTGGCCTTCACCTAATTCAGCATAGGTCATAATATCATAGCTACAGAAAAAAATGACAGTACACAGAGAATTAAGGAGCTGAAGTAGAATATGTTTATGACAGCAGGGTTAACATTCCATGTCCTGGCGAGGCGCGGTGGCTCACACTTGTAATCCCAGCACTTTGGGAGGCAAAGGCGGGCGGATCATGAGGTCAGGAGATCGAGACCATGGTGAAACCCCGTCTCTACTAAAAATACAAAAAAATTAACTGGGTGTGGTGGCGGGCGCCTGTAGCCCAGCTACTCGGAGAGGCTGAGGCAGGAGAATGGCATGAACCCGGGAGGCGGAGCTTGCAGTGAGCCGAGATTGCGCCACTGCACTCCAGCCTGGGTGACAGAGCGAGACTCTGTCTCAAAAAAAAAAATAAAAAAAAAAAATTCCATGTCATGTGAAAGGCTTACAGAATTTTTAATGACAGAAAGAACCACAGAATGCACCATGGACAGTATGTTGCACTCTGTTTCTTATTGGGGTACCTATAATTTTCCTACAATATTCTGAGTTAACCACATGAATAAACACCTCTATTAGCTTTTTCACTTTCTCAATAGCCTTATGAGGTAGGAATTTTTTAAATTAACTAAATAATTCTTTATTAATATGTATTATATGTACATATTTTAAGGGTACAGGTGATACATTCATATAATGAAATCAAGGTAATTAGTGTATCCATCACATTTAATATTTATCTCTTCTTTAAGCTAAGAACATTTGAATTATTCTCTTGTAGTTATTTTGAAATCTGCAAATGGTTAGTGTTAACCGTAGTCACCCTGCTGATCTATCGAACATCAGGTCTCATTTCTTCTTTTTAATTAGATATTTGTACCCAATAATTATCTTCTCTTTGTACTCCCTCTCCCCTACCCTTCCCGGCCTCTGGTCACAACTAATCTATTCTCTAGCTTCATGAAATCCACTTTTTAGCTCCCATAGATGGATGAGAACACGCCATATTCGTCTTTCTGTGCTTCGTTGTTTCACTTAACATAAGCCTCAAATGTCTGCCGTGACTGATGGCAGCATCTCAAGGGCAGCCACTGGCCATTGGCCTTGGACCTATGAAGGGCATGCCCCAGCTTAAGCCAGTGCCAGCATTTTGAGTGCTTGGGCATGTCTAAGAAACTAAAGGGATGGGCTCTGCAGAAGTCTATTTTCATGAGAAACAGAGGAGCTCCCTAGAGGAGAACTTACTTAAAGGAAAGGAAGGAATCAAACAAGCTCAATCAATTAACAGAGCTATAGTCATAGGATGAGAGAAGCGGTTTAGAAACCACCATGATGGCTATCCCTTGAAGCTCTCCCAGCCTGGCCTGTGGGTCCTCAGGGAATAAGAAAGGAGAAGATGTAAGTAAAAACCAAAGGAGCTTTTTCATTAAAACCTTTAGGAGATATTGTGACATGACCATCCAGCTTTGGTGCCTAACATAATTGGGGATAAGAATCTCTCTCAAATACTTCACCCCAGACCCTGTTGAAGCTTTAACTTCATGAAGGCTTCAGGCTCCCTGAGGAAGGTGACTAGTGGGAAACTAGTATCCACAGGGGTCTGTGCTCTCAATGGAAGAAGACCGCAGGGTCTGAAAGAGGCCATGGTGCAAGGCAGATGCTGTGGCACCTGACAGAAGCAGCAGCCATGCCTAACACATATAGTGGTCCCCACTGCAATTAGAACAGGAAACATTGGCAGCACCCAGGAAAAACCAGGAAACACACAAAAAGTGGCAGGCATTCTCAGCAGATATTGCACCTGAACTGTCTGTGAATCTGTAATAGGCCCTCCTGAGAACTCCCCACAGCACATCAGGGAATAGTGATTTTGTGGAGGATTGTGGTCTTAAATGAGTAGGAAGAAGCAAGAATCAATGAGATCTGGACTCTTAGTAATATTATACAATCACAAAGTGGTGCAGCCTGGGGAAGTCTGTGTTACTTGTAATATTTCCAACTGCATTTGTCACGTCTGTAATTCAGATGAACCCCAAAGCAAGTCTGAATGTGCTGGATAAAGTTATTCAACTCAGGGCAGGCACAGTGGCTCACGCCTGTAATCCCAGCACTTTGGGAGGCCGAGGCGAGCAGATGGCATGAGGCCAGGAGCTCGAGGCCAGGAGCTCGAGACCAGCCTGGCCAACATGGTGAAACCCAGTCTCTACTAAAGATCCAAAAATTAGCCAGGAGTGGTGGTGCATACCTATAGTCCCATCTACTCGGGAGGCTGAAGCTTGAGAATCTCTTGAACCTCAGAGGCGGAGGTTGCAGTGAGCTGAGATTGTGCCACTGCACTCCAACCTGGGCAACAAAGTGAGACTCTGTCTCAAAAAAAAAAAAACGTTATTCAACTCACAAATCCTTAGTTCTCAAGAAAATTTCAGGATGTGCTTATCCTCTAACCAAAGATGTGTTCAGTACCCTTCCTCCTTTCTGAACAGAATGAAGTCATCAGCCCTAATGGCCATGCCAATTGTGATTCTGTTTTTCTCCTACTTTTCTTTGGCCTATGATTCCTAATTCGAATCCACTCCTCATCAGTTCCCAAGGGGCTCTAGTAACCTATCCTTAGCACTTTTCCCACTGGTTACAGTTTAGAAAGGCCTTTCTGGCTATTGCTATTCCAGCTGCTTTCTCCATATTTTGACCCCTTATCTGAATGGTGTGTTCCAGGGGGATTCTTCACACTCTGTCTTAGCCTCTGAGCACAATCAGTAAGTCATATCTTCAAAATCAGACTTTTTGGAAGAAGGAAGTGGGAGAGGGTTAGGTTTTTAAATCCTTTAAAATCTGTGTCTTCAAGTCCTTCATGGAAGTGGATAAAAAGGGCCTAGTGCAGTGGCTCACACCTGTAATCCCAGCACTTTGGGAGGCCAAGACAGGCAGATTGCTTAAGCTCAGGAGTTAGAGACCAGCCTGGGCAACATGGCAAAATCCCATCTCTACAAAAAAAAAAAAAAAAAAAAAAATACAAAAATTATCCAGGTGTCGTAACATGTGCCTGTGGGAGGCTGAGACAGGAGGATCGCTTGAGCTTGGGAGGTGGAGGTTGTAGTGAGTTGAGATCACTTCATTGCACCACTGCAGCCTGGGCAATAGTGTGAGACTCTGTCTCAAAAAAAAAAAAAAAAGAAAAAGAAAAGAAAAAAAGAAAAAGAAAAATCAAGAAAAAGAAAGCATAAGAAAAGTTAAAGCAAAGGAAAGCAGAGTAGTTTCCCCACGTCTACATTCTTAAGTCAGAACCACCTCCATTCCTATGGCAAGATGCCAGTATTCTCCAGCAGCAGATCCATTTCAATGCATTTGCAAAGGCACTGCTCTACTAAATTAAATGTCCAACTAGAATGAGCTATCACCAGAACACACTATCATGCCTCAGCTACTTCCATTACTGTGAACCACTCCCCACTAACCTCCCCCCCGGACCCGAAATACCCAAGAGGTCACAAAGATCCAGTGGCATCCAAGAAAATAAAATAGTTTTACATCAATATGTCTCCAGCAAGAAATCCCTCTACAGTTGTCTGATAGAGCCATCATTTTTCTCATGTTCAAGTCAATTGAGTAATCAGAAGAAATGAGACTAAAAATAAATAACGTTAGCCATGGAATGGGAAGATATAACTCAGCAAAATGCTGGCAAGTGCTTCTCTACTCGCCAAGCCTCAGAATGCACAATGCCCCTTTCTGTTCAGCCATGACAATCTAATTCAGGTTTTGTCCTCCCAGGAGGTGATCAGTGAGTCCAGATGGACACCAAGCTACCTCATTGTCCTGGGCATCGAAGCCAGACTGCACTGCAGGTGTGTGCTGAAATTCAGTTCCACTTTTCTATTGCCAGCAAGCCTCACCATGAGAGGAGCTGCCACATGCCTAGAGCCAGCTCCTGGGATGGCTGGATAAGGCCAGAGCCCTATGATTCTTTGGGCCATTCTGATGTTTTGAGACTTAAAGGAGCAATTAAAGCCCAGCTCTGCTCACTCATGAGAATTCAGAATGACTAGGATACATAATCATGACATAATTAGAACCAAACAAGAAAAGTTTAACAAGAACAAATGAGCTTAGTAAAAATAAGCTGTGTCCATCTATATTGGGTAGAGAAAAAATATCTAACAACATTTAGTGGATAATAAGCTAACTGAGTTAATACTATAAGATAGAAAAAAAGTTAACACATCAGGGTATCTAAATTTTAGGTGGCAAGGTAGATATAAGAAGGCAGTTATTAAAACATGGCTGAGATCTTTTCTAGAGAAGGAACTCAGGTTGATGCAGTGGCGAAAAAAAAAAACGTTTTACAATTGGAAGAACTGAATTTGATCTTGCCATGCACTTTCACTATGCTGCTTGGCTTAACTCTGAACTTCCGTTTTCTCACCTGTAAGATGGGCATATTGATAATGCATAATTTTATTGTTGCATATGTTGTAAGAATTCAACTAGCTAATGCATAGAAATACCATTTGACCCAGCGATCCCATTACTGGGTATACACCCAAAGGATTATAAATCACACTACATAAAGACACGTGCATATGTATGTTTATTGCAGCACTGTTCACAATAGCAAAGACTTGGAACCAACCCAAATGTCCGTCAATGATAGCCTGGATTAAGAAAATGTGGCGCATATACACCATGGAATACTATGCAGTCATAAAAAAGGATGAGTTCACGTCCTTTGTAGGGACATGGATGAAGCTGGAAACCATCATTCTGAGCAAACTATCACAAGGACAGAAAACCAAACATCACGTGTTCTAACTCATAGGTGGGAATTGAACAATGAGAACACGTGGACAAAGGGCGGGGAACATCACACACCAGGGCCTGTCGTGGGGTGAGGGGATGGGGGAGGGATAACATTAGGAGAAAAACCTAATGTAAATGACGAGTTAATGGGTGAAGCAAACCAACACAGCACATATATACATATGTAACAAACCTGCACGTTGTACACATGTACCCTAGAACTTAAAGTATAATTAAAAAAAAAAAAAAAGAAACAGCTTTCCAGTGTATGGTATGCAATAAGAGTTCAACACACATTGGCTATGAATGGAACATCCGTTTCTGATATAACCAAAGAAGCATAAACGAAAATGTAGAAGGTTTTTGGAGAACACCACACATTTTTAATGTTGTAAAATATGGCCTCTCCTGAAAACTTGACCAATTGCAGACCCACAAAGCTGAGGATCAGACCCTCTGATTTTGGGCCCCAACCCCAGTCTCTGAGGCTCCAACTGGGTCATCAGCCAGACTCCTTGGATATCTTTCTTTTTAGTCTCACTTTGTGAGTCAGGGGGAAGAAGGCCAGAGGGCAGCATAATTGGGACCGCAAGGCACAGGCATGATCAACTATAGCTTGGGTTTACAAATCACCAGACAAGCCTTTCCCCAATTCAGAGAAGCTTTTAGGGCCATTTGAAATGGAAATGTCCATTAACCTTGAAAGCAGACAATGAGTGATGCAAATATTAAACCATCTTATAAAGGAAAAAGACAATGATCAACTCATTTAAAAAACCTTTGTGAGATAAACAGACTTTATGCTGCATATCTAGTGTCTTCCATCTGGCCAGCGAAACCTCTCCATCCATCACTCTAACACTTGATCTGCCATTCCCCTGCAGGCTTGGGAGCATGAACTGAAAGACCTGAAAGTCCATCCAATCCAAACTTCTCATTTTGACAGATGGGAAATTGAGACCTAAAGAAATTAGATGTTTTCTAAGAACACAAATTCGGTGGCAAAATTGGTACCAGATCCTAGTTTTCCTAATTACCTGTCATGCCTGCCTTGTTCATTCTCACCTCAAAGATTTTATTTGACAAACAATATGATTCCTCTACCTCTATCTATTTAGATTGTGAGTCCTTAAAGGAGGCTAAATTATCCAGCTTTTGTATTTCTCACTCAAAGAAATAAATAGATGATTAAAAATACTGTTTTAGTCCATTCAAGCTGCTATAACAAAATACCCATTGACTGGGTAACTTACAAGGAACAGAAATTTATTTCTCACAGTTCTGGAGGCTTGGAAGTCCAAGATCAAAATACTAGCAGAATCAATGTCTTATGAGAGCCCATTTCCTGGTTTACAGATGATGCCTTCCTCACATGATGGAAGGGGCAAAAGTTCTCTCTTGGGTCTGTTTTATAAGGTCCCACTCATGAAGACTCTGCCCCCATGACCTAATCACCTCCCAAATTCCCCACCCCCTAATACATCATCACCTTGGGGGTTAGGATTTCAACATATGAATTTTGAGGGGCCACAAACATTCAGACAATAGCAAATACTATAAGTTGCACTTTTACTAAAATGATAATGGAAAGTAGAGAAATCTGTTCCCATTTGGGCAGGGATTGGTTTATTCTGTTTCACTCACATCAGACCTGCTTATAGTTTTGAAGAATCCCTAATGGTTCTCAGAATGTGGGTAGGACCTGCTTTGCCATTTTCAAAAAGGTCTACTTTCATGCAAATAGGTAGGAAACTACATACTGTTTTGACTAATGTAACAACCAACTGGTCTCCATTTCCTTATAGGATTAAAAGCTATTAAATAAACAAAATTCAGCAAGAGTTTCATGATCTATGAGGTGGAGGTAATATTCTTGTTTGATGGACTTAAAACTCTATAAACAGACTTTACATAATCTTTATCCTTAGAAATCTTATAAAAAAGTGTTGTCTAAATTGGATGGTTCAGCTGTTCTCCCTCACGAAAGCACAGGCTGGATAGAAGCCCTTCTGTGATCCTTTCTCTACCCACTTGCTTTCTGCTCTTATTACAGTGATATTCTAGTAATATTTAATTCTCTACCATCACACATCTCCTACCTATAATCACTTGCAGACTTCAGTTTGTAAGAAGACTTTCTACCTGCTCAAAGTCAATCTTTAAGTCACAACTATGATTCTGAAGCCTAAGATTCTGTATTTCTAACAAGTCCCAGATAACATTGATGCTGCTGGCCTTTAGGCCATATTTTGAATAGCAAAACTCTAGAATGTATCCCATGATCAACTATATGGATCCATTAGAACCATTCCTGACCCATTCTCCTTCCTCAGTAACCTCTCTACTAAAATACTAAAATGTTTGAAATGGCTTTTGTGTGTTTATTTAAAAATGAACATATGATTGTAGAGTTATGAAACAAGGAAATAGTATCATTCATTCATTTACTAAAAAAAAAAAAGTCAGTGTTGCAATGCATCATACCAGCCCCTAGGGATTCAATTATGAATAACACACAATCATATTTGTAGTTAGATGTCTTGGTCCCACAACTAACTAGCTCATTAACCTTGGATAAACCATCTAATCAGTTTCTGCTAATTTTTTCTTACATAAAATGAAGATAACAATGTTCACCATATAGGGTAGTATGAGTACAATATAGAATTATGTATGTAAACATACAACATACCCCAAAATATACTATAAAATGTTTGATATGCTTATTATCATATGTATTTATTATTTGTTCAGGTTCCTCTCTTATATTGTAATCTGCCTTAAGATAACAAATGACACCACCTGTATCCCTTCCACCAAAACTAAGCATTTAAAATACTTCTTTACACTCCACAGAATTTAAATTCTTTTTCATTAAATGTCTAATCTCTTTTATTCCCACGCTTGGACAATCAGTTCATTCTAGAACATTTCAACAGGAAAAAAACCAAACTAGATGGATCTTAGAACATGTCCTCATGACGATCTCTGTTCTGAAGGGTCTGTCATTCCAGCATTGAAGGCCTCCTTACATTCAAAAAGGTGCCTCCTTTCCCTGTTGCTCTTTTCTTCCATTGATCTGAGAACATTTCCCACAACCACTAGTATTCAACATATATTCATTGAATGAATTAATTAATGTTAGTGTTTGACATTTGTTAAATCCAAGAAAATACTGACAAGTTTGGGTACTGGGACTGCAATTTGTAGGCATCTTTCCTTCACGAACAATTTCACTGCTCTGGGTCAGAGCAACCACCCATTGCATCCCCTGGAAGCTGTTCTGAGGCCTTTATTTTGTGGCTTGGAAGTGCTTATTATTTGTACACCTGCTCCTTAAGAATCATGGCCACTGATGTAACTGACACTAATTAGCCCTTCCCCCTGCAGGTCCCCACACAGGGCCAAAGGCTAAATAGGACTAAACACATTCTGCCTCTCAGAGTGGCAAAGGATGGGTGACATGTTTTGGCAGAAGGTGGAGAGGAATTTTAAACTTTCCTTGTGGTTCCCTCAGTCTCTTTCGCCCTTGTATTCCACTGTGCTCACATTTCTAGGGACTGTCAATCTGGCACCAAATCCACTTAAGGCTGAGACACAGTCACCCATGAGGCTGAGACCAAATACTTTCATATCACAGGACACCTGAAAGATTGCTAGACCTGATCTCAGGGTAGAACCCCAGGGCATCTCTTGCCCATTGCCTTCTCCAGGTGCTGTTCCTGCTGCCGCCACAGACAAGATTAACAAGAAGGTTATATTTAAACTTCCAAGAGGCACTGCTGTGCCATTATGGGTCTATTTAAAATCCTCCGGGCAGCTGCAGTACATAATAACAAATCAGCAGGAGAGAGGGGGGGAAAGGAGGAGCAGGGAAGGAGGACTGGGGGTGGTCAGGAGCATGGTGGATTGTTTCTGAGAAAAATTGACTGTCAAAAGATGGCAGGGGGTACAGGCAAGTTAAGGATGCCACCCAGGGTGAGAGTGAGGGAGAGAATGCATCAGGAGAACCTGCTAGGCAGGGCAGGGAGAGAACTCAGGCTCCTAATATGAAGATCTGCCAGACCTAAAACCTTGCTGCCTGCCTGGAAGAAACCGCTCCATAGTACTCTATTTCTCCCAGGGGACTCTACTGAACAATACCAGCCATTCTTCAGTGTTGATGAAAGATCAGCACCAGAATAGAAAGAGCTCTAATAATGGGAACACAAAGCAGCTCCCTCAAACCCAACCGATGTGTGCCATTTTCCTCCTGGAATCACTGATAATTCACCCCATGGGAGGACTATGTCACATTCCCTTAAAGACCATTCTCTAGTGCAGCAGTCTTAGAACCTGATGACTAACCTACAGCTGTGCTCAATTTTGACGTTAAGGACCCATCCCAGTCTCTGGTGTCTTTGCTAAGTTTGGGCATAGTGTTTCTTAGCCTCTACTTGCCTTCTCCTATCAAAGCTCTGTGGGTACTCTGGAACATTTACAATCTTCCCTCAGTTGTATAGCACAATCACATTCATTTTCATCTCCCAGCCTCTTCTTCACTGACAGTGTTTGTTAAACTTAGTTTAACTGACATTATCCAAACTCCTGACCATTTTTATCACTCTTTGCTAAAGTGGCTTCATAGTTATTAATGTCTCTCCTGATTATTTTCTGCATGCACAAATTTACTTAAATTTGGTTATTAACCACGGTTTAAATCTCCATTAATTGTCTAAACTGTCACCCCTTGGGGCTTCCATATAGTATCAACATCTCTGAACTCACAAGCACAGAAATTATGAGACAAATGAACATGGCATCCTTGTTCAGCATACTGTTACAGTGAAAATAATAGTCTTTCATTGCCTGATTAATTTTGCTTCTATGGAGGACCAAACTGGATGTCACAGGCTAACACATTTACTATGAATGTACGTCATGATTTGGATGTTCACAATGATCTAATTAACCAAATACGTGTCAAAAATTCACTTTGTATTGTATAGAGATGTCTTAAATGTCATGCTATGCTATATTCTGATGTAAATACATAAGAAAATGATATAAATGATGTAAGATGCTAGGTCTATATATGTTATTTACCTGAAAAGAAGATTGTAGTAGATCAGCAAGTATTAACAGTTTATACAAATTAAGAATAAATTCCTCAAGGGGATTTATCTTCTCTTTCTTTTGTTTCTGGTTGAATGCCTAATACGCCGGAGATTTATAAAACTGTCTGTCCCTACTGCAGGAACAGTAGGCAAACAATACGTACAATTTGTAATAAACCAAAACCTGCCATATCAACATATACTTATTGATTGTAAATACTGACTTAAAATTAAGTTCTATATAACGAGGACAGTACGTGATCATTAAGCGCACTATGTGGAATGTATTGTGCAAATGTTACAAACATACATTGGCTGTGTAAAACACTCTGCCACATGTTCAGATCACAGTTTGTGACCCCTATATAAAAAACTGATCAATGATTTATTATCTAGTGTCAATTCCCTTTCTTCCATTTTTTCATCCCTATATCTTTCTCTACAACTATTAGGAGCTCAAAAGATAAGAATTTCAAAGAAAGAGAGCAAGAAGTCAAGAGAGTACATCTAGGAGGTACAACACCACAGGCCCAGAACAGAGAAGGACAGAGAAACTTGTACTGTCCCAGTGGGGCCTGTAGAAATGGCTTTACCATCTAATATGAAAACAAAGTCTTGGCCAAACAAAAATGACCTTCTCAATAAGAAATACAGCAAGGACCCTTGATTGATACTCCAAAGAATTCCTTCCGGGTGAGGTGATCAATGAGGAAATCAGACATAACGATCCTAAGGTGTCACTCAGGAAAAATCTTGACAGAACCAAAGAAAAGCAGCCCTGTGTCAAGGAGCTGTCCAGCATTCAGCCTTCATCTGAACTTTTGGAGACCACTCAGCTCATTTCTGTCTTCATTTACTCACTGTCTTACATGTCATCCATCTCTTGTTGGACTAAGCACTTCAGTCTGTTCCCTGGGAACTGCTCTGAGCTCTATACACTTGGTTTAGACAAGACGAGTTACCTACACTCCAGTGACTTCACTGTCTGGGTGAGCAGACAGGGACACTTACCTTGGTTCAACCTTCCTTCTGTTTGTTTGGTACCCCTCCATTCACGCACCCACCAGATGCTTACTGAGTCCTTCTTCCGTGCTTGGGTGCTCAAGATACAAAAAAGAATAACATATAATCCTGCCCTGAAGGAGTCTGAAGTCTAGCCAAATAAACAAATGTGAACAAAGAATAATACTTTACTAAATGAAATCATGAAGATAGACACGGGGAAAAGACAGCTTCCATTTGAAAATACCAACCAGAATAACATACTATTCACAAAGGCAAAATTAAAATCAAGTGGCTAATAAGTATATTTGAAAAGTTCAACTTCACTAGTAAATCAACTAAATAGAAATTTAAGCACAAATTTTTTTTCCATATTGCAAAGGCGGGGGAAGTGGATATTCTCATACACTATTGATCAACACACATACTAGTTTAAAATTAATGGAGAGTAATTTGATAATAAATATTCAAAGCCACAAGATGTTGGTACTATTTGACCAAGTAAGTCCAGTTCTGAAAATTTATGCTGAAGAAATAATTTAGGATAGACAAAAAGATTTATCTACAAGGATGTCCATCATTCTATTATTTGTAAAATCTCCCAATTTAAAAATAATATAAAATACTGAATAGAGAATTGGTTAAATTGCAGAATTCCATGAAGCCATAAGAAATTATGTAGAAAGATGTTTCTTGATGGGAAAGGATAATCATATATGAATACAAATAAATTTAAATTTTTTACATAAATAGAAAAGGACTAATACAAAACAGTATGTGCAATATGACTTTATTTTTGTTTTATATATTGCACATTGAGAGATGTTCAGAATGCTAACTACTATCTAGTGAGATTAACTATCTGGTTAATTTTTTCCTTGTCTTCTAGTTTTTCTCAAATGTTCATGCATTGCTTTTGTAACAAGAAAAATTATTAAAGTGATACAGTTAACTCGGGAACACACAGGTTTGAACTGTGCAGGGTCCACTTACACACAGATTTTCTTCCACTTCTGCCACTCCTGAAACAGCAAGAACGACCTCTTCTCTTCCTCCTCCTCCTCAGCCTACTCAATTTGAGTATGACATGATGAAGACCTCTATGATTATCCACTTCCACTTAATGAATAGTAAATGTATTTTCTCTTCCTTATAATTTTCTTAATAACATTTTGTTTTCAGTAGCTTACTTTATTGTAGGGATACAGTATAATAATGTATGCAGCATACAAAATATATGCTAATTGACTGTTTCTGTTATCAGCAAGGCTTCCAGTAAACAGTAGGCTGTTAGTAGTTAAGTTTTGGGGAGTCAAAAGTTACACACAGATTTTTTACTGTGTGGGAGGTTGGTTCCCCTAACCCCCACATTGTTCAAGGGTCAACTGTACTTAACTTTAACAGAAAATAAAGTGCCTGTCACATGCCAGGTACTGGGCTGTGTTCTGTGCATGCAAGATCTGCTATTCACAGCACTACCAAGTATTACTGAGATGAAATGACTCAGCTAGTCCAGACAACTAGTACCTATGGAGATTAAAAGTTAGTTCTAAAACTCCTGTTCTCCTTGCCATCTAACTAGTCTATAATATTTGTTTCCTAGAATTTCATTTTTTAAAAATCTATGCTACTATAATGTTAAAAAAGAAGTTTTCCATATAAATCAAACCAAAATACTCTGTAAACCAACGTAAAAACTGTAATAAAATTTAGGGGACTGTGAATAGGCACAGAAATACTTTTAAAAGGCTTCTTTCATGTTCTATTTGAACACACAGCAAAATACCCTAAACCCTATGGTGAGATGGGAAGGTGATGGGGACAACGGAGAGCCAAAAATGAAGCAACACACATGTGGAAACAACAATTCACAAGGGGTTACCCACAGCCAAGTCTGAGCTGATGTAGCGAGTCAACCCAGTTGGGCATTTGCCTTTCTGCCTGTGAGCCTGCAGTTCTGTTTGTCCCAACCAGCCATTTTATGCCCCTCTGTTTCTATTTCAAGTACAGGACAAAGAATGATATTGTTCTCAATATGAATTGCCACTTCACTAAGTACTTTATTCACCATTTACCCATTTTCGTCTTTCTCTGAACTTGCCAAATTATATCTTTTCACCAGAATATGCATTCCTGGGTGATCAAGTATAAACCTGCCAACTTTTGCCTCTCCTTTCTGATCTCACTGTACCTTGTCATTTCTGCAGCTCTCTTTTTTTTTTTTGTTAGTGAGATATTATTTTTAGATAAGAAATCTTTTAAATGCTCATTTAATCCTCTGTGGACTGTTTTTTTTTTTCACCGTACACTGCATTACTTACATTCTATTAAATTGATTTTCACTCTCTGCTCTTCTCACTTCCCAGGGAGATCAGTGGTTTGTTAGTGTTTCAGATTGTTATTCCTAAAGTTTTTACTTTCATATAGTCTTATGCCTTTTAGGTTCTCCACAATCATTTAGGGTTCACTATGATCAACCCCATCTATTTTTAGTCCTGTCTCTTCCATCTGTTCAATGCAAATCCAAACATAAGATATCTGAACCCCTTCATTTTTAAAAATTATAACACTTTCATATTTGGTTGTCCTGGTCCCTCCACCTTGACTGCATCCCCTTTGCCTTGTCAGTGCCCAAGGGAACCTGTAGAATTCAAATAACATTTTCTCCAGTGTGCTTTCTCTGGTCACACTAATTAAAACTTCTGATTTCCTATATAACACTTAGTTTTTACAGTTCCTGCCGTGTTTCTCATAGAGATTTATATTATATACATTTGGTTATTTCTTGTCTCCTCCAATACATTCTAAACTCCATGAGGTCTAGAAGAGTGTCTTGTAGCAATAATGCCTTGCCCATAATAGGCACTTACTAAGTATTTTTTGAATGAATGGGAAAATGAACCAACCAGGTTTCTCTAACATCCTGCTCTTGAGGGCTTGGGTTAGTGTGCACAGTGGCATCTTGATCCATGTATACCTCACTGTGCTAACCCAGGGTTCATGGATTTACTGGTCATTAAGTTTTCCCCTGTCATATTCGCAATACACAGACATACACAAAGCCTTGTTGCTTTTACTATTAGTTTCAGTCTGGTCTAGCCTTGATTTAATTGTCCCCATTTTATTTAGAAGTCAATTTATTTCATTTTTTAGTATTTATTTAGTACTTTATGTTTGAAAAGAGCTTTTCAATCATTGATTAGTTATTCTTCTGTGAAGTAGATCTGTATAGTCATCTCTATTTTACAATTAAGAAACCAAAGCGCAGAAAGGTGCAATGACTCACTGAGGTTAAAGACAAAGTTAATAATAAAACCTATAGCTACCTAGCTTCTTGCCCACAGATTAACCTACCTCACCGTATTTCCTAGCAGAAACCAGAGTTCATGGATCCGCATAAGATAATCTAAACAAAGTTATATCTAGAAAAGCCTGAAGGTCAAAATTTCAAATAGTTATCCAAAACTACAAGATGGTATTGTTCTTTTCCTTGAAAGTGGTGTTCTTCAGTGCTAACTACAGCACAAGAAAAAAAGAAGATTCTTAAATCCCCATGGGGAGGTGTTTCATCTTTCTAAGAAACAATAAGCTGGCAGGCTATTATTATTTATGTTATTAAAAGTCAACAAATATTGAATTCAAATTATTTGCATTTATTTATTAAATGACAAATAAAAATTGTATGTATTTATAGTGTACTACATGATGTTTTGATATATGCTTACATTGTGGAATGTCTAAATCAAGCTAATTGACATATACATTACCACACATACTTATCATTTTTCTGTGTGGTGAAAACATTTAAAATCTGCTCTTAACAATTTTCAAGTATATAATACATTGTTATTAACTATAGTCACCATCTTGTACAGTAAATCTCCTGAATTTATTCACGTGGTCTAACTGGAATTTTGTATCCTTTGATCAACATACCCCAATTCCTTCAACTCCCAATGGTAACCACCATCCTATTGTCTGCTTCTATGAGTTCAACTGGTTTTAGATTTCATATATAAGTGAGATCATACAGTGTTTGTCTTTCTGTATCTTGCTTACTTCACTTAGCAAAATGTCCTCCAGATTCATCCATGTTATTGTAAATGACACAACTTCCTTCTTTTTTAAGACTGAATAGTATTCCATTGTATATACACACCACATTTTCTTTATGTGTTCATCAACTGATGGACACTTAGGTTGACTCCATATCTTGGCTACTGTGAATAATGATGCAATGAACATGGGAGTCAGCTTTTTCTGATATACTGGTTGCATTTCCTTTGAGATGCCCAAAAGTGGGATTGCTGGGGTCATTTGGTAATTCTATTCTTAGTTTCTTGAGGAACCTCCAAATTGTTTTCCATAATGATTTAATAATTTACATTCTCACCCACGGTGTGCAAGTTATGTTCTCATCCATCTCCCCATCAACACTTGTTATCTCTTGTATTTTTCATAATAGCCATTTTGACAGCTATGAGGTGATATCACATTGTGATTCTGATTTGCATTTCCCTGATGATTAGTGATGTTGAGCATTTTTCCATATACCTGTTGGCTTTTTGTATGTCTTCCTTTGAGAAATGTCTTTTTGGGTCTGTTGCCCATTTTAAGTCAGGTTATTAGTTTTCTTGCTATTGAGTTTCTTGAGTTATATATTTTTAATATTAACCTTTATTAGATGTATGATTTGCAAACATTTTCTCCGATTCTGTAGGTTTGTCTCTTCACTCTGTTGCTTGTTTCCTTTGCTGTGCAGATACTCTCTAGTTTGATGCAATCCCATTTGTCTATTTTTACTTGTGTTGCTCATGCTTTGGGGATCATATTTTTAAAAAATCTTTGCCCAAATCAGTGTTATAAAGCTCTTTCCCATTGTTTTCCCTAGTATTTTTTACAGTTTCTGGTCTTATGTTTAAGTCTTTAATCCATTTGATTTGATTTTTATATATGAGATAAGGGTTAAAAAATCCATTTAAATTCTAATTTGAGTAATATAGTCTGCCACTTAAAATTACTCAAAGTGCCATGACAGGGCAAGACTCCATCTCAAAAAAAAAAAATTACTCACAGTGCCTTGTAAATTATAACACTTTATATAAACATAAGGTCCATCACAATGTTACTGTTTATTTTCCTGCAAATCTCATTAGATTGCTTAGCCATTTCGTCTTGAAATTTTGCTTGGTGTTAATGAACAGGGTGCAAGTTCTTTAATGTTTTTGAGAATGCTTTATGAAAAAAAGGTGGTTGGATTAGACGATTTCTATGGTGACCTTCTGCCCAAACCTGCCACGGCTGTATGAGTCTAAGTGACAACCGTGCTGTGATTCTCCTGATGGAAATATTTCAGGACTGTGAGTAGTCGCTGTGTGGACAATTGCATAAAGTCCTTCACACCACTTCATATAAGAGGGCCTAGAAAAATTCCCATGACTTTGTGCACTAGCTCACTCGTTCACATTTCACTTCACATAATGCCCTTCTCCTTCTCACCTCCCTGCATCTCTCTGACCACATTCACCTTGCCTCCCCTCTTCTAGTACCAGTAAGTAAGCTTTCCTAGGCAAAGGCAGAATCTCACCACAGCGAAATTTGCCTCAATTGCAATCAGCAACAGAGAGGGAAAAACTGTCCAAATTAAGCTGCTTGATTACGGAAATTAATCTTGTCATTTAGCGTCCCTGTTCTGCAGAACAGGGCCTTTGATTAGCCTCCTTGTTTCAGAATATTACAAGCAGACGTTTATTAAGCAGAAGGCTTTTTTTTTTTTTTTTTTTTTTTTTTGTAGTCAGGCAAGTCACAGGAAAAGTAAAGGTAGCAAGGGGCTTCTTAAAAAAGGGCACCAAGTCAAGGACTGTCAGTCTGCTTCTGAGTCCGTCTCACAGAGCAGGACTGTCATAGAATCAGGAACCTTAACCAACCCACCCAGCTTAGGATGGCTCCTCTGAAGGGAAGTTTAAGCAGCAGTAGAAAGATAATCCATAATCTGTTATGCTTTTAGTAATGGAATGAACCTTTTGACCTAGAGACAAAGGATGATTCTAGATGACATTACCCACTGTAAAGTTAAATGCAAATGTGTGGGACATCTGCTGCCTTTCTAAGGCCATATACTCTGGCAGCTCTGAATTATTATGTTAGTGTCTAGACTGAGAAAGCCATAAAGATTGCATGAGTGCTTTTGGGGGTGGGGGACAATAGCGGACATTCTCTCTTTCCCATCAGTGTGCATCAGCATTTTTAAACACTGAAGGGGTGCTAACTGATGGGCAATTTGCTTCCTAGCCCATGTTCTAAATCTCAGAGCTTCTAGGGCCACTTTGAGTTTGCTAGTAAGAACAGAGTTAAGTAGGACCTGATCCCAATTCACACAACTTTCTGGTAGAAGGGCTCTAATGGCCCAACTTACACCAGTCCAGAGGAAACCCAGCACAGAGCAATGGAGCAACTCAGGGCAGATCCCCAGCACATGATCAGAATGGCTCAGAATGCCTGAGAGGCCTTGCAATAGTTTGCTGAGAATGATGGTTTCCAGCTTCATCCATGTCCCTACAAAGGACATGAACTTCACTCATAGGTGGGAATTGAACAAGGAGAACACTTAGACACAGGAAGGGGAACATCACACACCAGGGCCTGTTGTGGGGTGGGGGAAGGGGGGAGGGATAGCTTAAGGAGATATACCTAATGTAAATGATGAGTTAATGGGTGCAGCACACCAACATGGTACATTTATACATATGTAACAAACCTGCACATTATGCACATGTACCCTAGAACTTAAAGTATAATAAAAAAAAAATATATATATATATATATACATATAAAATAAAAGAATGACTGAGGGGGTTCCCGAGCCCTATAGAGTTCAGCGCTCAGGCTATCATGAGCCAATAGATAAAGCAAGGCTAGGAGAAAACCAGTCATGACAAAAACAAAACCAAACCAAAAACAGCTTAATAACAGATTCTATCCTCTTTAGTTGGACCCAAACATCTGCTTAGAACAAGAGCAAAGAAACGTAACCAGAGTGATGACCTAGAGTACAGTGGAGGTGTAACAGAATTTCTCAACCATGGCACTATCAGCACTTCAGGCAAGACAATTCTTTGATGTAGGGGCCTGTCCTGTGCATTGTAAGATGTTGAGCAGCATCCCTGGCCTCCACCCTATAGATGCCAGTATCAACCCCACCCCAACTTGCCAAATGTCTTCTGGAAGCAAAGTTACCTCATCAAGGACAACTGCTCTTGAATATTACCGGTCTCAGAAAAACCAATTTCCTAATTTCCCAAGTAAGCTCACTATACACTTCAGCTCTTTATGAGACAACAAGGTGTGGTAGGAAGACCAGGAGGTTTAGTGGCCAAGAGGCTATGATCAAGTCCCAGCCACTTTGTACTAAGCATGTGGACATAACTAAGACAGTTCATCTCTGTGAGACTTCATATCCTTGTTTGTCAAATGAGAACAATAATAACCCCATTGCTGGACTTTTAAGAGGATTAAAAGAGATAATAATGTATGTCTGGTGCTGCTTATATAGGAGATATTTTAAAATAATGGTTGTTATGTGACTCAAAATCCTAAAATGCTAATCTAAGACAGAGAACCACTTGCCAAAGATAGAATTCATAAAGTAAAATATTAGCCTGAGAGATGGTCAGCATGACAATTTGTCTTAAAAGGGTATAAGGAGGAAAAAAAGAAAGAAATCAGCAACACCCACTAGAAGATGAGTTCCTCAAAGGCAGGAATAAGTTATAACTAGCAGTGCTAAATGAATACTGAATAAATGGATAAACCTATCTGAATTGGCCTTTTGTCCCACTTTTGTTCCCCCACTCCCACTGTCTAATCTTCATCCAGCAATCAGAGTACTCTTTTGTAAACAGAAGTTCTCCAATTTTTTTCTACACACTTAGAACATGACCCAGAAATGTTAGGCTGCTCTGTGGGATCCAGTCTGCCTCATCTTGTGCCTCTCTCCCCAGTCTTTCTGCTCTAGTCAGGAGATCTTCTTGCTCTGCCTTGAACTTCCAGAATCATTCCTGCTTAGGGGTTCTCTGCTTGCTGTTCTGAACCCAGAGAGCTCCCCATTCTTTCCTACCCTCCGGGTTTTTGCTCAGACACCATCGCTTCCAAGAGACCTTCCCTACCATCCTGTTTAAATGAAACCCCACCACCCCCCTCCCCACCAACCTCCAATATTCTTTATTCTCTTACAGTACTTACTTTCCGCATAGTACTTAATTCTGTCTCAAATCATTTTTTTTTTTTTCGAGACAGAGGCTTGCTCTGTTGCCCAGGCTGGAGTGCAATGTCACGATCTTGGCTTACTGCAACCTCTGACTCCCAGGTTCAAGCGATTCTCATGCCTCAGCCTCCTGAGTAGCGGGGATATTTGTGTGTGTGTGTGCGCGCATTTGGTTTTCCATCTGTGTCCTCTACTAAAAAGTTTCATTAAAGCAGGGATTCTACTGTGTCTACTCAGTAGCTTCGAGGTCTATCCTATAATGGGCACTCAGGAAATATTTGTTGATTGGGTGTAGTTTTGTGAATATGCTCATGACCATGTGGTCATTCTAAAGGGCTTTATTATTTGTGAGTGGAGCCTGTATATTTTTCCAGCAGCCTGCCTCCCTTCGTACAGGGCCCTGAGAAATGGAATAATCCCATTACTAGTGAATGAACAATCAGTTTCTATGTCTATATCCCACTCCAAACTGAACCTGAAGGCAGATTCTATGTCCTTCTTCTTAATAGTTATTGCACTTCTAATGCCTATACAGTGTCTGGCAAAAATGTTGATTTCTCTTAACTGTCAGATGAATCAGAGGAACAAGAAATAATAATCTTTGCTACTGTCAACACTTTCAAATCTTGGGCCAGTCACTCGTACTGTATCAGAAGAGGGTCACAGAAAACCTGTCTTCTTCTCCTTCCAATACCCCTAATACATCTCTACAGATAACCATCTACCACCTGGTCTGAAAGTCTCACTCTCTGAATTGAATTAAGGTGTCAATGAGCAATAAAACATTAGCTACATGTCACATTGAGAAAGATTAATTTATTAGGTCCAGTAGTGAGATTCATTTATCTGATCATTAGCCACTGCCATCTATGGCAACTGGCCAAAAACAGAGGCCTAACTTCAGTGAAATGGACATCAGGCATTTATAAGTGTTCGGGAAGGGGATAAGAAAAATGCCAAAATAGAGTTGGCAGTATGAAAACCAAACACTCTCTCCTCCTATTCTCATCTGGTAAGGGTCAGGTGTTATTCAGAAATGACCTAGTCTTCTAAAGAATGTGATCACTCAGCTGAGCATGATGGCTCATGCCTGTAATCCCAGGTTTTGGTTTTTTTTGGTTTCGGTTTACTTTAGGAAGCTGAGCCAGGAGGGTCGCTTGAGTTCAAGAGTTAAAGACCAGCATGTGCAACATAGAGAGACCTCAACTCTACAAAAGAAAAAATTAGCTGGGCACAGTGGCATGTGCCTGCATTTTCAGCTACTTGGAAGACTGAGGCAGGAGGATCACTTGAGCCTAGAAGGGCGAGGCTGCAGTGTGCCATTAAAGCGCCACTGTACTCAGCCTGGGTGACACAGTGAGACCCTGTCTTTTAAATAAATAAATATGGTCACTATTGCCACAGAAACATCAAGAAGAGTCCTCCCTATGCCAGTGCAATGACATTCTGGACTCTATTACTTACCTGAGGGCTGCAACAGGCATTTCCTGCATTTCCCCTCATAAAGTAGAACATTCCAGGCTTAATATATGAAGCTGTGGGATCAGACAACTAACATACTAGCCTGACTGGAGAGTGGAGAGTGATAAAATGCTTCTAGTTTGGAATTAGGCACGGAGATCTTCTTTTAACGGAGATAAGGAATGGAGGAGACATTAAGGGAAATGTATGAACATGTAGTAAACATACAAAGCTCAGGGTTTATGAATGGGCCTCAAGGGATCCTTGAATTCCCTGAAACTGCATGCAGCATTTCGTAAGTGGATACTTTTCCAGAAAAGGGGTCTATAGTTTTCATTAGATTCTCAAAGGTCTCCGTGACTCGTGGCCAATCTTTCATAGAAGTCTCAAAAGAAAAAAAGTAATATATTCTGTATTCTGAAGACATACTGGTGTTCACAGGCAGGGTTAAAGTTTTGAGTTAATCAACCCCTCCAACCTCCATAAAAATCGATTGAACAAATATGTACTAAGCCCCAAATTATATAAAAGACACTGTGCAGCCCCACTTTTAGGTGTATGCCCAACAGAAGAAACTGCAAAAAAAAAAAGTCAGAATTCTTTTCTTCTACATGGGAACAAAATTCTTAGCAAAATGTTGACTGAAATAACTTCTGGGTTTACAGGCATGAGCCACCACACCCAGCCCTGAAATAACTTCTGGGCTCATGCATTTGGACTGAATTTTATTTGCCTATTACATTATCATTTCCCACTATGTATTCTCCCTAATCTCTGTTTTGATATGTATTTATCTTTTTTTTTCATTGTTCCTCTTCTCATGTTCAACTAAACCTATTTCAACTGTAGACATTTTCCATGAGCAAAATTCTGCTACACTACTTTGCATTCACTAAAGAAATATTAGTACAATATTCAACAAATGAACACTGCAAATGATATAAATTAAGAATTCTGTTTTTTTAATCTATTAAGTCTGAGGAAGCTGTAAGAGATTAGAGCACAACCTCTGAAAGAAATGGAAGTGAGGAATAGAACTAAGAAAATGAAAGGTAAGATCAGATATGTCGATTCAGGGTGTTTATTATAGACACAAGGTATTTAAAACCATGAAACTATTTGCATTGGAAATGGAGAAATTATGGACTTGTCCTTAACGTGACAACTGTAGACATCTGTAGAGGCATTTCATGAATCATGGCAAACTTGTAACCAGATATTATTACTTGCAACAAGGTAAGTAATTGGGAAGTTTTGGGAATTTTTTTTTTTTTTTTTTTTTTGAGACAGAGTATTGCTGTCTCTCCAGGCTGGAGTGCAGTGGTCCGAGCTTGATCTCGGCTCACTACAACCTCCGCCTCCCGGGTTCAAGCAATTCTTCTGCCTCAGCCTCCCAACTAGCTGGGACTACAGACGTCCGCCACCACTCCCAGCTAATTTTTGTATTTTTAGTAGAGATAGGGTTTCACCATATTGGCCAGGCTGGTCTCGAACTCCTGATGTGATCCACCCATCTCGGCCTCCCAAAGTGCTGGGATTACAGGCGTGAGCCACCGTGCCCGGCCTGGGAAATTTTATATGAAACTGGAAATCAAAAAAAGTAAAGACCAAGCAATAAAGCTATTTAGAGTCATCCATTCGAATGCTAAATATCAGAATTATGATATAAGGGCAGAATAAGAGTGAGGCAAAAATCGGAACCAGATGGCAAAGGAAGCATGTGAATATGTTGTAAATTCCAAACATTACTACACTTCTGGGACGCTGGGTACCAAGAATTGGAAACAGGATGAGGAGAAAATGTTTGTTGGCAGCAATAACAACAAAAGCAGTGCAGGAACATCCAAATAACAGTAATAATAATAGCTAGCATTAATGAGCCCCTACTATGTTCCAGTGCCTTACACATATTCTCACTGCATCCTAATGACCACTCTACAAGATTCTACAGCAGATGAGGAAGCCGAGGTCAGAAAGATGAAGGCGCTTGCCAGAGGTCATTTATACAGGACTTAGACCTAAGCCTGCCTAATGTCAAAATGCTAATTCATTCAATATGATATAGGCTAAAAGTAGTGAACAATTTTGAATTCATTCCTTTTTTGAATTGAGTCCATACATGTCAATAGGGGTGTGTCCAATCTCACAAAACAAGTAATAAAATTACCCGTCTTGAGTTGCTTTCTTTTTTCCTTGCTTTTCATTAAGTTGAACAGCCTTACTTTTGGAGATATTTGAAAATCACAAGACTAATAGTCTGTATGCTTCTGTGCACATGTATTCTCATGCATCATCATGGATTCTTCAGATCAACATGGGCAATGACTCAGAGGTGAAAATGATAAATGTGTCACCACTTGAGGATTCCCAAAACTGATTCCTCTTGGGGGAAATAGGAAAGTTACCATAGACAAAAAGTCATCAGGAAGGAAGTAGCGGAGATTTAGAGTTGGGATTAAATGTTCAGGTTTCTAGGGAATCTGCAAAGTGTTTAGATTTAGGAACTTAATGCCTAATGTACAAAACTCTTACAAAAGATGTGAAGGCTGGCAAAGGATTGCTTTCCGTGTTAGAGTATTCCTCAGTATGCACTAATTCTCAGCTAGAGGGACCACGAAGAGAGCGAAGAGCCAAGCCAGATCTCACATGCTATGTTTAGCCATTAGGGTTGGCTGGATGACCAGCAAAGGAGAGAGTCGTTAAAAAGCAAGGTTTTGTGTGTTTGTTTTAGTGTAATGCTTATTTTATATGTTTTAGGACTTATGACAAATTTCACTGGGCCACTAACAGTTACAAAATAACCTACAAATCAGCTTAGTACCTAAGAAGAAAACCAGTGAATTTCAGTGAATAATGAGAATTGCCTCCAAGTAACAAAACATTTTCTCCACCATTACAGATTTTCACAAGGAAATTTAAGCTCCCTTAACCTATTTTTTCCTCCATTATCAAGTTATGGACATGAACAGCCTTGCAGCACTGTCCAACAGAACTTCCAGTGATGATAGAAATGTTTTACATCTGTGCTGTCCAATGTGATAGCCAATGGTCTCATGTGACTATGGAGCATTTGAAATGAAGCTCATACTACTGAGAATTTAATTTTAAATTTATTTAATTTTAACTAATTTAAATTGAAATCTAAATAGCCACATTTGGCTAGTGGCTACTGTACTGGTCACTACAGGAACTTCAGAGCATTGAGAGGTCCTAGATTCTTATTTTCTAGTTCTTCTTGTCTATGAATGTTATTTTCAACTCTTCCCTTAAGTTTCATCTCTTTGATTTTTTAAACCTGTATTTAAACGTTGATCTCATTTTTCTAGATTTTGTTTATACTGTATCTTTGTCTTAAGATATGTAAAATTCACCTTTTATAGGTCAAAAACAGTACAATATCAGCAATCTTATATGATTCAACTTTATATAATGTATCATAGGCTTCTCCAATGTGACCTAGATGTAGCACAATGCTATACACATAGGAACCATCAGTGGCCGAATAAATGAAAGAATAGATGACTAAATATTGGTTGAATAAATGAGTGACAAAGTCAGATAGGCAGCAGACATTTGCGCAATACTCAGGGTACTTTTCCTCAGATGAATTCAATGTATTGGTACTGAGATTCAGCCATGAAGCAAAAACCTCTGAGAGTATGTTTCAGTCCTGAATTCAGTAAAGGCATCATTCAGAACAGACAAGAAAAAAAAAAAAGACATATAGGAACTTCTGACACCGTAACAACAAAACAATCACAGAGTATTGAGAAATTCACAAGTTCCTTGAGCAGAAAATGATTTAAAATGATAAAGAGTGGGTTGTTTATTGAGGAAGGAAATGGAATCATTAGAGATGGGAGATTTGGGGATACGTGCTAGAAAAACTTGAAGAGACTATAGAAAAGATGTATGAACATTCTGATAAAGGACTTTGGGGAGTGTTTCTATGTAATAAGAGAATCAGAGAAGTTTAAAAAAAATTGCTGGTTTTTAGTCTAACAAAATAAGCTGTTGCTGCAGACAACCTTGCCTGGTGTTGCTCATGGAAGCTCATTATGCCTAACTTTGAAGTGAAAAGGTGGGGTTAAAATACTCACGAATTTTCTTTCTCCCATTCTAAAAATGTGCTTGTATACTTTCACATTTCTTCTTCTTGTACTTATATTCATGGTCTTCATTTGACGTCATTGCTTACACAACAATCTTTCCATTAAAAGAACACAAGTAGGTGATAACTGTAAGTGTAAAGCAACATCTCATGTCAAGAGAACCAAATACATGCACATGTGCACACACACACACACTCCCTGCAGTTCCTCAGGTATGAAATGATGCCACAAACCCACTGCTAGCAAGAGATATACTTGAGAGGCATTTGCAGAGTGAAAAAGAATTTACAGTGACTCATCTGTGACCTTTCATCTGGTCCACATGTGTGAAAAACAGCACACGTGGACAAGTCATATGAAGGGTGAGACCACCCTACGTGGCTAGATATTAGAGATGACAGGTCTCTAAAGGGACAGATCTTGCACCTCTAGTTCAACAGATTAAAAAATAGGTACAAGGACCTATCACCTACAGTACTGTGGGACTTAACAATGCTATAAAACAGGACCTAGAAAAGTAGATGGTTATGGAAATGACAATTGATAAGACAAAAAACTAATATTCTCCCCATCCTTCTGGAAAATGTCCAGAAAATCTAAGGTTCAGACTTTCTAGCAGTGTTTTGAACTCCTTTTTTTCCCCCATTTTCCCATACTTAAAAGAGGCCAGAATAATAGGTTACAATGAGATTTCAATGATAAAGTCACAGTTTGGATAAGATACCAGCAGGCTTTTTTGGAGCCCATGCTATAAGAAGCATGGAAATTCCACTCTGGGAAGGAGTGAGCAGCAGACCTGGTTTCCATAGCACTGCCATGGAAACAGCTCTCTGTGACTCTGTGCCTCCAGGCCTTCTGAAACTAAAGCATCGCTCCAACACCCACCTCCGTATCACATGCCCCCAACCCCCTCACAAATGATTAAAGAATGTCTTAAGAAAGTGGGGTTCTAACAAGATAATATACATTATATGTGTTATGTGTGTGTACATTAATTTCCTTCAAAGATGATTTTAAAATTCAGATGTTTCTTCCTCTTTTATTGGGGAACGGGCTGGTAAAGAAGAGAAAAATAAAAACCTAAGCAATCTAAACCTAAGTCAAAAACCCTACACTTGAAATTGGAAAAATACAAATCTTGCCAAGCAGTTTATTAAAGAGATGGGCCTACTAATCCCATGCATTGGGTTCTTTTATTTTCTTTTGTCTGCCTGGATGCCAGCATACAAATACAAAGGATTCAATTAACTGTTAGAGCCAAGGAGAGGCTCTTCCCTATCTTTATCATTGAGGGTTTGGTGCAGGATTTTTTTTTTTCTCAATTTCTATCCCTTGGTCATAATTTTGCAAGAAGAATAAAAGTTTGGAAATGGTTTTCTAGAATCAGAAAAGTCCAACAGAAGGAAGCATGGGCTCTTTAGCTAGCTTTGTAGCCCTCGTGCCTCCTTCTCTGATGTCTCCAAGGGGGTAAATGACAGTCAGACAGCGGTGCAGTGGTCCAGAATCTGCCTCCACAGCATGTACTCTAGCTGGGCTGGAGCAACGCCCACTGACTGGGAGCAAACCAAAGGTCAGGAAGCCTGTTAGTCAGCAGATGCTCGGGAACTCGACAGGGCATATCAGAAAGGCTCTTGGCCCAGCAGCACGGTCCACACACGAGCCACAGGATTGTAGTTAGAACTCTTGAAATCCCATTCCTGTTTTCAACTCTTTCTCCACCTGATAAAATAAACTTGGGACATTAATTCTAGCACATGTGGAATGCAAAAATGCAAAAAAGCATTATACCTGAGAAGAACCTGTTGCTACAGTTGCTGGTCAAATTGTTGAGAGGAAACTTAATAAAGGGAAGTTTCAAAAATTTGCTGATTGGAGAATGGTTATTATTTTTTTAAATGTCCCCAGAATAACCCAATGATGAGTAAAGACTAAGGAGAGCCCACATATATAGGCAAAGACATTTCAAGTCAGGCCATGGGTTTCCAACCGCTCAGGAATGGTTCTTCTGGGTCAAACAACTAAAATGCTCTGTCATTATTTCTATACCTGAAAATTCTCCTGTCTACCTTGCTGAGTACTGTGAAATGGAAAGCAAAGCTGGGATCAGTCAGAGTTAGACAATGGGGAGTAAAATAAGATGGGAGTTCTGAATTATTCATTTTTATTTATGTATTGTAGTGGCAATTGTTATCGTTTTTTTGTTTCTCCTATATGTTGAGATTGTAAAAAGAGGCCTGAATAATTCAGCATGACTCAAGAAATCATAAATGGAGTACTGTCTGGGCAGTGAATGCCTATGAAATAGACTCATTTTCTTGTTATTTTTAACATTTGTATGATATGTTGATTTATAATTTAATAACAACCTATGATGGCACTAATGAATGCAATAATATTTGCAAGGCATTTCAATATTCTAAACAGGAAAAGAACTGAATCGTCCCACTCCCTTTATTTTAACCAAAGGGCAGGAAGGAGCCAGCGACCCAGTGGGAAAGAAAAGGGGACATACTGGAACCAAAGGCCATTCCAAGAAGAAGTCAGAGCCCACACATGCCACAGGCATATTTCTGGGTACTAATTCATGCCCTGGTTGTTTGAACACTTGTGCTAAGCTCTTCATGCACTTTTATTTCATACCACTGCAAGCCTAGAGGCAAGGCAGGATTTATTTTTAAGAAGGGGTGTTATTTCAGTCTAAGAGTCACAGGTAAGTTGAGGAAACACAGAAAGTATATATTTCTCATTATTCTTAGAGATTGAGAAGCCAAAGCTCCAAGTCAAACCTCATATAGTTAAATCTATTTATTATACCTGTTTCACAAAGTCCAGGAATGCTGCTTGAGAGAACCAACTAAAAGGTGAGTAAAAAAGAGAGAATAGAAAGTAGTTTTAAGAAGAGAACATCCATTCTCTTAAGATTACTAGCCCTCAACTTTCCATCAAAGACAGAACCATCATGACAGAGCCTGTCCCAGAGACTGGTCCAACCCTTTCTTTGGAGCCTTCATGAGTGTTTCACACCAGAGATGTTGACGGCCTTTTGTGGCAGACAAATCATCATACAGGGGTCTCTTTCATACTAAAAGCTGTTTAGCAACCCTAGCCCTGCCCATGAAGAGAGAGTAACACTCTACAGCCACATAACCTCGAAAGAATACATTCACACATTTCCAACACCTATGAGAGCTTTATAAGCTCAACTGTGTCCCTCCAATGTCTATATGTTGAAGGCCTAACCACTAGGACCTAAGAATGTGACAGTATTTGAAGATAGGGTCTTTAGGGGGTGATTAAGTTAAAGTGAGGCTGTTAATCCTAATCCAATCTGACAAGTGTCTTTATAAAAAGAGGAAATTGGAACACACAAGAAGACACCAGGACACAGCCATTTAGAAGAAAGACCGTGTGAGTGAGAGAGAAGGTGGCCATCTACAAGCCAAGGAGAGGCCTCAGGAGAAACCAAACCTCCTGACACCTTGATCTTGCACTTCTAGCCTTCCAAACTTTGAGAAAATATATTCCTGTTGTTTGCACCACCACATCTGTGGTATTTTGTTACCGGGGCCCTAGAAAACTAAAACAGGGACAATACCACCTCCAGCTGAGAACCAAAACAAGGTTCTATGCATCTTCAAGACTCAGCTACACTCATGTTGTCCAAAAACCCTTACTAATCCCTGAAAGGGAATATATAATAAATCTCCACTTCTTTAAGATCCTAGGAACAGGATGTGTTTCCTAGTTCAAAAATTTTCAGATTTTGAAAAGGTAATAGCGTGTATTTACCAAATACTACCTAGCACTATCCTAGGGGTGTCTGGGGCAAGATGCTATAATCAAACACATAAACATTTCTCCCACAAAACACAAAAATATGAGCACTTTTAAGATGAAATTAAGACTACAAACAGTTTTACAGCACTGTATGTCAGATTTTGCTGCCAAATGAATTCACATTAGTTCATATTTTAATGCTAAATAAACTACAAAAAAATCCTTTGCATATCTGAACCTGTTGGATTTCAGAGTGGCAATTAAGAGACTGTGGACTTGGTCAACTTCCCTTAATAAAATGAAATCCAGAAGGTCCAGGGTCCATACATAAATGGAGACTTCCAGTGAACAGGAGCAACCAATAAACAACCTAAACTTCCTGCACTGGGGTTTCATTTTCCTCATAGGATTCTCCCACTTGGTTCCTGACCCGAGGTGGGTCCTACTCTCCTTGAATCTCTGTCTGACCCAAGTGTAGACAAAACCTCTCCCTTAGTTTCCCTTATCTCTGATCAACTAAGCTAAGATTTTCCAAAAGATTGTACCAAATTCCAAGAAATGCCAAAGAGGAAACAAACACAGCCATGCTGACCCTATTCTTGCTAGCTAACTCTCAGAGGCTTACAGTCCCCATGGAGCCCACATGAGCCCCCAAGAGAAAAAGAGACTAGATCAATGGCCAAATACCAATGCCATCCTAATCTCCACCACCTAGGGACACAACCCTATATATTTGATACTTCTCTGGTCTACAGTACAGTGGAGAAGACGTTGTCATTTCTCTGACCATATATAGCCACCTACCCAAGCTCATATATTTATTCAATAAATATTTATTAAGCACCTATTAGTTTCCCCAAATCAACTAAGAACTAGAGATACAACAGTGAGTAAAACACTGAATTTACCCTCATGGAGCTTCTTAGAAATTGTTTTTCTCTGTATTCTGACAGCACGCATTGTTCACCCCTGTTATAGTACTCAATTCATTCTAATTGTTAAGTGTCAGCTTTCCTTACTACAGTTTGAGCTTGTTATGGGAAGCAACCATGTTCTATTTATTTTTCAAGCATATAGTACAATGCTTGGCCTACATTAGGGAGCTAAATGTTGATTGAATTAATGAATAAATGAACTGGGATGAGGGCAAACCTGGTTGCTAAATGCTATCCATTTTCTCTTTTAACTATCTGAAAGGAAATCCTTCCTCCTTTTCCCCACTGCTGAGCCTTTGCTATCTCTTGGCTGAATTGCTTTAACAGCCTGGTAACTAGTCTCCCTGCCCACAAAATCCACCCTCTACACTGCTACCAAGAAGAGCTTTCTATAATAGGAATTTGATTCTTCCCCCTTTTGAATTCTACTGCCCACAGAATGAGGATTAAACTCCTTTGAATAACATACATGGCCCTTTACAGTCTGCCCCAACTGGTTTTTTTCTTATTTTCCAATTTCCTTCTACTTGCTACCGTACAAAGTTTGCCCCAGTTACCGAGAACCACTCGATGTGCCTAAAATACCCCCTGCTCTTCCATCTCTGTACCTCTGCTCATGCTGTTCCATTTTTCTTGAATGCTTTCCTACTATTTCTCTCTTCCCGCTCTGTCCCCTACCCTAAACCACCTCCCAACCTGAAAAACTCAAGTATTTTTCAGGGACCAGCTCAAGTGTCATTTCTTACACAGAGTTTCTCTATTTCCTCAGGCAGTCATCCTCATCCTCTGAAACCAAGCAATAGAGTAAAGGTGGATCCCAGGACAGAGGGCTCTGTTCACACACACTTACACATACCATGCAGCTCAGAGGAGCTAATTCTTGGCCCCAAATCTGAACTGTGAAATGCATCCCTCATCCTTTAAGAGGCAGTTGCTAAAATGCAAATGTCTGAAAGATGCCTCATATGCAAAGGCTAACCTGATGATCCCTTCCATCTTATCAGGGTTTAGTTAATGGCCAGGTGAGCAATAGAATGGGACTGGTGTTAGGAAGAAGGCAGAAGACAGAAAGGAAGAAAAGTGCTACATAAAAAGAGGTAGCATAAAACAAACTTTCCTTATTTCACCATTTGTCTGGGATCAATCCTGGCTCTGTGTAGTAATCTTGATCATTTGGTCATTTAGAAAAATCGTAGCACCAGGCACTGTGCAATGTTCTTTTGGAGCCACATATGATTGACAAAGATATGTCCACTATTCTCAAACAGCTTACAATCTAGTGAACTATTGAATTCACAAGAATTTCAAGCCATCATTCTATCCAGGACCAGAAGTTCTTTTACCAACCAAACTTAAAGCGAAGAAAATATATTCCTTGAAGTTTTTCAGACTTCTAAACATTACTTTCTCTATTACACAAAATAAATACGGGAAGCAATGAAGCTGTAAGAAGCCTGCCATAAATATTCTCGATCTCAGCCATGAAATATGTCCTAATTCTAATATATATAAGGTATCAAGTCAAAGCAAAACCAGGGAATGATATTGAAGACAATTTCATTTCCTCTGCTTTTCTATTCTGCCTTCTGAACTATAAGTATTCCTTAAAGGGCTGGGCCTAAAGTCTTATGAAATTTTTAGCACAAGAGTTTCAAAGGGAATTTGGATGTGTGCAAAAAGAGGAGACAATACCTCTAGGAAAAAATGATGGAATCACACTTTTAATATATTTGGTTAAAAATAATGTTACCACTCTTCTAATATAATAGGTCAAGAGAAGCTGAACAATCTAACAGATTCTGAAAGGTATCCCTAAGGTAGGTCCACCCTCTCAGTTAGGCAGTAGTAAAAGATCTAAACATAATCAATCGGGCACATTGTATGTAGCTGTGAGGGTTAGAAGTACAAAATGTAGTTGTGAGGGTTAGAAGTATAAAAAACAGTCTATGCATTTACAATCTATTTGGTAAGATGCAGTGTGCCAATGAAGAAAGGTAAATATGATAGAATAAGACAAAGGGTAAAGAGATGAGGAACAGTTAAGAAATGAAGGTAGGGGGTAATACTAAAAACTGTTTATTGAGAAGATTCTACATGCCAAGCACTTTACAACACCTCTGTTAAGTCTCATAAAACCATACAAAAACACAGTGATAAAAAGTTTTCCTCCCTGACAATATCAGGACAAACAAGAAACTTTGGTTAAGCAACAAACATTTAGTCTTTACACATTTTAAGTCAAAATATATAAATTTGCATACATCCGCCAATCTTTTGATATAGGAACAAAGCCTTCTTTTGATCACTGATTTGATGACTGGCGTTCCAATCTTTCTTACATAAATGACACCCAATCCTAGTTGTAATTCCTTAAAGATACTTCTAAGGGTTGAGGATCATTTTATTCCATTTGGATAGCCAAATATTTCAATATCATTTATTGAAAAGCCTTCTTTTTCCATTAAATTACTCTGGCATTTTTATTGAAAACCAATTGAATGCATAAGTATAGGTCCATTTCTGAGCCCCATTCTGTTCCATTGATTTGTATATCTGTTCTTATGCCAATACCACATTGTCCTTTATAGCAAGTTTTAAGGTATTGTAAGTCCCCCAACTTTGTTATTCTTTAAAATTGTATTGACTATTCTAGGTCCTTTGTATTTCCATAAATTTTTTATAATGACATCAATTTCTACCCCCACCCTGAAAAAACCCCACTGGGCTTTTTACTAGGATGGAGATGAGTCTAAAGATGAAGGTAAAGAGAGTTGAAATCTTAAAATACTGATTCTTTTGATCCATAAGCACAGTATAGCTTTCCATTTATTTAAGTCTTCAATATTTCTCAGCAATGCTTCATAGTTTTCAGGGTAGGGGTCTTGAATATGTTGATATATATGTATAATTTTTTCCATGGTTTTGATGCTACTATAAATAGTATTTTATTTAAATTTTTAAATTGATAATTCTCCAGTAGTATATAAAAATACAATTGATTTTTGTATATTAACTTTGTATCTTGTAATCTTCCTAAATTCATCTAAGTTCTAGTGATTTTATGTAAATTCCTTAGAATTTTCTGCATAGAAAGTCATGTCATTTGTGAAGGAAGATGGTTTTACTCTTTCCTTTCTCATCAATATTCTATTTCTTTTTTGTACTTTATTCCATATGCTACAACCCTTTGTATAAGGCTGAGTGGAAGCAGTAAAGGCAAACATCCTTGCCTTTTCCCAACCTTGGGGAAAATATATTCACTTTTTCACTATTGAGTATGATGTCGGCTATAGGTTTTCCATACATATCTTTATCAGGTTGAGGAGGATGTTCTACATTTAGTTTATTGAGAATTCTCAACATGAATGAGTGTTCAATTTTTTCAAACTGTTCCCTGCATTATTGAAGTGATCATATATATTTTTCATATTAATATAATGAATTACATTAATTTTCAAATGTTAAACCAACACAGTGTTACTGGGATAAACACCTCTTAGATATGATGTATTATCCTTTTTATATCTTGCTGGATTTCCATTAACTAATGTTTTTTGAAGATTTTTGCTCCTATATTCATGAGAAATATTGGTATATAGTTTTCTTATAGTATCTTGTCACTTATTGGTAGGAAAAGAATACTGATAAGGAGTTAGAAAATGTTCCCTCCCCTTCTATTTCCTGGAAGAGTTTGTGTAGAATTGGTATTGTTCTTTCTTTATACGTTTGGTAGAATTCACCAGTGAAGCCATTTGGGCTTGGCATTATCTTTACAAGAAAAGATTTTACCAGGAATTCAGTTTCTTTGATATATAAAGAATGACTTATTATTTTTTTCTTCTTGAGTTAACTTTCGTAGTTTTCTGTCTCTCAAGGTGTTTGTCTATTTACCCAAGTTGTCAAATTTATTGACATAAAGATGGTTATAATATTCTTTTATTAGCCTTTTAATTTTGATACGCTCTATAGTGATATCCCCCTTTCTTGCCTGATGTTGATAATTTATGTTTTATCTCCTCAGTTCTGAGCCAGTCTTGCTAGAGATCTATCAATCTTATCTTTTCAAAAATTCAGCTTTAGGCCAGGCGCGGTGGCTCACGCCTGTAATCCCTCCACTTTGGGAGGCCGAGGCAGGCGGATCACAAGGTCAGGAGTTTGAGACCAGCCTGGCCAACATGGTGAAACCCCGTCTCTACTAAAAATACAAAAAAAATTAGCCAGGTGTGGTGGCACATGCTTGTAATCTCAGCTACTTGGGAGGCTGAGGCAGGAGAATTGCTTGAACCCGGGAGGCGGAGGTTGCAGTGAGCCGAGATTGTGCCACTGCACTCCAGCCTGGGCAACAGAGCGAGACTCCATTTCAAAAAAAAAAAAAAAAAAAAAAATCCAGCTTTAGGTTTTACTGATTTTCTTTAATTTGTGTATACTCTACTTCATTGATTTCCCCTCTTCATTTGTTTTCCTTCTGTTTATTCTGTTTATCTTACTCTTCTTTCTCTAGATTCCTAAGGTAGAAGCTTCAGATCATTGATTGTTTATCTTCCTTCTTTTGAATATAATCATTTAATTTTATAAATGTCCCTTGAAGCGCTGCATTAGCCATATTGTGCAAATTTTACTATGTTGTTGTTTTATTTTAATTCAGTCCAAAATATATCCTGAAGGCCTTTGTGATTTCTTTTTTGACTCATGCATTACTTAGAAGTTTAATGTTTAATTTCCAAAATTTAGGTATTTTCTAGCTATAGTTCTCTTTAATTCTAATGTGGTCACAGAACACATTTTGTATAATTTCAATCAACTTACACTTGATAAGACTCATTTGATAGAATAAGACTTATTTGATAGAATATTTTCTACCTTGGTAAATATAACATATAAACTAGAAAAGAATGTATATTCTCTCTCCTGTTGTTTGATGCAATATTCTAGAAAGGTCAATTTGGTCAAGCTGGTAGATTTTATATATATATAATATATATATAATAAATATATATATATTTTGTGTGTGTGTGTGTGTGTGTGTGTGTGTGTGTGTGTATGATGGAGTTTTGCTCTTGTAGCCCAGGCTAGAGTGCAATGGCCCGATGTCGGCTCACTGCAACCTCCACTTCCTGGGTTCAAGTGATTCTCCTGCCTCTGCCTCCCGAGTAGCTGGGACTACAGGCATACACTACCACGCCCAGCTAATTTTTGTGTTTTTAGTAGAGAGGGGGTTTCACCACATTGGCCAGGTTGGTCTCCACCTCTTGACCTCAGGTGATCTGCCCACCTCGGCCTCCCAAAGTGCTGGAATTACAGGCATGAGCCACCGCACCCGGCCAATTAATCTCTTTTAACCTATCTACATATTTATATTTAACATGGATTTGTCATAGATAGCATATAGTTGGGTCTTGCTTTGTATCCAATCTGTCAATATATGCCTTTCAGTGGCATATTTAGGCCATTTATATTTAATATTATTATTAATATGTTTGGCTCTAAATCATTTTGCTATTTGTTTTCTTTTTTATCTAGTCTTTGTTTCTTCTTTTTTTTTCTTGCCTTTTCTTGAATTGACTGTTTTTTTAGAGTTCTGTATTACTTCCACCATTATTAGCTATACTCCTTGCCATTGTTTTGATGGTTTCTCTAGGACTAACAATGTGCTTCTTGAAACTGCTACACTCCTTCTTCAAATACTATTACACCAGGCCAGGCAAGGTGGTTCACTCCTATAATCCCAGCACTTTGGGAGGCCGAGGTGGGCGGATCACTTGAGGTTGGGAGTTCGAGACCATTCTGACCAACACAGAGAAACCCCGTCTCTAATAAAAATACAAAAATTAGCCAGGCATGGTGGTGCATGCCTGTAATCTCAGCTACTCTGGAGGCTGAGGCAGGAGAATCGCTTGAACCCAGGAGGCGGAGGTTGCGGTGAGCCGAGATCATGCTATTGCACTCCAGCCTGGGCAACCAGTGAAACTTCATTTCAAAAAATAAATAAATAATATTTTGCCACTAAATAGATAGTATAGGACACTTCCAACAGTAAATTTCACCCCTCCCCTCATTCTTAGGGCTACTTATGGCTGTTTTTAATATTTTTCTCTTTATTGCTAATTTTCAGCAGTTTTATTTATAATGTGCCTTATTGTTGTTTTCTTTTTTTTAGTTTGGGATTTACTGAACTTATCATATGTTTTACTTCAATATACATCATAAACCCCACTATACACTGTTTAGTTTTTTGCTTTACATGGCTAGTTATTTTTTCAGGATTTTTAATAATGTTTATAAATTCCCACCAATTTACTATGTCTGATGTTCTTCAATCCATTTTGTAGTTCTAAGTTTATATCTGATACCATTTTTCTTTTGCCTGAAAAACGTTAATAATTCTGAAATACAAATGTACCATTGACTAATTACCTCAGCTTTTTTTTTCCTCTGAAAGCCTTTATTTTGCCTTTACATAGATAAAAAGATATTTTTGTATCTTTTTAAAAGATATTTTTGCTAGGTGTAGAGTTCTTTGTTGAGAGGTTTTTTTTTTTAATGTTTTTCAGTATTTTAAGGACATCAGTCCATTTTTCCTGACTTGCATATTTTATGATGAGAAGTCTGCTGCTATTTTAACCTTTGTTAGTTTGAATATTATATGTCTTTTTTTCCCTCTGGCTGTTTTAAATATTTTTCTCTTTATTGCTAGTTTTCAGCAATTTTGTTTATAATGTGCCTTATTGTTGTTTTCTTTTTTTTTTTTTTTTGAGTTTGGGATTTACTGAACTTCTTAAATCTGTTGATTTATAGTTTTTATCAATTGTTTTCACCAAATAATTTCATATAGTTTTAATCAAATGTGGAATTCTATTTTTATGCATTAATTCTTCCAATATTTTTCTTTGCTTTTCCCTTCTGGGTCTCTAATTATATACATGTGGACTGATAGATAATTTCCTATGAGTCTCTAAAACAGTTCATACTGTTCTTTTTACTCTCTGTGCTTCATTTTCTTTTGCTATACTCTAGATCCTTCATATTTTATTACAATGCCTAATCTACCATTAATCTCATCCAGTTCATTTTTAGTTCAAATATTTTTTCTTTAAGTTCCACTGAGTCATTTAAAAGATGTCTTTCATTTTTCTTCTTCATCATGTTCATGTCTTCCTTTATATCTCTGAACATATTTATAACACGTCTTTCTTTGGGTGGGGGGTGGGGACAGAGTTTCACTCTGTCGCCCAGGGTGGAGTGCGGTGGTATGATCTTGGCTCACTGCAACCTCCACCTCCCGGGTTCAAGCGATTCTCCTGCCTCGGCCTCCCAAGTAGCTGGAACTACAGGCGCATGCCACCACTCCCGGCTAATTTTTGTATTTTTAGTAGAAACAAGGTTTCCCTATATTGGCCAGGCTGGTCTCGAACTCCTGACCTCGTGATCTGCCCGCCTCAGCCTCCCAAAGTGCTGGGATTCCAGGCGTGAGCCACCGCACCCAGCCTATAATAGGTCTTTTAATATTCTTTACTAATATTGTGAATATCTTTGTTATTTCTCCGTCTGTTTCTACCATTTTTTTCTTGTTTATGGGTCATATTTCCTACTGTGTATGTGTGTATGTGCATGTGCACATATTCATGTGTGTAATAATTTTTGAAGCTCCTGTTTAAAATGTGAGACCTTTTTGGCAGGAAGTAGCATTCAGGTTAGTTTGTTCCTCTTTATGGCATTATCTAATAACCTTTATTTTAGCACTTATTTATCCCTGCCTCTAAGATATGGCTCTTCTGAGATCTCTATTAAGTCTCAATGAGTTCTTTCTACTCTAGCTTAAGAGAACTAGAATGGCCTCTGGCCCAGTGGGAATTCTGGGAATTGTTCTTCTTATGGCTCCTTGATAATTGTTTTTTTCCACAGAAAGTAACCTTGTCCAGACATGGAATTTCACCTATAATATGCACAGATTTGAGCAAAAACTCAAAAGGAACCCAGCGCATATTACCGGAGCTCCTTCTAACCTTAGGAATTCCATCCCACAAAACTCTCATGCCTTATCCTCCCCAAATGCTGATCTCTGTCTCCTCAACTCAGTCAGATTGCTGGGTTACTCCTCATTGAACCTCAGTCCTGGAATTATCTCCAGGTAAACAGCCTAGAAAAACCTTACTTTTCTTTTCTCAGGAATAATAATCCTGTGCTACCCATTGTCCAATGTCTAAAAGTAGCCATTTTCTTTTCCCCCTTCCAATTTTCTAGTTATTTATGGTGGGAGGGTAATTTCAGATTGCCACACTCCCTCATGGCTGGAAGTGAAAGTATCACAATTTTTGTTTCTAATGTTCAAATCAGATCATATAGTTCCTGCTTATAAACCTTCAGTGGCTTCATATTACACATGAAATTAAATCCAGTCTTTACCCTGGCCTCTAAAGAAAGATATACATTATCTGGTGCCTGTCTTTTTTTCTGACCTTGATTTCTATCAATCTTCCCTTGCTCACTATATTCTAGCCACATTTGCTTGCTTTCTGCTCTACACTTCCATACTGGAGCCCTTCACCTTGCTGTTAACCCTTCCTAGGGTAATTCTACCATAGAAGAGGCCATCACATAGGGGGCATCCTCTTGTCATTTAACCTCGGTTCAAACTTTACCTTCTCAGTAATGGCTTCACTGAACACACAATACAAATTAGCTATTCATCCAATCACCTTTCATTAAAAGATCCCATTTTATTTTCTTAATAGAAATTACTACTGTCTAAAATAATTGTTTATTGATGTGTTTTATCTGACCACTCCCAGAGCAGAAGATGTAACTGCCATTAGATCTAAGATATGTCTATTTACTCCGGAATATCCACCACCTAGAAGAGTGTCTGCATATACTAGGTACTCAATATGTGTTGAGTTACATATTGTTTATTTTTAATGAAAATTCAGAACATAGAGATAGGCTTGTGACCTCGATTGATAAGAAAAGATGGTGCGGGAATTGAGCCCTTAACGTTGCCACTGCCCTGTCTTTCTAATTGTTCTTTCTTTGCTCCCACTCCTGCTTTATCATCTGCAGCCCTGGCCTAACAGCTAATTTGAGAAGACCCAATGATAATGCAGGTTAACTAAGTCTTGGTTGAGTATTTGAGATTTATCTTTATCCAAATTAAAATTGGAATCCTCTTCAATGTCCATTTCTAAGAGGGTGATGTGGGAGGGAAGGGAAGTCCTGGGAAGTCCACCTGTTTAGGTTCAGAAAACCTTTCTTTTCCTTTCTCAGATGAAGATATTCCTGAGTTCAGAGAGAAGGATAGAAAGATGACTTTTATCAAAGCAGTTGCTCCATGCTTATACTATGGAGTCCCTACGACAGCTCTCTGACTTAAAGAAAGGACCTGCCTCAAAGAGTCTTCTCCTTCTTCTTCCCAACATGTTGTGAGAAGGTAAAGGAGTGAAGTGGTAAAGTGAGCTGGCAGGTAAGGCAGTAGGGGTAGGAGGGGCTGGGAGGATGGAACAAGAGTCTGTGTGGCAGTTCTAATCCACTCTTTAAAGCACCTGAGACCCACTATCTGGAAGGCAGAGATTGTCTGTCACTGTGTCATCAAAAATGAGTTCTGTTAACAAGCTGAATATAGGAGATATTTGACAAAAGCAGGGGACTTTAAAGAAGGATGTATCTAAGGTCAGGGATTATAACTTGGGCAGCAACCCAAAACAAAAGCAGGGCACAGTTAGTAAACTCATACTTTTTGTTATGATTGAATAATATGGTTTTTGTGAATTGTATTATAACCTGTTAGTACACAGACTCTTTCAGCTAAGAAAACTATCAGTACTGCAAAAACTGAAACAAATAAGGTTAAGGTACTCATGCTTCTACTTTGAGAAATAAGTCTTTTTCAACACATGACTTCTAGATTTATGATCCTGCAGAAATACCCAGAGATACCATTTCTTTCATTTCTTAATGAACATGAGAGTCATAGAGAAACTATAGCAAACATAGTAGGAGAAAAAAACAAATGTCCTAATATTCTCTGGAGCAAACACAAGCATTAGCTTTTCTTTCACACATATTAGCTTATCTTTAAAAGATCTTATCAGAAGAAGGCCAAATGTATCTGTGTATATATATTGACACACAAAATATGTATCTGTTCTATATTACATTTTATATATATGTACACCCTCCCCAGCTAAGAAACTAAGCCACAAGATAGCATCAGGCATACATACAGATCAAAAGCCCTGTTAAAGCAGGCTTAATTCACGGGCAACATTTCTGCCTGAATATTCCTTAAAGAATCTTTTTTCTGCAAGAGAAGAGGAAATAAGGCCTAACAGGAAAAATCTCAATGCATATAACATCGTGGTCATCTGCCCTGCCTTATCACAGGTACATATGGAAAAATGCAAGTGCTGTAGTTTGACCGTCCAAACCTTTGTTGAAATTCGATCCCCAATGTTGGAGGTGGGTCCTAATGGGAAGTGTTTGGGTCATGGAGGTGGATCTCTCATGAATGGCTTGGTGCCCTCCTCAAGGCAATGAGTGTGTTCTCAATCTATTAGCTGCTGTGAAAGTCACCCTAAGAGCAGGTTGTTAAAAAGAGTCTTGCACCTTCCTGCTTCCGCTCTCCCACCTCGTGGTCTCTGGACACACCAGCTCCCCTTCACCTTCCACCTTCAGAGGAAGCAGCATGAAGCCCTGACTAGAAGCAAATGATGGCGCCATGCTTCATGTACAGCCTGCAGAAGTGTAAGCCAAATAATCCTCTTTTCTTTATAAATTACTTAGCCTCAGGTACTCCTTTATAGCAACATAAATGAACTAAGACAGCAGGCAAGTTAATTTTCTGATTCTCCATAGAACCAGTACAAGTAAATTCTAAGTTGCCCCAAATGACAATGACAGAGCTGGGAGAATTCTCAGTGTTTATTAACTGCTGGTGATCCTCTCTTCTAGGATCCCCTAGAAGATGCCAGCTCAGGCCCAACAGGCATGGAGTCACAGAAGAGGTTACTAAAACCAAGGGCTATGGAGAGGGAGATTAGCATAATGCCAGACCAAGCAACACTCAATAAATGTGATGGATTGAAAGGGACTGAAATTGAGTAGGAGAAAGGGAACACGTTAGGAATAGGCAAGGACAGTAGAAGAAGAAAAAGAGGCTCATGTGGGGGAGCCCGGTAACTGCCACCCACAATTCCCTCTAGACCAATGTCATAGGCCCCTTGTCTGCACCAGGCCAGACCTGGCCGCCTCCTTGGTGAAAGGTTTTTAGTCTCTTTTCTTATTCAGCCTTATAAACACTGTGTGCTGACATATCCAGAAACAAATATTAATGTGACTGTTCTTAAGAGAAACAAATCAGCAGGCCCAAAATAAATACAATAAGCAGTACCCTGTGTTTCATTAGTGTTCTATCATCTTTTCAGGAGAACGTGCCTTTGGAAGAAACACTTTCATATGTCTGTTCCAAAATACAGGCTTCCATATATAGATGGGCTTTTCTTTCTTCCCCTGGTGGTGAAGGGCAGTGGGGGGCAGGGTAGCATGTTTTTGTAAGTTTATTTTTATTTATTGGTGCTGGCCAACAGAAGTAGAAGGATAAATTTAAAGAAAGGTGGTGTTTACAAATGAAAATAGAGTCCATGAAAATTTAGCAACTTTCTAAGAACTATGTTTCTTCTTACACGTATTTATTCTTATTATGAGAACATTATAAAGCATGCTCATAAATCAAAGAATTATTAAAAAGATACAGAAGAACATTTACATCATCTGTGCTACTTTTCATTCAGATATAACATTATTTTGGTGTCTATATGTAATCTGCTTTAAATGCTCACATCTTCATAGTACAAACATGTATTCCTCCTCATCTCACCCTTATCCTCTGAAATATACCACATCAAACATAGTATTCGAGAGTGTACACCTTCCACACTACTACTGAATAAAACCTCCCAGAGTAGAGACCCCTCATGCCCACTGGATGGGAGTTTGAAGTCTAGAGTCTGTCTGATTTGCCACCCTATTCTCAGTGTCTAGTATAGTGTCTTGAACACAGCAGGCACTCAATAAATATTTGTTGATTATAATTTTAACCTGCCTTTTTCATGTATTTATAGAAATGACATTTTCCTATTTCATTATTATTCTCTTCTATAACATGATTTTTAATGGTTGCTTATCATCCATACCATAATTTAATTTAACCAGCCCTTCATCACTGAACATGTAAAATGTTTCAAATTACTCACCGTGATAACTAATGCTATGATGACCACCTTTCAAGTAAATATTTTTGCATTGTCATAGGATCAATTTCTGTAAGTTGAATAGCAGTGATGGGTATACATATTTTGAGGCTTTTATTGCCAAACTGTCTTCACAAAGGTCACTCCAATTTATATGTTTACCATGAAATTATGAAAGTCTCTATTTCCCTGCACTCACATCAACACTATATATTTTAATTAAAAAAAATCGTCATTCTGATGAATAAAACATATCATGAATAAATAGTATGGAGGAACAAAGCGGATCATGTAAAAGTGGCTCTGTATACTGGATGATATACAAATGTTCATTGTTAAAGTACTTATTACAGTGGTTGGAAGCTTCTTGAGAACAGTGTCTAGCACAGTGCATGACATATGATATGGTATTAAAAATTATCATCCCCTGAACTGAAAGTAGACAGAGGATGTAGACTTGTATTAACTCATGGGTATATCATCAACCTGAACTAGAAAGATGCCTGATCACTAAAACATCTCACAATTTCAATCCTTCCACTCAGAGGTAGGTACTCAAACAGGAGAATTGCCAGGCCTGGTCCTCACGAGGAGATGAATACCCTAGAACCTGGCTTAGGACAGTCACAATGGGCCTCGGAACCTTCTTCCCCTCCATCTCCTCTGCATATTGGCCTTTTGCTTATTCCAGTTTTGCTCTCCAGCCCTTCCCTGATTCCCAAGTCTGGTTCTTTAAGTTAACTGAGAATGTGTTCTGTTACAAATTCAGGTGTGTTCTCATTAGTTTTCCTGAAGGACCTCTGAGCCCAAGATACTCCACATCTTGAATTCCTACTATCTGGCTTATCTCCCACTCTGACCTAAAACGAGGCTGTCATCATGTTGCCACCTGATAGGTAACTTTTAACAAACAGCAGGTGCAAACATGGGACTGATAGAAACAAACAACATCCTTGCAACCGAAGGGGCTCAACAGCCCCCACTTCACTCCCATTCCTACCCCATTTTACAGATGCAGAAATGAAGGCCCCAGAGCATAAGGGACTTTTCCACAGTACCACGGATTGTTAATGGCACAGCAGGTATCACAGGTCCTTCCTACTACCCCAGGATTCCTCCCTAATGAAGATTACAGATGAAAAAAAAATGAAGGTCATTCCAGCGATGCTTTCTGAATGTGGTCAAAAGTGTGTCATTTGAAAGCTTGCTGCCTCGTGATGTACACATGCCCACTGCCTACAGAAAAGGTGCAAGGTGAAAACACAGTAGTCTCTTTGCTAACTTCTTTTTTTTTTTTTTTTTTTTTTTTTTTTGAGACGGAGTCTCGCACTGTCTCCCAGGCTAGAGTGCAGTGGTGCAATCTTGGCTCACTGCAAGCTCTGCCTCCCGTGTTCATGCCATTCTCCTGCCTCAGCCTCCTGAGTAGCTGGGACTACAGGTGCCCACCACCACGCCTGGCTAATTTTTTTTTTTTTTTTTTTTTAGTAGAGATGGGGTTTCACCGTGTTAGCCACAATGGTCTGGATCTCCTGACCTCGTGATCCACCCTCCTCGGCCTCCCAAAGTGCTGTGATGACAGGCATGAGCCACCATGCCCAGCCCTCTTAGCTAACTTCTAGAACTAGAAGAGGCTGTCCACAGGAAGTTCCACCAGCAGCTTTAGCTCAAGCTCCAGCAACACATCAAAGGGCCACGTCATGTTTCACTTACAATGCAGGGTGTCATCTTTGACCTACATGTGACTGCACCAGTGTTATTTCCCACTCTGGGCCCACATATCAGCAGCCCTGACACTGCCTGGGTTCCCATCATGTCACTGTCTGGCTGCAGTGGACCTCGTCCCTGGGTCAACTCTTGTCTTGTTTACCTGGCTAATTGTCTTGGTGCTCTCCCTTCGGCCCTTTCACAGGTGAATATGCAGGGAACAGAGGGGAAGGTGTGAATGAATTAAATCTGAGAATTTTGTGCCTTTTGTCCAAGGATTTCAGAGATAGCCACTTTATAGCCAAACATTTGGAAGCCATGATTTCTGTCTTCCAAAAGCAATCACCATCTAAGCCAGTAAATCTCAACTTCTGTATATTAGAGTCAACTGGAGAGCATTTAAAAATAATTCTAATGCCCAAGCTGCACCCTGAAACAATTACATCAGACTCTTTATGGGAGCGACCCAGGCATCTGTATTTTTTTAAACTCCCCAGGCAATTCCAAAGTGCAGCCAAGTTTGCGCATCTCTGCTCTAAGTGTGGGCCAAGGAGCCTTCTCTAATTGGCCTTCATGTGCCAAGGACAGAGCACCAGCAATTAAAATAAGAAACAGGAGAGTTAAATCGGTCTTGCTTTTCTCATTCTCTTTCTTTCCCCATTTTTATAACAGACTGTAATTCAACTGGCTCAAAGAGCTATCTACAATCTATGGAGCAGAAATAATCCTGAAGGAAAGGAACGCCTCCATCCCACAGCCTTCTCTTTTTCTTTTTTTAAAACATTGACCAGTTTTTGTCCTTACCCTCAGATTACAGAGCTTTCTTGATTTGAAGTTCATATTTTCCTGGGATCCTAAAATGAGTGGTACAGAAAAAGCTGAGGCGCATGCACCCTCATTTATCCTGAATCCTGTCTATCTTGTGAGCATCCCCTAAAGGGAGCACGTGCCTGGGAAGAAGTTTCTGGGAAATAATATTTAAAATCCAAGCCACAGTTGTCTCTTCCTTACCTCTTGCCATTCACAAAAGGGTTTTACGTAAAACAGAAATTCATTTGCTACCAGCCCAGCCCAGAAAAAAAACAGGCATCAGGAGAAAACCTCACAGAAAGGGCTCTCAGAAGGCCACGGAAATGGCAGCCCCACAGACATAGACCCACGTGCAATGGGGAAAAGGATGAGCTTGGAGAGAACATCAGGAAGGCACCCCCTTTAGCCTTCAGACCTCTCCAGTTCTGGGGACAGGTACTTAAATTAGCATTCTCAGGGAGAAAGGCAGGGATGGATGTAAAGAGGCACAGGAGTTGTATGAGAGGGAAAACATAGCACATTAAAAAAAAAAAAAAAAAAAAAAAAGAAAGCCAGCAGGAATATGTCCTAATTTGGAGAAACAGGCCACATTGCCATGGCAACTCTGAATCTCCACAAGGCAGCCAGGCATGCCTTTAAACATCATGTTAAATAGTTCAACTATGAAGAAGAAGAAAGAAAAGAGTGTAAGGGAGGTTTGAGAGAGGAGGAAGAGCCCTGAAGCCTGCTGAGGGCCAGAGGGAGAGGCTGCCCAAGGCCCAGCCATTCTTCAAGAGAAATTTCATACAGCGAAGCTGCAAGTCCTGAACTGGATCTTTTCTCTCTGATCTGGGCAGGTTGGGGACTGCATTTGTATGTAGTTAACCTGTATCTTCAGAAAGATTCTCCCAAAGCCACACAGCTGCCAGCCCAGTACTCCTCATCCTCTTTTCCAGGGCTGCCAGCCCCACAGCAAACCTGCCTGCCATACTCAGGCCTTTCCCAGGAGACTTGACGGGCATGTGATCTTGTGCCGTTGGGGAAGTGAACCCAGCAGTCCTGAGGGCTGAGCACAGCAATTATTCGGCCACACCTGTAACCATGCATGGAACACTGGTTAGGAATTCTGGCCTAAGGGGGAAGAAAAAACATTTTATTTATTCAAAAAATGTAAAAGCCACCTGGAAACCATGCCTAAATGAAGTTATGCCATGTGTGGTCCTTTGGGATCAAGCCAGTGATGCTGGCAATTCAGGGAAGAGTTTTCTGCGTGGCTCTGAACCTTTGGAAAATAGGAATAAGAATATAAAACTGTTCTCCCATCTGGAACATTAATTACTCAAATTATGCACTTAATGTTCAGCATTCATTTCACCCTGCAACTAGTTCTCAATCACATTGCCTTCCACATTACTTTGTCTCTTTTTTCTTTCAGAAGTCTCTCCCCTAGTCCTTCTGGCCTGTTTGCCTGCTCTGCCTTTCCCCTTTTCTCTTCTGTTGGGACCTGGAGATCTTCTGACAGAGCCCTGTGAGCTGAGCAGCTCCAGCAGGTGAGGGCCAAGCCAGAAGCTGAGAAGGAGAAGCAAATGGTCCCATGCCTCATGGCACACTCAGATGCCACTGTGAGAAGTGGTGTGTGTCATAGGTGTCCAGGTAACCTGATGAGCCCCGTACGGCCCGGGGAATGGAGAATGCATTCTTCTCTTAGCTAAACAACAACAATAATAATAGAAGCAGATGGGTGCACTGCTATCCCCGGGCTCTCTCTTTCTTTTTGTTCATTGGCTTACATCAAATCATTTTCTCTATAGATTTATTCTTAGCACACAAAACTGAAATTTCCACTTGCTCTGCTGTGCTCTCTCTGAAACTTTCCATTCCATAAACATCCCACAACTCAGAATGAGTCCATCTTATCTGTCCTGTATGGCCCTGACTCAAGGCAGAGGCCTCAAGGCCTTTAGGGGGCTTCACTATATCCCTAGCTAAAGGAAATCACACCTCTCCCACAAAACACACCCTCTCTTGGCCCTATCTCCTCCAACCAAGAGCAGATCTTTCTCTGAGACATGTCCTCCTCTACCACTTCACACATGCATGTCCTGGCCCAAACCACAGTCCCCCTGAGTCCTGCATTTCTGCACTTGTACAACAATCTCTACCTCACAGGATTGTTGGGAGGCATGCATAAAATATCTGTGGGGGAGGGAGGCATGGTGCCTGGCCCATTTGCAGGCTGGCAATCAGAAGGGCGCCCTTCTCAGCCAAGCATTGGACAGAGTGTTTAGTGAGGTAAGGCATTTCCTTCTATGTTAACCATACATGGCTGGCATTATTCCTGTTTTAACAGTGAGGAGCCTGAAGTTCCAAAAGGTTAAGTCATTGCCTAAGTTCACACAGACAGGAGCCAGCAAAACCAATTTTGACTTTCAAATTCACTGTCCTTAACCATGGCCTTCCTCTCGATGGTGGTGCAGGATGTCCAAATAGAAGGGCTTGGGGTTGGCGATCTGTTCAAAAGGCAGGGCTCAGCAGCTGTGCTGAGGCAGCACCACATAGCAAACACATCTACATTCAACATGTGTATTTATTTGGGATGGCTGCTATGGTGTGGGGAGAGGAAGGGGTTATAGCTGATGGAAATCTGTGAACAGCTAGAAGCTCCTACCTCCCTGCCTCCCTAGGAGCGGCCATGGGCACACTGCGTTTCTAACAAATGCAAATAAATATTAAATATTTGTTTAATAGAAAATACCATGCATTCTTTGACTGCAATTTTGCTTTTTCTCTAGTTGGATCTCCATGAATTACCAAGGGATGTAAAGACTTAGAAGAGAGTTACAAGAGGAAATGTAAAACCATCCATTTTTACCAAAATTAAATGTGCAAAAGGCTACATATCGGAGGGATGAGGACAGGAAAGAATAAGAGGTAAATAGCAAATGGGAAAATGAGAAAGGAAAACAAGAAGTGTTTAACAAACACTACTTAAAATTCTCCTCAAGACAAAGCCTGAAGCACAGTCAGCCTCGGCCCAAAGCACCTGCGTGGTCCATTTTCCACCCTTAAAGCCCCTGATATTCCCTTGGATGCTTCATTCTCTGAGGAAAAAACCCTAGTCTAAATCCATTTGATCCTGAAAACACAAAGGTCCATATCCGAAGCACCCCAGTCCTTCAGTGTAACCTTTCTTACCTTCCTAGTTCTCTCTCCTTTCCTCAGTTGAATAACCTGCATTTTAAAAATAACTGAATTATCCATGCATTGTTTTATCACATTACTTCAATGGCCTCTTCTGATTACAGCGCCAACCTTCTGGCCTCCACTTCCTACACTATCTGTCTCTTCCTGTCTGTCTTTTCTCCCCACCACCCCCCCATCTTATCTATTCCCTTTCCTGTCACCTCTTCAAGGATTAATAGGGTGAAAACACTCATTCCATCAGCAGTCACTGATGCTCAGGTGTGGCACAGGAGAATTTCTAACATGGCCTGGAAGCAATCTAATAGGAAGGGCGAGGAAGGGGAGTGGATGGAGAAGCCAGATGTCTTGCCCAAGAAATATCTGTATTTCAGGGTGGTGTGTAGAGGAAACTACCAGCTTGCTCCCAGTGCCCTGCTGATGCAAAGCAGCATAAATCTGCCTCTTCCCCTCTTACGTATTATTCCAGGCACTCCAGCATTCACATACTCATGTTCACTGACAACTGCCCCTCTTGGAAACACTCCACCAGGGAGCTCATCAGATAGCAGTCATTTAGCAAGGCCCCCAGTGCCTGAACCACTTTTTTTGCCAGCATATTCACCCATTCACTCTGCCAACACATGGCAAAAGAGGTGCCACCAAGGACTCTTCTGTTTATAACACCTACTGATCACACTCTGAGGTTAAGTCAGCTCTGGCACTGTGAAGCATACATGTGCAGAAAGGTGAATGAAGCTACAGCAAAGAATCCGTCATCTCTACAGTAGCCTGGCAGGCTGATTTTCTATCATCTAAAATTAATTATATGGCATAACATGCAGAGACATCCACAGAACAAGGGAGACAGGTTGGATCAGGGCTAAGAAGTACCTGAATGAGAGTGATGGAGCCCAGAAGCAGCTTTACCATGATTACTTACACAGAGGAGAGGTTGGGCTAGAATATTTTCCAGTTGGAGAAAATTTGAAAGTGGTTCAATCAGTGAAATGTAACCACACATACAATCGTCATGGTGAAAATCCCTGAGATGTTTTTCAGCTCCCTCTAGCCAGAATATGAACAATACCTAATGATTGTGCAGTGCTTATAGCTCAACGAAGCACTCTCATGTATCTCATTTCAGTCATTACATCATCCATTATTTTATGGACAAAGCAGCTTTGGCTCAGAGAGGTTCAGTGATCTGCCCAAGGTCATGCAGCTGGCAAGAGGCAGAGACAAACGGAAGCCCCAGGTGTCAGACAAAGGTCTTGTGACTGCACGCCTCAGATTGATGCCACCATGGTCCACAGTGCTCAGAGAAACAAGGACAGGAACAAGAAAGGCCCAAAGAACCGAGAACAATGTGTGTACTAAAGCCATCCAACAGCATCAATTGACTATAAAAATTCAGCTTCTTTAGTGACTCATAACCAGGTCAAAGCTTTGATTTTATTGAACGGTCCAGTAAGCTCATTCAATGGACATAAAAAAATCTCCATAATAGAAAATACGCATATGCATGTATATTTATCCCATATAGAAACCATGGGATATTTTTATACGTGAATCTTTTGGAATAAAATGTAATGTTTCTCCCCACCTAGCTAGAAGGAGAACAAGTGAGTTTACCTTAGAGTGAGGGATCAAACCACTTGTAACTCAAAGGGTGAGGTGTGTTTCACTCCATCTCTAAGAGGGCATTATGCATGCCACTACAGTGCGTAACGTACTGCTCTGTTTCAGCCTGTGCCTCTCAGTTCTGCCCCACCCAGCCCTCCATATCACTGGGGCCAACTTCACTCCCTCTGGATTTTGTTCATTCGGTAGGGATCCAAGCATTCTAGAAACATGGAGCTGGAAAGGAATTCAAGGTCATTTTGTTGAAAGGAAAAACAGCAGAATAAAATAGGTAAAAATTCCAAGGCTGAGAAACGTGCCTTGGATGCTTACTGTGCATTAGGAGGTGGCAGTAAATGAATGTATCAGTGCAGGGGACCTTGTGATTCGTAGACAAAGATACCTGATTTAGATCCTGGCTGCCCCTCTTACCTGCTGGACAACTTTGACAACAACTCAACATCTCTGGGCCCCAGTTTTCTTGTATATAAAATGGGAGTAATAATAATTACCTCACAGGATTATAGAAAAATAAAAACAAGATCATTAATGTCATATGTTAATTAATATAATGCAATTAAATAATATAGCCACTGTAATAAAATAAAAAATAAAGCACACAGCAAAGTACCTGATCAGTTCCAGTTAGGTTACTTTCTACCTTTTACCTGTCTAAAAATCACTGGATGTTTCTTTATTGATTGGTTCCAAAAATACTACTACATAGCTGACTTTTATCTTTCGTATGCTACATTCTCTGAGTTTTTTGTTGTTGGTGGTGATGGTGGTGGTGTTCTCTCTGAGCCCTGAATTGTTTGTCCTATCATTTTTTACATATTTCTAAAAATATAAGAACTCCTTCAGCTCCATTCTCCAGAGGGCAGAAACAAGAAGTAAAGAAAAATTGTTCCTCACTATGAGTATGAATAACGCCCTATAGCCATGTGTTTATTAAGTAATCATAGTTTTCCTCTTTTTACAAATATATATTGGAGCAGCATGAGATTCCTGTACATCAATGATATGACATGATATTAACTCAAAGCAAAGAAACATATTTTTCTTAGCCTAAGCAGCCTAGTTGTAGATAAATGTGAAGTTATGTTGGGTTTTGTAACACTAAAGACAACTTGATGAGCCCCAGGAGATGCAATTCTCATTGTATGGCTGAAGAAGCTGAGACCTAATGAATGATTTATCCAAGATCACACAGCTAGCCATGCCGGAGCCTAAACTCTAACCCAGTGTTTCTAACTCTCAGATAAGCCCTCTTACCTCTGTACCACACTTTTGATATAAACTTCCAACCAGAAAGTTGTGTAGATTCTATTTTCTCAGATTATTGATGAATATGTCACACGGGACAGAAATAAAAGGCTCGCTAAAGTCAAGACACAGTACATTGATCACTTCCCCCGCAATCCCGGAACCTCATCAGTCTGTCACTGCTGGAGATGATGATATCCCATAGGACCTCAGTGCCACACTTTTCACTGTGCTGTAATTTCTGTCAGAGAAACAAGACACGAGCAGAGCCCTTACCTGTCAGGCTCTAGCCTAACAGTTCAGGGGACGCATCTCGATCCACAGCTCTTAGAAGCAATTTCCTTGGAAACACTGTCTCTAGCAACAATATCTACACCAGTGCTTCCCAAACACTAGCCCATGGATCAATGACAATCCATGATAAAGTTATCACTGGCCCACAGAAAAATGAGAAAAATAAAAACAATGTATTGGGTTGTTGACACAGCGAGATGTATTCAATTTAAAGGACTGTTCTTTATTCTGAGATCATATATTTCTTAGTTTTGTTTGTAGTTTCCATATCCTTTGTTTTTTTAAAAAAAATATGGTATAGGACTATTTTTTAAAAGTCGAAATTGGAAAAATAACAATTCATCGTGCTACATCATGCCACCACTGCCACTATCATTATAAAATAATTAGTCTGCAAATTGAGAAATCAGAAACCTCTCCTCTAAGCAACTGGCAATAGAGGCTGTGTGCCTGGAAGGAGCAAAGTCCCCACCAAGACTGGTTCCCTCTTGGCCAAAAAGGAGGCTTGACGAAGGGACTGCCACTGCCAGTATGGGTCATGGGACATCAGGGAGCTTCGTATAACCATATCCCAATATGACACTCTCCACTCAAGTATCTTGTGAATTCAGCCACATAGGGGTTTCATTATGTTACAGTTCAGACTTCTGTTTTAAATTATTTGCTTTCATTTTTCACTTCAATTAACGTAGGTGGGTAACCACCTACCAGGTGTCAACATCACCAGCAGTTTTGATATGCATTATTTTTCTTAGTCCTATGAGATAAGCCCTTAAAATGTCCAAGGTATACCACACCCGGCTTTTGTAGCTCACTGCCGCAAACTTTTCATGATCGTCCCCCAGATCTTGGTTGCTCAAATTCAATCTTCCTCATCTAATTTCTGTGCCATTTTCTCCTTTTGTGATGCATTCTGCATACCACTATTGATTAAAACACTATGCATGTTCATCTATTTCTCCAGCTTCACCATACCCTCAGTGATTTGTACCACATCTAACACATAAAGGATGTTCTGAATGAGTAAAACTAATCCTAGACCACTTTCCAAAAAGCTAATCATTAGATAATTTGATGAAATTATCAAAATGTTGACTTCTTGCATAAAAATAAACCTGAAAAGTAGGCTAACTTCTACAGTTCATTATGGAAATAGGGTGAAAATGGGGTCTAGTGAAGTGATGGCAAAATTAATTAGGAGAATTATAACGAGATAATTCATATAAAGCTCTTACACATAGCAAGGGCTCCATACATAATAGTCTTCCTTTTCCAACTCCTTTTCTGATTAGTTGCTCATTGGAATGTTGTGAAGATTGGTTTTTCTTTTTTTTTTTTTTTTTTTTTTAGAAAATCTTATTGTTTTCAAAACACTGCTTTTTAATTTTTTGCGGTGTTTTGTTTTTTTTTAATTTTTACTTTTTAAAATTTTTTATTATTTATTTATTTATTTATTTATTTATATTTTATTTTAAGTTCCAGGATACATGTGCAGAATGTGTAGGCTTGCTACACTGGGGAAAAAAAAAAAAAAAACACTGCTTTTTAAAAACAATAATATCAACACTGGGCCCAGGAAAACCACCTCAAAAACACCATTTTGGCTTTTCTTATGTTCTCCTGAATCCCCATACACATCACACACACACACACTCGCACAGACACACACACAAATACTCACTTTCCAAATTTTGGTTGACATCTGATTGCTGATTACTATGAGTGTGATCTTCCAGACAACTGTGTCTGCATCAAGTACCCCTAGGGGTCATTCCCATTTGATTCTGTGTTAATATTTTTATAATTTTTGTATTTTTATAATATTTTCACAAAATTTCATAATTTTTCCATGAGGCCAAATCAGAAGCTTCTTCAAAGTAAAGATTAAATATACCTTTTTTTCTTAAAATGTCTGCACCTTCAGGCTTTCACAGGATATTAAATCAGTGTGACAGCACTTTTAGGAGCGTAGGTAAGCTACTAGAAGATTAGCACAATTTAATTCTAAGAACAGCTGGTAGTTGATAAATATTAAACAGTCAGAAGACAATTTAGGGCTAGAAGCACCAACATTCTAAGAATCATGTACAATTATTATGTCTGTTTTTGAAAGAGGCATTTTTAAAAATATTAGGAACACGTTGCAAATCTATCAAGATCCCATCATTTGTGAAGTCCAACATGACTTAGATTTTAACAATTTGTTTCCAGCCAATCACCAAATCTCTTTGAAATGTGTCATGTTATATTGGCATGCTTGTCTCTTTCTGTTTGTGCCTATGTATTCTATTTACACCACCCAGGGTAAAGTGATGTTTAATACTCATTTTAATACCAATGTTATCAAAATATATTTTAGCCTACATTCAACAGCTCTGGAGTAGGCCAAAACCTTTTCTCCTCATTATCACCTCAGTGAGAGTCCCTTGCCAGGATCTGGCTAGGAGGCTTATATCTGACAAAGCTTAATGAAGTGTTAATGAAGGGAAACCATCCCAGCCCATTTAGAGCTTTATTCAGAACAGATTTAAGAGTACTCTGGTAAAAGGCTTTAATAGTGGCTCTTTTTCTTCCCCAGGAGGGGACGGATAAGGTGAGAGGCTGTAGACTTAACTTGGTCATATTTGGCTTGAATGGTTTTGCCTTTTGTTCACTAAACTGAGGTTTAATCCTTCTCCTTATTTTAAAATTCCTCTGTATGGGTCCATTCCTCTGTATGGGCCTATGAATTCCTCATTCTAGATAGCTGCCCAACCTTTCCAATCAATGTCTAGGCCCTTAAGCATGCACTGTTAACATACCCATAGCTTCTTTTTCTTCCCTTTAAGTAACTTCTTCATCCTCTCTAGTCCCATCAAAGCTATTCATTTAACAGAAAACCATCAGCCAAGGTCTACAAAGAATTCCGTGGCCAAATCCTCTGCATTCCATTTGACTCCCCTGTGCTGACATGGCACCACTCATCAATCATAGCCATTCAGCACTCTTCAGTGTAGCTTACATGGTTCTCTTCTCTTGCAGCCATTAACTTAGGGGCCAGAAGACCTACATTCTAGTCCTAGCCTTGCCACTTAGTATTTCTCCATCTTTGACATATCATTTAACTTCTCAGAGACTTATGGTGATGATGGGGATAGTGACAATAGCTATCTTCACTTTTCAGAGAGAGAATTTGAGATGCAGTTTCCCATACTGCACAATCGTTATGAGTATCAAATTAAGGTAAAGTATATAAATTTACTTTGAAAACTGTAAAACATCATGAAAGGTAATATTTTGTTATCTTTATCTCCTACCTCCAGCCACATGTACTGTAGTGTTCCTTCCTGTTCTCTCTTCCAATTTTCCTTTCCTTTCTTTCTGGAAGACTCCCTGCTTTTCCAGTATGAATTTCTGCTGTACACGAATTTCTCTGCATACTTGAGCACTTCTTTCCTAAGTAGCTCATTAGAAGAATGCTTCAAGATGAGGAGTAAAGGGGCTGACTTCAGGGTGCCACATTTGGAGGAAATAAAAGAACTATCTATGGCCTGTGAGTAGTTGGGACACACCAGTTTCTGGAGTGTTCTTTGATCATTGAAGAGTCTCACCCAAATAGAATTTAGATTATCCAAATTTTCTTTCCATCTGTCTGCCTACGATTATCAGAAGTTCATATAATCTCTAATATATAGGCTTTCTACTATATACAGCCCCAAATGTCATTAATATTAACTTTTATCAATATCAATATATTTCATTAATATACTTTCAATCAATTATCTCAAACCACATTAAAATATCATATCCTCCCTCCCTACCCTAGTCCTAATTTCAGTTTGCCCTTGTCCTCACCTCTAATCAGGAGAGAGAAGAGATAGCAATTCATTACATCATATTATCTGTAGACTATGAACTATTAGAGAGGACTGGTATTTTGTTGACTTTAAAGTTCTACTAGAACTGATCTGGTAATCTGGAAAAGTAGGCCAGCTCCAGGAGAGAATTGAGATGTGGCCTCAGGCAAGTCACTTAATCTTTCTTGGCCTCAGTGTCCTCTATTGTAAAATAAGGGCATGAGACTAGTCTCTAAGATCCCTTCCAACCTTGATGGTCTTTGATACCATGTAGTAAGATAACATGTTCATCTGGATTTTTGTGGAGGGGTGAGGAATAGAGTGGAGTGGGGATGAAAATAGAGTGTGCCTTATTAGGAATTCCCTTTCCTTTCCCTACTGCATGTAAAGAGCTTCAACATTCTCTTTGCAACCTTTTATGTGCCAAATCTTAAAATCTGTCAGCAAGGATGCAGTTTAAAAATTCATAATTGGATCATACATCTTCAGATTTTACCACCACTGCTCATTTCCTTTGTTTACTTTAATCTACTCACCCTGAACCCTGTGCATTTTTGATGGCTTTCCACCTATTTATTCACTCACCTTTCCTTCACTCAACATTCTCTTCTCATGGACATCATACCAGAAACTTCTTGAATAGATTGTAAATCCCAACCCCTTTATTTTCAGATGAAGAACAAAGAAAGATTAAGGGACTTGCCCAGAGTCAAACAGCTATATGGATTATAAAGCAAAGATGAGAACCAGACCTCTTGATTTGGTAGTTTAGTTTAGGCTCTTTCCACTCTAACATCTACACCATGCAATGAATATTTCCATTCAACCCTATGGAGTACTCCAAAGAAGAATAAAGCCCTAAAAAGCGAGTAGCAGCATACCATCCGCTACATTGCCCATAAGACTTAAATTATTTTTAAAAATATTAGCCCTACTCTCTTTCCTTCTATTTCAAATATTGGTGACATATACCTTCCATTTTATATAATCCTAGTTGTGAATAATTGCATATTTTTCGCAGTTGCTTTGACAAATGAGGTTGAGACTTCTATAGACTTTATTGTTGCATCTCTACCTCAAATCCACCCAAACCAATCTTTTTCTTGTGTTGAGACTGCCTGCTGATATTCGACTCCACCACCATTTAGCTCAGTCAGTGCTGTAGGATCTATGTGAAAAAGCAATTAAATCATTTCTGTAATTATTCTCCCATGCTTATAAATAAATAAGAATTGCACATTCCCCCGGAAGCCACGAAGGGCCCAGAAACAGTGAATGACAGGGAGGAATGAATGAGGAAACATATTTGCGAAGGCAGTAAAAATTCAGTGAGGTGATGATAAATGAGAAAGTTGGAGAGTGAAAATAAGGAAATGGTTAAGAGTCGGGAAAATGGAAAGAGAAGCACAAAATTGGGAGAAAGGAGGGGAGGATTCCTAGGAACATTGGTAAAAATAAAAAACAATTAAGAAAGAAAGCAGTATAACAAAATAGACCCAGGAGCGAGAGAGAAAGAGAAAGGAGTGCAGGCAGAGGAAGGTTAAAAGAGGCCAAACACGTGTCGCGGTTGCTATTATTTTCCTTATTGCAAAGCTAAGGAAACTGAGGCAGAGAAGAGTTAAGCAGGCTAAGAACATAGAACTAATAAGGGAGAGCCAGAATCAGTCCAGGTCTGTCTGGGCCTGAATTCTATCTATTATATTGAGCTCAAACTCTTTTTCAATTTTTAAAATTACAAAATGTGAATCTATGATGATCTCACAACAAAATGTTTAATCTAAAAAATTTATATTATTATTCCTGATATCCCTTATCAATAAATTAGCTACAGCTCCTCACCCAGGCCCCCACTATGACCAAGCATATGGATGGGGAAGGTGGCTGCTGGAGGGAATCTCTGCCGTGGGATGGAAGAGCACTACAAGGTCCCACAGAGATAGGGCATTATGTCCTTGGGTGGCCTCATTACATGCTAAGTTCTAACCAACTGAACCAACTGGCCACAGACAATAAAGCTAATGTTTGATAGCTCCAAAAGTCAAGAGCAGACCACCTGGGAACTTTTAACTAATGCCAGGTCCAAAGGTAGGCTACAGAGGGGCCTCAGCACTGACAGGATGAAGCACGATGATGGCTGCGTGTACCACATAAGGTAGAAGCCGTGTGGAACAGTGGGTCACAGGAGATGGGGGGGAGGACAAGGTGGGAGAAGGGCAGAGAGACACGAACCAGAGATGCAATGATGGAGAGCAGGGAGCAGGGCAAGGAGAGAAAGGAGGACAGAGAGAAGGAACAATCAGAGAAGCCAAGAGGGGAAGAAACAAAGAAGGATGCATGCACAGGCAGGCTGAGATGAGTCCATGAGGGCAGGGAAAAGCAGCTGAGGGTTCTTAGTGCAGAAAGTAGGGTTAAGCCCTCTCTGTAGTGTGGATGGTTAAAACGGTCCATAAATCGTCGGAGTTCACCAATTTATGTGGACTTCCCTCCTCTGCCAGATTCTCTTCTACTTCCCAGAGCAGGTCCTGAAGTCCTTCTGCCTTAATAGACAAAATTCTCTCCAGGCTCCAGAGCAGGTATGGACAGTCCCCTGCTCAGCTGAGGACAACTGACACCCTCCTCAAGCAGCTCCCCTTCAGGGTTTCTGTTTGCAGCAAGGTATCCCAGCAGAGCCACCCCTCATGCTAGGATCAGAGAGGATCCCCACAAACGGTGGAATCTGTGGCCATCAGGAAAGTACCTTCCGTTTAAAATACATATTTCCCTTATGGTCCAATGGGGTATCTGAAATTCCACTATTACAAACTTCTTTCACTAAGTTAGAATACAAATGCCCCTAGGGAGGGAAACCCGTTAGTTGCTCTTGTCTATTTGGACCCTGGCAAGGACTTAGTGTTACAGACTGAAAGGAGGAAATTCTGGGGCCACGTGGAGGACAGACCCAGGACTGAATCGAACACTACTTCCTGGAGAAACCCCAGCAGTGCCAGGAGCAGAGGGAAGCAGGAAAAGAGTCCTCTGGGCAGGCAAAGGGCAGAAAAAAGGCACTGGAGAATTAGAGGTAGGAGCTGTCAAATGACAGAAAAGAACATGGAAAAGGAAGGAAAAAATGGTTAAAAGTAGATTCTTTTCCAATTGCATAACTTTTCCCTGAACTGACCATCAAGATCAAGATCACAAAGTGGCCATGATTGCTACTTGGAAGTTCCAGAAGCACACAAAAAAACCCTTTTCAAGCCCTAATGCTTCCTCCCACAGACAAAAAGCCAGCTCCAGATACTTCCAACTCTTAACAGCTTCAGAAGCCCCCACTACAATGACTAGTTAGCCTCTTTCTTGAACCCAACAGAGCACAAGAGTGGAATACACCAACGTGAGAGAAAGTGCTCTTCTCCTAGAGCATCTAGAAAGCTGAACGGTGTCCTTATCCCCCTCTCTGCTTTGCTGAGTAGTTTTCATAACAACCACTGAACTGGTTTCCCTTCTGGAAGAACTGAAATGACACCAGTAACTACTTGCTGGGTTACCAAGTCTTCCCTTTCATTGACCAGTGAGACTTCTCCTCGGGCACAGAAACTGCAGGGCCAAATGGGTGAAGTTCCATGACCCCAAATAGTACTTTCCTCAATAAAATTAGTCACCAATTTGTTCTTGGAGAACAACAGTGATGAGAGACCAGGGCATTCACGTCTGTATCAGCCTCTTCTGATACAGATGTGCTGGTTAGATGTCTGGAAAAAATGACATGGCAGGCAAGCAGGCAAGCAGGACAAGAACTGGGACTCTGGCCGCTGCTCTCTTTCTACCCTGCAGAGCAGCCCGGTCTTGAGTCCTGCTACTCAGCCAGTCCCTGTATTTGGCCAGAGCAAAGCTTCCGTGGCTTATATGAGTGTAACTGGACCTACAGCTGTCACAGCCGTTGGACAACTTCAGGTAATGTTGGTCTGAGCCATCAGTTCCCCTACTTCTCCCCTGCTTGGTCCTGGGAATTGTTGCACTCACACTTCCTGCCCCAATTCCTCTCTTCCTGGGCTCTGACTCCAGGCTTCAGACCTTATTTCCTGTTTTCAGTATCAACTCTGGCTTCTAGAGCCATCCTTCCAGAACAGAAGACTCTCTATGACCTCCATTCAGAGGGGCGGTGGGGGAAAGGTTCTGGCAGAGACCCCAGGCAAGCAGCCAGCTTGGGCCTAGGGGAAGAGAATTATTCACAGGATCACAGATGTTAGAGATGAAAAGAACTTGCAAAAACACATCTCACTCATCCATCCCACCTTGTAATGTAGGCTGTTTTCCAAGAGCATATGGCCTGTTCCCATCTGATTTCAAAGAATCTATCATTACCGACAAATACACACTGAGCACACCTCGTGTGCTCTGTGTTGTCCCAGTCATGAGGGGTGGAAACCAAGGGGCTCTCTTTCTCTAGAAAGGGCTTGCACACTGTGTGATAAATTTACTTCTCTCATGCATTGCCTGAGCCCGCCTAGATATCTGTCCCATCATGCTCACACAGATATCTTCCAAACACCTGAATACCCCTCTTGCAGATAAGCAAGCCTCTGATTATCCTGGGAAAATAATAGGGACAATAGATGCTGAAGGACCAGCAATGGGAGGAACTATGGGAGGGTGCTGAGGGGGACAATGGAAACAGCCTTTGGGCAACACCAACACTGACTGGTAAAGATTTTGGTCTGTGGTAACAGCAATTACAGCTGATTCTCTAAGACTATTCAAGAAGTAAGAAGGAAAAGATTGCTCTAAGACCTATCGCCATCCAGGATAGTGAGGAAAGGATACTCTCTTCCTTGTCAACTTCTCATCTACTGAGATGGAATCCTAGACCTTAGACTGATGTGCACTCAATTTTATTTTCTCCTCACACACACCATGGTACAGAAAAAAATTCCCCCAATCCCCAGGGTTATTGAAGAGTTTCAGCTGATCCAGGATCAAATCCTGGGGCATCCAGTTGAAAGTGTTCTGGGCTTGAAGGTCTCAGGTTCACTCTCAACCAGAGTCTAGAGTTTGGAGAGAATTGGAATTCCCATGCAGCTGCAGCTCCCAGGCCCCATCAGACTGGGGGTGGACCTGACAGTTTTGCCCACCCTACATCCTTTCTTCTCTAATTCTCTTTCCCTTTCTACTTCTTGTCTTTCATCCCACTCTTGTCTCTCCCTTGGCTATTCCCTTATTCTGAATATTTAGGTCTTAATCAAGGTCAACTGGGAAAGGGAGGAAGTCAACTTTGCCAGGCTCCAGTTAGCCCCTGTTGCAATAGCTGGGATATCCTATTACTCCAAGGCTAAATGCTTGATGTCCCAGGAGGGCTGAATAAATAAAAGTGTTCAAAATAAAGTGAAGCATACTGGTGAAATCCATGGACTTCACTGTCATTTAGATAAGTGTTCTAGTTTCCACACTGCCATTAATAGTGCGGGCCAGTTGCTTTCCTTTCTGATTCTCTTTCTTCATCTGTAAAAGAAGGAGAATAATACTACTGTCTAAATCCTAGGTCTCCTTTGAAGGTTAAATTGGCTCAGTGCAGGCAAAGCACCATTTCGTATAAAGAGTGGCACCAGAAATGCAGTAGGCATTTGGTTTTTCTAAAGGGGTAATAAAATGAAGCTGACCTCTTCTGAAACTCCAAATTTGGCCCACCCCACTCTCCTCCCAACCAGGGCAAATCCAGGATTCAAAACATACCCAAAAGAGTATGTTAATCAATTCTGGGTTAAGACCCTTAACAACCTGCACTCCCACTGAATATCAGAGACAAGAGAGTTGTTGAACTGACATCTGATGGTGGATTTCAGCGTCTCTAATTCCACTGACTTTCTTTGTCATTTTCATGGTGTTTCCTCCCTTCTGTTTTCATTTCCTTTCCTCATCTCCATTAGCTTCTTTTCATTTTTCTCCAACTCTTCTTTCTCCTTCTTAATCTTTATTAAGCATTCACTCAATGACATTGCACTGGAAACCATGATGAGAAATCTCACCAAATAGAGCCTGACCTGTCACAGACTTTATAACCTAAACAACATGACATGTTCTACTCACCAGTGGTTCTCAAACTGGGAAGTTTATAAAAACAGTAATTAGTAGGGCTTTGCTCCAAACCTATTAAATCTAAATCCTTGGGTATGAGGCCAGAGTACCTCTATTAAAATAACAATAATAAAATAAAATCTCCCCTGTTGATTTCAAAGTCAACCACTACCATACACTAAAATAAACTATAAATTCTACCAAGCTCCTTTCTCTCTTTCTTGCTATTTTTTAACTCCTTCGTTCTCACCATCCTCTCAGCTCATTATGTCAAACTGTTTTATTTTTGAGAATTTACAATATTTGCTTTGATATAAGCAATGAGAATACAGGAATGGTAAGAATAAAAGGCAAAGAGGTTGGAAGGAGATGGAAGGGGTATGCAGACAGTAGATCTGTGAAGGCAAAAGAAGTGGAGCGATGCAGATGGAAGACAGCAGAAATAAGAGTAGGCAGAGGAGGAGGAGGGTGGGTGGGTGGAAGCAGCATGCAGAAACCACAGTGCAGCCTGGCTTCCTGGGAAGCCTGTTGCCCTAGCAACGTGATGCTGAAAGGTTAAAGGCTGCTTGCTCCCTACTACTCTGGATTACATGTTGCCAAGGCAACAGAAGGCACCCAAGACACGTGGTGGCAGGCCATGAGGACTTGGGGGTATGCCAGGAATCCTCAGTTCAAGACAGGCTACCCTGGCTGGCTGCACCATTGTGCTACCTTCCACTCTCAACCCATACCTCAGAAGCTCACCCCAGATGCAGCATTCCCTGTGATACTCTTCTCAGTGCCACCACCCCACTTTGGGAAGGGAGGAAATGATATTCAGCTGCAACTAGGTAGACAAATCCAGGAGGAGTCAAGGGACACTAGTGCATGGAAACTCCAAGAACTCAAAAGGAGAAGCAGCCATTTAGTTAGAGGAAAGCCAATTATAATGTATCTAACTTCCTCCATTGCTTTGCTCAACTGTTTGCAAGCTTGTAAACAAATTTTGTAAAAATAACAAAACAAAACAAAACCTGCATAATACACCTATCAAAAGAAAAGGATGCCTTTTCTTTTAAGAGGAATTTGTCTTTCAATACTAGTAGATAACAGAAGCCATTTATTCAAAACCAGGTGTGTACCTGGCAGAGTAATGAGTGACTTAAAAGGTTATTTCATTTAATCTTCATAATAGTTCTTTGAGGTGGAAGAGTATTAACCACAACAGAGAGATGAGGAAAAAAAAAAAAAAAAAACAGATCACAGAAATCACACGTGGCAAGAGGTCACCGGGCTCTGAAAGGTGGAACCAGAACTCAAAATGGCTCCATGGCATATGCTCCATCCACGATACTATACTGCCGCCATCTGAAAAGACACTATATCAGGTAACATGGCCCCATTCTTACACCCAGAATGAATAAAAAAACAGCACCCTGCCAATACCTCAGGCCCTATATCAGCCAACTCCGGAGCACCTCCTCAGCCTCAGCTATACTGACCCTCCTATTACTCATCAAGAAACAACAGCAACCAAAACACTTTCCCACTTGAAGGCCTTCACACCTGCTGTTCTCTCTGCCAAAATGCTGCCCCTCAGATCTTCAGGCATCTTGATCCTTCTCACCATGAAAATCTCAAGGGCTACCTCCTCTGCGGCCTTCCCTGACAACCCTAACTAAAATAGCTCACAATACCTCTTTCTGCTATTTTCATTAAAGCATTCACCACTATCCAAAATAATACTGTTTAATTGATGTGTCTGTTTACTGTCAGTCAATGCTCCATGAGGACATGTCTCTCTTACTGATCACATCTCCAGAACCTCAAATAGTTCCTAATACCCAGTAGATAAAAGATATTTTGTGAATAAATAACTGAGAAAGTATGTTGTTTGGAGAGGAAGTTACTACCTTTGAAAAGTTAATTACATTGATTAAATATAGTTGGGTGATACCTTGACAATTAGCATATAATATGAATTGCATATGTTTATTTTCCAAAACATTTAAAACTGTTTCTTTCTGCTCACTCTTTTGAAAGAGCGCTAATAAAGTCAGGGCTATCACTGGCACTTAAATATTTTCATGATAAAAGTCTTGCTCTGCTACCTCAGATGGCACCCCTAACCTGAAGCAGGCCTTTTGCCATGTCTGTCTGCTAAAAATAAAGTGGACACAAATGTGATAACTCCAGCTGGAAGTGCCAGGTTGCTGATTGCTGGTATCTGGCCCTCATATCTGTGAGGAAGGGAAAGGTGATAGAGCTAGCAGCCCAGAGAGACGTAGGAATGTATCTGCCAGTAACCACAGAGATTAACCTATCAGCCATTTTCATTTGGGTTTAAAATACTTTTCTCTTAATTGCAACTGACATTTGCTGCCCCGAAATAATTAATTCATCCATACATTTAATAAATATGTATTAAGGGCTTACTCTGTGACAAGCTATATGTTAGGTTCTGGTGATACAAAAATGATAAAGACCTAGTCCTTGCCCTTGCAAAGTCTGTAGTCTAGCAGGACGGAGAACTAAAAGAACTACTACCATTACTTACAGTTGTGATATGGACTATGTATGAAATGAAAAGAAATAAAGGGAAAAGAAACAGGAGTTTTGAACTGATGGTAGAGAAGAAAAAATATCTGAGGGCATGAGGACCTTGGGTGAGGAGTACAGCCCTAGAGGAGATGTACCACTTGGGCCCTGGAAAGTAGAAAAATATCAGCACCACACTTAAACACACACATGCACATGCACATGAAACAAGAAGCATGCCAGAAGCAGTGGCTCAGGCCTATAATCCCAGCACTTTAGAAGGCCAAGGTGGGCGGATCACGAGGTCAGGAGTTCGAGACCAGCCTGGCCAACATGGTGAAACCCTGTCTCTATTAAAAACACAAAAAATAACTCGGTGTGGTGGTGAGTGCCTATAATCCCAGCTATGAGGGAGGCTGAGGCAAGAGAATCATTCAAACCCAGGAGGCAGAAGTTGCAGTGAGCCGAGATAGTGCCATTGCACTCCAGGCTGGGTGACAGGGTGAGACTCCACCTCAAAACAAAACAAAACAAGAAGCAAAAAGCAAAAACAAAACAAGGAGAGAGGCATGCAGAAAGGGAAACACTAGTGCTAAAAGACGAACTTCACCTTGCCAGTCCCACCAAGGGCCTCGGTAGTGGAACAGCTAAAGGGAACACTGACACCCTTTCAGCATTGTCCCAGGCCTGGAGTGAACTAGAAAGAGCATCACCTTTGGAGAGAACACCCAAACTGCATGTCCAATGACCACAGAGCTAGGTGAGTTCAAGATCATACTGTTGATGGTTTGTGTTTCTGTTTACTTCATTCATTTATTCAATGGAGACTTACCAAATAACTCTCATAGACCCATACTTGCTGATTCCTACCATTTTCAAGGCCTTTTCTAGGTACTTTGAACAATCTTACTTAATAACCTCAAGAAATAGGGTCTAGGCCAGGCACAGTGGCTCACACCTATAATCCCAGCACTTTGGAAGGCCAAGGTGGGTGGACCACCTGAGGTCAAGAGTTTGAGACCTGCCTGGCCAACATGGTGAAACCCCATCTCTACTGAAAAAAAAAAAAAAAAAAAATTGCCTGGCGTGGTGGTGCATGCCTGTAATCCCAGCTACTCAGGAGGCTGAGGCAGCAGAATCACTTGAACCTGGGAGGCAAAGGCTTCAGTGAGCCGAGATCATGCCACTGCACTCCAGGCTGGGTGACAGAATGAGACCCTGTTGAAAGAAAGAAAAGAGACAAAAGAGAGAAAAGAGAGACAGAGAGTGAGAGAGCAAAAGCTCTATTTGTATCACTATTTTATAGATGAGGAAACTAAGGCTCAGAGAAGTGAAGGAGTTTTCTAAAGGTCACACAGTAAGTGGTGATAGAACCAGGAAACAGCAAGGCAGTGAGATTCCAGAACTCCCTCACTTAACTGTGGTGTGTGTATTCATTTCCTAAGGCTGCAGAAGACTCGGGGGCTTAAAACAACAGAAATGTATTCTCTCACAGTTCTGAAGGCCAGAAACCTAAAATCAAGGTGTCGGGAGTCTCACACTCTAAGGCTCTAGGGGAGATTCCTTCCTTGCCTCTTCCAGTTTCTGGCGGCTTTCCTAGCTTGTAGCTCAACAACTACCACCTCTATCTCTCTTTATATGGGCTTCTCCTCTGTGTCTGTGTCTTCTCCTCTTCTGTGTCTTATAAGGACATTTGTCATTGAATTTAGGGCCCACCCAAATAATTCAAGATGATCTCATCATGACATCTTTAAGTTAATTACATCTGCAAAGACCCTTTATCCAAATAAGGTCACATTTATGGTTCCAAGGGTTAAGACATGGACCTATCTTTTGAAGGATCACCATGCTACCCAGTGCAGTGTGTATAGAGTGCACAGTTTAATGAGTGTTAATTGTTTAATCAAAGTTAGCTGTCACTATGCACCTGACACTATGTGCTAGGAAGACGAAATTACTAAAGCATAGCCCTGGCCCACAATGAGCCTACTCTACAGCAAGAGAGACAGATGTGTTAACAAGACAGGTTACAATAAAAGCACGAAGAGGGCACAGGTGACGCACAAGAAAAGAAATGCCAAATTCTGTGAAGGTGGGAGTCAGGAAAGTGTGCACAGAAGAAACGCCATGAATTCTCCTATAAAGTGGACAAGGGGTGGGCAAGGAAGAGGACATTCTAAGAAGAGGAGGTGGCAAAGACAAAAGCACAGAGATGTAAAACAGGCAGAACCATTCGGGGAGCTGTAAATAATTTAGTGTGGCTTGACATTGCTGCTCAAGGGCAGGGAGGTTAAGAGAAATCCTGGAGAGGTGGCCTGGGACCAGATTAAAGAGGACGCTTCATTCTAAGCTGAAGGAAGCCAGGGCGGTTTTAAGCAAAAAAGTAATAATAGATCTGAGTTTCCAAAGAATCATAGGTAAGCTTCCATGTGGCAGCACAGACAAGAGAGAATGAGTGCCAGCCCTTGGGTCACTGCAGCGTGTATGGAGTTGAGGGGACAAATTGGAGCTACCTACGAAGGTGGAACTATCAAGGTCCCGTTACTGTCGGAGGGGAAGGGAGGGCTCTAAGTTGATTTCCAGACTGAGAAATAACTCCCTTTTTAGAACTCTTGGTTTCTATAATGCTTCTCCTTCCTTGCTCTTCTTGTTCTTTTCTTATCTCTCTGATAATTTTGTCTCAGATCCTTTATCATCTGCACCTTGCACCTCCCCTGGCCATCCCTCAAATGGTGGTGCACCCAGGGTTCTGCCCTTGACCCACTTCTCTCCCCTTTCCACTGTTCACTCTGAGCCATCTCATCCACTCTCATGGTTTCAGCTATCCTGTCCCCGCAAATAAGGCTTATAGCTACATGTCCAGCCCAAATCATTCACTCTACCTCCAGGCCCAAATCCAAGTGCTTACTAGACATTTCCACCTATATGACCCACCCATGTTCTAAATTCTATACATTCTCATTGCTGCTGTCACCAAATCTGTGACAAATCTAATTACTCTTGTCATCATAATTTTTGTGACTAGCACTAAAAGGGTCAACAGTATTCAGTGCTGCAGAAGGTCAAGAACAACTTGAAAAGTCCATTGGATTTGGCACCTTGGAGAAGTGAGAGATGAGGAAGTGCAAAAGGCAATTTCAGACTACCCTTTAAGGAGCTGAACTGTGAAAAGAAGGAGACAAGGAGGGAGAATGAGCATCAAGGAAAGCTTTCATGTTTGTTTAATAAGATGAGAGTGATTTGAGCATATTTATGGGCCACAGTGATAGTTGATATTTTGGGTAAGACTATTCTTGACAGTGGGACACTAACACATATATTACAGGCCACTTAACATGCCGGTTCTCTAAGTTCTCAGTGCCTGTGGCGCACGCGTGCATACACACACACACACACACACACACACACTCTCACACACACCAGTTATTATGGCATCCAAAAATCACCCTCATACATTCCCAAACATCTTCTAAGAATCCCTAAAAGGGAAGATACCAGTAGAGAGGAATAAGTTGAAAGTTAAGAAAAAAAGAAAATAACTGATGAACCAAGATCCTAATTCTGGAGAAGACTAGACTAAAGACACAAAAGAGGGTTTGGCGTGAGACAAGGGAAATGCACCATGTTTGGGCTTTGATTCCTACAGGCATTGGTTGAATTCCCAGGATGTCACTTCCTTTGAGACACAGTGTACTACACTGTCTGTTGACTACACTGTCTGTTGACTAGCCCCAAAGCCATTCCCACTCCTTTCCCCCCTTGTCACCTCCACCAGAGAGACTTGCAACGTCCACAGAGTTGCCCATGTGACATTGTTTGGGCTCATGAAATCAAGGATGTGGGGAAGACTTCTTCTAATCCAATACCAACCCACTTCTTCTTCCTTCGTTAAGTATGAGCATGATGGATGACTAACGCTGGAGCAGCCACCTTCCAACCATGACAAAATGCCAGGCGAACCCCAGATGTCAGTACTGACATCACTGAGCCAGTGAACCACCCCCAGCAGCCTCTGTCTCTAGACTCTTTGTTCTGAGACACCCACAGACTCATTTGTTTAAGCTACGGTGAGCAAATCACTACCTAAAGGTATTGGACAACATAGTTAACCTCTCTGATCTATAGTTTCCTTGTCTCTAAAATAAAGATAAAATATGTGCCTTCTAAATTCAATGAAAACATTAAATGAGATAAAATATATAAGATGACTAGCTCATATAAAGTGACTAACTCAGAGTTTGACAAAAAATAAATGATCAGTGTCAGTCTTTCTCATCATAACCTCAAAATAACTTACAATAATTAGATCTTCTTTGTCCGTGTAAAATAGAATTATAGCAATAAACCTTTATTGTACTCAGAAAGGTAGAATAAAAATAACCACCTTTAATGTTACTCTCCTGCATGCTAGACCTTTAAACTACAGAATCAAAATACAATTTTGAATAAAATGTAGATCTAACAGTAAGACAAAAAGAATCACAGAAGTCTCAGAAAGGGGACTAAAAATATACTCTTTGTATAGAACTCATAATTCAGGGAGTTTTTTTCAGCAATATCAATGTGATGTAAAAATTGGCTGGCAATATTTAGTAAATTTATGTTTTCTTGTATCTGTAACATTTTACTACTTCCCACCTAGTACCACGAATATTTTCTTCATGTAATAATTCACTTTTTTTTAACATATTAACACTTCCAAATCTATGAGTGACTCTGATTCAAACACTATTTTATTCCGTTATGTTTTTAGAAAATGATCTTGACTTGTCTTTAATGCTTATATCCTATGTGTATCAGTTTGTTGAAATCACTTTATGTCTCTGCTTTGAAAATCCTGATAAGTTCTGATCAAGTCAATATCAGTAATTGCATCACCAAAGAGGTGGAACCTACTGAGCTGTTGTTTATCCACCATGTCTAAATGGAAGCAGGTTAACATCCCCAAATCTTCTATTTCTGTTAATAGGAAAAATTAGAATCCATTTTCCTCAAGTGATTTAGGACAAGTCTGGTTTTTGAGAATGCAAGATGGCATATACTAAGCACCAACTGTCTACCATGCACTGGGTACATTGCGTCATAAGGCTTGCTACCCTTTATAAGCTGGGTGTTATTTTTGTTTTCACTTTACAGAAGGAGATTTTGAGGCTCAGAGAGTCTGAAGAGTCCAACTAAGGTCACATGGCTGAGAATGAATAGAGCTCAAGCCCATTGACTCCAAAGTCTGCATTCTCTCCTTGTGCTGGTACCTTCTTTTAGACACCATCACGTCCCTGGAAAATGTATGACAAGTGATGGCTGGTGTGTTACTTTCCAGCACCAAGTGCCTGTATTTCTATGAATGTCGAAGCAATTTCTGGGCTTCAATTGTTACAAGCATTAACACTGCTCCTAAAGAAAATCCTAGCTCCAATTTTTAAAGACAGGATGTGCTGGCCAACAAGAAACACATTTCACAGAAGCAGGTGGAAAGAGCCAGCCAGACAGAGCTACATCACTACAAAGTTTCCAGTGCCTTAGAGAGCACTGCCTACCCATCTTTCCCCAAAATATAGTTCAAGTAGGGAAAATTGGAGAGAAGAAACTGAACTCCAGGTAATTTTGTCCTGGCTTTTTTTTCTTACTCCCTCATCGTATGCACTGGGAAAAAGTCTTAAAGTCAAGCATGTCTGAATTCAGATTTCAGTCCCACTATTGTTGTAGATGTGTGACTTTGGCCAACATACATAAACGCTCTCTGATTTAGTTTCCCCATCAAGAAAGAAGAAATACTACTACTTCCCTCATGGGATTGCATAAGAATTAAAATGCTCATTAACATCATGCCTGGTTCAAAATTGACATATTATGTTAGTTTTTTTCCTCTCACTTTTCCTACCTCTATGTCTTAATACCCTTCATCCAAGAAATGCCATAACATTACAGTTTTCTCCCAAAGTATTCTGTCCCGAGGAATATTATATCACAGACAACTAAAAGCAAGGTAACAATCTAACAGACACCAGAAATTAGTGAAGAAGCGTAGGGTAAGGCATGAGTAACATGTAGCCATCTTGGTTTCAAGATTATGTTGGATATGCAAATCCATATGAGCCAAGGGAAGGCAATAGTCTACTCCCAGTGTCACACACCACTGCCAGCCCATCTACTCTCTCCAAACCCACTGTCATTAAGCAAGTGGGGGTAGAGGATAGGGGAAGAGGGCCAGAGGATGAAGCCAAAGAAGAGTAGGGCCATCTTCCTATCCCCAATTAGATTCCAAAATGTGGCTCTCAGTACAGAAAATGAAAAGTGCTATTGAAAGCATCCATTCCCAAAGAAGCAATTTATTATTTATTTTATTTTATTTTTGAGACAGAGTCTCGCTCTGTCACTCAGGCTGGAGTGCAGTGGTGCAATCTCGGCTCACTGCAACCTCCATCTCCCAGGTTCAAGCAATTCTCCTACATCAACCTCCCAAGTAGCTGTGATTACAGGTGTGCGTCACCACGCCCAATTTTTGTATTTTTAATAGACACGGGGTTTCACCATGTTGGCCAGAATGGTCTCGAACTCCTTACTTAGGGTGATCTGCCTGCCTCCGCCTCCAAAGTGCTGGGATTACAGGCATGAGCCACCGTGCCTGGCCCCCAAAGAAGCAATTTAGAAAGGAAAGAATCATAGCAATAGACTCCACAGTAAGAATATTTTTGCATGTCATCTAAGGAAGAATAAGATCCAGAATGTGATGCACGTTTTAGCTACCATGCTACACCCTGATCAACATGTCTATTTCCAGATCCTGACCCTTTACTCAGCATACCCTTTTCTTCCCCATTCTTGGAGCATTAAAGTTGGATCTTGAATCCTTTTGCCTGCTCCTACTGTAACTTCTACCTTTCTATTTTCCTTCCTACCTTCTGCTCAAGCCATTTTCATTAGTCCTAATGCCAAGGACAAAACAGTTGTCATTGACTCTGTCATTCCCTATCACTACTCCTTATTTCCCTCACCTAAAGTGTCTGTTTGCCACGGTACTGCCCTAAAATCTTCCATATATTTTATTTCATTTTATCTTCAAAATGTAAGGTGTATAGGGCAGAACACAAAATTTATATCTCATAAACTATAAACTGAGTATCATGTAGTATAACTAATGTGTTTGTCCACATTTTCAAAGCTCATCAGAATGGAGACTAAAACTCAGGGATGTATAATTCTTAGTTCAGTGTCTTATGATGCAGAATTGTATAATAGAAAGCATAGGTTTCAAAACAGGTATTCCTGAGATTTGAATTCTAGTCCCATTGCTAATAGTGGGCTGTGATATCCTGGATTAGTTACTTAACCTTTCTAAGCTAAAATCTGAAAACCCAGGGAAGATTTCAGACAATCAGTAGAAAAACCTCCTAGAAATAAATGGAAATACATCTAGCTTCAGTTCATTATTTGGATTCAGATGGGCATCTTAAATCCAGGATCTCAGGGAGAATAAAAGCAATTATAACAAGGCAAAATAAAATAGGCTCTTTATACTCAGGTGGGGAACTGCCAAAAAGCACCTCATACATTTTTAAACATTCTCCATTACTATTCGAAACAGTCTCTGTTACAAGCACCTAGCAGTTCTTTCCAGGTTAGAGATTTTCTTTAAGGGACCCCGTGTGGCTGCAGCAGGCTTCCATACTACTTGTGAGCCTCAGCTTCCCTGGTGGGGTGAGACCAAGACTCCCACCTCACACTTCAGAGCCTTCCCCCAGATTTTCACCTTTCAACCATATGCCCTTCTTGGGTGGTCTCCAATTTAGAGTTTTTTCTACAATGGTCCATGCTGCTTTTCGATTCTCATTCTTTTCCTGCATCATGATACACTCTCACTCCCTTCAAACTGCTCCACATGGCCTTCAGCTTCACCTGCTGAATGTTAGGCTGGACACTTCAGTGAAGCACTTGCCATGTATCACCTCATTTAATCCTCGACAACCCTGTAATCAACATATTAGTATCCCCATTATACAGGCAAGGAAACAAACGTTGAGAGTCAGGGATTGGTGACTTGTCCTGATTCTAACATTTAGGAAGTGATGCCCGAATCCAGCTTGGACTCTAAATTCTGATTTTTTAATAGCCCTACTCAGCTAGCCCCCGTGCTTCTTTCCACCATAATATAAAGCTCATTTCCTCTTTGGGAAAGCAGAGTGCTAATTAATGTTCTTACTGATTAATTAGCATATGCAAAAAAGTGAGCACATGCTATTTGACGAGGTGCTGAACTGCTGAACTGTGTCTGTGCTGTTGTCAAAAGTCTTCAGAAGAATGCTGTCCTTCCAGCATCAAAAACTTCTTGAATACAAACTTTATCCCTGTAATGCAATCATCCACAAGAGCACTTAATAAGTGGGTTTTATTGGAAATAAACTAACAACAAAAACTTAAGTTAAAACAGACTGACAATTACCTGTCTCCGAGAAGGGGAGAACAAAATAGAAGGCTTATTGATCATCCTTCAGACGATTACTATGAGCCTTCAGTGTGGCCAAGCTACATGTCTTAGATTTACTGCATCAGTTCCACTTTCAAATGTTTTTTGTCCTATTCCCCTGTTGTTGATTAATAGTTGTCCAACTGTGTGTCCCCATTCTATGTTTGTAAAATATGGTCATGGTACTTAAAAATAAACTTCTATTAAAAAAACAAAACAAAACAAAAAAAAAACCTGGCCTTAGTTTTGAGGTGTTTTATCTTTGAAATTTGTCCCAAAGGCTTTTTTCTCTGAGATTTGGGGACTCTTTTTATTGGCCTTTATGCAAATCTGTTAAGCCCCCAAACATTCCTCTGCATGGCTGCTGGGAAGTTTGCTGCTGGCACTCTCTCTCCAGGTAGCTCCTGCCACCACCCATTCAGCATCGAACGCCTGGGGCTGAGCCTCCAACTTTCCAGGATCTCCATTACTGGATCTTTTTCTTTCTTCTTTTCCCTCTTGCTGCTTACCTTTTAGAAACTATTCTTTCCAGGTCAAAAGTCAGATATTTACGCTATTTTAGAAAAGCATCTAAAAGTCACTGCCCACCTACCTCCTTATTTGGCGGAGAGAAAGACATGATGGAATATTTGGGTGTGGTAGCAATGAAGGAAGGAGCAAGGGGAAAGTGATGAGAGGAGGTCTCATTACAGTGACCTAGAAGAATTCACTTTACTGGTGTCAGTTCTCCTATTTACTCCTGGAAGGCAGTAGCCAGTGGGTCCTCTATGGAACTGTGCTACACTTAAGCGCTCCACCATTTCATACCCTTGTTATGTTCTCTTGTAGTTAGACTCCAGTATTGCCTGATTATAAATCATGTAATAGATCACTTTCAGTCAGATGACATCCCCCACAATGCCATCTAACAAGGGAGAAAGTGAAGGGTAGTAAGATATATGAGACCTTAACCAGTCATTTTCTTGAGAGACAAGAGAGTACACAGCCTTTGAAGCTAGCAACCAATGTTAAAATCCTGGCTTCCACTTAAGAGCTGTAGCATTTTGGATATGTTACTTAACCTCTCTGAGCCTCAGTTTCCCCATCTGTAAGATAAAGATTAAATAATATCACTTAGGTCGCTAACTGGTTAAGAGTATTAAATAAGATAGTACATACACAGCACTAAGCGCCTAGCATATGGGGAACACTCTCAAAGCCCCTAAGATACATCAGCGAAAAAAAGAGTTCAGTCTCTCTGCATGCTCTGCAAGTTACCTTATATTTGTATAATGATGTTGTGGATTTGTAAAAGGTACCAGAGAGAAGCAATCAGCTAGTTTAGGCATAACTTTTTCTACCAGGGAGAAATAATATAGGTTGCACAACAGCCCACATGAGAAAAAAATCATTTTTACCTGTTGTGCTCTCAAAGTAGATATGTACTTATTCATGGTAATTTTAAAATTCGCTCTTAACCATATCAGAATTCTTTCAAAGCAAAATTGTGCCCTCAAATTGCCACTGTTAAAATAAAATATAATTTGCTAAGGACAATCATATTTGAAAAAAAGAAAAATCTACCTGAAGCACAACTCAACGGGTTCTGCCACAGCAGTCTACATTTTCCATTTTGCTTATTTTTCCCACTTCCCTTAGCATGGGCTATTTGTGCTAGTGCCTATTTTCTAACATCTGTACCTGCACCCACGTAAATGGAAGAATATGTTTCTCATATGATACTGGAATGTCTTCACTTAACACTTTTAACTTGACCTTTCCTAGACTGAAGGGAAGCTCTGAAGCAGAAGCTAGTCATCTCTGCCTGCTGCCGACAGGTGGCGGTAACGGTCATGCAAGGTTCCTTTAGTCTCGGCTCAGCTGCTCCACTGCGGAGGTTGTCAACTAGCCAGGCAGCATGCTTGTGGTGTCTGTGCTAGGTTTTAAGGTGTTTACAAACATTATTAACCCGAAAGCATGTCTTTTAAGTACAAAACTAAAGGCAGGTTTGAATGTGGTGATAAAAAGTATGACAATGACAATAGTAGAAACCCAAAATGATGAAAAATGATAAACGTAGCACTTGTGGTGAAACTAACTATTCTAAGACGTGAATGGCTGGCTGCAAAGGACAGTGCATATGTACTAAGTGCTGTATCTAAGTAATGAACAATAATCAGTAAAGCAAGGAAAATAACTGAATAACTGATAGTATGTAAAAACAAAACAACCCAAAGCAGAATAAAACGCTTTTTTCTGCAGTTAGGGAATAAGCCCCAGTGTCAAGTGGCAATTAGTCATATGACAATTAGCCTAACATTAACGCAGGAGAGGCTAGGATTTGTTGGAGATTTAAAGCAGTGGTTGTCAATCTTAACTGCACTCTAGAATCACCTGGGGAGCTTTTAAGACTCCCGAAGCCCAGGCCAATAATCAGAATCCCGAGGGGTGGGACTCAGGCATCAGCAGTGTTGAAAGCTCTTCAGGTGATTTTAATGTGCACCCAATTGCCTTCAAATCTAAGCATGGGGAAAAATGTGTTGCTACAGGTTCCACGGATTAAAATCCATCTGGATGTGCAGATCAATATGTGTGATGAGCGTTAATACCTTGGCAAGAATTATTTCCCTATGACATTTGTATCTTCAAGTAGAGAAATCACCTGCCTTGAGGGATTTTTCTTTTTATAGTCTTGAAAACAGTATGGGGGAGAACACGTATTGCCAAAGAATAACAGAGTATGCCTTTCATATACCTATTTGAAGAAAAGGTATCCCAGAGCTACAAGCGTCAACATCCCTTAGTCATTTCAGTGAGTCCATTTACAAACAAGTGGACACAAAAACCTTTTCAAAACTATAGGAGTTTCTAGATACCAGCACCTTTCCCTCACTTTCATCTTTAACAGATTGCTAAGCATGCACGGTGGCTCACGCCTGTAATCCCAGCGCTGTGGGAGGCTGAGGCAGGTGGATCACCTGAGGTAAGGAGTTTGAGACCAACCTGGTCAACATGCTGAAGCCCTGTCTCTACTAAAAATACAAAAATTAGCTGGGTGTGGTGGCAGGCGCCTGTAATCCCAGCTACTCGGGAGGCTGAGGCAGGAGAATCACTTGAACCTGGGAAGTGGAGGTTGCAGTGAGCCGAGATGGCATCATTGCACTCCAGCCTGGCTGACAAGAGCAAAACTCTGTCTCAAAGAGAGAGAGAGAAAAAAAAAGGATTAATTGCTGGCCTATCCACGCTGTCAATGCAATCTGGTTACCTTCCATCATTAACAATCAAGTTTTACAGGAAAACAAATGCATGGTTTAGTCCTCAGCACAAACCCTCAGGCCCTTCTCCCTGCAGCCCCTTTTTACCTTATCTGCCATTATCATAGAGGAGCCCCCGTGGATGCCCAGGATGGGGGTGAGAGTCTGTGCTGAAATGAAATCGAGGATCTGGGCGATGGCTTCCTGGTCTGTGTCATCAGCAAACACCACCCCCTGGATCTTCCGGTCAGACATGAGATCACAGATGCGGGTGATGATGCTCTTTGGGTCGGTCTCATTCATGGCTACCAGTTCCACCCGGGGTACCACGGAGAGATGGTGGAAATCATCTTTCTCGTGGGCATCCTTGATGGCCACCTCGTCGGAAGTGCCCACGAGGATGACAGCAATGCCAATGCTGGGGGGGCTCTTCTGAGAACGAGCTCTGCTGCCTGACACGGCCAGGACGGCCAACACCAACCAGAACTTGGGAGAACAGCACTCCGCTCTGGGCTTCATCTTCAACTCGTCGACTCCCTGCAAACACAAAGAAAGAGCATGTTAAAATAGGATCTACATCACGTAACCTGTCTTAGAAGAGGCTAGATACTGCAATTCAAGGACCTTATCTCCTTTCATTGAGCACCAAACCCAACTCCATCTACCAGCCTACTCTCTTATCTCTGGTATTTGCTCTGCAGAATGAGAGAAAATGAAACTTTCAAAAGCCTCAGAAATCCTTGAACAAGGCAATAAAAGGTGCTATTGCTATAGTCATTGGCAGCTACAGGCAGAGACAAAGGAGGAAAAGAGGTTGTGAGTGGTCCAGGTAGCCATGCGAGTATGCATACACAAATCTCCTGGCCCTCCTGTTACAGCCCACCCTTGTACTGTTCTTGGGCTGAAGGAAAGCAAGGCCAGACAAAGTGAGCAGAAAAACGTGCTCAGCAGAGGTGAGCAACAGAACATGGGCTGGATAAACTGGATGTGGGGGGCTATAAGTACACAAGCCCTGCATTCTTGCTGCCTTCACCTTATGTTTGCCTCAATGAGGACAACAGCCAGAAAATTCTTTAGTAACCTTGTTAGTATCTGGCTCTTAATATTAAACTACAAGAACAACTGATACATGACTAGTAGTTTTAAAACATTGCCTCAATTGATCCTTACAATGACCCAGTAGGGAATAAAATAAGAAAAACATTATTATCACCATTTTTATAAATGTTGACGCCAAGGCTCAGAGAAGCTAAGTGTTCTAAGACCATGAACCAATCAATTAAGTGAAACAAACCTGAACCCAGATCTTCTGACTTTTGTATTCCAATATGTGTTCTATTACACTACGTGGAACTGCCTCTCATATAACCAATTATTATAAGGAACACATATTACTCCAATCTATTTATACACCAAAATACAGAAACTTAAACAAATACCATTAGCAGCTGAAGTAATGTTAGAGCCACATTTGAAAAATGTTCCTTTTTTTTTCCTGATGCCATCCTATAGTCGTGACTTCCCTAAAATGACTGATACCGTATTTTCATATAATTTGCCACCTTTTACCTACAAAGAACTCCTTCCTTTTTACTTCCACATATGACCCTAAATCTTATTCTATGCATCAAACTAAGGACATAATGCTCTATAGAATATAAGCCTTGGCCATCTCTCTCTATGCTTCTCATTATTCTCCAAGAGCTCCTCTTATTTTAATATAACTAGTTCTGCTTATGTCGCTTTATTTTAAATAATCAGTGTTCACTATTCAGGTGATGGCTACACTAAAAAGCCCAGATTTCACCACTATACAATATATCCATGTAACAAAAGCACATATTTACTGCCCGAATCCATAAAAAATTAAAAAGAATCATTTATTGTACATCTTTTATATGCTGCACACTGTGTTAGACATTTCCTCATATATAATCTCTCTGATCTTCATGGACACTCTATAAATTAGACATTTTATTCCCATTTCTCAAATAGAAAAACAGAAGCTCAACACAGTTATGTAATTATCCAAGGTCAATGGCATTATAACACCAGCATGCCAATACATAAACACAGCATTTTAATACTCCAAGGCAATACTCTACAAACTGCAACCAGAACCAAAACCAGATTCTCATTCTTCTACAAAGAGAGAGAGCATACAATCAAGGTTGAAAATGCTGCTTCAGATCTCCTGCTTGTTTCAAAAAAAAAAAAAATGGTGAGAGATTAAAAATCTAAAAGTGTTGAGAGATTAGCTAATCATGACAGTATTGAATAAAGAAAGATAAGGAAGTGTTCGAGTTGAGCAGTCAGTCTTGACTGCAAAGGGCATTAATGATTTGGGAGCAAGATGCTGGGGACATTTTGTGGCTGAAGAAGCACAAAATCCAATCCAGTTCTTGGCAGAAAACATTTTGGAACTTTTACTGGTATAGTCATCCTTCAACACTGCCAAGAAGGAGACCTGTATTGATTGCCTTGTCTCTCTCTCACAAATAAGATGAGTAGCTCAGTGGTTCATGCCTGAGCAAAGTTTACTCCTGACAGTTTTCTGATCTCAGTGTCTCTGTGAAAACAGAGAATGACTCCATGAGCCCTGGAAACCTTTGCTGATGGGCTGTACACAATTTAGCAGGAGAAACAGGGCCTGAATTCCTCCTCCCAGAACTTAAAGGAAAGAAACACTAGATAGGCAATTGAGTAGTACTGATATTCAGAGGAAGACAGAAGGAGTTTGACACCACAAAGAGCTGTGGACAAAGTACACACACACACACACACACACACAGTTCAATTCCAATGACTGGTTCTCAAGGAAAGCCAAAAGATTTACCATTTGGCAAAACTATAAGCTAACTTCATTCCAATGGTATTCTAATCCTACAGTTACAAGTCACTAAATTAGTTTCCTTCACGTTTAAAAGTGGCCCACTCTGCCGTGACAGTTTAACTTTAATGCACTCCACTCTCCCACTTTGATGTTTTATTTGCTCTCTCTAAAGTATCTCTTGTGTTCCTTTATCTTGTCTCACACAATATATTATATTTGGCTATGCAGTGGCTAGTTGTGACACCCAAAGAATAGCATCTGGTTTTACAGAGCATCTCATTTATACTCAGGATACAGCAAAGCACTTTACAAAGCAATACATTATGGGAGATAACAGTAGCAGAGGGGCTGTGAGACAAAGAGGCTACTTTGAATACAAACTCAATTTCCAACATTAAAAGGGGATTCATTGAGGGAAAGCATGTAGTCCAAGATAAGCAGAGTGGCTTTGCTCCCTTCCTCACAGAGACCATAAGTCTTGATGCACCTGCTCTAGGAAGTCTTGCTCTCCCTGTAGAATTGAGCATTGCTTCCTTTGGGCTCTCACCATAGCCTGCATGTATCTATCTAAATACACATAAACTTTTATTACCAATATATGATGATGTGTCCACCTACTTTAACTAGTTGATAACCTCCTTGTGAGCAGGGACTTTTTCAATTCAGTAATTATTGAGCACTTATAACCTAGAGAACTTTTTTCTTTTTCTTTTTTTTTCTTTTTTTTTTTTTTTTTGGTGGGGAGGATGCAACAGATACAGATTCTATCCTTCAGGACCATGGTCTAGCAGAAGATACAGACATAGACCCATAAGGAAAATGTTTTCCTCACTTTTATTCATATTCTTGAGCTCTAACAGTGCCTCATATGCAATAAGGAAGGACTCAATAAATGGTGGCCAATACTGAGTTTCTACCATTAGGTTGAACCATATAAAATTGTTAATATTTGACCATTTTTGACCTGCTAGTCAAATAGTTCAACCTGCTGGGTACCAGATATTATTATTGCCAGGTAAATTTCATGCATTATTAGATACTCACAAAAACATTGTAAGTCATACTTTCCTTTTATTACAAATGAGAAAACTGAGGGTTAAGTACATGACCAAGATTACACAGCTAATAAGGGATGACATCAATTTTCAAACCCAAGTTTGTCTGGCTCCAAAGCCCTTGCTCTTTCCCTTCTGGGGCCTCTCAGTATAATATGAGTGTTGAGTGAATGAATGAATGAATGAATGAAATCCCCAACCAAAACCAACTGACGTTTTAATACCAGTTCTGTGTTAACACAGTGCCTGAGGATGGGCGAGTCACCTAATTACCATCTCTATGCTATCATCGGTGAAACCAGGATAATATACCTAACCTACATACCTGAAAGATTTTTGTGAAGATCAAATGAAAATATGTATATGGAAGTGCTTTGAATAATCTAAAATACTCCACAGATCCAAAGGATATTACGTTTAAGCTTCTATAGAAGCTGTTCAAGGAGCCTAGCTATTTATGATAGCACAAAGTGAGTGTGTGGGAGGTGAGGGTGAAAGAATGGCAGACAGAGGCTGAAAGGAATGTTAAGAGGAACCGCGCATGGGGCAAAAGATGTTAGTTCCCTGAGCGATATAACTCCCTGAAGATGTCCCATAATGGCCTCGGGGTAGCAGCGACCTCCACTGACAGCTTACTAGTCATGTAGATGAATTCAATAATCACTCAGGCCAGGGCCAGTATTGGGAATCAGTGGAGCTCAGCATATCGAAATCATGCCATGAATTCAGAAACCAGGGTGCACCAGAAGGACCAGCAACAAAGCAGCAGGATTAGAGAGTTGACTGTTCACTCATTTGGCTCTTTGCCTCCTTGAAGCTTGGGCTAAGTGATCCCGAGATCCATAGCAAACAGAAGGCCACAGGAGCTTATCTTCATGCTGGTAACTGGTACAGGGTAACTATAGCAGGAAACAGTCTACACTTTGCTCAGAGCAGGCTCAGAGCAGGCTCAAAGGGAAGATACATCTGGGTGAGAAGCCAGGCCAACCCTGTCCTTAGAAAACTGAGTCCTGGGGCAACCACAACTGGAAGAATAAAATGTGACTTAATCAATAATTAAGTCAAAAATATTCCAAGCACCATCCCTTAATGCAGTCAGGACATTATTTGGAGTGATTCAATTAAGGAGACTATGACTGGAATATGACAGGCAGTGAGTGAAGTTAAGATTAAGATGCCAGAACTATGTATCAGGTCCAGTTTTCCAAGCTACCAATAAAGACAGAAAGTTAAGAGACATAGGCTTAAAATATGTCACATTAGAGAGTGGGGAAACAATAATTCTCATACAATGGAAGTCAAGAAGAGTATAAACGAGTATAACCTTTTTGGAGGTCAAAGTGGTAGTATCTATCGAAATTTTAATATCAAGACAAAATAAAATTCAAAGGCAAAAAATATCAAAAGGGACATTAAGTGGTATAACATATAGGTACCAGGAAGAAGCAATCATTATGAACACATATGAGGCTAAAATATAGACTTTTCATGTATAAGGCAACAACTAAAATTTACATGGGGAGAAACAGACAAATCCAACTGACAAAAGATCTTATTAACTAAGACATAAAAGATTTTTTTAAAGCATGAGTTATAAGTTCGAACTAGTTCAGATACCTAGAAATGTATATAGAACAGAGAATAGATGTTCTTTTTAAGTACATACATGAAAAATATTAAATCTACAAAAATACATCAATAGATTAAAAAAATCAATATGAAATCAATTGTCATTTTTCTATAATGTGATTAAATTAAAAGTACTTTTTAAAGGTACTAAAAATACTACATATCCAAAATCTTAAAAAAAAAAAACTTGTGATTAAATAACTATAAGGTTAAAAAGGAAATCATAAGGGAAACTAAAATTCCTTTGAACAGAATAACAATAAAAATACTAAATGTCAGAATTTCTAGAGCACAATTAAAGCATTTACAGAGAAAAATACACTTTTAAATACATTTATAAGAAACCAAGAAAATAAAATATGATTAATTATAATTAAGTTTTCACTTACTGCATTAAAAACTTAACAGTCAACCCTAATAAACAAGAAAATAACAAATGAATGAAACACAAGACAAAGAAAAGCAAAAAACAAAACTGATCTTTTAAAAGACGTAAAGTCCTGACAAGATGAATCAAAAAAAAAAAGGAGAGAAAATGCGAATGAAAGAGAAAATAACATATATAATAGAAATTTTGAAATAATGAATATTATGAAAACTAGTTACTTTTCCATTTAATGTGTAATATATAATAAAAATGGCAAATAGGGAAAGGGGCTGAAAAGAATGTAGAACATTTGAATTAAGTTTTAGAAATTTTAGAAATTGTTATTAAAGCCCACACCCCTAATGTGACAAAACTACTCCCTACCCTAGTCCTCCACTTCCCACCCAATCATCCCACCAGCCCACCCCACCTCTGCCAAAATAAAAAGAAGCAAAAGTGGTACAGATGGTTTTATAGATTAAGTATATCAAACTTTTAAGAAGGAAACGAGCCTTGCTCATATAAGTGGAACAAAAAGAAAAAGACGGAAAGCTTGATTCTAGATTCAGATAATTATAAGAAAAGATTATTATAAACCCCTTCCACTTATGGACATAAAGGAAAAAAAAAACCTTAAAAATTAGTGGCCAGGCACGGTGGCTCACACCTGTAATCCCAGCACTTTGGGAGGCCAAAGTGAGCAGATCACTAAAAATACTAAAAATACAAAAAATTAACTGGGTGTGGTGGCACGTGCCTGTAATCCCAGCTACTCTGGAGGCTGAGGCAGGAGAATCCCTTGAACAACGGAGTCAGAGCTTGCAGTGAGCTGAGATCATGCCACTGTACTCCAGCCTGGCAACAGAGCAAGGCTCCGACTCAAAAAAAAAAAAAAAATAGTGCTAACTAAAACACAGTATATTTTTTAAATAGTAATCATCATCACCATGATCAATTGCGGTTTATATCTGAAATGCAAGAATGGCTTAACTTCAGAATATGTATCAAAATAATTCACCACATTAAAGAACTAAATGAGATATTTACATGAATATCTCAGAAAAATGCAGATAACATACTTGACTAAGGGAAATATATATGATAGAAATGTTAAATTGTGTTTAAAACAAACAAATAAAACATCACTCTTTGATAATAGGAAATCAAGAGATCGTCAGCCTTTACCTGGTGGGTACATCCAATAACTGTAATCTATGTAGGAATTAACAAAAGTCTTAACAAGACCTCTACAGCAAAAATTTGAAAACTTTATTAAAAGATTTGAAAGAAGACCCAAACAATGTAACCATATACCACATTCATGAATGTGATATCATAGTATTTTAAGTTCTATTTTCTATCATTTCAAGCCAATTCTTATCAAAATAATAGTAAGATTTTAAAAGAAATGCTATAAATTTATTCTAAAATGTATAAGAAAGGATAAAAGTACCCAAAGAACTATTAAACACAATGTCCTTATCTGAACCTATAATGAAACTGTGCTATGAACTAAGAAGTATGGTTGACTCAATTCTGCAGAACAGATCCAAAATAATTTTTAATTAATACATTTTTAAGAATTGTAAGTTCCAAGTCAATTAAAGTTTTAAGTTATACCTTCTAAATTTAAATCTAGAGAAGCAGGGCAAATGTTGAACCAAAGAAGTGATCTTGACTCAGAATGCTTAGCTTAGGCAATACATGCATTCATCAACCATCTGAGGTAGGAAATGTGAGTATCACAGATGACAAACATCTACTTTTCAATATCACTATTAAGTAGAAGACCAATATCTATTTTTGTCAAATGGCATCTATATATTCAGGGCATTTAAAAATCCAATTTCAATCCTCTAAATGCACTTAGTGTCTGCTAAACTACTAAATATCATCCAAGTCTGTAGAAATAACACATAAAAGGCACCAATCTTTGATTTGAATTGACTTGGAACCTACACTTCTGTGTTCTGTTATTTTCCTCCCTCTCACACTATTACCATCATCCGTTACTCTTTTCAAGCTTTTGAGCTCCCTTGCCCTGCTCTTTCTTCAGAAAGGAGCAAGGTAAGAAATCCTGAGAGTCTGGGGCATGGAGGCAGGGGCTGAGACTGTGCCCCTGTGAAACCAGTGGAGAAAGAAATATCTCCCTGGACATGCTAGATACATGCCCAATTCATTTGTCATTGAGTGACCCACATGACAATAAACAGGGATCCTTGGTCCTGGAGTTGGGGAATTTACTCACCTAAATATAGTCCTGCAGAGAATTAACCCCAAATGGATTTCAACATATTACAGCCACATAAATAATGGAAACAGAAAATCAAAACCTTCATTAAAGCTGTTTCTTGGAAAATATTTGATCAGAGAAGAGCAGGATAGATGGGAGAGAGGGAAAAGACATAGGCTTTGATTATCCAAATCTCTGAGCCAGCAGATGAACCAACAAGTCCTCTTACATAATGCAGGTAAGGACGCCCATCCTAAGCCCCCCAGCTCCTGTAGACCCTTAGAAGAAGATGGCCCCATCACTGCCAAAAGCAAAGGTGATACTGGATCTCTTGGCAGCAATATTTCTGCTACATCTTTCCTGGAACCTCTCCCGAGTAAGAGCCTTCTCATTCTTCGTTCAACCAGACCTGTCACCTGGGCTCCTTCTTGTCCTTACAGCACTTCCAGTGGCTCAAGCCAGGTTTTTCTATCTGAGCTGTTCTTTCCTGCTGTATGCACAAAGCAGAAGTATCACTTCTACTGTCACCCATATTCTTGATACAAGGTTTGTACAGATAACTAATAAAGGATTATAAATCACTTTACATGTGTGCATTTTAATAGAAATTTGTAATACAAACGTAGATGATTATCAGTACTCTCACCAGCAGCAAACACTCACGGGTTTTTCTTTTTTCCTTAATATGTTGCAAGAGCAGACATCAAAATTGCTCAAAGTTCCTCTCCTAATATCTGCACGCAGTTCTTAATTATAATTAATTTATAGGCCTCCAAGGACAGTGTGGGCACTGCTGAAATCCAAACCTTTTGAAACCTGATTCTGATTATTACCATTTGGCAGCAGATTAGGGCAATTGTGTGTATTGGTTTAACAGCAAAATAGCATTTTCAAGTGTTAATAAAAATTATTGGCTTGTCACTATCTATTAAGAGGGGGACGGGCAGTGAAAATGAGCAGATGATAAAAGGAGAAGCACAGGAGCAGGGCAGCAGGAAAATCTCAACTGGGAAGGAGTCAAAGGAAGATACTGGAAGGACTACAGAGAGCAGGGAATAGGGGACAGACCACCAAACCTATAGGCATCTACCCAGAAAACAGTGGTGTTCTGAGCTACAGATGAACAGCCTGCACTAGAGGAGATTTAAAAGTAGGAGTTATATAGGTAAACGTCTGCCATAGTAGTTTCCTGCAGAGATCAACCCATCACCTTGGTATTAAGCCCAGCATCCATTAGCTATTCTTCCTGATGCTCTCTCTCCCCCACTCCCTCCCCACCCCACAGGCCCCAGTGTGTATTTTTCCCCCATTCATGTATCCACGTGTTCTCATCGTTCAGCTCCCATTTATAAGTTTACCTATGTAACAAACCTGCACATCCTGCATATGTACCCCAGAACTTAAAATAAAAGTTGAAGAAAAAAAATAAAATAAAATGGGCGGGCCCTGTGGCTCACGCCTTTAGTAATCCCAGCACTGTGAGAGGCCAAGGTGGGTGGATCACGAGGTCAAGAGATCGAGACCATCCTGGCTAACATGGTGAAACCCTGTCTCTAATAAAAATACAAAAATTAGCCGGGCATGGTGGCGAGCGCCTGTAGTCCCAGCTACTTGGGAGGCTGAGGCAGGAGAATCGCTTGAACCCAGGAGGTGGAGGTTGCAGTGAGCTGAGATGTCGCCACTGCACTCCAGCCTGGTGACAGAGCAAGACTCTGTCTCAAAAGAAATAAAAAGTAAAAAATAAAATGAAATGTAGGTGTCGAAGAAGGCTATTTCCAAGCCCCAACCCCCAAAACAATCTGCTCTGTAGCCCAGACATATTCCAAGCCACCGCATCCCTCCACAAAGCCTCTTTTGCAATAATAATCATGTTGTTTTGTAATGGAGAGAGCAAAGCTTTAGAGTTAATGGACTCACTTTTAACATTTAGTCTTAATTTGCTGTGCGATCTTTACCTCTCTAACTGCAAGTCCTTTATCTGCAAAATGTGAGATAACTACTGCCTTCACAGAATCACTGTGAAGATCGATTCATTTGATAAATGTTTGTTGAACATTTTCCATGGGCCAGGGAACCTGCTAGGAGACAGGATCCAACACAGAATGGGAATGGGATCCTATCTCCAAGCAGCCATTAGACTAGTGGCCAAGACAAATAAACAGGAAATTACAGTATCATGTGAGAGGGCTGTGACAGAGCATGCCCAGTGCTACCTAAGAGATCAGGAGAGTAATGAGCTAAGGACGAACAGATAAGTAGGAAATAGTAGTGAAAACGGCAGATTGAAATTACAAAAGTAATAAAATATCATTTAGAAGATCCTTATAATCTTTTGAAGAAAGCAAGGCCCTAAAGTCAAAAAGAGCTAGAATTGAAACCTGGCTTTGACACTTATCTTGGGCGGGGGAAGGAAGAGAGTAACTTAAATTACCTAGACCTCATTTTCTTCTTTATAAAATGGGAATTATTATCCTCACCTTACAGAGTTGTTGTGAATATTAAACAATTTACTTGAAAGCATCTAGCACAATGCAGTTACCTGATATTTATTCATTGAATGTGAATATATTCTGTTCAGAGGCAGACAAGGAGCTTCTGTTGACTCCAATTACTTAGAAAGGAGTCAAAGAACTTCTGCCCTCCCACCTCCTTCCCTGGCTTTAGCACAATTTCTACTGACCTTAGAAATAGGTTGTTTTAAAAAGTCTGTAAGTGACAATCTCATGGGTAATGTAAACAATACTTAAATTCTAATCCCAGGGAGAGCCAGCACCTACTTCCTCACTCCCTCCCTCCTACCAGCCACCAAATAGCCACCAAATTTTATACAACTATCATATTACTGACATCAGAATAGTCACACGTCAGATTTGGAATCAATATCTTCAATCACAAAGAGTACTGGAAAGGAGTATAGAAGTACAGGAAAGGCAGAAGTCACACTCACTGCTTTTGCTAGTAACAAGGCTTTTCTTGCAAACCCTAATGAAATGAGGCAGGGACTATGTCTTATTTATCTATCTCCAGTACTTGGCAAAGCATGTGGCATAATGGTAGGTGCACAATGAACATTTGTTAATGACATTAATGAATGAACCAGACCAATAATGAGTTGCAACTCTCTAACTCCACTGATCAGAAACAAAGGCACTGTTCTAGGTCTTTCATTTCTCAAGGGTTATTATAACAGAAGGGCAATACAATAAACGCCAATATCATTTCCAACTTCTTGATATATAGGGATCATTTCTAGGTCAATGTTGTTAGTTGGTAATTGCCTATGTATCTGGATGTATATTTGTATGTGTAAATCAATGTTTATATGAGAGTTGCATGTGTGTGAGCTCAAATTAGCCCTCTTTCCCTTGGTCTCTGAGCTATAGGATGGTTCTGCTGATGGAACATGGCACCCAAGTATGACTCAGACTTCACCTCAGAGCCAAGGTTTAAAACAAGCTTTTGAGACTATACCTCAAAGAGAGCCCTGTAGCTAGGCCAGTGTCAATAGGGAACAAAAGCTGCATTATTTCAGCTTCCTGGTTATCAGGCCAACTATAGGTGCAATCACACATTTCCTAATATAAATTTCCATCATTATTCCTACCAGTGTACATAGTTAGCCACACAACTAAGCATAACCGAATTGTGAACTTGTTAAAATCCCTCTAACATTACCTGTGTAACTGAGCACCTATTCGAAGCATTTATTATAAGTTGAAGCTTTACTCTTTAGTTGTTCTTGCCTTCCTCCTCTCTCTCCTTTCTCCCAAATTATAGGATGGGTAGAATAATGGGGTAGGAGGCACACAGACTGAGGAAATTGTTAGGCCTTGTTACAGTTCTACCACTGACAAGCCTGTGGCTCTATTTCCTGATCTCTGAAATAAGAGAAATGAACTGGTTCTTGAAGTCTCTTCCAGCTTTAAAATTCTGTGAATTCTGGTCTTCCACTCACCACTTAAGATCTACTCTCAGGCCAGGCGCAGTGGCTCACACCCATAATCCCAGCATTTTGGGAGGCGGAAGCAGGCGGATCACTTGAGGTCAGGAGATTGAGACCATCCAGGCTAACATGGTGAAACTGCGTCTCTACTAAAAATACAAAAAATTAGCTGGGGGTAGTGGCACACACCTGTAGTCCCAGCTACTCAGGAGGCTGAGGCAGGAGAATTGCTTGAACCTGGGAGGCGGAGGTTCCAATGAGCCGAGATCGCACCACTGCACTCCAGCCTGGGTGACAGAGCAAGACTCTGTCTCAAAAAAAAAAAAAAAAAAAAAAAAATCTACTGTCTACTCCGCTCTGCGCTAAGCCCTGGGAAGCAGACCTGTTTGGACTATATGGTAAACTTCCCAGTCGTCCGGTTTCCAGGTGGGTTTCGCCAATAGACAACACAATCAGGAGATGAGTAGGAACAAGACCAAGACAGGGCTATCGACTCCCCCGACCCACTTCCCTTTCTGCCACTCACTGTGGGCTGGTTGTATCACTTGACTGAAGGTCACAGCTTCCGCTAAGCAATCCTCTCCTCATGACTGGCTCCATACAGCCTACTTCCAGACTTCAGAAATTGCTCCCACCTTCCTCCTTCGGGGCCACGGGTGGTGGTAGCTACACCCAGCTGCTACTAGCTCCAGGATGCCAGTTCATTTCTTGTGGTTTCTGTGCACTGTCCACACCTTGGTAAATAGCCCTTTGACTGAACTATCTTCAAATTAAACAAATTGAGTGCGGCTTCTGTGTTCTGCTGTGACTATAAATGATACAGATTCCTCCTGAGTTCCACAATAATACCTATGAGGCTTTCTTTGATTCAAAGTGGCGAAAGCAAGACCTGAATTCTGCCACCACCACTCCACCACTGAGTCGAGTATGGCCTCTCCTGATGCTACTCCCTGCTTATCCTCAGGCCCTGCTGAGCAGCATCGTAAGCAGCAATGGTCTCCAGGTGCCTGGTCCTCAGCAAAGAACAGATAAACAGCTGAAGACTATTTCAAGAGAACAACCGTCGGGAGCCAGCATTTTGAGAATGAGAAATGTAAAAGCACTGGGAGTCAGAAAAATATAGCAAGCAATTATTAGAATGACTACAAAATAAAATTCAGAGAAAGGCAGTGCATTTTCACTCAGGGAAAATGTGGTCATTAAATGGGACTTTGCTGAAGAAACAAATTGGTTAATGAAGCCCTAACTTTTTATTCTTCTCTTTGATTTGGTCGGAATCTGATTCATGAAAAAATTGAGTTTTAGAATCAATTTTTACTGACTATACAAATTAGAAACCAAAGTATAAGGAAATACAATCATGCGTGGCTTAATGACAGAGCTATGTCCTAAGAAATGCATCATTAGGCGACTTCATCATGGTGCAAACACTATGGAGTGTATTTACACAAAGCTCGATGGTACAGCTATTGCACACCTAGGCCATATGGGATAGCCTATTACTCCTAGGCTACAAATCTGTACAGCATGTTACTGTACTGGATACTGTAGGCAGTTGTAACACAGTGGTAAGGATTTTTGCATCTAAATACATCTAACATAGAAGATGTGCAGTAACGATACAGTATTATGATCTTACAGAACCACTGTCATTATAGGGCACATGACCGTATAACAACACAAGAAAATAAAAAGGTGATATTGCAAAGAAATATATAACGTTAACTTTGTGGTTTTTCTTAATATGCAGAAAAGAAATTAGAATTAGTAAAAAAAAAAAAAAATGAGAACTGTTTGTGAATCTTTTCCTGTAACAGTAATAATATAGTTGCAATTTGGTCACCCTTCACATTTCATAGTGTTTTTGAAAGCAAGTAGCTGCTCTCTCTGAATCCAGCCTCTTGACCCTGCTAGAATAGCACATATATCAGGCCTGAGTGACCATGTCCACCATCGCCATAGGAATGGCAAGGGGGACAGGCCGGTACAGTCAGTGCCTCCTTGTCCATGCCCCACTGAGGCCAAATGGAGCTCCTCCCTGACATGCCGGACACAGCTGCAGGCCAGGCCAGAATCCATGGGCAGAATTCTCCAAAATCAGATAAAGGGAGTACAATCAGGATGTCTGCAACTCTCCCACCTTAAATTAAATGTTGAAAGCTGAAAACTTGACTTACGACTTCACACACCAGCTTCTATCCCTCTGTCCTCAAAAGTCCAATGAACCAACATGTCCTTATTGTGTGTCCATCTGTGAGTCACTGTAAAGTGTGATAAGGAGTCAGAATTCAGCCACAAGGACCTGACACCCCTGCACAGAAAAGCACACACACTCCCCAACACAGGACTGTCAGGGCCGCAGAGAGGGCTAAGGCAGTATAAAGACAAGGGCACAGGGACTGCCCTGGCCTTGGGTCCTGGAGATGCCTTTATTAGGAAGCAGCTTTTGAGCTGGACTAAAGAGCACCGAGGGTATCTGAGGAAAGGAGCCAAAATACAAAAATGAGGCTGCCTTAAGTCAGAAAACAAGTGAGGCACAAAACATATTGGGGAATGAGAACAGCGTGGCCTGGCCAGGAGCAAGAGCCCACGGAAGGAATGTTTGGAGAAAAGCTGAAAAGGCAAGCCAAGGAATTGGGGATGCTCAGCTGGCGCTCGGACTTAACGCTAGAGATGCAACCAAAAACAATGGAAGATCGGGAGGAAGAGGAACAGATCTCCCATCGCTAAATCCATTTTATCCTCAGCTTCCTAGGTGACTGAAACCGCAGCTGCCTCTGAGAGCTGTTTAGGAAATCAGCTAGGCTGGCTTATTACAGCATGGAAATTCCTTCCCTGCCTCCCAAAAACAGCAAATAAGCTGTCACTGTTGAGAAGTGAAGACCCCAGTTTATAATGATTAAGAAACTGAAGTGCTTAAAAATAACATTCAATGAAGCGTTTTCAATTGAAATAATATTCATGGAAACAGTTTTCTTCTCTACACGAAAACTTCCCTCTGCTCACATGAACCTAAGTACAATGACCCTGGGCTACTGCCTGCAACTGCCCTGTGTACAGACGCCTCTCTTCACTCATCTCTAGCCCAAGTCTTCCTTCAGCTCTTGCCTTCCTGTTTACTGTGTTCACTCTCATGCTGTGCAAAGGTTGTTCCACAGCCTATTTGAGACCTCGCATCTGGAGGCAGCTTTGTTTCAGTTTTCAAATTCTCTTGCCTTGCTTTGGCTGACAAAGGGGTATAAGGTTGTGTGTGTGTGTGTGTGTGCGCGTGCGCGCACGCATGTGCGCAGGTGTGCATGCACATGTGCACACGAGAGTATGTATAAAAAAGATAACTTTATTTCTATTCATTTTGCCTCTCCTACTCCATCCTCTTTGTTCTATTCCTCACCTTGTGTCTTAAATCTGTCTTCTCTATTCTTAAAATATGTTCATGAACAACTCCACTTGCCGCTTTTTTTCTGCTGTTCTAATTTTCCCTGGTTGTCCTTTACAAGATTTGTCACCTGTTTCTTCCCCCATTGCACCATCCACCTCAACACTTAATCTCTCCACATTTCCGTGGCCCACTAGCACCTGGCGGTCTCCTTCGGCACCTCTTCCTCTACTCTCTTCCCTTGCCTGGGCCATTCTCTCTTGTTCTTCATCCTGTCTCTTCAGCGGGTTTCATTTCTAGACCAGGATATAACCATGACCCACCAATCCCCTGTCCCCCAACTGAGTCAGTGACTCAAAAGTTACTCTTCCTTAACTAGAAGAAAGGCCTGGTTTCACACTTTTATCCATCTGCCTAGTTGCCTGGCCTCACTGCAAGGTTGACCCATCTAAAACATTTTCACAAGCTCTTCGCATGCCCTTGTCATTTTCGTTTGTCTAATATATATTCAGGCCTAAGTCAAACCCTGCTATTTTCTCTACTTTAGCACCGAATTCTTTCTTCATCACCCGATGCAATATCCTAATATTTTCCAACAACCATCTTTTCTCTGGCTTCTCCTCTCATTCTACATCAAAATATCTCCATTAGAATCATTTTCTCCTGCTTGCCATACTACACTTTCCTTCCTCTAAAACCTGACATCTTCTCTCCTATTCTCCTCTTCCCTCAAGAATCTACATAGAGAGATAGTGATGTGGCTTGACAGGAACATACCTGATTCAGTCTGAGCTCTGCAGAGTTTAATGAGGGAATCACTAAGCCTTTACCTCTGCACCTCATTAATCATCTACACCTTAAAATTTACTCATTCTTCTATCATCCTGTGCATATATTCATTCCTACACCAACTCTCTAAACTGCCATCTGTCACCTCACCGCAGAGTCAATATGAGTCTTTCTTACACAAATCTCCCGGAGATAGATGAAGAAATAACGCAGAGATAAACTAGTGACATAAGATACAAACATAGTATATGTCTCATTTGCCAAGAGGAAGGGACACAGTTCCTGACCTAGAATGCTCTTGAAGGGTAGGAGATTCTGAGTTTATCAGGAGAGCTTTCCCAAGAGATCTGTCCTTTGGACAAAATGGAACTCTGGCAGAGGACTAGTGAAGTGCTCGGAAGCTCTCTGGAATTTGTCTGGATAAACGGAAGGCACCAAAGCAGGAATTCCCCGTCAATCAAGAGGAGGAAAGAGAAGCCAAGTAAGCCATAACAAACAAATAAAAATTTTTTTTTCAAAATTGGCAAATATGATCTATTTTTTAAAGAGGCATTGAGAAATAGTGGAAAATCCCTGGATTCGAGAAAGATTTACTATGTGACCTTAAGCACATCATTTAGCCTCTCTGAACCTCAGAGAGGCTCATCTCTAAAATATAAGCAACAATGCCTCTTTCACAGCGTTGTGAGACTTACGTGAGAAAATGGGTATGAAAGCAGTTTAAAAGTTGAAAGATACTATGCAAATGTGGAAGCTTGTTATTACTAAATGGGCCTGACAAAGACATTATTCATTTATGTATACATCAGTATGTAAATTTTAATTTATGAAAATCTTTTAAGATCCAGTTTACTGAGGTACAATTTGCATACATTAAAATTCACGCTTTTAAGTTTACAGTTCTATAGGTTTTTGACAAATATATACAGTATATAACCACCACCATAACCAAGATATAAAATATTTCCATCACCCCAAATATTTCCGTGTTCCTTTATAATCAATCCCTTAGCCCTCTCCTGTGTGTGACAATCACTGATGTGATTTCTATAATTTGCTTCTCCCAGACATCCTGTAAATGGAATAATACTGCATGCAGCCTTTTGTGTCTGACTTTCTTCACCTGACATAATAGCTTTGGAAATTCCTCAATATTGTTGTGTGTATCAGAACTTCATCCTTTTTATTGCTGAGTAATATTCCTTTGTATAGATTTATCACAATATGTTTATTGATTCACTGTTGATGGACATTAAGGGGTGTTACCACTTTTGGTGATCATGAATAAAGCTGCTATAATGTTCACATATGGTCTGTAGTGTGGATATATGTTTTTGCTTTTCTTAAGTAGGTACCTGACAGTGGGATTGCTAAATTATTGGTTAGAGTACTTTAACATTTATATTTAATTGCCAAACTTTTCCAAAGTGACTATCCCATTTTGCATTCCCACCAGCAGTTTCTCCACATTCTTACCATTCCTACCAACCTATTCTTTCCAAAGTCTTGTGAATGTTCTTTTTTTCCTTCCTTCTTACCTGCCTTTGGTCCTTCTTTCTTTTTGTTAAATTTCATTCATTTTACTTGGTGTTCAGTGGTAGCTCATTGTAGTTTTGAGTCGAATCTCCTGCCAACTAATGATGTGAAAATTTTTTTCAATGTTTATTTACCATCTTATCTCTTCTTTAGTAGTGCTTGTTCACATCTTCTGTCCACTTTGCAATTGAGTTTTCTTGCTATTGAGTTGTGAGAGTTCTACACATATTCTAGATATGTCCTTTATATAAAATATGTATTTTATAAATATTTTCTCCCATTTTGTGGCTGATCATTTTCTTAACAGTGCCTTTCAAAAAAAGAAGTTTTTGTTTTTATGAAGTCCAGTGTAATTAATTTTTTCTTTTATAGCTCATACATTTTGTATATCTAGAAAGTCTTTGCCTAAACAAAGGATATAAAGATTTTCTCCTGTTTTCCTCTAAAAGATTTTTAATTTCAAGAGTTGTATAATTATAGTTCTATGATACATTTTCAGTTTATTAATCACTTTACATGGCACAAGCTATGAGTCGAGGTTCATTTAGGGCTGTATGTATGTTTTGCATATGGATGTACAATTGTTTCAGCATCATTTTCTGGAAAGACTGCCCTTCCTCCACCACCTTGACACATTTGTCAAAAATCTACTTGTGGACTCTTTTATGCTATTACCACACTGTCTTGACTACTGTGCTTTTGAGTCTTACAGACAGGCAGTGTATGTCCTGCAACTTTTTAATTCCAGAATTGTTTTGCCTTTTTGGTTTTGCCATGTAAATTTTAGAATCAGCTGTTAATTCCTACAAAAAAAAAATCCTACTGGGAGTTTGACTGTGTTTTTGTTGAATCTACAAAAATTTAAGAAACGTAGACACCTTAACAATATTGAGTCAGATATTTTATAAAATTTATACCTAAGAATATCATGTTTTTGATGTTACTACAAATTTCTTAAATTTCAATTTCTAATTGTTCATTGATAATATATATACAATTAATTTTTGTATGACCATGTATCCTGTGACCTTACTAAACATTTATTTTAGTAGTTTTTGTGTGTGTGTATTTTTTGCTGCTTTCTACATAGACAGTCATGTTGCCTGGGAGTAATGATAATTTTTTTTCTCCTTCCTCTTCTTTTTCTAGTCCAATAACACTGGCTAGGACCTCCAATAAAAATTTTTATAGAACTAGTAACAGAGAACATCCTTATCTTCTTCCTTATCTTAGGGGTAGCATATTCAGTTTTTCAGCATTAAATAGGATATTACCTGTAGGGTTTTCATACCTTTGTCAAGCTGAGGAAGTTCCTTTCCGTTTCCAGTTTGATGAAATTTTTTAAATCATGAATATGTGTGTGTATATATATACATATTTTTGTCTTTTTCCTTTACAAGAAATATTTCTTTCCACTCTTGCTTCAAGATTCATTCTATGAACTTGGCTGCTCAAAAAGTAGAGACTTAAGAAGGGAGTTGTGCACTTAAATTAGCACATGTAGTGGTTATTTTGGTTAGAGTTTGAGAGATTGAGTGAAGGATCACAGAAAGTAAGAAACCTCCCAAAGAGGTTATAGCTATTCGTGTAGAAGATAATCAGGCCATAAAAAAATGCTGCAGACAAGATAATAGATTTGAAACTGATGAGGGGTAAAACACAGTAAGATGTGAAAAAAGTTGGAGAGGAAAATTGTGCAAAAGTGTTCCCTACACCAAAATTTGGGAGAAGTTAGTGGTGGGAAACAATGTAGAAAATAAGTTCTGTGTATTTTATATCAATTTCCAGATTTTAGCAGTAGTACATAAAAATGCAGAAGTTCCTATAGACAATGAAAGACAAATATTAAACCACAAAAAAGAGCAGTTAGGGTGAAAAATCTGACTTAAGTGTCAACTAAATGAAGACATTACAAGAATGAAATCTATCTCTAAATTGAGAGTGCAAGTATACATTCCTAAGAGATCTTCCTCACTAGCCGGGTGTGGTTAGAAGCCCTCTAAGAGGAACCTTTTCTCCCCGTTAATGTGAAAGATTTCACTCTTTCATCTTTCATGTCCACTTCATCCTCCATATAAATGTTCTTCCCCTGTGTTCTTCCCTCACTGCCCCTGCCTATAATCCAAATCCTGGTCCCTCTGTCACTCAACCCAGTGCTACCAGCAATCAGGTCTGAGAAGCACTGGTAACAAGATCTACAGGAGCGCTTAACAAGGCTTTTATGTATTGGTTTAGGAATCTACCAAGCTTCCTAAAAGAAGTAGTATTCTGAAGTTTTAAATAGGAGTCTCATAAACTGACTTTCAGAATACAACTTGTTCATTAGACAAAGTATTCATGCACAGAAGGAAATAAAGGTGGTAACGGTATATAGCTTAGTTGAGAGCACATATCTAATGCAGTGTTTCTCAAAATAAAATCTGCAAGCAACCTGCATCAGAAACACCTGAGCACTTGGCAAAATTGGCCAATATTTAGGCCTGATCCCAGGCCAGGTGATGTGGAACACCTGGAGATAAATTTGGAAATCTACATTTTCCACAAGCGCCCCAGATGACACTGTTGTGCACTAAAGAGAAGCCCTGATTAGAAGAGTGCAAAAAAGCCAATTGTCCCCCAACCCAATGCACCAAGTACACACAAGTCTCAGAGCAGTGTTTTTCCAAATATGCTCATAACTAGCATTTTTTAAGGGAATGAAATAGACCAGATCAGTTCACACCGTGTTGTAAAGGCAAAGATTATTTTCAGTTTAATATTTACCGGTGTATGTACTGGTTTGATGTTCAATGTATTTCTTAATTGGAAATGTTTTAAAAGCCATGGTTCATATAGTTCATACAGAAATTGCCTCCAAAGAAGCATCCTATACATCATCTGCTCCCACAGTTCCATATCACCCCACATGCTCTGGCTTTGAGCTAGGGCTGGGTGCTTGACCAAGCTCAACCAATTAGGAAAATTGGAACATAAATGCCTAGAAGCTAAATAAGTTAGCTGTGGGCAATGGACTTTTGAGGCCGACTAAACTGCTGGGTTGAGACTATCATTTGGGGTGATGGATTTTGAACAGAGGAGTATTGATGAACAAGCAGGAAGGGCCAGGTGGCAAAGAGAAACAGAAATGGCACCATCTGAGAAGCAAAGAATGAGAAGCAGAACCGAGTTCCCGCAGCCAGCAGGGAAAGGAGACAAGGAGAGCAGCTGCCTGGTTCCTGCAGCCTGCCCAATACTCACCCACCACCCTCCCCAGTTCCTCTTGAGGGCCATACTCCTTCCTCTATAATAAACCTCCTAATGCAAGCCAGCTCCGGGGGTATCAGTGTTTCTTAACCACATGTTTAGAGTATGATGCTTCTACAATAGAGGTTCACAGAATAAACCCTCACCCATAAACACTTATACAGTACTCATGTCACATGCACACTCCAAGTGCTTTATATATAGTAATTCACTTAATCTTCACACAACCCTATGGGGTAGATGTTATTATTAGCCCTATTAGCCCCATTTAACAGACGAATAAACTGAAGTACAGAAAATTCAAGTAACTAACCCAAGGTTACATGGCTACTAAATGGAGGAGCTAGGATACAAACCGAGGCAGTTATCTCTAATGCGCATGCTCTTAATCACTACCCTATATATCCTCTCAGATGTTAACATAGGAAAACAAATTAGATTTCAAGCCAAAAATTATTACAAAAATAAGCTGCAATGCTTTGGAGAAACCGTTCAATGATACAGGAGAAACAAAGACACAAATTTTTTTAAAAAGCACAGATGTGAATAAGGGGCTTCTTAAAACTTTTTAATAATTTGTAGTATTTATACAGGCAAGTACAATCATATAAATACATACATTATAAATGTACATGCAGCTCAGTGAATTTCTATTTTAAAACCCACCATTCATATTTTTCAATACTTTTGTAATTAGGAAGTGTAGTAAAATCTTCACAGGAAAAAAAAGTTTTCTCTATCCTCAAAACTGAAAAAAACCCAAAAGACTAATACGTAGGCATGGGATTACAAGGCACAGAATTCAACAGAACTCATACAAAAGGATCGGCAAAAGATAGCATGAATGGAAGTAGAAAAATAAATAAATAAAAAGAAATCTAAACTTCTAACAGAATGAATCAATTCTTAGTCAAAGTGACCTGCTTTTAGAATGCTTTGGGGATTTATTTCAGTCTTACTTATACTTACCCACTCATCTAGGACAAGTAATAATTATGGAAAGTGAGTAATGAAGACTGATGGTTTGTGGATCTCATGTATTTTATTTCTTTGGAGCAATCTCGAAAAGAAGAGAGGGACAACTGATGCCTCCATGGGTGAGTAGCTCTTAGGCATTTACTTCTGAAGCTTGCTTTGCAGCCAGGTATTACATTTACATAGTGCTTGCCCTCTAAAATGGGAAGAAAACTGTGTCATGTCCTCAAATATATGGTGACAATGGCTCTATCTTAGTGGCTGTGGACTTAGCCCCAGGACTGACGCAGTGCACAGTCCACCTTCAGCCACTTCTACAAGCCTGTTGGCTCCTCTGTCCTAATTCCAAGTCAGTTGAGCAAACAATAAAACAGCTGAATTGGTATCAGAAAGAGAAGGCAGAGAAATGAGAAAGGGAAAGAGAATGAGTGGAATGGACAGAATGTAAAAAGAAACAATTTTGTTTAACCCAAAAAAATCAATATACGGCCATGTATTGCTTAACAACGGGGACACGCCCTGAGAAATGTGTTGTTAAGCAATTTCATCATTGTGTGAACATCACAGAGTGCACTTCCACAAGCCAAGTTGGTATAGCTTACTACACACCTAGGCTCTGTGGTATAGTCTATTGCTCCTCGGCTACGAACCTGTATAGCCTGTTACTGTGCTGAATACCGTAGGCACTTGTAACACGATGGTAAGTATTTGTATATCTAAACACTTCTAAACATTAAAAAGGTGCAGTATAAATACAGCATAAAAGATAAAAAAAAAAAAATAGGCCAGGTGTGGTGGCTCACAACTGTAATCCCAGCACTTTGGGAGACTGAGGTGCGTGGATCACTGGAGGTCAGGAGTTCAAGACCAGCCTGGCCAATGTGGTGAAAACCCGTCTCTACTAAAAATACAAAAATTAGCCGGGTGTGGTGGTGCACTCCTGTGATCCCAGCTACTCGGGAGGCTGAGGCAGGAGAATCACTTGAACTCGGGAGGTGGAGGTTGTAGAGAGCCGAGATCGCACCACTGCATTCCAGCCTGGGAGAGGGAGCAAGACTCCATCTCAAAAAAAAAAAGAAATATCATATACAGTATAAAAGATTTTTTAAAACGGTATAAAAGATAAAAAAAAAAAAATGGTATAGGGCACTTACCACGAATGGAGCCTGCAGGGACTGAAAGTTGCTCTGAGTGAGTCAGGGAGTGAATGTGAAGGCCTGGGACATTACTGTACACTACTATAGACTTCATAAACATTGAATACTTAGGATACACTAAGTTTATTTTTAAGAGTTTCTTCAGTAATAAATTAGCTTACTATAACTTTTTTACTTTATAAACTTCTAAAATTGCTTAACTTCTGTCTCTTTTGTAAGACAGCTATAGAAAATATTTTCTTTCTGTATATCCTCATTCTATAAGCTTTTTTCTATTTTAAAAATTATTTGTTTTGGCTTTTAGATTTTTTGTCAATAACTGAGACACAAACATATACATTAGGCTAGTTCTACACAGAATCAAAATCATTAAGACGTCACTAGGCAATAGGAATTTCTTAGCTCCATTATCATCTTATGGGACCACCGTCAAATATGTGGTCCATTGTACACGTGGTCCATCATTGACCAAAACATCATTATGCAGCAGCACACAATTGTACATTACATATCTAGGCACATAAAACAATTTTGCCATCTACTGATTAAGCTTGAGATAGGACATATAAAATGCTTTTATATCTGAGTCTACTGAAGAAATTTTAAGTAAGCACAATATAATTACCCAGCTTAATAACAGTTAGTGCTTCATCTGCCAACTATTTTATAACCTTTACCTAATTAATTTTCACAAAACCTCTGCAAGGTATGCATGTATTAAATACCCATTTTGTAAATGGACAAATCACGAGCAAGAGGTTAAGTGACTACCTTAAAATGAATAAAAAGGCTAGCATGTGGAATCAGAAGGTGAACTGTAGTAAAATATTTCTGTTCCCCAAGACCATGCCAAACTCATTTTCCCCCGAAACTATCATGCTGTCAACCTCCTGGCATTATGGAATGGCAGCAAGGATGGATTTTCGCACTGGCAAAATTGGCATACACCTGTCTTTCATTCAAATGACAAAAAGCAGTACAATTTTCACAAGTAGATCTGAGCCCAGGAAGCTAACACGCTCAATGGTAACAGATACAGAGATGTACAATCAGGGAAACAATCCTCCCCTTCAGTGACCGTCATTCTCCAGCCTTGCTGCTCAGAGGATTTCATCTTGCCTAGACTTCTAAGAAAAGCCTGATCAAAACAATAGGCTGGCACCCTCCAGTTAGTGAGGATCGAAACTGTCTTCCTGCTCTAATTTTGTCCTCCCTGTACTGAGAGGATGTGAGTCCCTGCTGTCCACAAGACGTCAGCCTTCCTTTCAGCCCCTGCTGGGCTGACCCTGACTATATGGCTGGCCTATCTCGTTTCATGGACAATAAACATTCAGGACGTTGTTTCAACACAGATGAAGAATGGGTGTCCTTTCCTGGATGTTTTGCCACTCCTTACAAAATCACTGCCCCCTCCAGTAATTTTCTCTTGCCCTATCTCTCTGTTCTTTTTGGTTTTAACATCCTGTGAAGTCTGCCCACCTATCTACCGCCTCTAGTAAGCAAACTACATCAGGGATTCCTCAAATCTAAATCTCTTACTGATTGCTCTATAGGTTCTGAAAGCCATATTGGGGATCTGTAAGCTGCAGAGCCTAAACAGCATCTCAAAATCTGATCGTTTGCGGAGGACTGGAGGACAGGTACCACCACTACCCCATGCGCCCAGTGGCAGCACTAGAATTTCTATTCAGGAGAGGTTCAGTGGCAGCAATCTGGTTGGAGAAGAAAACCAGGGGACTTGGTATAGAGTAGCATTTCCATAGCTCACACTATTTTTACTTAGTGTATATATTTCTTGAGAAGAAGGGGTGCTTCACGAAGGCTTGTTGACAGTATGGGATTATATGTTTCTCCCACGACACCCCTTGTCTTATTGCTGTCCCTTGAACCAGCTTAGGCACTTAGATCTCTAGGATTGAACATGGAAGGGCCCATGAAATTAAATTCCTGGTCTGCAGTCTGGAAACAGTGTGATTCCTGCTCAGCTTCAGAGAAGGCAGAGTCCTTTGAGCACCATGCAGACTTTCCACCCTGGGAGACAGGTAGTGCCCTGGGTATCACAACTTTGAGGCTGCAAAGTCCAGTGGGCCCGGAACCCATCTGAGCAGGTTTCCTCTGCAGATGAGGCCTCTTAAGGCAATGGCTTTTCCAATCTTACACATTAGCCAAGCCAGCCAATCTCCGCTCCCTATCAGTATTAGTGATGCAGAGCCACCTTCAGCTGATTGCCATCTTTCATCTTCTGAAATGTGATTTTTAAATATGTTACGTATTTCATTTGTGCAATGCCCTGGATACTGGATTGGAACACAATTGCAGCAGATTACACTATTTATTTTACATACTTGAAGACAGAGCCTCTTGAACTCAATATGCAAATGCATGTGAATAATATGCAAATCTGTGTTTTCTGCCAAGACTCTGGCATTTTTCTTTTAATGGGACTGTGATTCCTATTCAAGAAGGAAGAACATCTTCCTTGCATCCCCCTGCACCAATGTTCTCCCCCTCCTCCCTTCAAGGTCCTGACCAGCTTGTAACTTCACTAAGTTTCAAAGCCCTGAAAAAATTACAGGCTCCACTGAATTCCATTTAAACCTATAATGGTCATTGTAAGGCATTGTTTAGTGCATATCTATAGATGTGCCACCAATGCAATGAGGTTCACACCATCTAACTGCCAATTTGGAATTTTATTCTTAACCTCATGGTTAAGACTGTCAGCAGTCTGCTTAATAAGTCTAAATTTAAATGTTCTCACCTACTGTACAAATGTGGCCACACAACCTTTCTAATGAAAAAAAAAATGCAGTTTACAAAGCTTTTTAAAGTGAAATTTACCATGGTGCTGGCAAAAGGTGTCAGACTGGCAACTGCAAAATTGAATCCTCTATTTAGCCTTAGAATGGTGAATTATAGGTATCTTACAAATGCTGCCTGCACCATCACCATTATGATCACCATCGTCAACACCAAAGCCACAAAAAGCCCAAGAGGTGCTCAGACCCAGAAGAAGCTACTGAAGAAGCCAATCAAATTCAAAAATTATTTACCTACTATGTAAAAGGCACTCTTCTAAGTTGTCTTAAATATAAACATAAGACAAGCCTTGCCCTTTAGAAGCATACATCTAATAAAAATGATGGCAATAACTAATATTGCCTTAGCACTTCTTTTACACCAGGCACCATGCTCCATCACTCAGCCTGGGACATGTCATTTGATCCTCATGACAATCATACTTGCCCAGGATTCTACAGTTAATAAATGACGGAGGCTAAATTCAAAGAAACCACCCTAGTGACTCATGAATAAATAACTGTTGAAGTGAAATGAATTGAAATTTCATAGGTGAAACACAACCGTCCCAAAGAACCAAGGTGAGATCCTTAAATTAAAACCTTCTCATAATAGGTTTTCATTCAGGGCCATAATGACAGAAGGGAAGAAAAAAACCAGAAGTCCCATCTCCCAATGGCCGAGTTCTAATTTGTATTTTATGCTTATATGTCAAATCCAATATAATGTCCTTACAGTTTTCCAGTCTTGGTCCTTTTATAAAGAATATTATTTTAAAAAAACTATTTCAAATTCTCATAATGAAATATCACACAGGCTAGATTTATCCTCCCTATGCTGGGAGTGGAATAAATGAGATTCCCTAAGTGATCCAGGGGGCCAGTGAGCACCCAAGATTCCTGGATACCATAAGCTGAAACAGGGCGCAGGCCAGAATGAAACTAAACTCCCATTGTCTCTAATCTCCAACAGCTTGCTTATTCCACTTAGCTTTGCAGAAGTGGTGGAGGTGAGGCAGAGACTGCCACCTTAGAGAAAGACACCTCTCCTTGTAAATACAAAACAGTCTCCTAAGCTTTGTGGTATATGAGAATAACACGGGGGCCTAAACTACCAACAAAAGTCCCAAGAGCTAACTGCAGCCCACATAAATCACATCGTTCCCTTGAGGACTTTGAGAGAGTGAAGGTTATCTACTTAGCCTCCTAGGAAGATATAAGATTTAAGAAACTGTAGAGAATGAATCCTATAAAGCTTGTTCTAAACGTGAATTCACCTGACTCCCTGAAAGAACATTCTCTTTCATGGAACAAGTGGGTTCAAAGCACAGAGTAAGCAGTCATCAGGGATGAGAACCTGAAGTCAGAACTGAATGATGACCTGACCAAAACCATCCCTGTGACCCCTTGAGAATCATTTAGTTAGCTCTAGATTTTGTTCAGTATTCAAATTGACTTGCTTAGCATTGATCAATGACTAGCACTTGGCCCATTATCTAAGTAAATTTGATTAAATTGTTTTGAACAGCCTTTGAATTACATCTAAACAGCCATATTTTAGAATAGTAAACATGCTCTATTTCACCACTGTTATCAATAAAATATTCATAGGGCTTACATACACATTGATTTCTAATCATATGGCCAACTACTGAAGAAGCATGTGTTTCTATTTTTCCTGTGCTGGTGAAAAATGATGCAGAAGACAGATAGTGGAGGGGAGGGGGTAGCAGAAAACATTAAAAACTAATACTTCCAAAAAAGGTTTTAATAAAATAGAAAAATCCTTAAATTGTCATATCAAAGGAAAAGAACATGAAAAATTATGATTCCAAATCAAATAATCCACATACAAAAGTAGGAAGAAATATACCAAAATATTGGATGATAAATGTTCATAAATTATTTGTTTAATCATTATTAACTAATGCCAAATCAGAAAAACTTAAGACTTGAGACCCCACAGTGACCTGGAAATCTGTGAAAAGATAGACAAACGTGAATCTCACTTTTATTTAATAGATATGTGCCTCAAAAGCTAAACATAAAACTCAAATCTATAAATGTATTCCACAGATATTTGAAAGCCATCTACTCAAAAGCACATAACTTACTATTTTAAACAATGATTTCGAAGAACTGATACAGGAAAATAAAATCAGCCAAGAATGAGCAAAAAAGGGAACTTAAAGTGACTTTTTTTAAAAAAAAGAAGGGGGCTTGCATTTATCTGATTTATAAATGGATGACACAGAATTATGTTCACAACTATAATAAAGAATTTAAAATATACTGTAGATATGAGCAGAAAATTCACAAAAGAGAAACCACAATGAAGAAACCTGGAAAATTGTCCGATATTACTCATAATTACAGAAATAAAAACACAGCGGTGGAGTGTAATTTTTACCTACCAAATCATAAAGATTTTTTATTTAGATTTTAGAGGGGGGTGGCCAAGGACATGGTGAAACACAGCACTCTCACATATTACTACAGTGAATATAAATTGATACAAACCATTTTAGAAAAGCCATTTGGCATTACAGATCAAGAGCTTTAAAAATGTGCATACCTTTGACCCCGTAATTCAATTTCTGGGAATCTTTCCTAAAGAAATAATGTAAAATACAGGCAGAAAAAGCTTTATATACCAAAATGTTCATTGCAACATCATTTATAATAGTGAAAAATGGAAAGTAATTAAATGGCCGACAGTAAGAAGGTGGTTAAGTAAATTGTGCTATAGCTTTATGACAGAATGCTAAGTAGCCTAAAAAAATTATGTTTACCAAGAGATTTCAATAACATAGAAAAATCTGTATGCTGTGATGCTTAATTTTAAAAAGAGCACCAAAAAACGGTGTGATTTCATCTATTTTAAAATGCATAGAAAAATGCTGGAAGGAAATAACAGAACATTAGCAGCAATTGTCTTTGTTAGAATTCGAGTGACTTTTTTTTCTGTCAACTTTTCTATTTTTTTTCCAAATATCCCACAATGAACTTATGTTATTTTTATAATCAGAAAAAATTATTAAAGTTATATGTTAAACATTGCTTAAGTATATATACCAGTCGATAGACAAAGGAAGAATAATACAACTGAAATGAGACAGAGAAACAGATTAATGGAGAATCAACCACTTCCTGTCTCCTTTTAGGTAATGCCACTAAATTTTTAAGGCTGTGTTGTAATTTAGCAATTACTAGCATATGAAATATTTACTCCATTAGTTGGATAAAATTAAGTGCCTAAATCTGTCTAGGGTCACATATTTCCCAGTCTTGACTGAAAGGAACCATACAATGAATCATTTTGGAAAGAATCATTTCTGTAAAGTAAGAGTCATGATCTAAGTTTGAGTTATCACATTTATTTAAAGTGCTGCACCCTCATTTGTGTGTATATAAAGGCATATGTACTTTGTGTAATTTTTGTGAATGTGTGCACATTGTGTAAATATATATGCATGAATATTAGAGCAACTAAGACTTGAATGGTTTGATTCAGTTCAACCTCCTCCTTCAACAGATGAAGAAACTGAGGTCCAAAGAAATCATGAGGTCAAAGAACTTGCTCAGGATCACTTGGCTGGCCAGTGGCAAAGCCGGTCTGAGAGGTTTTCCACTAATTTATATTGCCACATTTACACCCAGCATTATGACTGTAAGAAGCTGGAAAATTGAGATAAAGTTGCAGTAACATCCAACTCTTACCCTACGCAGGAAATAATCACTTTCACTTTAACCATTTTGTATGTTCCTTCATTAAAGGGACTTGAAAAAGCAGTTGGAAGTATGTGGCTGAGCCCTTAGATATGTATGTGACTGTCCTGGTGGTCACTAATATCTCAATTAGCAGAATAAACTGAAAGTAGAGGCTAAAGCACGTCTGTTTTGTTAGTGTTTTAAGATCAAAACAGGTCTTTCCAAAGTTTGAAAGGCTAAGAATTTCAGAAGTTCTTGAGAAATGACAGAAAAGTGGGTTAATAATGTAAACGGAACTCTCCAGATAATAAATATTTTACTGTTCTTGTACAACATTAGGCTAGCTATCCCTGCTTTGCAATTCTTGCTTGCTGTGATTAGCATATGTAAAGTTTTTCAAGGTGACTTATTAAGCTTATTATCTAGGACTTTAGAAAAAGTTTTGGAATGTAGATCTTTAGATCTTTTCATGCTATGTGAGCTCCTCTAACTTCAAGTTCTAATGAGGTGTGTGTTGGCTCTTTTTTAAGAGTCCTGTGCCTATTAATCATGGTACTATGGTATGTGGCAGAGGTTAAGTCATGACTTAAAACACTTTGCAGAATAACTAAACTCCCTTTATATCTGATAGGCTTTTACCAAATACATGTGTGCATACGATAGTATATCATATATATCCTATATTAATCTATACTATTTCAACAAATTCACTATGCAAATATTTTCTACATATACTAACTCAATGTTGATAACAAAATAGAAAATAAAGTACACAAACAGAGGATCGCAGTGTGATTTCAGAGGAGAGATTAGGTTTAACAGAAGGCTCTACCAACGAGGAGGCTCCTTTAACTGGCAATAAACTCAAAGCTGAGAACAGCAGGATCACACCAGGGGAAATGAGTAATAGTGAGGAAGATGGGGACAGGAGTGCAGAGCTGACAAAGCGAAGGTGCAGGATGAGCTTGGCTATGACAAGTCCACGGAGGATTGTAATTAAAGATCAAGACAGCCATTTGGAATAGACTCAAGAAGAGGATAGGGTGTCCACTGAAAAGAGCAAAGCGATGGGTTAGTCCTTCAGAAGGTCTGCAGTATTACCACTGGCCAGTGAGGGCATGCAAAGCATCCAAAGGAAGCAAAAAATGGACGATTAAAGGGAACGATCATTAAGGCCATAGTGGCGCCTGTAACGTTTGAAACATGTCTCCAAAATGAATATAATGTACAACTACATGGCAATGATCTCCTTAAGTCACTACAAAACTCCATTCCATTTTTTAAAATAATACTCATATGATGATCTCACAGCTCTGTGGACAGTAAAGTCCTTGAAAAAGAAAAGCTCAGAATACAAAATGTGTTGGGGGATTGGGGAGGGCCTTTGGGTATTTAAACATGAAGAATATTATTGTTTTATGAGCAAGTTAATTATATGCAATACAGTTCACTATGTAGCAAGCACTACCGACAGAGCTAGTGTGGCTTTCACATGCACTAGCTGGGTGACCTTGAGTAAGCTGTTTAAACTTTCTAAGCCACAGTATTCTCATCTGTAAAATGGTAAGAATAATATCTACCTTGCAGAACTCTTGTGAGAATTAAATGAGATAATGTATGTAAAGCAACTCAGAAAGATGCCTGGAACATCTGCCCCATAATAGATACTAGTTATGATAATGATTATGATGAGGATGTTACTTAAAATATTGCAAACATTCAAAATCCTCCTTCTCTCGCCCTTTTCAATTACCCTAAAAGGAAGCATCGTTCTGCCACTCCCCCTCCTACTCGCAACGCATCGATAAATGGACAAGAACTAGGAAAAGCCTGATGTGTTAGAAAAGTTTCTCACCAACTCAGCATATTTCCTCAGAACTTCTCAGTTCAGTCAGCCTCACTCACGCGGGGAGACTAGGGCCCAGCCTAGCTAGAGCCCCACTGCAGCACCTGTCCAAATTACCCCATCACTTACTCCATTAGCACACTCTAAATAAAAGACTCCCCAGCCCTGCCCCTGCTTCACCGGTAAAGCCAAAATCTACCAATGAGCAGGCTCCAGGGAGAGAAATCTTACTGTGTGATAAAGAGCACCAGAAGAGCATCAGCTTAGAGAGACTCCCAAATCCTCCATATTTGACAGAGTACAGATTTACACCTTTACCTAAAGAAAGGTCTCCTAAGCCTTCCACATTCTATTTCAATCTGTAGAAAATGTGGGTTCTCCCAATGAGTCGAGAGCCCTTAGACTCTTAGAAGTAACTAGCTATGAGATCTCAGGCAGGACACTTATCCCTCTGGGCCCTGGGATTCCCCGCTAGAAAATAAGAATGTTGTATTAGGTAATCTTAAAGGTCTTTTCTGGAAATAACAGCCTATGAATCTTTAAATATCATTTTAAAAATTACATCAATAAAGCAGAAAGAGATGGATGAATAGATATTTAGATAATGATAAATAGATGATAGATATATAATGAAAGCATGTTTTTATTGGGAAAGTCATAATAATTGAATGACTCAATGATTTCATTCTACTAGAAAATTTTATATCCTGGGCCCAGATTATCTTAATAACTTGGTCCTTATTGTCTACCCTCCCAATATGTAACTAACCTGTACATTCTGCACATGTACCCTAAAACTTAAAGTATAATAATAAATAAATAAATAAATAAATAAATAAATAAATAAAAAAGAAAGGGCTACCTTTATACAGCACTAGCTCTATCAACAAGGCTTATTGTTAATGAGGAAAAGAGAGGTGGAAAAGAAACAATGACAGTGAATATAGACAGGGGTTAAGTGTGTTACTCTCCTCTTTCTAAGCAAAACAAATCCACAGGCTGCAAATGGGAACTATTAGGGTCTGACACTGATCTGGAGGGGTTTTCCGAGTCATTATTTCTATCTAGCTTCTTATATTATTGATTAATAGAACTAGGGAAATAATAATGTCATTTATTGAGTATTTAAGTATGTGCCAGCCACTATGCTGTGTGATTTACACATATAACTGCATTTAATAATCAAAGCAGAGACAAGTTACTAGCCAAAGACCACACAACTAATAAATGGCAGAGTAAGGATTTGAACCCAGGCTTGCCTGATTCTCAGGCTAGTGCTTTTAACCACAGGCACTTCTCTTAGTTGACATTGTATGACCACTATGTGGCCAGATCATCCCACTTGCTGGATGTGGGAGAATGCAAGAGGAAGAACACAAGTGTGGTTCTTCCTTGTCTGCCTGTTACATTTCCTGGCACATTCTCTAGTGCAAAAAATGACGACAACTGGGCTGGGCACGGTGGCTCATGCCTGTAATCCCAGCACTTTAGGAGGCCAAGGCGGGTGTATCACCTGAGGTCAGGAGTTTGAGACCAGCCTGACCGACATGGAGAAACCCCATCTCTACTAAAAATACAAAATTAGCTAGGCGTGGCAGCACATGCCTGTAATCCCAGCTACTCAGGAGGCTGAGGCAGAAGAATTGCTTGAACCCAGGAGGCGGAGGTTGCAGTGAGCCGAGATTGTGCCATTGCACTCCGTGGGCAACAAGAGCAAAACTCCGTCTCAAAAATAATAATAATAGCAACAACTATTACTACTACCACTATTACAACTACTACCACTACCAATTACTGAGAATTATGTTTTGTCAGATACTGTGCTTGGTTTCCATAAGAATTCCTTTCCCCATTTTACAGATGAGAAAACTTGAAATTCTAAGAGGCCAATAAGTCAGGTCAATCTAGCTTATAAACCGGAGATAAATTTAGAACCTAACACTGTCTTACACAACTCAAAATATATTATGAAAGATTTGAATTCTGGAATCAAGACCACATTAATTAAATTAACATAGGAGACTAACTTGTGCAAAGCCCCCTATTGTTTTGAAGTCAAAAAAACAAAAACAAAAACAAACAAACGAAAGAAAGAAAACAAAGCACACAGCTTCTTTAAATTGGAAAAACAGCCCTTAAAGAAAAAAAAAAGACTGGGTAATGTTCAATAAAAATAAGACAAGACACTATGATCTGGCAAAAGGAAGTGGGTCAGTGTCAAGTTGAAGAGTGTTTAATCGTAGGGCAATCGGGGAGGTACCTTATGTAAGCCATGTTCAACCCAAATGAAAATGAAAATAGGCAGCAATGTCCAGAGGGGTGTTGTCTCCTCTTGGCCCAGGCATTTTTGTTAGGCACACAGCATAGTAGTAAAAAGTAACTGACACACATTAAGGAACACATTAACATTAAATCTGATTATTTCCTATGTCAAAATAATAATTTAAACCAAATAATTCATTGTAATTAAATAAGTCAAAGGGGGACATTGCCAACTATCCACTTCCTGTTAGCTAGCATACACAAAGAAGAGCATGTTAAGATGTTGGAAACTTTTCTTATTTTGTCTGATACTAAAACCTATGAAGACGTAGCTATGGCCATGCTTTTTTTAGAGAAATCCACAGATGTGCTTTATAGAAGACAGTATATGTACAAATTTTTTTAATTGAGGAATAATTTCACCATAGTCTTTGAGTCTATGATGATCTCACATGCTATATCTCTAAGCTGTATAACAGCCTTATATCCTACCAGCTCCCCTAAAGGACACCCACATATTATTCATAGGCTCCAAACAGGCATATTTTACCACTCCCATGTGGTTTTCATGATGTTCCCATCTTAGGATGATCTTTCTCTTTCTCTATTTGTTAAATCTATTCATATTTCAAGAACACTCTCAAATATCCTTCCTCTACAAGTTCTTTTCATATCAACTCAAGAAAATATAAGCAGCTTAGAGCTTCCCTTCTTCATCATTGTGGAATATACATATAAAAAGTTAATAAGGCCGGGCACGGTGGCTCATGCCTGTAATCCCAGCACTTTAGGAGGCCAAGGAGGGTGGATCACCTGAGGTCAGGAGTTCGAGACCAGCCTGACCAATGTGGAGAAACCCCGTCTCGACTGAAAATACAAAAAATTAGCTGGTCATGGTGGTGGACGCCTATAATCCCAGCTACACAGGAGGCCAAGGCAGGAGAATCACTTGAACCCAGGAAGCGGAGGTTGCAGTGAGCAGAGATCACGCCATTGCACTCCAGCCTGGGCAACAACAGTGAAACTCCATCTCAAAAAAAAAAAAAGTTAATAAAACATTTATGCACATTGTTCCAAATTCTGAAGCAAATACTTCCATAACTATCACCCAGATTAAAGAATCCATAAGCGTCCAAAAATGTCCCTGTGTGCCCTTCCCATATTATAACCTTCTCCCTCACCAGTGCAGGAAACCCCCATTGAGTACTATAATCATATTCTGAGTATTATCATCGTATTCTTCCTTTTCTTTGTAATTTTCACATAATGACACATCCCTAAACAGTATGTTCAGTTGTTTGTTTTAGAACATTACGTGGATAGAATCACTTAGAATCATACCATATGTATTATTTCCCCTCTTGCTTCTTTTACTCTATAGCATACTTCTGAGATTTGGCCATGTTGTTGGGAGCAGCTGCGGTTCATTTACCTTAATTGCTATGTACTGTTCCACTTTATGATTAAACTTCAACTTCTTTATCTACATTAGAATGTAGATAAGACCTTTGGGTTGATTCCAACTTGGGGCAATTCTGACATGTCTATTCTTGTCCAAGAATCCTAGTACAATAATAACTGAAGTTCTCTAAGATTCAAATTTAATAGATAACGCCAAACAATTTTTTCAAATTGGGCCAATTAAATTTCCACAAGCAGTGTAGAAGTATTCCTCTTCTACATTCTCACCAACATTCAGTATTGCCAAGTTTAAACAATGTTTTAACCAATCAGTTGAGTATATATCGGCAATTTATAGTGGTTTTCATTTGCATTCCTTTGCTTCCTAATGAGGTTGAACATCTTTTCATATGTTTATTGGCCACTTAGACATCTTCTTCTGGGAAAGGCCTATTTGTCCACTTTACCACTGATTTATCTTTTTTATTATTACTCATTTATACAAGAATATTCATTTCTTTATACATTATGGATACTTTAAACAGATATAAATGAATATAACTTAAAGAAACTACCCTGTATATATTTTGGATATATATTTCTTTATAAAATCTAAATCAGTGTTGTCTATCTAATATGGTATCCAGTAGCCACTTGTGGCTATTGAGCATTTGAAATGTGGCTAGTGAGAATAAAGAAGCATTTTTTAAATTAAATTAAACCTAATTTAATTTAAATAGGCGTATGTAATACTGGCTACCGTCTTAGACAGTATAATAGTAAATATGAGTCTTGTCAGCTACGTATCTTATAAATATATTTTCCCACTCTGTGATCTGTTTTTTCATTATCTTTTTGGTATAATTTGACAAATAAAAGACTTTAAGTTTAATATAGTTGAATTTATCAATCTCATCTTTTATTTTTAGAAGTATTTTGCTTTATACACAAAAAATTTCCCTACTCCAACTTCAAGTTCATGAGATATTCCTATAGTCTCTGTATTTTACCTTTCACATTTATATCTCAAATAAATTTTTGTATATGCTGTGAGGTGAGAAATGTATTTTTTATACAGATATCAAATTTTTTCAGCATTAGTTATTAAAAAGTCTATCTTTTTCCACCAATCTGCCATGCCCTTCTATTATTTATCAAGTGACTATAAAAGTGGGGCTCTGTTTTGGAAGTTTTCTATTCCATTTCATTGATATATTTGTATACCCTTGCAAAAATGTTACACCATTCAGCTTTAAAATAATCCAATCTGATAATTATTTTTTAATTGGAGCAATTTTAGTTAATGTAATGTAAAATAAATCTTGATATCTGGTAAAGCAATTTTTCCCATCGTATTCTTTCTCTTTAAGTGTCTTAGCTGTTTGCAATTTCAAGTTAATTTTACAATCTATTTGTTAAATTCTGAAAAAAAATCTGCCGCATATTAATTTCAATTAAATTGAATCTTACATCGTTTAGGGGGCAAGTTAATAATTTTAAAATGCAGTTTTTCAGTATGTAAATATAGCATTTCCTTTCATCTACTTCAATTCATAATGCTTTACATTATTTTTTGGTCTTTGCAGATACATTTTAAAAAATGAACCAAAAAAACAAAACAAAAAACTAAGGATTATCATCTCTTTTTTCATTTTCTGAAGAGTTTGTGTAAGAGTATACTTTTTCGCCGGGCATGGTGGCTCATGCCGATAATCCTAGCACTTTGGGAGGCCAAGGTGGGCAGATTACCTGAGGTCGAGAATTCGAGACCAGCCTGGCCAACCTAGTGAAACCCCGTCTCTACTGAAAATACAAAAATTAGCCAGGTGTGGTGGCCTGCGCCTGTAATCTCACCTACTCAGAAGGCTGAGGCAGGAGAATCACTTGAACCCGGGAGGCTGAGGTTGCAGTGAGCTGAGATCAGCCATTGCACTCCAACCTGGGCCACAAGAGCAAGACTCCCTCTCAAATAATAATAAAAATAATAATTTTTCTTTCTTTAATGGTTGCCAAGACTTGCCAATGAAGCTAACTAAGCCTGGCACACTTTTTTAGAAAGATTTCTATTACTAATAATTAAATGTTAAAATGATCATAATCTTTGAGTTTTCTATTTATTTGTAAATCAATATTGGTGAGTTATATTCTCCAATAATTTTTCTATTTCAACTAATTTTTTTAATTCATCAACATAAAATTTTATAATGATTTCTTACCTCTTTATTTCATGTAGCACTTCTAGTGATATCCCCATTTTTCTTCCTTAAACCATTTGTACCTTATATTATTTTGTGTTGACCAGCCTTACCAGACATTTGTAAATGTATAAGTTTAAAAAAAACTTTACGTTTCATGAATACTTTGCAATATATGTTTATCATAAATTTCTTTTATTCTTACTCTCATCTTGATCATTTCCTTCCTTTCGTACTCTTTTAATTTTATTCTCCTCCTAACTTCATGAGACAGATGTCTAGTTTATTTTTCAGTCTTTCTTTTTTAAAATATAAGCTATAAAGACCATAAATTTCTGTCTAAGGATTGTTTTATCTGCAACCTACATATAATGATATGTAGCATTTTAGTTATTGTTCAATTCGAAATAGTTTCTAAACTTCTATTATGATTTCATCTTTAACACGAGTTATTTATCCAAAACATATGAGATTTGCTAGTTGTCCTTTTGCTTTTTACTTATAGCTAAATTGCACTTCGATCAGGAAGAACAAGGTCTTCCTGGCCTTAATTTCAGTCCCTTTGAAATTCACTGAGATGTAATTTAAGTTTTGATAAATGGTCAGTTTCCTAAATGTTCCATATATGTTTGAAATAAAAGTAATATTTGGTAGCTTTTTACTAGAGTGTTCTGTATTTACCTTTTCATGTCAAGTTTGTTAATCATATTAATCGAATCTCCTATATCCATATCAGTAACTGAGAGAAGTATTTTTAAAACCTCCTATCATAATCATGAATATTTTTATTTCTCATTATACAACTGTTAACTTTGATATTATATACTTTGAGATTTGCTACTAGGTTCATATAATCTAAGATGTTTACATTATAATCTAAAATATTTAATCAATTCAAGTGACCAATCTGTCTGAAGTCTATTTTATCTGATGTTAATATAGGTATATTAGTGTTATTTTGACTAATATTTGCATGGCATCTGTTTTTCCAACTTTGTATAGTCACTCAGTACCATTATGTTTTAGATATGTCACTTATAAACAGAATATTATTTTTAATACAATATGAAAATGATTTTGTAATTTCAGCATTTTTAGTTAGTGTAATTATTGGGCTTAAATTTATCACCTTATTTTGTGTTTTCTATTTGTTCCACACCTCCTCTGTTTCTTCTTCTTTCTCTCTTTCTTTCCTTTCTTTACAATGACTGAATATTTTATCATTTTTTATTTCCAATCTGCTAATTGTAAATTCTACACTTGGTTTCTGGTGTCTTAGTGATTGTCCTAGAAATTAAAATATGTCTACTTAATTTATCAAAGTTTAGAGTTAATTCATATCATTACCCTTCTTTCAGAAAATACAAGCATCTTAGGACACTTTAACCCCATTAACCTTCCTGCCTAATTTATACGTACACTTTTGTTGTCATTATTTTTCTTACTTTTAATTGCATCACTATTAGTCATCTTTATCTTTTTGCAAATGGCTAATAATCATTTAGTTTCCCATTTTCTACTCCACTTGCTCTTCACTCCATCTTGCATCTCAGACATTTCATCTTGGGCTTATGTTCATTAGAATATCGTTTACTGAAGGTTTGCTGGTGTTCAAAATTCTAGTTTTTATTTTTCCAAATCTTTAAAACTTTTATTTCATTCTAAAAGACATTTTCACTGGTGTAAAATTCTAAGGTGTCAGTTATTTTCTTTTGACACATAAATTTTCTACAATGTCCTGGCTTTTGTTGTTCTTGAGAAGTCAGGAGTTCATCTGCCTATCATTTCTCAAAAATAATCTTCCATTATTCTATAACTTCTTTTAAGATATTCTCTACTTAGCTGATTTTCTGCTATAATATTATGATATAATTTTGAGGCAGAAACCATTTTGAGATATAAATGTTACATACATTTATTTATGTTTCTTAGTGCTTATTGGGCCTTTTGAATCTGTAGATTTGACTTTTTCTTCTTGTAGATCTGTTCATTTATAACTATAGGTAGATAAACAGAGATATTTTGAGGCCATGTTTTTAAGTATGTACAAATTCAAAATTGTTACATAGTTCTGGTAGAATAAACTTTTTCTCATGAGGATGTGATCATGGAAAATTCTACAGCATTATTTCTTCGGATATATTTTTTCTGCCTATTTTCTCTCACCACTCTGATTATATGCATGGAAGACAGTGGGGAAGGTCTCTCCCTGCTGCCTTCTGGAAAATTCTTCAGACTCCTCATCCAGTTCACTAATTCTCTCTTTAGCTCTATACAAATCAGCTGCTAGATCAATCAGATGAGCTTTTATTACACTTTCAGTTATTTTCTGTTCCTAGAAGTTTTAGTTGGCTCTTTTACAAATCTTCAAAAATACTTTTTGCGCTTTCCTGGTTCCTGGAGATATTTTTAAGCTTCCCTTTTATTTATTTAAATGTGGTAAGTATAGTTGTTTCATACTATATGCCAATAATTCCAAAGTCTGGAGAATGTGCTGATCTGTTTCTGCACTCTGTTGTTTCCTCTGGTTTTCTTTGACTATACTATTCACTACCCTTGAAAATGAAGGAGTGGGGAGGTGGTTCCCGGCAGTCTAGGACGTCTTCCTTAAAGAAGTTTTGCATTTGCTTCTGCCAGGTGCTTAAAAGAACTACAGACCGAGAACCATCTCAAACTAAATTCACTGCTGGAGGGTTCTTCACCATTCATTTATGCAAATATAGCTTACAAGTATTCTGACGAGCTGAGAGCCAGAAACTTCTCAGGGATAGGGTCTTGTTTTTTGTTGTTGTTTTCTTCACTTTCCCATCCCCAGCCCCGTTCTGCTCAGCCTCAAGGACGCTCTCCATAAAATTGCCTGTGCATATAATCACAGGTTATTTCTGGTTCTGAGAGTCCAGCTTAATATGGGAGGGTTTCCCTAGGCTCCCCGCTTGGGTTGAGTCCCAAGATTTGGTTCTGCCCTCTTCTGCCAGGCCATGAAAAGTGCAGCTTAATTATCAGCAAATACCGTTGGGTAAACAGAGCTCCCAATACTTTTCTTGGATTTCAGCATCATGATGCCTTATCTTCTTATAGCAATTTGATGGTTTCAGACATCCTTTTATTGACATTTTAATTTGTTTTTAGCAGAGGGTTGGGCTAAATAGCCACACAGCCATATTCTCAGAAATGAATGGTCTTTTTTATGCCTCTGTCACTTAACATACTCCATCTTGTACCTGGCCCCCTAACTACAAGTAAACCCATAAATCCACAGGTAGTCAGGACCTAACCTCTTGTCCTCCTATGTCAAAGCTTAAAGTACACTGAGCACTAAAGGGCAATTCTTGTACCACTTTTCCATCTCCTCTCATATCCTTATTTTACAGTTTTGCTGTATTCAATCAATTGCAAGAACAACTTTTTGAGTTTCAATAACAATAGGGTTGTAGAGAGACAATGTCTCACTTGATCTAGAGATAAATGGTTATACCCTAGAAAATGTGTGGTTTTCACACATTTCATGTAGGTAGTGTATGTCTCCTTATGAATATGTTTGTGTGTGTAAGAAAGAGAGAAAAAGAGAATGTAAGTGTTTAAGATTTAATCAGACAAAATCAATTCCATTTTGTTATACACAGCACTTCATGTCTTACATTAATGAACATGATGACAATGATTTCCTTAACTGGACAACAAGAACAAACTGCTCTAGCAATGTCATTGTCAAAATGTGTATAAAATCCAAGAAGCCAGGCCATTAATGAATAGGATTAATTTGTATCATATTAATTTGAAATTTTAGTATTTAATATAATGTAATTTATAAAAATTCACATTTTCTATGTATAATTCAGACACTATGTGCATGACTCTTACTGAGAATAATGTTTGCAACAGATTTATCTCTATGAAGATACAGCATACTAGGTTACTTAGCCATTAGTTAAAACTATGCAGATTACTTAATATCTTCTGGTGTCAGATGTTTCACATAAATCAAATGATATGGACATGAAGCTTTGTAAGATTCCTCCCAGCCTCACAATTTCCAAAAATTTATTTGTAGTAAAATAATTCATTCTAAATGTAAAGCAATCTAGATAAAAAAAGTCTTTGCATAAACTCATTATATACAACAATATGAAAGAATCTCATAGGTAAGATGCTAAGAAAAAGCCTCCAGAGGGCCGGGCGTGGTGGCTCATGCCTGTAATCCCCATACTTTGGGAGTCCAAGATGGATGGATCACTTGAGGTCCACAGTTCGAGACCAGTCTGGCCAACATGGTGAAACCTGTCTCTACTAACAATACAAAAATTAGCAGGGCGTGGTGGCACACACCTGTAGTCCCAGCTACTCTGGAGGCTGAGACACGAGAATTGCTTGAGACCGTGAGGCAGAGAGCCTGCAGTGAGCTGAGATCACTCCACTGCACCTCAGCCTAGGCAACAGAGTGAGACTCTGTCTCAGGAAAAAAAAAAAAAAAAGTCCTCCAGACACAAGAGTACTATTGCTTGATTCCCTTTATTATCACGTTCAAGAACAGGCAAAATTTATCTCAGGTTGACAGAAGTCTGAATAGTGGTTATAACATAACAGGGAATGGTATTGACTGGAAATGGGCATGAAGAAACTGATTTGTTGGAAATGTTTTATATTTTTATCTGTTTAGTGGTTATATGGATGTTATACATATGAAAAAATTCATCAAGCTGTATATTTGAGATGAGTGAAGTTTGCTGTGTGTATGTTATACCTCAATTTTTTTAAAAAAAAGTATATGAACAAGAGCTCAAGACATGGCAAATTACAGATTTAATTATTTCAATGTTTCTTAAAATTCAGGATAAAATAATTCATCTTTTTCTTTAAAAGAGTGTCCATGAATGGCATTTTACTTACTACTACCCTAAGTGCCTTAATTGGAAATGCATACAGTATTTTAAAATCCTAAAACTGCATTTTTTTATTTTAAAAAGTCCTAATTCAACTTTTCAGCAGGGCAGAATGGCATCCTCACCCATCCTACACCATACCCCAGTTATTTTGAACTCATGACGCTCTGCACTGTATACTTTTTCCTAAACATCACAGGAATATCTATGCCATTCAAGTTATTCTGAAAGCTAAGCCTTCTCAGTCCTCCAACCATCTCTATCATCCAAGAAAAAACTGAGAAAATCACACATATATATTTCAATGAACTACATATTTGAAAAAAAAAACAGAAAAGAACATATAGTGCTCAGTTATAATGGGAAATCCTGGAAACTGTTGTTAAACATGTATACTATCTTGAGACAATTGAGACTGTTAATAGTTGCCAGCATTATCCCTGTGAGCATCATGCTAAGAGCATGGTTAGCTGATGTATGGCATCAGCTAACCATAACAATTCATGAGTTAAATACTAATATTGTCCCATATTACAGATGAGGAAACTAAAGATTAAAAGAGTTTTTAAAAATGTACCCAAGTTGATATGGCTAGTAACTAGCAGATGATGGATTTAAATTCAGGAAGCCTGATCTCAGAGCAAAATTCTTAACTATCACACCCGAAAGTTCTTCCTTATAATGAGTTGAACTCTGTCTCCCTCTACCTTGCACCTGATCTTTGAGGAGACATAGAACAATGTTAATCTCCTTCCCTACAACATTTCAAATACATGAAGGCAACTGTCATGCCCTGCCCTGAACCTCTCTACTCAAGTTAAATAACACTACTTCCTTCAACAGGTTTTTCTACAACTCGTTTCAAGTCATCTCCCCTTGCTTGAGACATCTCACAAAACACACACCAGTATATTCAGTGATTGCATGGTATTGAAGAAAGTATATTTCAAAGTGGTCTGATAAGTGCATAACACGAAGCACACTGCTGCACTGCTCCAGAAGGGAAGAGCCACTATCATGGAATCTAGAAATGTTTGGTAAAGAGTGGAGTGACCCGAAGAAGGAGTCCTGGGATTGTGTGTCCACCATGCTCACTATAAATGGCTGCTGGCTCGTACTCTGTAACAAACGCAGGCTCCAAAAAAATGACATGAATATACTTTCTTCTCTCCTTCTGCCTTCCACAAGCTCATCAAAGCCAATGATCCTCGGACAGCACAAAGGGCAAAATTTTGGAGCTCCAAATTCCACAGCTCAGGCAGGCCATGTTACAGAGGGCTTCATTTAAAGTTGACTTACTACTGCTTACATGTATAGAAGATCATATGCTAAGCCAGGACTGGTTGTGAGAATAACCGCAGCAAAGAAAGATGAACACTACCATTCATGAGAGCTTGTCTTTGGTAAGGACTACCTGGATTCATCCCAGGGTGTTTAAAAGTCTATTGTTTATGTTGAATGGTCAGTAATAACAGCACCTTCAGGTTAGTACCTCGGGATAGGGCCGTGTGTCCTAGTGACGTAGAACCTGAATGTACGGGAGGGCAGGAAATAATGAGCACTGTTCTTAAATCCAGTGAAACTTTCTGATCAGGCTTATTAAAATCTCAGGGAAAAATATCAACTGGGTGTATCATAACAGACACAGGTACCACATGGTCTGGTGCCCAGCACTAATGCACTGTGAAAGCAGATTGCATCCAGCGGCCTGACGGCTGACACTTCACTTGTCCTTAAAATGGGACAAAGACTAGAAAGACTCGGGAAGAAAAAGGATAAGAAAGTGCCTTAAGGTGTGAAGGAATATCTAGCAGCAATAAAGGTAAATGTGACGAGGAAGTAAATAGAGAGAAAAGGGTGCTGTAAATCACAGACAAATGAGTGGTGGCTGTCCCGACTTATGCAAGTATCAGGAAAGAGAGGAGGGACCTGAATTAGAAAATATTAAGCATCATTGTAAAAGTTCTTGTTTCTAAAGACAGGTCATCAGAGATTATGGAACAACAAAGAAATACTACCTCCTACAGTTTTAGAAACAATCTCCAATTAAGCCAACTAAAATATTTACCTAGACAAACTAAGAGCAGAAGCCACTTAGATATTTCAGGAATGGGCTTGACTATGTTCAAAAGTTCAAATAATTAAGATTTTCTTATAAAATTTAATCTTAGCCAAATTGCTTCCAAACCTGGTTATTTCATTACTGACAAATATAATAATGTTCCTGGGGCTCAGATCTTATTACTATTAAATACTTATTAAGTATCCCTGGTGTGCTGAATGATGCACATTACAGATGGATGAATATGTTGTGTGCGCCCTCCCTCGAAGAGCATAGAGTCTTATAAAACTGATAGGACACACACATAAACACCCCCAAATTTCTTCCAGGGGATATTTAGAGTATTTGCAAGAATCTATGTCTCTAAAATGCCTTGGTGTTAGGTTCCTGGATGAAAATGGACCCACACTTGCCTGATGAAATGGGCAAAACACATGGACAAGATTATGCTAGCAATAGGCAGCCTTCTCTTGCTTTCTCTCTGGTTTCAAAGAAGGTGCAGCCCCTCCTGTCCATAGCTAATCCTTTGACGCAAGTCCTCCTTCCTCTTCCTCTCTTTGCCACTGCTTTGGCTAAGGTCTTCATCTTTTCTGGCCAGGATTATTGCAAAGGTCTCTAAATGAGCTCTGCCACCAATTCACATTGCTCTAAGCAACACTGCCGCACACCATTTCCCAAGGAAATTTTTTGTTATAAAATATAAACCTCACTGTGTCATTCCTCTGTTTAAAGATTCTTCAGTGGATTCCTGCAGCTCTGAGGATATAGTTCAAATTAATCCTTTAGCATGACTGAAAATGATCATTGTGGTTTGCATCTTTCATAGATTTTTACTTTCATCTCATGGCATCTCTCAGGAACCCATTTATACCAAACCAATTGCCCTTTACTTCAAGGTTTCCAAATCTGTCATGCTTGTTTGCATCTCCATACCCCCGCTTTCACACTGATGGGTGTCTGGAATATCCTTTCCTTCTCTCCTTGTCTAGCCATCAAACTTCAGTTTACACATCACCCTTACGTAAAAGATATTTTCCAACCCTTTCTGCATCTCCCTGGACCAGGCCCTTTCTCTTCTCCTATAGACCCCCTAGATACCTCTACTGTCGCACCTACTACCATAGTGAGTCTTATCATCTCCTCAACTAGACATGAACTCCTTTGGAAAAAAGACTGTACCTAATTCATTTTTGTATCTCGAACATTTAGCACAGAATTTACAAGAAAAAAAAATAAAGGATAATGAGCCAAGCAGAATAAGATGATAGTTTTGAATAAGAAATGAACGAATGATGACATAGGTGCTTCAGCCAGAGGGGACTGTACAGAAGGATCAGATGTCAGATCTGTGCACATCAAGCCTTGCTAGAAGTCAGGGGCAAGGATGTGGAGGTCTGGAGAAGTAAGCAACAAGAAGGCCTCGTCAACGAAAGCAAGTGAGCCTCAGAAGTCTGCTCTGAGCTCACCACTTGGCAAACAGGAACAACCCCCAGCCTCTGCAGTTTGTGTCAATACTCATTATTCTTCACATACTTCTCCTTGGCTACCTGTTTACCCCAGGCAATAAATCAAAATCATGTCTTCTGTCTTTCTGGTGGGTCCCTTTTCTTCTATGGCTTTGAAGGAAAAAGATTTCTTCTCCCTCCCTTTTCCACGAATCATGATCTAGACCTCGGGGTCTCCCTCCAGCCTAGTACGTACACACGCACCCTCAAAATGACCAGGCGGCATGAAAGATTCCACAGGGGTGCTGTGGTCCAGCCCTCGCAGAAGGTGGATGACCGCAGACACATAGGGGAAGGTATTCAAATACCTGCTCACTTCGGTCTCTTTCATTCTCTGCCTTCTCTGTTTTTTTCCAACCCCTCACACTATTTCTTCTACGAAGAAAGCATTTAGCAAGAAAACGGCAGGCTTGATTGCCTCTGCCATCAGTGCAGCAAAGCTTTGCCGTACTGTGCGTGCAGTGCGGAGAGACAGAGATGAAAGCAGCCACACTCGGGGCCAGGGAATGAGTGACTAGTGCGCACAAATTAACCAAGCCCCTCAGAACTCGCCTACTGCCTCTTCCCTCAGCAACTGCACCTTACACAGGGAGGAGCTGCTACCCTGAAAGGGCACTCTGCTGTAGACGGTTCCTTAGTGCTTCCCACCCCAGGAAGCATGGGGCGCTCATTAAGATGGAGCTGATGCCGTAGCTCTTCTGTCACAGGCTGACATTCACTCTGGGTGCAATCTAAAAACTCTGTGCAGTGAATAATAACCAACTGGGGTCTCTTGCCACTCACAGAGAATCAGCAGAGAGAGAGAAGCAAAAGAGAGGAGAAACAAGCAGATGTTAATGAAGAAGAAAGGAGAAAGTAAGTGAAACATAAAGTGAGAGGGGAAAGTGAATCACTTTCCAAAGGTTTAGCATTTAAAGGAAATGATGGGTGAACAACGCTGAAAGGAATTAATACTCCTATTGAAGTTACGTATTGAACATGACCTACACTAAACCGCCATTAGGGTTTCAGGGAGTATGGCCGGTCTAAGAGAGCAATGGGCTCACTTGAGCCTCCTGCTCGGAGCTCCGTACTTGTGGGCACAGGGTGCGGATGTAGCCTTGCTCTGTCTGAACCTGAAGTGTCCCATGCACAAGAGTCAAGGCCACTGCAGTATGGAAGGAGTGTGCCCTTAATATTTGGAGGTGCTGGTTCAAACGACTTTTTTTTCAGTATGACTAGACCTTTAAGAGTCTCAGTTTCCTCATCTGTAAAATGAGGATGAATGTTCTTCATGGAGTTCTTCGGGGGAGTGAATGCATGTGTATTTTGTAAAGTGCACTTTTGGCGCCTCCCAATGGGAAAAACCAGAGGCAGGAAGGTAAGAGGGGTCAGGATGCACATAAAAAATCCCTGGGTCCCCCCTCCTCAATGTCTCTGCTTAGAAAACGAAGTAGGCAGGCTCCTGGTCCTACAGGCTAGAATTGTAGTCCCATACCTCAGTGGGTTTGGTAACTCCTCATGTCACTCCTTAGTCCTCCCATCAGAAAGAAATGACTGAGCTCCCCAAGCATGCCCCCCAGCCTTCCACCTGAGTCGAGAGTAACAGTGGCAGTGGAAAGCTACTGTCCCATGTGAAAAGGATAGAAACTCAATGCCCAGAGTCCACATGGCCTGGATGGAGGATCCCACATAGATCTTTAGTACTGTTGGAGCCACGCTTACCATGTTTCCTTTTCTTTCCTAAAACAAAAGTCTCATGAAAGCACAACATTCAAGTATGGTTTTAGAGGCCAGAATCTTCCATTCAACACCCCTGATGCCCTTCCTGTACTCACCCTACTCGCACACAACCAAAGACACTTGTGGAATGGCTGACAGGGAAACAGGTGACAGAAGAGAGTTTTTTTGGAGCCTCCAGAAGGCTCTAACAGTGCCCCCTTTGAGAACCAACTATGCCAAGAGGGGTTAAAACTGGTGCTGGAGGCAGGGAAGGAATCCTAAAGGGCACTGAACTGCTGGCGCTGCTGTCTGTGAGGCACTGAGTGAGTCACTTCATCCCTCTGGGCCTCTGGTTCAACCTCTGAAAATTGAATAGTTACAAACTGTCTGCTTGTCTGCAATATGCCACCTGCAGGTGAGTTTTGTCTGGGCTTCATTGAGATGTTGCTGAATTGTTGTGTTGTGTAGTGTGAATATGAAACACTAGACGAGGCACATACTCCAACTCTCCCTATTGCCCCACACTCAGGGACTTCTAGCATTTACATCATCTACCTTGCCCCAAGGCCATCTCCACTGTAAATGCTTAGTGGAGATAATGGTTTCTCAGGGACCACTTTCTTGCTGTGTGACCTTAGACAACTTACTTTCTCTCTCCAAACCTCAGTTTCCTCATCTATAAAATAGACGTAACAGTAGTATCTACCTCATAGAGTAGCTGAGAGGATTAAATAAGTTAATTTATGAAAAATGCTTAGTGCAGTGTCTGGCACGTACAACAGCACCTGCTACATCATCATTATTATTAATTATATTTTCATCTTTGATCTTAGATTCAGCAGATCCTCATTCCATTCATTAAGCTTACCATAGAAGAAAAATTTACTTCAGCATCAGCTTTTAACAACAGACTTTGAGAAAGTGGTTGAGCACGATCCAGGCTCTATGGGATGAATGAATGAACTGGGGCAACCAGGTCAATTTCTTCAAATCAATTGTCTCACCTTTTCACTACTGGTCCCCTGCCTACCTCCTCCCCACTCCTCCCCACCCCTAAAGCCAAAAAAGCACTGAACTCAAGAGTTAGAAGCATCAGGTTCCAGCTTGCACCCTTTTCCATGGTACTTAATGCCTCTTAGTCTCAGCTTTTTCATCTGTAAAAAGCAGACCACAACACAAGGAGATATCGTCTCACCCCAGTTAAAATGGCTTTTATCAAAAAAGTAGGGAATAACGGATGCTAGTGAGGATGTGGAGAAATGGGAACCCTCACACACTGTGGGTGAGAATGTAAATCAATACAGTCACTATGGAAAACAATATTGAGTTTCTCAGAAAAACTAGATACAGAACTACCACATGACCCAGGAATCCCACTAGTGGGTATACATCCCAAAGAAAGGAAATCAACATATCAAAGAGATGTCTGCACTCCTGTAGTCATTGTAGCATGATTCACAATAGTCAAAATCTGGAATCAACCTAAATGCCCTTCAATGGATGAACAGATAAAGGAAATGTGGTATAATGTATACAATGGAATACTATTCAATCATAAAAAATGAAGTCCTGTCATTTGCAGCAACATGGATGGAATTGGAGATCACTATGTTGAGTGAAATAAGCCAGGCACAGAAAGACAAATATTGCATGTTCTCACTCTCATATATGAGAGATAAAAGAGTAAATCTCTTGAAAATAGAGAATTATCTATTACCAGAGGCCAGGAAGGGTAGAGGAAAGAGGGGATAAAGAGAGGTTAATTAATGGGTACAAAAAAATACCTACCTAGTGCTCAGCAGTTCAGTAGGGTTTCCACAGTTAGCAATAATCTATTGTATATTTTCAAATAACTAGAAGAGAAGAATCCAAAAGTTGCCAGCATAAAGAAAAGATAAATATTAGAGGTGACGGCTATCCCACTTACTCGGATTTTATCTTTATGCATTATATGAATGTATCAAAATATCACATATACCCCCAAAATATGTACATCTATTGTGTACCCATTTTTTTAGCAGGCCATTATCTTATCTTAGAGGTTGAAATAAGGTAACAAAGCCAAAAGCAAACAACATAGTTCCTGGCATACGTTAGTCACACTGTACTTAGACACCGATTGGAGTCTAAACCACTCCATTTCCTTCCTCTTCACTAGCTATGTTTCGAACCTGCTAGTTGTACCCATGGGCATCACCCAACCCCTGGCCACAGGCAGGCCAAAACCATTTGCTGACCTCACTCTCTATTTTAAGCTGTGCCTCCTGGGTCTGCTCCTGGCCATTCAGGAAGTCAGGATCTTGCAGAAGATACAATGTTATAGGCTCCAGGCCCCTTGTAACAACACTGCTCAAACAGGACTGTCTGCAGTGATGGAAATTTATATCCACAGTGTCCATTATAGCTGCCCCATGCAGCCACTGGACACTTGAAATGTGGCTTAGCAACTGAGAAACTGAATTTTTATTTTATTTAATTTTCATTAATTTACAGGTAAATAGCCACATAAGACCAGTGGCCACTGCATTGGCTAGCACAGCCTTAGGACCACCTCCAGTTGTTGCCAAAGTCCATCTGAAGCCACTCTTCCAGACAAGACATCTGAAACTTCCAAGCACCTGGCTGGCATCTTTACTTGGATTTTGCTACTACTTCCATCAAGGCTGGCGTGATGAGGCAGGAAAATGAGATCACTCAATGGCTATTTCCAGTGCCCTTCAATCACTAGGCAACTAGATGATTTGTTTTTTAAAATGCAGGTAAAATCAACATCTCCCCTTGGTTCACTGTATTTGGGGAGTGTACATAAATTGGACCTATGCTTGTAATGGTCTCTGAAGGGTCCTCCTGCAGTGGGATAACTCTATAGAGCTGTGGGGCACCTAAGCAAAAACCAGAGCTTTGAGGCCAGGAAATAAAAGCCTGTGCACTGACTGCAGATTAGGGGCAAGAGGCTGGGGGACTTTTTGAAAATGAGATCTTTGACATTTCCATTTCACTCAGTCAAAAATTCCACAAGAATACCTTACTTAACAATATTTTTTGCATTAATCTTGCCAAGATCAGATTCCAAGAAGCAATAAAGAATATTAAGTTAACTTTCATTTTAAATCAGGAAGTTTGTTAGGTTTGAGATCATAAACAAATTATCATCTTTGCCAAACTGAGATTGGCCCTAAGAGAGAACAGATTCATTCTCTCATTTGGAAGGCATGAGTCTTGTGTGGTTTCATGATCTTCATTCCATAACATTAAATGTGTTGTGTGAATGGTTCTAAACTAGTTGCTCTAGACAAAAACAAAACAAAAATCTTGGTCCAAGTAAGAAAAAGTTGGGAATGGAAAGGAAAACTGATCTACTCATTTGATAAATATCTATCGGCCAGGCGTGGTGGCTCACGCCTATAATTCCAGCTCTTTGGGAAGCCAAGATAGGAGGATCTCTTGAAGCCAGGATTCGAGACCAGCCTGGGCAGCAAAGCAAGACCCCATCTCTATCTCTCTCTCTCTCCATACATATACATATACACACACACACACACACACACATTTGTGTGTGTGTGTGTGTGTGTGTATTTTAATCCTCAATGTACGCCAGGATGACAATGGGCTCAAAGTTCAGTTAGTAACAATGCTATAGCAAATTATTATTATATATGGTACATGGTGCACACAAGACATCTGGGAACACAGAGAATGCAGCAATACCTGGCGTGGGGAAAAGTCAAGAAAGGCTTTACGAAGAGGTAACCTTTGAGTTGCAACTTAAAGAACAAATAGAAATATGCCAGGCAAAGATGGGGAAGAGAAAGCTACATTTCAGGAAAGGAACACGGGAAGAAAGGAAAGCACAAAGGAAGAAAGGGGCATTCCACACTAAGGGGCAAGCCTGAATACTGGCCCCATTTTTATTTTCAAGCCTGTCAGACCTGCCAGTCCTTCCTGGCTCCCTTGAGCCTCTTCCAAATTTAGGCAACCAGTCCAAGCACATCATGTCCCTCTGGGTCACATCCCATTAAAACAAGGCTCCAAATGGGGTCCCACTAATAAAACCCCATAACCCTGCTAATCAAAACTGCTTATTTTACAAGCCCCAGCAACCCACAATATATGGGAATAGTGTTTGCTGTTTCCTGGAAAAGACCACGCACTGCTGCTGCAGATAGCCAACTATCCATACGATGGTGACGCAAAACTTCCAGTGGGAGCTGGAGACCCTCTGGGTGGGCCGGCTGTATTGCGAAGTGCTGTGGTACTTAAATAAGAGGCACTAAATGACAGTTAATGTACAGAGAGAAATGTCAGGAGGCTAAAAGCAGCCATAAAGTACAGTCCAATAGAGTGACGCACAAGAAGGAAAAAGAGGACAGCAGTGACCAGGGTAAATGTGGACTAGCTGGAAAATTTCCTGGCATGCCATTGGATTCTTAAGATTGATCTTCTACGCCATGCTTAAGGAGACCAAGTTTTAAGGAGTACACTTACCCCAAAGTACAGAAGGAAGTTAGAACATTCACAGAAAACGATATAATATCACTGATAGGTATAAAGTCAAAACCAGCCTATAATTTTTGGATGAAAAACATTTGTTCCATTATTGTGGGAATATCTCACTTTAAGTGGCAATTTCAAAATATGCAACAGTGTTCTTTTTTTCTTTTTTATTATACTATATGCTAGAAAAATATCAGATTTTTGGTAGAGTTTTTGTTTTTGTTTTTGTTTTTAATCCTCTGATAAATTAGGTCACCTCACCAGGCTCTTTGGACATATTGGGTGGATTTTCTCAAATAAAGGCATCACAGTGGTCAGCTGGCAATATCAATGATAGAATTCAGGTCCCCAGAAACTGGAACCAAGTAGGGCAGCACTGTGAAAAAAGCCCTGGACTTGGCATCAGACATCCATCAGATTTAGCTTTCAGTACCAGTTCCACCCTTTTCTCCCTAAGTGCATTTAAAGATACAAATCTCTTAACTCCTCTGGACCTTAATTTTCTAACCTGTAAAATGGGAATAGTAATACCTCACAAGATTTCTGCAAAGATTAACATAATGATGTGAGTGAAAGTTAGCCAGACTTGTGGCACATGCCTGCAGTCCTAAATACTCAGGAGACTGAGGCAGGAGGATAACTTGGGCCCAGGAATTTGAGGCTGTAGCAAGCTATGACTGCACCACTGTACTCCAGCCTGGATCACATAGCAAGACCCTGTCTCAAAAAAAGAAAAGGATACGGAAAATAGTCAGTACTCAACAAATCTTAGTTCAATTGAATTTGACAACCAAATACCATGCATTTATGCATTAATAAGAGTTTGATGTTCTGAAATCTGGACATGTTAAAAAAATGGCCACATGGCAATTGAAAATCCCTTTTTTCTGACCCCTTGCCTAATTATCAGTCACAAATAGCAGCAACCAACCCCAGTTCCCTTTCATTTTCAATGCACGCTCTGCAATTAGACATTGGTTAGGAGAAAAGAAAATGTATTAAAGGGATGGTTATTTGCTTCCTCTCCTAAAATCCTGTGGATGATTGATTCATAAACTACACATTATGAAGTTGAGGTCTCTTTTTTATACAGTAGTTGTAGTTTCAAAAATGAATGGCTTTATCAAAACAAAGCTGAAAATGGATTTCTTAGTCCCTCCCTTCTGTGATGTCTTTTTGGAACAATTAGCTTGAAAGTCAGCTTTCTTTGTCTAGGATCCTTCTCAATCCTTCCACCCACTCAAAACTATTAGCAGTTCAACTAACTTATTTTCATTTACTTCATGTATTTAATACCTATCTTGTTCTCAAAAAGAAAAAAATAGAGACTTCTAACTCCAGCTAAGAATAGAGATTCACACCCCTTTCTGGGAAATTCCCACAGTGGGCCTGAGTTTCTTTTCCTCCACATGCAAATTCCAAAAGCTCTACATTTATCTGCCTGATTTCAATAGTTAGCGTGCATATAACCAAACCTTCCCACAAATATGCACACGGACCTAACCTCCTTTAACCTCCAGTCTTCTGAGTTAGAGTGTGTATGTTCAAAGTTTGGTTCTTAGAGACCTTCTGAATCTAGTTTATACTTTATGGTTCTAGGAGTCCCCATATATCATGTACGTAAAAAGCCAAAAAAGTCAAGTTAGGGATTAAAAACTCCTATTCTTCAAATATTCTATTATAATGATTCCAGTGAAACACCCACATAAATTGAATCATTTGTTTCTCTCACAACTTTTCTAAAATTCAAACTCTTTTCTAAACTAACATTCCCTAATATGTACTTTTGGAATGACCTCAACGTTCTAGAAATAGTGGCCTGTATGACATGAAAGATTCCAGGTAGAGACAATATGGCTTTTTGTTTTTTTCTTAAGGGCTTAATAATATCTCTAAAAATAACAAATGCCACGTGATGCAGTCTTTTAAGACCGTGCATCAACTTAAACTAAGTCTTTGGGTTTACTAGTGGAAAATGACAGTATCCATTTATAAGAAGGTAGGGAAGCATCCAAATGAACCCTATAAAGCTGTTGGCCAAGATCTTGCTTGAAAATTGGAAGCTGATGCGGGGATCGTCTCCCTGGAAAGGGTCCATGGCCCTCCATTCTGAACACTGATGGGAATGTGGGAGCTCAGGAACTCAAAAAAAAAGCAGACATTCTTGGGGTCATATCAGAATCACCTTGAAAATGAGAGCAACAACGATGCAGATGAACTGGCTGGAGCATTTGACGCCCTTTACCACAGGAGGAAGATCACATTCCTGCAGAGGAATACACCACAAAGCCTTGCCATCAATTCAGATTTTCTCCCTTCTGTCTTCCCTAAAGAGCTTATCTCTGAAGAGGCCTAGGGTGGTAAAAAGCCCTCAGAGGAATTCAGTCACAATCCTGGGACTAAGAGCCCGCCTCCTCACTGAAAAAAAGGAATTAGAGCTGGGTGTGGTGGCTTACACCTGTAATCCCAACTACTCAGGAGGCTGAGGCAGGAGGATCGCTTGAGCCCAGGAGTTTGAGGCCAGCCTGGGTAACATAGCAAGACCCTATCTCAAGAAAAAAAAAAAAAAACGGGGATTGGGAGAACTAGGAGGGTGGAGAGTAGGAGGTGAAGTGAAAAAATGAGAGTCAACAGAATTAAATTTCCCCAACTCACTTACGCTTCTCACAGAAGCATCATTCATTGGTACTTTAACTTCTCAAGGAAAAAATTCAAAGGAATAGAATGGAAGTAGGGAAAAGATGGGATAAGACTGCTTTATCCTAGGCAAAAACATCATTTTGTAACTGTGCAGGATATTGTTTGTTGATCCTTAGCACCATTCTCACATCTCTAAGCTCTCTTTTGCATTCCAGGTTTATGAAGCCTAGAAACTTCCTTCCTTTCCTGGATGTTTTTGCTAACAAGTTCCTGGTTAGATCCCAGCAGTGAGAGGCTCCAGACTGAGGTGGGGAAGGTGGAAGAGAAAAAGAAGCTGCTATGCTCCAGGTGCACCTGGAAGACGTCACTTTGATGTTGGCCTGTGGCAAAGGTACAGTTTTGCCGGTGACATCAGGCATCTCCTGAGAATCACCCACTTGCCTCACTGTAGCCCTTCGCTTACATTTTTCCCAAATGAAGCTTTCCTGTTCTTCACTCCTCCAGCCTTCTAAAGATTGTGTAAACCTTGAATTCCCTGTATTAAATTTCCTCTTCAAAATACCCAAGGTGGCTTCTGTGAATCCTGACTAATACATTAGTCTGCCCCATGGTTCTCAAGTTGCAGGATTTGTACCAATCCTAACGGCACCAAGGATATGTAAAACCCTAACAAAGCACAGTACGTATTCTTGAGCCATTTTACTCAATAGTAGGTAATTTTGGAAATTTATTTTTATATTGAAATAATCACTGAAACATCATAGGGAAAGGGCATATTAAAATAAAGTTTTAGGAACCAGGCATGGTAGCTCACACCTGTAATCCCAGCACTTTGGGAGGCCAAGGCAGGCAGATAATTTGAGGCCAGGAGTTCAAGATCAGCCTGGCCAATATGGTGAAACCCCATCTCTACTAAAAATACAACACATTAGCCAGCTGTGGTGGTGCAGACCTGTAGTCCCAGCTGCTTGGGAGGCTGAGGCATGAGAATCGCTTGAACCCGGGAGGCAGAAGTTGCAATGAACCTAGATTGTGCCACTGCCACTATACTCCAGCCTGGGTGACAGGAGCAAGACTATATCTCAAAAGTAAAATCAAATAAAAAAGTTTCAGGACAAAATATAAAAGCTAAGAGAAAATAACTCTTGCAGAAGGCTACTTTACCTTGCAGTCTCAACCTGAAGGATGAGCTTCCACCCTCCTCTGTAATTTCGAGTATCTTGATGGAAGAGTTTGCAACACACTGCACATCTTTCTCTCTATATGTCTATCTAAGTTTCTCTTGTGTTCCCTAAGAAGGGATTTCAGATGGTACAGCAGTATTGGGGAGGTTGAAAGTCTGTACATTCTCTGTGAACAGCAAGTCAGGTTCAATGAAGTCAGAGTTTCCATATAAATCTTTTCTTAGCCTACTGGGATGCCAGATCCTTGGTGGCAGGGAAGACACCATGTCTAATGAGCTTTGTGCCCAGCACTGTGCATCTCCAACAGTCCCTGGCCCACAGTAGGCATGCGATAGATATATTATTCCCTGAATTGAAGAATCAGTGGATAGATGGATAGGCAGATAAGTATGTACCAAGCACAAGTGGCAACAGAGGTTAAATGATAAGAAATATATATTGTTAAATATGCAACCTTGACCAAGTTATTTTGCCTCTAAGCCTTAGGTTCTGTATCAGGAAAATGAGTGTTATTATACCTATTTCTCAGGATTGTTAGGGTTGGAACGAAGGTTTGAGAGGTGGCACAAGCAAAGTACCTAGTAAGGTGTCTAGCACACAGTAAGCTCTCCTATATAATATTTATCATTATCAATTTTTACTGGATTTGAGTAGTGTAAAATATGCTTAGGTTAAACAAGTAGACTGAATCTAATTCAATCTTTCCTCAATGGTTCAGAGAGCACTAAAGTGCTTCAGCAGATCATTTGAGACATGGTGTCTCCAGTTCATTAGCCAGAGTGGCAGATAGCAGGGTGCCCTGGGTGTCTGAGCTCAAACCCCCGCTTCCACAATGGAAGGTGGAGAGAAAAAAACTAGCTCATGTTTTGGCCACATGGCAGTCTTCCAAACTGAATTGTTATTTGGGTTAGGATTACAAGATTAGTAGAGAGGAGCACACAGTCAATGAAATAATACATTTTGACTCCAGAAAAGAGACTGATACAGCAGCGCATGAAATTTCAAATGGGCAAGACTGTAAAACTCATCACAGAGGCTAAAGTCTGACTAAAGGCAAATGAATAATTATCAACGATAATGTACACAGGCAGAGGAATGCCTGGTGGGGAGCCTGTGGCACCCGTGGTAAGTCCGGTTTTATTTAACATCTTAGTTAATGATCTGGAAAAGAGACAAACAAAAAACTAAAGAGAGATGATGAAGTGGATATCTGTTGGCTTTGCCTGCTGGGCACCTGATCTCCTACTGGTGGTAACAGCACCAAAACTGTGCTTTGGGAAACAACGCCTCCTCCAGTGGATAAAATCTCCATGGAATTGTCAAACAACATGCCCCAACCTCCCTTCTAAAAGATGGGCAAGTGACCTATGCTGGGCCAAAAGGATGCTCTCTTCCTGGAATTCTAATCTTAAGCACAATATCACAAAGACTTTTTGATACAAAGACATTAAACCATCTAGCATCACTTATTCCAGTAGCATATCTCTGAGGAAAAAAAATAAAAAACTATTAATTCCTGCTACCTACATCCTTGGAAGCACCTGGCATTTTTCCTTTCCTTTTTCTTTAAATCTAATATACTTCTTTTTTTTTCCTGAAATTAGGCAATGTTATTTTATATGAGCTGCAAAAAAGGCCCAAATAATGGAGATACAGCTTCTACTAAATCTAGGGTATGCATTCTGTTTATCTGATCGTTCAGCAATTCTCAAAATATTTTTCAGACATTAGTGTAAGAAACACCACAATAGATAAAGCAGTCTATTTTAAAATCACATTGTTTAGATTCAACTTGGAAACAATTCACACTGACATTTTTTCTGGAAAAAAAGAAATGTATTCTAATATTCACACATAACGGAACAAATCACCTAACCTTAGAACTAAGGTGAAGGCAGAGAATCAGACATGAAATTGCAATGAGATGAGGCACTTTTAAATACCATTAAAGTTCTATATTGCATAAAGTACAACACATCAGACATTAGCAAAATACATCCATGGTAAGTGACCTCTATGGTACATTGTCTGAGTTATTAAGTACATATTTTCTTTAAAGAGAGAGAGTAGGCAGAGAATAAATCCAAGGGAGTTTAGAGACGTTTACTAAAAGTGAATCAGGTTATCCAGGGTAAAGGGATGAATGTTCACAATACACTTGCTGTTTTCCAACAGCCCTGCTCTCTTGGGTAGAAAGCATGGAGGGATGCCGCCATCTTTGCTTGGGGCTAAAAGAAGCTCCTTGTTTAAGGGCCATATTTGCTGATTACAGAAAATTTAGCCACTGTGGACCAAAAGAGGAAATAAAGTCTAAGGGTGAAGCCAGTCTACCCTCAGCCCAAATGGATGTTTCTACCATTGAACAAACACCCTACACTGTCTCCATGACAACTCACCTACATTGCTTTTGGGCCAGAATAAGAAAGCTACTCCAACAATAACTAACAAGGCCACTCTCTTGTAAGGAGAATTTGAAAAGGAAGGATGAATATTTTCTTCTCAGTTTTGGAGAGAATGAAGATTCATTTCTTACCCTATAAAAAACAGAGAATCTTACTCTTATTGTTCTTTCTTCCCAGAATCTATAACCTGTGCCTCTGGGGGGACTAGTCAGTGCCACATTCTGGTTGGTGCTTTAAAAAGACCCGAGGCATACACTGCACACAGCATGTAAAAGCGGTACACAGTAATAGGTATATTGTATATGGATAAGATATCTAGGATAGTATCAGTCAGGGTCCCAACATAAAACAGATGGCAACTCCAAATGGGAAGATAGAGGAGAGTTTAATGAAGGGACTATTTTAAAAGGTGTGGGCAGAGTCTAAGGGAACCAACAAGGACTGGTGAAATGCCCAGGCTCTGACAACTGTGAGAGCTATTATCATCCCTGCTCCCCCAAAGAAGAAAGGTGAGGGAGCTGCTAATAGAACCCAGCAGGAGCTGGACGTGTATGAGTGGCCACCCTACAGGAGCTCTGGCTTTTGGGAGAAGAAGGCAGGGATTCTCAACCCACAGCACAGCAGGGATAGAGGGAGCTGGGGAAAGGGCCATCTAACCTCACCCTCCTGACTGCTCTCTCCTGGCCAATGCTAACCAGATCCTTAGGAAATCCACTGATCCTGTCTACAGGGTTCAGTCTCATCACGGTCAAAGCAGAGTGAGAAGAATGGGAAGAGGATCTAGAAGAGCAAAAAGAGGAATATCTGTATCTTCACTGATATCTATATCTATATTTCTCACACCATGGCAACTTTTCACGTATTCCTCCAAAGTGTGTAATTTTTTAACCCTTCTATTTCTGTGTGAGATCTCCTTATCCTCTCTAAATGGTAATCTGCATTTTATTTAAATTTCACAGTTTTACACCCTAGAGCATAGGGTGCAAAAGTGGTATTTTCCTATTTCCCACTATCCATGCCCAGTCACAGACATGGACAAAACCTTCCTTAAGGCTATAATCATGAAATAAAAATGAAGGCAATGGTAGAAATGCTAACTGTCCTCCAAAACCTCAAAGGACAAAGAAAATCTGTGCTTTAACAATACATAAAAACCAGAATCCAGGTATCATTTAATGCACACCTGAAACGAAAACCTACACTAAGAGGACAATGAAAAACAATGGCTGAAGCGCCAGTGTTGCCTTTGACTATGGCACTGACCTCCACTTAGCCTGACTTCACCTTAGAAACAGCCCTCAGCAGCTCCCAGTCTTTGACTATAGGCAAAGTCCAAGGCTTCCTATAAAAACTTGACCCACGACCCTGGTTTCTGCAAAATCCTATTTTACGAAGCATAACAGAGCAGGAATAACAGGAAGAAATTAAGGAGTAATTTAGGAATGTGATGTTAGAAGAGACTCCAACAAAAGGAGAGCTGTTATGTCACAAAAGGACTGCAAAAGAAAGTAGGACAGCTGTCATTTTTGAGATGTTTACTGACAGAATCTTCAAAGCACAGCTTCTTTTTCTGATTTCCACCATTTTGAAAAGAAACATGTTTATGGCTCAGCAGGTCAGACCAGCACTTCTTACACTTTATCTCTCCCTGGACAGTGGCACCAGATGCTTTATGATCAAGCTGAATTCACCATCACCTATGGCATTAGCCTCACACTTAAGGAAGGACCCCCGAAACACCCCGCACTTCCCTAACAGCCTTAAAACTAACCAAGCCCAATAGTCACCTTACTCCACCTTTCATTCCTGGCTATTAAAATTCAAGCATTTCAAAGCTATTGAAGCTATTAATAGTGCAATTTTGATGAGCTAGTTCAAAGTCAGCACTAATGACCTGTTGATGATTTTAATGGTTTTTACAATAAGTACTGCGAATGACCTATTGTTAAAATACAGAGTGACGGGCTTTTACATTAATCCATTAACTCTTCTTTTCTCGTCATTCTTTCCAGACTAAACTATTTTCCTCCGTTCAATTTGAAGAGTTCATAGATAAAGAAAACTAAAGTACACAGAAAGAATACGTTTTAGCAACTGACAATCAGAGGAGGCAATGGAACGGGGCAAGAATATGCCAGATCTGAAGTAAAGGCCAAGTCCTGTGTGTATGAAACTGTGGGTTAGAGAGGGAATAAATCCATCTGGGGCACACTTAGACCAAGGAGAAGAAAGGGAAATGGTGCAAATTGAGAAGGCAGAAAATGAGAAGGTGTCGGAGATGGACAGAATGACCAGGCCAGGGAACTACTAGAATCCAGAATCTTTAAAAAGCCACTCCAGCTTCAGCAACACACACCCAATGACAAAAAGCAACATCTATCCCCCGTTCGTCACTTCCAGGTTCACTGCTCTTGTTCTGTACCTTATTGAATCTCGGGGCTATCGACCCTTGCCTGGTGTGTATCCTTAAGCCCATCCACACCTAAACAATGTGCATTGCTTTCCTCCCGGGAGCAGAAGCAGCTACTCTCCTGATTGGTTTTATCCTTCTCCAGTTGACAGCATGTGCTCAGAGACCACCTTGTACGATAACCCTCCTTCCCCAGTTTCTCCAGCATCATCCTGCCCCATGGATGGAACCTGGATGAGAGCTGAGAAGGATGTCCAACAATTATAGAAGGAGCAGAGTGAGTCTACAAATGAGCAAAGTCAAGGACTTTACCACCTGCCTGGCTCTGCCTGCATTTTTAAAAAGACAAATTTGTGGCCGGGTGTGGTGGCTCATGCCTGTAACCCCAGCACTTCGGGAGGCCGAGACGGGCGGATCACGAGGAGAGGAGATCGAGACCATCCTGGCTAACACGGTGAAACCCAAGCTCTACTAAAAATACAAAAAATTAGCCGGGTATGGTGGCAGGCGCCTGTAGTCCCAGCTACTTAGGAGGCTGAGGCAGGAGAATGGCGTGAACCCAGGAGGTGGAGCTTGCAGTGAGCCAAGATCACACCACTGCACTCCAGCCTGGGGACAGAGCGCGACTCCGTCTCAAAAAAAAGAAAAAAAAAAAAAGACAAATTTGTATGGAAGGCATTTAAGGGGATGTAAATGTGTATGGAAATTCAGGAACCAGGATACATGGCTGAGAGCATTTGAGTGAAAGATAAAATAAGACAGATAATAATATCACTGTAAGAGCAGAGACCACCCAACATCTCAGCCTGAAAGAGGATATTGAAAATATTTACTGAAAGAAATCACAAAACTGGCAGAAAGGCAAGATATGATAGCGATACAAGATTTCAAGTATTTAGACATGCTAGAAGTTTAATTCTTTTAAAACAGGGCATCTGATTTTTCCTTCTAACAGCAGTATTTCCCTGGAGGTTAAGAAATCTTTGAGAAGAGCTGCTATCGGGGGTTTAATTTTCCACCTCAAGGAAGCCTTAGTAACAGGCTAGAAATGTTTTTTTCTGTAAAGTGACAGATAGTAAATATTTTACACTTTGTGGGCCATATGGTCTCTGCCTCTGTCATAGCTATTCGACTTTGCCCTTGTAGTGCAAAAGCAGCCATAGACACTACTAAACAAGCAGATGTGGCTGTGTTCCAATAAAACTTTATTTATAAAAACAAATAGCAGACCAGATTTGGCCTACAGACTGTAGTTTGCCAACCCCTGCCCTAGATGGTTATATGGAACTAACGATGTCCCAGTGAGAAAATGACCACACCCTACCAGTGTTTATATTAGCTAACAGAGAGGGTGCAGCCATATGCAGTGGCTCACACCTGTAATCCCAGCAATTTGGGAGGCTGAGGTGGGAGGATCGCTTGAGCCCAGGAGTACAAGACCAGCCTGGGCTACATAATGAGACCCCCATCTCTACAAAAAAAATAAAAATTAAAAAAAAAATTAGCTGGGTGTTGTGGTACATGCCTGTAGCCCCAGCTATTCAGGAGGCTGAGGTGGGAGGATCACTTGAGCCCGGGAAGCCAAGGCTGCAGTGAGCTGTGATCCCACCACTGCACTCCAGCCTGGGAAACAGAGCAAGACCCTGTCTCAAAAAAAAAAAAAAAAGGGGGGGTATGCTGTGGAAAGGATGATAAAGAAAATAAAAAGTTGGAGGCCAGGCGCAGTGGCACAACCTGTAATCCCGGTACTTTGGGAGGCTGAGGCGGGTGGATCACTTGAGGTCAGGAGTTTGAGACCAGCCTGGCCAACATGGTGAAACCCTGTCCCTACTAAAAATAGAAAAATTTGCCAGGCGTGGTGGCACGCACCTGCAATCCCAGCTACTTGGGAGGCTGAGGCAGGTTGAACCCAGGAGGTAGAGGTTGTGATGAGCTGAGATTGCGCCATTACACTCCAGCCTGGGTGACAGAGCAAGACTTCATCTCAAAAAAAAAAAAAAAAGAAATAATGAATTTGAGTCTATGGACACATCTAAAAGGGCAATGTGATTTAAAAGAGATTCACTGCTTTAAATTATTTCATTCTGGCTGTATAATAGATAACAATTCTAATTCAGAAGATATTTAAAGGAGATAATATGGTTACCTAAAAAGTTCTGTGATGAAATCAGATTATGTAACAAAATATACAGAAGATGAGGATGCACTCATAATATATAAAAACAGAACAGTTATAAAAGTATAAGGATAAACTTGTAAGAAAAGTGGCTAAAGCTTAGAAAAAATGGTAAAAGACTTGTTAAAGCTATGTTCAAAAGAAAGTGATCCAGGAAGTGATAGAAACAGTTTTGTGTGATGATGGAAGGTTACACAATGACAAAGAGAAGGCAGAGGTATTCAACTTTTATCTTGCTTTTTATATCTTCCACAAAGGAAAATGATCTTCAAACTGCAAAGGGTAAGGCAAACATGGTTTAAGATAAAACTGAAACCCTATATGGGAAAAGGAATAGTTAAAAAGTAGTCAGTCACTTAAACATACACATCAGGTACTGTCCCAGGACAATGACAATAACTTAACAACAATGGCTAGTGTTTACTGAGTTCTTAAGAGATGCCAGGCATTGTGCTAAATACTTAATAAGCATTAACTAATTTAGTCCCCACAACAATATTATGTAGTATGTATTATGATTTTTCCCATTTTATGGATGAATAACTAAAATATTAAGAAACATGTTCAAATTCCCAGTTAGTAAGTATAGAGCTAGGTCCTGAATTCAGTGTGTCTAGCACATAAGTCTTGCTTTTATAGATACTTAAATAACCTGAAGATTTGTTCAAGAATCATTATCAATAATCCTTAAGAAATTATGCAGAATAAAAAGATACCTAAATGGGAGACCGGCATGGGTTGTTATTTTTAAGACAAACAAAAAAACAGTGAAATCCATAAAATATGACCAGTTCTAACTTGCATAGATTCACAGAAAAGCTCTAAACCAAACCGTTAAGCAAATAGTGCTGTTGCTTTAAAAAAAATACAGTATGTGATCACCAGGAATCAGCATAGATTCATTACCAGTCCATTTCTGCACTAGCCCTGCCCAGCTGCCAGTAATAATAACCCTAACAACATAGTCTCAGCCCAGATCCAATCCTGAGTTTGGGAAAGGCAGGTCTTACGTTATGCTAAAGAAGATTTCCATTAGTGCTGGATATCTGCAAACTGTCTTCTGCTGTATACCTGCTGTTACTACGCTAGGCCTGAACAAAGCCCTGAGTGTCTAATGGAGCATCCAGCTTTCCTCTATCCTGTCACCTGTGAACAACAGCCTGCCATAATGAGCTGCCTAGGTCCAATTTCCAAACTCCATGTCAGTGGTTTGAATCTGAGCTTTACCATTTACAAGCAGTCATGAAACTTAGGGTAAACTACTTCACTTCCTTGATAATTTCTTCATCTGCAAAATAAAGCACCCTAGAACCCAGTAACACCGGGTTACTGTGATGGTTCACTGCAATGGTTAAGTGAGATACATATTAAAGCACTCCAAACACCACAATATGCTAAATAAATAATTATTGGCTGGGCGCAGTGGCTCAAACCTGTAATCTCAGCACTTTGGGAGGCTGAGGCGGGCGGATCACGAGGTCTAGAGACTGAAACCATCCTGGCCAAAATGGTGAAACCCCATCTCTACTAACAACACAAAAATTAGCTGGGCATGGTGGCACGCACCTGCAGTCCCAGCTACTTGGGAGGCTGAGGCAGGAGAATCGCTTGAACCGGGGAGGTGGAAGCTGCAGTGAGTTGAGACTGTGCCATTGCACTCCAGCCTGGGCAACAGAGCCAGACTCTGTCTCACAATAAATAGATAAATAAATAAATAAATAATACAAGTTATTAACCTTATTTTTTAATAGAATCTTATTATAACCTTTGCTGATAGGATTATTAGACTGGTGATTCAGAGAAATATAAATACATGGGATCTTGATTTCAATGGGGGCATTTGGCCAAGTTTCCTATGAGATCTTTGAGACTATAAGAGAGAATGGTGGGCAGATTCATGGTGCAATCAAGGAGGCTCACAGCTAGATGAGGGGAATGCATCTTAGAAGGAGCCTTTGTGAACTGATCCAAATTCACCCACGCAACAGCAGCATCCACCTGCCCCTGATCTTGAGCCGGTAAAAACCAGACCCTCTGATGTTGTGGGGCCTTCCCACCATTAATCTGTGTTTAAAAATGGCCTTTGGTTTGTCTACATTTGAATTAATGTATCGGTAATTTATAATTTATACCCAGCTACTTCCACAGAATGTATGAAGCAGGTAACCTGTTTATTCATGATTTGGATAAAGGCAGAGGGAGCTGCTTATAAAAGGATGACATCAATCCCCGAGTGACAGAATTTGGATGTAAAATAGACCTTGGCAAGCCAAATCAAACAAGATGAAGTGCAACAGTGACAACCACCAGGTCCAGCACTTCAGTCCAAACCACAGCCCCCCAACAAAAAAAAACCCATCTATATAATAACAGGGTGGAGAATTTGCTTTGAAATAGCATGTGTGTTCAAGATTTAAAGCTTAGATGATAATATCAATCAGAAGTTCAATGTGATTGTCAAAAAAAAGCAATGCAACCTCTCTTAGGCTACAACTGTAAACATAGAATATTCAGAATGAAGAAAAATGTTTTCCTGGTATGTTCTACGTGGGACAGATCACATATGGACTACTAGTTCAGTTCTAGGCATTACCTAGAAGCACTTGAGGTCGTATAGAGGTGGTTTGAACAGAAAAAATATTTAATCTAAAAATTTTAAATTATACTAGTTGAAAGACCCAGTGGCATTTATTTCCTAATACTTGCAGAACATCATTTACTCACACTCTATTCTCCCTTTAATCCTCTACTGAAATTGCTTGCATAGACGTCACCAGTAATCCCCATATCACCAAATGCAATGGTCAATTTGATCTCTCATCTTCCTCTGTCATCTGCATTCAACAATGTTGACTACCCTCTTATTTGTGAAATGATTCCTTTTCTAGGTTCAATAACACTTCAGTATCCTGGTTTCTTCCTACTTCAGTGGTCAGTCTTTTCTGTCTCTCTCTGTCTCTCCTCCTTTTCTCACCCTCTAAAAGTAGAATGCTCCAGGGATTGATACCTGACATTTTTTCCATCTAACTAGGCTCACTCCCTAAATGACTGCATCCATATCCATGGCGTTAAATACCATCTCTATGCTGACAGCTCCCAAGCTGATATGTCTAGTTCTGACTTCTTCAAACCTCAAGATTCAAATGGATTTCTAAATCAGAAATACCTTAAACTAATTCAGACAAAAACACTTCCTGTTTTCTTGCACCAACGTTGCCTCTCCCTAAGTCTTCCGTATCTCAGTTAATACCAACACCATTTATGCAACTGCATAGTCATCCACAATTCCTCTCTTTCCTTCATCCCTCCATATGCAACCTCCGCAAGTTAAGTCAGCTGTACAATGAATATATATCTAGAATCTAACACTGTCCACCACCTCCATAACTGCGACCTTAATCCCCATCATTTCTCACCTAAATGATGAAACAGCCACCTAAGTGTCTCTCTCCCTTACAAACTATTCACTCTCTAGCTAGATTAAAACATAAAAAGACAACATCCTCCAATCATCCTCTTTCCATCACACTTAGAATAAAATGACTTTCCATTATAGAATAAAAATCCAAACCTCTTGCTGTAGCCTGAAAGGCCCTCATGATTCAGTTCCTATCTATCTTTCCAATTCCTTTTTTTAATACACTTATGCTCACTACATTCCAATCACATTGACTGTCTAGCTACTGCTCAAACATACCAAACTCGCTCATGTCCTGGGGCATATGTCCTGGTTGTTGGTTCTCTAGTGGCCCACTCTCTTTGATCTATCAGGTATCTGCACAAATGCCACCTGCTCCAATAGATCTTCCATGACTACATTACCCAAAAGAACCCTAAACTCTCTATATTTGTTGAGGAATTTAACATTGTCTAAATTTATATCATGTTTTACATGATTAATATTTATGTCCTCCACTAGCAAGTCAGTTCTACAACAGGGCTTTTGTCCATCTTCTTCATCACTACATTCCCAGTGGCTACAGCAATGCCTACCACTTAATTGGCAGTAATAAATGTCTGCCTACTAATCTGTGCATTACAGGTAGCCATCACACCCAGTCAAAAGTCTTTATTTCAGATGTATTAAGCATTCAAAAAATGGATGGGAACATGAAGGAGAAGTCCTGAGAGAGAGAACACAGAGAGGCCTTTCTATGATGCCTACCCTAAAGCTTGTACTGGAAAGACTAAGACTAAGTGAGAGAGATTTCCAGAAATGGGAAGGATCCAGAGAAATGTTCAGTCAAGAACCAAAAGGTTGGGAGAATCTTGATTTTAGACTTCTCAGAAATCAGGATGAAGTAGGAAGCAGCCAACCCTTAACCACAAAAGCCTAATTTCTACACTGTTCTCTTCCCAGATAAGGTAAGTAGAAAGACTTCATCTAAAACTATTGGTATTTCTTCATTGGTATTCCAAAATAATGGTAAACTGTTGTTTGCACTGAAAAGGGCTTTGTCGTGTGTGTGTGTGTGTGTGTGTGTGTGTGTGTGTGCGTGTGCGTGTGTGTGTGTTTGTGTGAATGGCCACAGCTACTGTTGGGCAGCTTCTCTTCCATAGCTACAGCTTACAGCTCTCACCAGACCCCTGAGGCATGTTTCCTTTCCCCTTGCCCATTCAACCAGGGGTGATCACAGCTTCCAGCTGTTGCTAGTCTCCAGCCTGTTAGTCATCAGCTCATGCTAAGTCTCTTATTTCTTCCCACCACCTCTGCAAATAGTACCTTTAACAAACTCTCTTCAATTAAACCCTTTGAGTATGCCATTGTCTCCCTGCCAGCACCCCGACTGAAACACAGGTAGGACCCAAAAGATGAAACCCTTCCCTGGGGCAGCATCTTCTATCCAATCAATTTAATGTGGCTGCTATATATCTCCGTTTTGGTCACTACCTGAACTCCAAGACTGGTAGATTAATTTAACAACAATCTCTGTTTCTAGCTAATAAGCCATTGAATCACCATTCCCCCAGACATCTCCTTGATACGGTCCTACCTGAATATCCTTACACTTACAGTTCTGTTCTATTTTTACTCTCCACTTAACCCTGCCTTCCCAAATGCAACCCACTAGCCATTCCCTAGGATGCCTCTGATGCTGCTGGTACCTCTGCAAGAAGGGTATCAGGTATCAGCCAAAGCAGCTAAGACTCAAAGATGAGCATGTGGCCCTGCAGAGCAATTGGAAAGGAAACCAGGAAAGTAAAGTAGAGGCCCATGGTGGAACTAGATTGTAAGAACTGAAGGGATGGCTGCAGGTGCATGGCCAAGTTGCCAGACACTATAGATGGTAGGGTGTGGAGCTACTTGCTGTGGTAAAGCCTGGTTTGGGATGGGGACAGGTCTAAGCTAACAGAATGAGGTTCACCCTGCCTGAAGGTGAGCAGGGCTAGAAGCGGTAAGAGTGAATATTTTCCTCCTCCTCAAGCCTTCCTCTTACCCTTCAATATCTTCTGCTCACCACCAACCTACTCAAATTGCTGATTCTCCTAAAATATCTGTTACCACCACCAAGTCCTACCACTTGAGGAGACTATATGCACATAGAGGCATGAATTCTGCCTTCTATTTCTGCTGTTTTCTGTAGCATTTAGCCTAGTGCTAAGTACCAAGAGGACTTCAGAAAATGTTTATTAATTCACTAGCTAATCTTGGCAGCTGATTTTTCAGTGACTCTCACAGACTCAAATCCTAATACTCCTTGACAACCCATGCCTACCCATGCTCTTCCTCTGTGTCCAAATCTCTCCAGCCAACTGTTTCCATGTATGTTTTATTCAAAAATCAAAAATTACACAATAACTAAATTTCCAGAAGTTGCATGCCATTGACTCTTGTCCTTAGGAAACTATTTGGAAACAGGGTTAGATACTATAGTTTACATATACATTATTTCCTTTTCTTCACAAAATTCGTTAATGGTGGGATGTGACAGGCATTGTGACTTCCACTTTAGAATTAATGAAACCAAGGCTCAGAAAGGTTAAGTAACTTACACAAGACTGCAGGGCTTGTAAGTGATTTTAACTCAGATTAGAATCCAGGTCTGTGCCCGCTATTCCACAGTGCTTCTCCGTTAGCACGTCTCTCTTCCTACCCCAGGTTGATACCCTCTTTCCTCCACAGGCTACCAAGTGGGTGTAACATCACAGACAGATGCCCATAACAGGGCATCTGGCCATCACGTACAACTTCATCACTGGCAGGAAGCCAAGACCCCAATCCACATGCTGAGTCCTGACGCCTGGCTTCCACTTGCTGTTGCACTCACTCCTCAGGAGTGATGCTCACCAACACTCTATATGGAAAGCATGGCTCCAAGTTCTGATGTCAGCAAAGCCATGTGTGCTCATACATCCTCAGCCTCTGATCATCTGTCAAGGCAGATATGACCAGCAGCCAGAAAACACTCTGCTCTGGTACTCTTCTAGGTCTCCAGCTAAAAAATCCGATCACAATCAGCAGCTTGTTGTCTTATTTCTCCTGTTCCTGGTTCACCTGAATGGATAAGATGCTTGTTTCCATTTCCCTCTAAAAGAAGACCCAAGTTTTCTGAGAATAGATAGCCAGGAACTCCTGGGACTGTAAGATAGAGAGATAGAAGGAACAATTGGTCCATAGATGAGAAAAGTATGTGGAAACGTAAGATTAACTTAGGGTTTTAAAGAGCCATAGCTAAGTAAGCTTGACCCTGTCATAGCTATTCAAAAGGCTAGCATATGTGACCAGTAAAAAATTATAAGCCCTCTGTATCATACAAATCTTGACTATAAGCCATAGTTAGTAACTGCTATGCTAAAACAGGACTCAATAAACTACTTCACACCAACCTCAGAACATAACATGACCACACCTTCTTTTGGGATTCCCATAGCAATAATCATATGTGCATTTATGAAGCATTTCGTCTCATCCTTAGAGGAGAAAAGCATTTTCTCCATAGTAACAATACACTGAATGATCCTCCCAGAGCGCTGACTATTGTCAAGTCAGGGAATATATGATTTAAAAGCATTAACTTGATTCAAACTGCCTGGGTTTGAATTCAGACTATGATACTTACTAGTTGGATTTCCTGCCATGAGTTACTTAGCCCCTTATGCATCTGTTTCCTCGCTTATAAAACTGTGATAAAAAATAGTACCTATTTGATGGCATTATTGTGGGAATTAAACTAAATCATACATATAAAGTAAATGGAAGAGTACCCTGCAGAAAGTAAATATTCAATAAATGCTAACTATTATTAAAGACAAAGATAAGTGGAAGCCTTCTGCTTTTTGCCATGATAAAATACCTGATTTCAGGCCAGTTTCCTACTGGAAACAGCTATAAAGCTGGACAAAAGATGTGAGGCAACTATTTCCAGGCAGTGGACAATAAGCGGCATAAGACTTTGTTTCCTCAGAAAATGAAAACTTTATGAGATGAGCCCATAATCATCCTGGCTTTTTGGCCTAGAGACAATTTCCTGACAGAGAGCTAGAGTCAAAGCATAACACAGTGGCTGCACTGTGCTGAGGAGGCAGAGGTCATAGTTTGTGGCAGCTAAAAAGGCTAGAATCTGCAGGGTGGATTATTAGAGACACATGTGCAAAGAGGGCCCCATGAGTCCAAGATGAGGTCCTCTATGAATTCATGGCTGAGGGCTGAGTTATACATGCGCAGGGAAAGACTTCCAAGATTTTCTAGACAGCACCCATTACAGTGTTAAAGGTAAAACGCAGTTACTAGAGGTTGAGCACTGGTGGGGAAAGAGAAGTGCTGGAGCTGATTGGAGTTCCAGTCCTGCCAGAGTAGAACAGCCTTCTTTAAATGTTAAAACATCTGTGGCATCAATCTGAGATTCCAGAAATGCCCCTCTGTAGGAGTAAGATCTGTACCCCAAAATAAGACCTACTATAGTCTCACCCTAATAAAGACTACATTCAAACTACAACAAAATCCTCAAGGGAACAGTTTAAAGATTGAGTCTTACCAAGTTAGAGGGACTTGGAAAATGCCATGAGTTTTCCACAGATATGTAATAACAAAGCATAAAACCAAGCCTGCAAAAGTTCAAGGTGATCAGCCAGTATTTAAGCTGCAAGAATTAATACTTTTCTAAGGGAAACAACAGAATCTAGTGTCTCTAAAACATATTATCCAAAATGCCCAGTATTTAATTAAAAAACCATTTATACATACAAAGAAAATGGAAAATGTGACACAGATTTTGGACTTGGCATGTGAAACTTTAAGGCAGCTATTATAAATATGTCTTAAAAAGTACAGAAAATATGCTCAAATAATTAAAGGTAAATATGGCCCTAATGAGTGAACAGATAGGAAATCTCAGTGGAAAAGCAGAAAATTACAAAAAAAAGATGCAAATAAAAGTTCTATAACTAGAAAGTACACTAACTGAAATGAAAAAAAAAATCATTGTATGGGCTTAACAGCAAATTGGAGATGGCAGAGAGTTGGTGAACTTGAAGACAGATTAATAATATCATTGATCTATTCTTATTCTTTTATTTTTTTCACCTTGGCTGTCTGCCTAGAGACAATTTCCTGACTGCAGTAAAGAGCTAGAGTTCAAACAGCACAGAAATAAAAAAAAAAAAGGGGGGGGGGAAGATTGAAGAAAAATGAAAGAGCTGCATGTTAATATTTGACACAATATTAAATAATCTAACATATATATATATATAACTGGAGGAGTCCCAAAAGATTTTTTTTTAAATGAGATTGAAGCAGAAAAAAGCATGTGAAGAAATAGCAGCCAAAAATTTCCCGAATGCCAATTTGATTTTCACTGACTTACAGGTCCAAGAAGCTCAGCAAACCCAAGAAGGATAAATAAAGGGAATCAAACCTAATTACATCATGAACTTCTGAAGACCTGGCTAAAGAGACGATCTTGAAAGTAGCCAGTAAGAAAGAAAAATAAATTAAGTACAGGGAAACAAGGATAAAAATGACTGCTGACCAGAAGACAATGGAATAATATCTCTAAAGTGCCAAAAAAAGAAAAAAAAAGAGAAAAAACTGTCAACCCAGAATTATATTCTCCAATAATGAGAGAAAAGTAAAAGCATTTTAAGATAAACAAAAGCTAAGTGACAGAACAGCCTTCGGGCTGAAGGGAAACAACACAAGATGAAAACCCAGATCTACAAGAAGAAATAAGATGTACTGAAAATGGAAAATAAATGACTAAATATAAAAGGTTATGTTATCATTCTTTCTATAATTTACAGAAGATAACACTGTTTATTAAGACAAAAATGATTATAAGGTGAGGTTTATAGTATACATAGAAGTAAAAGATAGGACAACAATCATACTAAAGACAAGGTGGACAGTCATATGAAATTATCCTCCTGCGAAGTTATTACACTTCTGAAGTGGGAAGTGAGAATCAAGAAACAGGAAATAAAAATTGGGAGGTGATGGGTAGGAAGTGAGAAACAGGAAGTATGCAATGTCATACCTTACGTGTGAAGAGATACAATGTTGACTCTAAATAGACTAACATAATTAAGAATGCATTTTTTAGCCCTAGAGCAACCACTAAAAAGATACTAAGTAGAGGTATAAGTAAGAAGACAACAGAGGAAATAAAATAGAAAATATGAAATATATTTTATTTACCCCAAAGAAGGCGGGAAAGAAGAAACAGAGAAGCAATGAAAATCAGAAATCACAAATGAAATCCAAATAGCAAGACATAGACATTAGCCTAATCACTTCAATAATTACATTAAATATAAATATACCAACTCTCCACTTAAAGGGCAGAGATTGTCATGCTGAAAAAAAAGCAAGACCCAACTATATGTTATTTATAAGAAAAGCATTTTAAATATAAAGGAATATATGGGTTAAAGTAAAAGGATAGAAAAAGCTGTACCCTGCAACTACATGATCCAGCAATTCTACTTTTTGACATATGTTCATAATAATATTTGAATGTAAATGTCCTTTGTAGGTTTATTCGTAATAATCAAAAACTGGAAATGATCCACTTGTCCATAAATAGTAAACAAATTGTGGTATATTCATAAATTCAATACTCAATAAAAAGGAACAAACTACTGATATGTGCAATAAAATAGGCAAATCTCAGTTTGCTAAGCAAAAAAAGCTAGATTCAAAAGATTACATAGTGTGTAATTCCATTTATATGAAATTCTAGAGCAAAGCTAATTTGTGGGGATACAGATAAGAGTGATAGTTGTCTTGGGTAGGGAACTGGTGAGTAAAACTGACTGCAAAAGGGCACAAGAGAACTTCCTTCGATGATGGAAATGTTCTACTTCTTGATCAGAGTTGCTAGCTATTACAGTTGCTTATGTTTGTCAAAAGTCATGGACCTGTACACTTAAAATACGTAAATTTTTGTGGCAATTTTACTTCAATAAAGTTGATTTAATTTCTTAAAAAATAAAGACAATTAAATGCTTCTCTTCTCTTTTTGCCATTACATCAAACTTCAACTTACGCTCATTCAGGAAAGAAAGAAAAGAGAAATGGAGAATTAGAACAAAATAGGAGCTCACCTCGAAAGACTTTAACTGTTCCCTACTCCTTGTCTATTCTGAATGTAGTCTTTGAATTACCATCCAATATCATTATTATTGTTACTAATCAACTTTGTTGATCTTCAGTAGCGTTTAGTTATCTATAAAAATCTAGTTTTTAAAATTCTGCTGTGGATCAGGGAAGTTCAAAAACACAAAATACATTCTTGATATGGTTTGGATGTTTATCCCTTCCAAATCTCATAGAAATGTGATCCCCAGTGTTGGAGGTGGGGCTTGATGTGAGGTGTTTGGGTCAGGGGGCTGAATCTTTCATGAATGGTTTGGTGCCTTTCCCCAGGTAATGAGTGAGTTCTCCCTGCTGTGGTTCACAGGAGATCTGGTTGTTTAAAAGAGCATGGCATGCCTCCCCTCCCTCTCCCTTGCTCCTTCTGTTGCCACATAACACGCCTGTTTCCCCTTCACCTTCTACTATGATTGAAGGTTTCATGAGGCTCTCACCAGAAAGACAGATGCCTGCACCGTGCTTTTTTTTTTTTTTTTTTTTTTCCTTTTTGAGACAAGGTCTTAGTCTGTCACCCAGGCTAGAGTGCAGTAGTGCAATTTTGGCTCACTGCAACCTCTTCCTCCTAGGCTCAAGTAATCCTCCCAGTTCAGCCTCCTGAGTAGCTGGGTGCACACCACCATGCCCAGTTAATTTTTGTATCATTTTTAGTAGAGGTGGGGTTTCACCATGTTGCCCAGGCTGGTTAAAATGCTTCTTGTACAGCCTGCAGAACCATGAGCCAAATTTTCTTTATAAATTACCCAGTCTCAGGTCGTTTATAACAACACAAAATGGACTGATACAGTTTTTAATCCAAGAAACATATCCAGCCCACAGAAAGTACACAGAATACAAAACTAGAAAGGGTTGAGTGTGCCTGTGCATTAGGTACGGCATCAAGGCAGGAGCTGGGAAGTAACCACAGTGACCTGTAAACCTGTAAGTGCAGGTCCATGGTCCAGTGGTATTTGTATTGCAAGCTTATGAATATGTGGAGAAAAGAGTTTGCAATCTGTAGATTCTATTGCTAATTTTTACCAGTCCACTGAGATATTTACAGTTTCACCATTATAAGTGAAACCAAGACTTAAATATTTTGCAATAGGGCCTGCCTTTTGAGTCTGTTCCATCCCATTCACCCCTCAGTGCCCTGATGCCACTTACACCCACAGCATCTGGGAAAACAATACAATTTACAGTTACTTAGATCCATTTTGATGGGCTTTACCTCAGACTGCTTTATGATTTATGGAAAAGCAGAATAAGGAAACCTTCTCACCTTTAAAGAATTCCACATAGCTCAGCCTGAAGGCATTATTCCCCAGCGGTTTTTATTTCTTACCTTGCCGTTTGTCCTCCAACTCATCTCCTTGGCGCACACACACACACACGCACACACACGTACACATGCAAACAGATAAGTCTCCAAACTACCAAAATGACGAAGTGGGAGAAAAGATTGATTTATGAGGGTAATACAAGGGGTGTAACTAGGAGATAATGGGGTGAAATTGAGCAAAGGGAAGTGTAGGCTGAATATCAAGAAACATTTCAACTCAACAGAGTGTGAAGCAAGCTCCCAGGAGAAGCCAGGGAAGCCCTATGGCTGGAAATCATTAAACACTCAACCATGGGAAATAACAGGTGGCCTGGCTGGTAGAAAAAAAGGGAGCAGGGGTGAAATTTACATTTCACTAAAATCCTAGAACCACTTTGCTAAATAAGCCATTCTGTAACGGATGAGTGTTCCATCTCTGTATTATCTCTCTCCCTCCCTGCCCCACCCTGACATATACCCCACAATCACCCATGCTCTCCACACACCTTCCAACATGATGATTGAAACTAGGGGACTCTCCACACACCTTACAGGGACTTTGGGGCTCCAATTCACATTAACCCTCTCTCCAATTTCCCTTCATTTCCCACATTTTCTTTCACTAACCATTATTATTTATGCTAGTGCCCCACTAGCTTCCCCAGGGAAAGCAGACACACATATGTTCACACACACACACACACACACAGTAGGTAGGAGGTAGATAGGAGGGTGGGTAGACAGGGGATTCACACTCTCTGTGGCCGTTGGATAGAGCTGGGCCAGTTACCAAGAATGACCAAAACAGTACTGCTAGATATTGAGAATTAGCTTATATTTCATTGCCTTCTATTTTTAGTATTTTGATACTCCTTTATGTTCCCACATTGAACCTGGTCAAAAGCTAAAAATGCCTGTAACTAGCACACAGCTCCCCACAAACCTTGCAGCCAGAAAGTTGTCCCAGAAGAAAAGCTGACAACTCCAGTCATATGCATGATAAGGCTGAGGCAGGTTGCCAAACCCTCCTGCTGTGAAGATGGACAAAGGGACAAGAAAAAAATCACAATGATGCTCTGATTTCAAAGCCAGGTGAGGAACGGGATTGGGTGTGACCTTTTGTTTCTGAGTCTGAGGTGTAAAATTCTGTGGGGTAGGATGGAGGATATAAACTGTGGGGAGCATGACTTGATAGTCTAGAGAAGTTGGGGACAGGACAGCCACCTCAGTGGCTGAGGTAGATCGGCATAAACTGCCCTTAAACTGGACCCACAGGGAAGTGGTGGCCGAGGCATGCAGCATTCACAGCATCAAACCCAGGGGACCATCACTGCAGATTTCCAGTCTGTTAGCGTCCTAAGGACAAATGAAAAGTGTCACTTCTAGATCTACGTGTGTGCAAACCATGGTAGCCGAAGGCTGAAAACAACTAAACATAAGATTGAAAGCTGATCAGGTGAGAATGAAAATGAGGCCCAACTGTGACTAATTCTATGCTGGCTCCCGCAGCGCAGTGTCTGCTAAGGACAACTGGAAAAGCTTAAATGTTAGCATGTTACTGCCCTCTCCTGGGCAAAAGGTCAAAGTCGGTACAAATGTTTGAGTCACAACTTGTTCAAGTTTGTGTGCCCCATAGCAGTTAATCTTTAATCCACTCTTTTACAAGCCTTTGAAAAAAGGTCTGCTTTTACCGTCTTCCACGTGCAAACCTCTCTCCATGACCACCACCATGTTACTTTTTCCATTGGAACCAAGGGCTTCTGAGATCACAGACTTCATCGGGGGTCATAAGTAATTGTGGGAAAGGGATTAGCATCATTTGCCAGAAGAGCTGATATGACAGGGGTGGGGAGGACAGCCCAGAACTTCAGAGCTGATCTACTCTTTAAGCAAGAACCCCCTTTTTCTGTTTATTGCCCTGCAACTGTTCTAGGCAATTCTGGGTCTGAGAAAAAACCCTCCTACAATCTTCATCCCACTACATACTATGTCTATACTTCAGCCTCAGGCACAGGCACTATTTGGGAAGCTAAGTTGTACAACTGAATAATGTAATTAAATGTAATTCATTCCAAATGTTAAGGGCTAGAATGTCTTCTCAAAATTAATGAAAACTCAATTCATTTGGAAATAATTATTTCACGACTTTTAGTTGCTGTACAAATAACATTTTAACAGAAGATACATATGAACAAGTAAAATAAAATGAGGCAAATTAATTAATGATATCCTAATAGGCCTAAGTTAGATAATCATCTATTTTCTATAAAGTTCCCAAGTAAGTTACTTATTTCCAACTCTTCATTCATACAAACTACTAATGTATATAAATTAAAATAATTCAAATTAGTGGGAGTTTAGAATACAGTATCTTTCAGTAGAGACAATAATCACTTTGAAGGATTCTCATCCTCAACAAATATTTATCCAGAGCCTGCTGGGTACACAGCACTATATGGGAGAGACACAGCACAATCTCATTATCATCTCTCCCTGTGAGGATAAATTGCAGAAAATCCTGAAAGCCACTGTCGGAGTTATCTTGCTTGGCTGGCATTTTGATCACATCCTTGACCCCTCTGGTCCCTCAGAGGCCCTCCCATCCCGGTTCATGGAGAAAAGCATCTCTTTAGCAGCAGGTGGTATGGGGTGGGGGTGGAGCAAGGGATGCCACAGGGAATTAGGGGACCTGACTTCTAGCCTTAGAGCAGCCACTGCTCCCGTCTGATAAGAGCACACCCCCAGGCACTTCTCAGTAGATGTGCCTGCCTGTGCAACAGCACTTCAGGAAAAGTTCACTTAATCCTCACAACAGCCCCATAGGTGGATCTTCTTATTACTCCACCATTTTAAGGATGAAAAAGGAGAAGTGTACAAAATTTAAGCATTTTGCCCAGTTACAAAACCTTAAGAAATAGAGTCAGGATTCAAATGCAAGGCTGTCTGAGTCATAACTTCACATCTGAAATGGAATCAACCCATCAGGCTTGCTATTTTCCTGACAATAATTTGTTTATGTAAAGGATCCTGAAGTCAGATGATGTCACACTCCTACTCAAGATTCTCCCCTGACTCCCCCATTGAATTTAGAATAAAATCCAAGCTTTTGCCATGGCCTTCAAAGCCCTACGTGAACTGGCCCTTGACTACCTCCGTGATCTCATCTCTCCCACTTCTGCTCCATTCACTAAGCCCTAAGCATGGCCTCCTTGTTTTTCTTTAACAAACATGTACATTTCTACTCCAAGGTCTTTGTATTTGTTGTTTCCTCAGCCTGGGACGCTCTCATCCCAAAGAACTACATTCCTACCTCTTCAGTTCATTTATGCCTCTCTGCTCAATGTCACCTTATCCAAAAGGCCTTTCCTGGCCCCTCTACCTAAAACAGAAATTTCCGTCACTGTCTAGCCCCTCACCTATAGTCCATTTTATTCACAGTACTCATCACTCTCGTCTATGATCATATTTGCATCTCTTCGTTTATTGTCTTTCCCATTACGATGAAAGCTTCAGGAGGCAGTGACCTGGTCTCGCCTGCTCACTGATGTATCCCAGGCACTAGAACAGTTCATGGCACATAGTAGACGCTCAATAAGTATCTACTGAATTAATGAATAAATAAATGAGCATAAATCCCTTTATCAATATATCCAGATTTGGGTACTTTAAGTTTCATTTGTAAAACAAATCTAGAAAAGACAATCTCAAATTTATATGGATGGGCCTATTCATTACCCAATTTATCTAATTTCATCCATTTCTGTCTAGGTCTTATATCATTCTCCAAATCTGAAACACCCTGTTTTGAACTGCCACCATTTCCTTCCTATAAGTGCCTTCCATGATTTCCTAAAACCCTTCTTTAACCACATACTGTTGAGGAGAGGTAATATTCCAAAGCCACTATCTCAGTCATACAACCCAACATTTCACAACACTTCACACAAGTCTAAATCACCAAATGACTCCTATGTGTTGCTACAGATAGAATCCTTGTCCATGCCCCAAGGTAGCTTCCCAACAGAAGCAGAGCTGTGTGTACGTCTACTTGAGACGCTTCTCCCAGCTGGCTGGCCTGCTGTCCACCTCTTGCTCTGTAGCCAGGTTCTTGCAAAGCTCCACATACAGAGAGACACTTACTGAGATGCCTTTGAGAAAAATGGTAACAGCAGCTCCAGTTATTCAGCATCTTTGTATTTTACATCTACTTCCTCTAGTCCTCCCAACTCTGCATGGTAGGCTTCCTACTTCTCATTTTACAAACAATTAAAATGAGCATCAGAAAAGTGCAACAACTTGCCCAAGGCCATGAAGTTAGTTAGGGGCAGGGACGTGAACCCATAACTGACTTGAGTCCAAAAAAGAAACATTTCTTATAGTTTTAACATAGAAATATAAAGGCTTTCACCTAATAAATCAAGTATTTTTCATCAATTGACTATATGTCTCAGACCATGACAGGTAATCTAGAATACAGAAGAAATGTGGAAGTTCCCAGCTGAGAGGGAGAGCTATGGGCCATTGATTCAGTTATCTATTTTCTTACATGCTTACGGCTTTAATTTTTTAAGTTCTGGACTGTTGGTTAAGTTAATTTGTATGATTCCAGTAAACCATGAGTTGTTTATCATAAATCACTTCTCAGATGGCTACAGCTAGAAAAATAAATTACTTTTCTAGGGTGATGTGCTTTTTAAGAATAGAGTGGTTCAATAGAAGTTCCTAAGTTGACACTAATCATAAATAGGGGCTAAAAGTTCAGGGTCTAAACAAATTGTGGCAGGCCAAAAACGAAAAACACAAAGCAAACACACAGGCCCACAAAGCAAAATGCAACTAAGCACCTGCTACTCTTCTTGTTCCAGATTCTTAATCCATTGAAGGTATCATTGTTATGACATTAGAAAGAGTGAGAAGTGGCAGGGTGGTAAGCATTTTTATGAGGTGTTACAATGTTTTAACTAACCTACACCTCCTTCTGAAGGCTTTGTTTTCCGTATCACTCCAGATCCCTGTCACACTGCAGGGTGTTACTGCTTGAGTCTGGCTCTGCCTGTGTGATCCTGGAGAAAGATTATTTAGGAGCTACCTACCGCTGTTGATACGAGAACCTTGGTCTTACCTGGCAGAACAGTGATAAGTTCCTGTGAATACAATGGCAGCAGATTTTCTATAGACCACTTCCACTGTTTCCTCTCCAGAGCTAGCCTTTTCATAGAGCACAGTGGGCAGCACCAGTACCTACCTGTGTGTACAAATCCTACAGTGAGATGGGCTGTATTAAGAGTCAATGAGGGGTGATCTCTTGGCTTCAGAAGCAACAGTACAAAGGCAGTCACTAAAGCAGGTCAGTCTAACCCCAGCTGAAGTCTGTGAGACATGGGAACATAAACAACTAGTTCTTCACCTGATTGATTTCAGAGGCAATAGAGTCTGATGCAGTCATACTTGGAAGTAAACCATCTATTACTACATTTAATTCCAAGGAATGACTACAGATGCCAAACAGGGCAGCCTAGGATGCCAAGCCACTGCTCATATTATAACAACAGTGCATATTATAACAATGCAAGAAAATGGAAGAACAAGCCTCATTTGGGAACAGAAGTAGCAGCTCTGTGGGAAATTCCAGAGTATGATGTTAGACAACCCCATGGAGAGATAATGAGTGAAAATATTGATGGGTCAAAAGAGGAAACAAGGACAGTCCAGTGTTGAAGTTAGTATAAATATGTAAATTCTGTGTGTGGAGGGGGTAAATAATGTCTTCAAACTTGTTTGCTCAGTTACCCACTAAAAGGATTCTTAAAAATTTGTTTTAAGCTGATACCTAATTTCATTCATCATAATCTAAATAGTTACAAAGTATATAATTTCTGGCATATAATAAATACTAACATTTTAAAATAAAATTACTTCACCACTCTTCCAAATTATTCCATGGAATATAAAGACCATAGTAACTTTATATCTACCACCATCCATTTTTAAAATGTAAGATTAACCCTTTTTTTAAGTTATACATTTGATATCATTCCTTCTTTTCCCTGACATTGAATTCCTCTTCCATCTCCCCCACAAAATTTTATTGTAATGTAATATATAGGTTACATTATATACATGATGCTTGAAAGTATTTTACTGGTCACTATTATACTTCTTTGCAACCAAAATATATATATATAAAAGTTTCAGTTTATAATTATTTTTTATTTCCTGTAATCATAGGTGTTTAAGTGTTGTTTTCTGGATTGAGATAGTGTTACAATAATTATTTGTAAACATTTGGTGAAAATAAAATAACCACATTAATTTTGACAGACAAATATTAAACATAAATGGTAAAATCTTATTACATTTTATGATATGTGTATTTTACCACAGTTTAAAATATGTGTATTTTACCACAGTTTAAAATATATAAAAATGTATTATTAGGACTGTTATCTTTTAATAAGCTGGAGACAGAGATAGTCTATGGTTCTTGATGAAAGGATGCTTCTCCTAACACAAATATTTCCAATTATCCCTTTATGTGACCCTTAGAAGTGTTTTCACCTTTGAGCGATGCATATAGTAAAATTTGGGTAAGTGAGAGGTGTGATTTTCTTTGGTAAGGAGAGAAAAGAGCAACCATGAAAGGAGAGGTGACACTTTCTCTAGCAGATGGATTTTAGGAAAGACTATAGTAGGAAACTGATAATCTGAACATTAAGTCCTTTAAAATGATCCATGCCTTCATACTGCTTTGAAAGTCTTCATGTACTCACAAAAGTATCTGTTCTCCAGTTTGTTGCTGTGTTGCAGAACTTCTCAAACACTTTAGACCTGTTGCTTTTCCCACTGACTGGTCAGTGTAGCTAATAAACCATGAGGTTGCACGTATGTATCCCCTCACTGTCTACAACACCATTGATAGGAAAAAACTGAGGCTCGCCATGTGAATTGTCCTTGGATTATAGCAATGTAGGCTGCATGTTGCTTTCTTCTCCTCATTATCTTCCCATAGGGATGAGTCAGCAGCTTGGTCCAGCAAGCAGCAAAACCCATGAACCAGCCTTTGCCAGGGCAGTTGTAACATAGCTCAGACAGTCACGCTTCACCTCACTGGAGAAATGTGGCCCATAAAGGGAAAAAAAGACAATCACAAGCCCATATACGTGGTTTTCCCATACATCCAGTAGCAATCCTATCCACATCCTGCAACAGAATGTTTCAACATCCCCATGGGTGTTCTACATTGTATGTATTCTTAGATTTTCAATAATCTGTTCCATCCTCTCCTTTTCAACTTGAAACCCTAGCATCAAAAGTGGCTGTTGATCTGATAGGACCCCACCTTTGGCTGTGGCTCATTTTCCAGCTGCAGTCCAAATCTTCCAGTGATGACACGAAGCTATCACCATGGCAACCATCACTGACACACAGTGCAAAGCTGAGGATGAGGCATGAGTTGTTCTCCAACTCACTTCCATAACGTTAAACCACGCTGTAGGCTTTAACCTACTACCCTCTGGGTTTACTGTCCTGTCCCAGAACCAGAGAAGCAGCCCCCCATTTTTAAACTGAAATTGTTCTTTCACTCTCCTCAGGACCTCTCCATAAGAAAACAATGGCAAAGGTGACCATATGGCCACCTAGGCCCTGAAAGTATGGTATTTACTCACTCAAAACCCAACAATGTTGCAGTTAATTGTAGAAGTGCCATTGGGGAAGGATAAGATGGTATCTAAAAGTAGCACATGCATAAATATGATACAAAATGTCAACTTGTTGTCTAATAGCTACAAGAAAGAAGGTTCTGGGGCAAATATAACCACATTGCCTCACAGAAAAAGCCTAAAGAAAGTCTCTGCCAGGGGGGATCCTTGGGGTAAATGCTTTCTTTTCATAAGGATCAATCCAACCCTGCCCCATATGTTTAAATGCTAAATTCAAAAATGGGCTGCGATGAAAGAACAACAAACCTTTGTTAGCCCTCTGGGGGGACTAAAGATGCTGAGATGTGTTCCTTGCTGAAAGAGCACTGTAAATAGCAAGGAAGTCCTATTTTTCTTTGCTAGAGATAAAGCACAGTCTCACAGATTTGGGTCTTAGATTTTTTTATATATATCCTCTCAAATTCATTTTTGCCAGAGTCATCCGGTTCTGCTCTGATGCCAAAGATTTCAACACGGTTGGTGGTGGCAGAGCCAACACTGGTGACTTAACAAAGACTATTCACTCAAAAGCCACATTTCTGAAGAGAAGAGACCTGGATTCTGCAAGGAGCAACGGTACCTCTAATTACAAAATTTCTGAAATTCCCCTAAATGTAGGTTACATTAATCTCATCAGCATGCCAAGGATGGTGTGTCTTGATTTACTTTTGAGTAAAGACTCAAAAGTTGTGGTGCTGCGACACCCGGAATGTAAGGAAGGTAACTGGTGACTAATGGGAATTCCATGGACAGATGGGCCATTTAGAGTCACTGGCATTGTGGTCCCTCTAAACTGATGGGCAGCCACTCAGAAAACCCAGGAACCACAAACTCACCAGACTACTGCAGACCGCTTTTTCTCTGAAAGAACTAAGTTCTTGGGAAAGGAGGGAAAGCAGTCTTAAGAGAGTGTTCCCAGAGGTTCTACTACTTTCCCTGTATCACAAGTCCTCAGCAGGGGCAGGCTATTAGTCCCTGCAGCAGGTGATAGCAGAATTATCTGTGTGGTTGCCGGACTTTGGAGGGACCATTGCTTCAACCCTAAGAGTGCCCAGAGATCCAAATCAGGGCTGAATCCACTGCCTGAAGAACCCATAGTTCCTGGACAGAAATGAGGGGAGAAGGGAGATGCTGGTTTGCATTTCAGCCTGGACAGCAAGCAAACCTCAGCTAGGTAAGAGAGTTATTAGAGAAATCTCAGAAGATTCTGGTTGCTACAGAGACGTCTCAAACAGAGTTTCCAATCTTTCCAACTCCTAGGCCCTCCCACATCCTCCAGACCCTCTGAGATCAAAGGCAGAAACTTTCCTCTCCCTCTTCCTGCCTCTTCTCTCCAGGGTTGCTACAGGTTTCCAGGACCCTTAATCTGAACACTCAACCAGAGGGACCACAGGGCCTCCTGGAATCCTTTAAGTGTGGAAGCTGCCGTGGCATTCGGCAATCAGCTCAAAGCCACCGACATAAGGTGCTTCAACTGTGAGGGACTCTATGGCCTCATGATCAATATAACATCTACACTGCCATTAGCCTCTACAGGAGGGTGTCAGGTACCATGTGGTGGACATAGCATCGTTAACAAACGATTTCATTTACATACATGTTCTAGTATTACAGAGGAAGATCACAAACCACGATGCCAAGAAGTTGCATTCAATGTAGTGTATATTGATGGGCCATGAGACAGAGATGGATACAGCCTAAAGGGAATCAGCAAAATACTCACTTTTAGATATGTACCAGGCTGTACTGTGTTTGCAGTACAGAAGCCTGCAAGAACCAAACCAATCAAATTTATGTTTATTATGAACTTTATGCACGTAAGCACTGTGATTCTCCAAAATATACTAAATTCATTAAGGAGGAACTCAAAAGAGAGCAACAAAAAGTAGTAAACATTATAGAACAGGCACTTAAATTACCTTTGATCATGATGTCGATTACAGAACCTAAGAAGAAAAAATAAGAGACAACCAGAGGAAAAAGAAAAGTTACCACTTTAAGGGGAAGATATTGATCAATTTGCTATTTCTACTGAGGCTAAGGAATGGTTTTATACGCAGAGGGAAAATCATCGTATTAATCTATGGAAGAATAGCCAGTCAAAATAGGGGACCACACACTAGAAGTTACAAAAGAGGTTATAAAGTATTCTTCCTTGTTGGAAATCATTTAAACAGAGTAGATGAATCAACCCAAGAGTGTTTACTGAGACCCCAGCCCAGGCTCAGCCCCAAAGGACTGTAGCATTGGGGTTGTAAGTGGGAGCTCTGTAGTCAGATTTACATGCCTTCAAATCCCAGTTTGGTCACTTATGGGCTACACAACCTAAGGCAAGTTATTTCATCTCTTTAAGTTTATTCCTTATTTGGAAAATAAGGATGATAAGAGTACTTATCTCATTAAATTATTATGAGGATTAAGTGAGAACATACATGGAAAAGCATTTAGCTTGCTAGGATGTGCTCAATAAATTCTTGCTATTATTGTTTCTTATATTTGACTCCTTGCCTATCTAAAAATTACTGGCCTAGGTTTCTCATTTGCCAGATCACAATGAACAATGAAGAAATAAACAAAAGGAGTGCTGAGATGCCTCAGATTCCTGCACGACAGTAAATGCCCTTTGCTCTCTGAGCCTACTCTCATGCCTCTGACTCATGCTTTGGGCACAATTCCTTAAAAAGAGTTTCCACTTCAAGCTTATGGAGAAAAATAAGTTTTAGGTAAAATATTACTTTGGTAAAGCAGTTCAACCAAGGGCCAGAATTTTAATACCTCCAGAATCCCTATCAGAAATAAATTCAACATGGAATGACAGGCCTAGCCACCTACAACATAGAAAAAAGCTAAGTTTGACCAGGGAAGAGAAAAATGAAGGACAAAATCTCCAATCCAGAAGTGGTGCTTCTAGAGATAAAAATTTCTTACACCTCCCACTCCCTTGTGAACATTCCAAGAAGAGCAAGGCCAAGAGAGAGTAGTGATATGGCCTGCCAGATAAAATACAGGACACCCAATTGAATTTGAACTTCAATGATAAATATCAAATACTTTTAGTATAAGTATGCAAATATTACAATATTTGAAACATACTTCTACTAAAAAATTATTGTTTATTTGAAATTCAAATTTAATTGAGTGTTCTAATTCACTAAATCTGACAACCCTAGATATAGTACAGGGAACCTCCTGTATGCAGACTGACTGAGGCCAGAAATGAAATAGAAACACTGAAAAAACCCAGAGTGATCCCTGAGCAGTCTCTGCCTGGTAGACAAGCTAGAGAGCATTCATTCCAGGGAAGGATAGGAACCCTGCAGCCTGAATAAGAAAATCCAACGTAAAAACCATTTAGCCTAAATGTAAGGGTGAAGAAGTCCCCTCGGGCAAATTAGCTTGTCTTGTTAACAGGATATTCAAGTCAAATGATCCAGTCTGTTTGTAGAAAGCTTACTGCATCCAAAAGCCAAGCACATGCAATTCATGGTTGGTAGAGCTGTATAATTGCACCCATTTGTCAAAAATCTAGGAAGACTTCATGGACACTTAGCGTCCATACCACAGGCTCCCACACACACTGTATTTGCTTCCATCACAGCACTCACCACACAAAATATGATTACCAATTTATCTGTTCATCTCTCTCTCTAGACTGTGAGCTTCTCAAGAGTGGAGACAAGGTCTAATTTATCTGTGAAACCACAGCCCTAATAGCAAATGGCCACCATACTATATAGCTGGTTAACCTGTGTGGCTTCTGTAAGGGAATTCACAGGAAGAAGGGGATAAATAGACTTTATTGGTAATAAGAAAGAGAAGAGGGGAGAAAAAGAAAGAAAAAGAAAGCTATCCTTATTAATTGCTTGCAATAGATTAATACATTTATCTGTACAGGTCTTATACCTAAGCACAATTGATATATCAAAAGTGGATCTGTGTATATATAGCAGTAAGAGAGAAAATTATTAAAGATTTTTATTGGGTTTTTTTTTGGTTGGGGGTGTGAAGAAAGAAGTCAACGTGTATATGGTGATATAAAAATAAAAATGTATATAAGGACCTTAAGGATGTGTCTATATGTGCATGTCAGGTGCCCACACGGAATGTGTTAGAGCTTCCGTAAAGGAAGTGAGAGATATTAGAAAAAAGACTCAACCCAATTCTCTTTCTAAAAATATTCAGATCTCTGAAGCACTCGATTCTAGAATCAGTTCTCAATAACAGTCCCCGTTGTGTTAATGAAACTGTAACTCATCTTACCCACTCACCTTTATACAGTGTCCGCAGGAATCCACAAATTAGGATATAGTTAGCAACGGTCCTCCTGAATGGCATTACAGAAATGAAACTAAAATACTCTGAAAGCCTAATACTGCTTCAGGAAAATCTCCACCCTGTTTAGGAGCCCTGTGTTCTATCCCATGGAACCTCTCCTCCTGTGTTTCCTCTCTCCTTCCTGCATTCCTCCGGTGAGAACCTCCCTATCTGTACTTCCCCTCTCTATCACTTGCCCCCGTCTTTCTTTTTCATAGATTGTTGAAAACTATTTAAAAGATCCTGAATATCAAAGTCTGTCTTCTTCTGGCCATGTATTTAAGGTATATAATAGCATGAGGTTTCCAATCCCCCAGGAGCTGGGCATGAAAATAAAATGTTAGAACTTCTATTTATATTTATTTTTATCTCACCCACTTTTAATTTCTGTTTTTTTGCGTGCTTTATAATGAACACAACATATTAGACAGTATACACATATAATTATGTACTAAATAAACATGCTGGTCATTGGCATTCCAGTTCTGTAGGGCTGCATAACAAACCACCCCAAAACTTGGTAGCATAAAATAACAACCAGTGTATTACGCTCACAAATTCTGAGGGTTAGGAGTTTGGGTAGGGCACAGCTGTGATTGTTTGATTCATTTCCATGACTTTTGGAGCCTCAGTTGAGAAGACCCAAGCATCTGGGAAGTGACTCCAGGGATGCATGCTAGAATCATCTGAAACTTCTCAACTTACATGGCTGACACCTGGGCTCAGCCAGGACCACTGACCAGAGTACCTACACATGACCTGTCTGTGTGGCTTCTCACAGCATGGCAGCAGGGATGTCCAAAGGACAAATGAACCGAGGGAACCAGATAGACGCTGCATGGCCTTTTCTGACCTGGCCTCAGAAGTCACGTAGAGCCATGCTCTTCATACTCAATTAGTCAATGCAATTATGAAGCTGCCCAGATACAAGGGGAGGGGGCTGGACCCTCCACACCATGATGTGCAGTAATGACCAGGTCACATTGCAGAGGAGAATGTGGGATGGGAGAGATTGTTGTAGTTACCTTTGGAAAATAATCTACACCAATTTGCTTATTCACTCTGAGATCTGTCCCCCATCCCTTCTCTTTACTGCTCTTTATTGCAGAGAGCAAAAACCTTGCAGACCACATTTCCAAGCCTCCCGTGCCAAATAGATTCTGGCTAGGATTTACCAATGGAGATACTGCCAAGAGATGGTGGGGGTGCTGGAGAGAGGAGAAGCTACAATATATCTCCCCCTTTCTCTCTGCTTTGGTCAGCATCTTCCCAGGAGCTGTATCTCCTCCCTGACTGACATTCTCTGCCAGGCAGCCACCACTTGTTCCATTCTCAGTGGACAAGTTCTACCTTGTTCCCTGTGACCCAAAGGTTCACACTGGCTTCCTGCTTTGCTGATCTGGGGTTGCACATGGGGTTGGCCATGCCCCATTTAGCTTTCAGCTCTTCTTATCCCTTTGTCCCTGATTCCCAGCATTAAATTCTCCCTTTTGAATTACCTAGTATGGGCTGTTTTCTTCACTGAATAATAATATACACAGACTAGGGATAAAAACCCCCAAATGTTTTACTCATCAAAATGTGGGATTTGAAAAGCATGTAGACTATTGACATAGTTTCAAAACCTTGGAATGGGAGTCAGGCTGCCTGAGTTCTGGCCCTGGACCAGGCATAGCTACGTACTTTGGTATTTGCTTAGCCCATCGGCCTTAGTGTCCTCAGCCACACAATGAGTTGTCCTCTTTGGTGCTAACATTCTGTGATTCTATCTTTCAGATATAATCTGCCTACTAGGTCTGGGCCTAACCCACAATGGCATTGATTCTGAACGTCTCACCTCAGCACTAAAAAATATCTCAGCACAAACAAACGTAATTTGCTACATGATTCAACAAAGGGTGCTGGCCAGGTTAGAGATACTAGAGCCATCTCCACTGCAACAACTGGCCCCTGACATTTCACCTGAGGTTGAAATGGGACAGATGGAGCCAGCACATCCGGTTAATGTGGGAGCTCAGAGCACTTCTACCTCCTCAGCTTTAGATAAAAGCAAGACAGCATTGGTCATCAGGCTCTTACAAGTAAATCTGGCCATCTGCAGACTGAGTCACATCCAAGTTCAGGGGAACCACTGGGTGACATTCATATGAAAGTACTGTAATCCCAGCACTTTGGGAGGCCGAGGCGGGTGGATCACTTGAGGTCAGGAGTTCAAGGCTAGCCTGGCCAACATGGTGAAACACCATCTCTACCATAAATATAAAAAAATTACCTGGGTGCGATGGTGCACACCTGTAATCGCAGCTACTCTGGAGGCTGAAGCAGAATCACTTGAACCTGGGAGGTGGAGGTTGCTGTGAGCCGAGATCTTGCCACTATACTCTAGCCTGGGTGACAGAGTGAGACTCCGTCTCAGGAAAAAAAAAAAAAAAAAACTTTTTCTTCTTTGAAGGGACAAAAAAAATCTTATGACACAAAAGGAACATAATTTGTTGCAAAAGGGAAGAAAAATTGTGCAACTGAGACCTCCAATTATACCATCACAAGGAATAGCTTTAGAGAAATGCTTTCATTATAGAACTGATAGAAACAGGGACAAAGTCATGTGGTTGCCCTTTTTTAGGCACATAAATGAGCCTTCCCCAATGTACCCATCCTTTGTCTCTTTTCTATTCCAGGAGAAGAAGATTTGACAAAATTGATCATGCATTTAACAAAACATCTTTTAAGATATTTGAAGTAAATAAAATATTATAATAAACTATAAACAAATGTGACCACATATTTTAAGGTCAAATATTCTATTTGATTGGATATTATTTGAGGCAAATGGGTTACATATTTATTTAGACCTAGCATTCCTTGTTAGCAGAGAGATTTTCATGCTATTTCTTGTAGCAGGATCTGACCTATAGATAAACCTAAGTACTATTCAGAAACACAAGCTGGCAAAATGCAAATCCAAAACCAAAATCTGAAAGTAATATCAAAGATGCTGAAAGATTAACAGAAAGGACAGAAGACTCACCACACGTCTGCAGCAGACATAGAATCTTGCCTAAATCATTATGTTGGCTCTATTTGAACAGGGTAGAACCTGTGAGGCATTCAAATTCAAAACTTTACTTCGATGATTTCAAGGAGCAAGAAACAGCTGAACCGGTTCTAACTGAAGCAAAATGTCCTTATTCTACTCAGCTAAAGTCAGTTATGCATCCAAATAATTTTGAGATGAAATGAGCAGAATTCATCATGTACACTGGAGCCGGCTTCTTCACTTAACTCAATTCCACCTTTGGGCCTATATATGGCATACAATACTTTGAAACTACAAAACAAGTAGAAAAGGCAAATGAAGAGATAAAGGTAAGCAGCCAGTGGTTTCAATTAAGACACAAAGAGCCATCCCATTTAATGTGCCTGCTGTATGCAATGCACTTTTCTAGAGTACGTGCAGTGTGAAGATCAAGAAGATGCAGCCTGGCTCTCCAGGGGGCCCCAGCTGCATGGTGGCACCAGACGCGTATATTAATAACTTGCAAATAAGACAAGGGTGACAAGGGCTGTTGCGAATACAGAGTGATACGTAAGAATGCAGGAGAGAAAAATGCGTCCCCTGTTTGAAGGATATGGGAAGGCTTCCTAGAGGAGGTGAGGTTGCAGCGACACCTTGAAGAACTTACTTGCAGAACTTTGACAGTGCTGGGATGGAGTAGGGGATATGTCTGACCAAAGGCAGGAACGGCCTGAGCAAAGCCAAAGAAATGTGTCAAGGGCACTAAGTGTGTCAAGTGTGCACTAAGTGCACGAATGAGCTGGAGCAGAAAGAGGAGGAAGCAATGCAGTGGGCAGGAGGCGACAAAGGCCGTGAGAGATGAACCACGGACGCCCAGGCACGCTGCGGAGGAAAACAAGGACTTCATTCTGCACGCAATAATGAGCCATTAAAGGCTTCCGAGGAGGCAGATATGATTAGATCTCTGATTTAAATGACAACTCGTGGCAATTTGAGTTATGTTCTTAAAATCTACATTCCTCAGAGAAAATTTTGCAAAAATCTCTTATCAGGGCAGTAACTCTTTCTCTCTGTCACAGCTGCCCTGAATTCTCCTACCCTCATTCTGTTCTATAAGCCTCTGTGTGAAAACAAGCGCCTTTTTCTCCAAGTCGTTTCCTCCAACTGTTCGTTCCGTATGGACTCTGGGTGCCCTGTGTGGGCTCACATCTGTCTGCCCAGCAACGAGCCGCATCATCACGAGCATACCTGGAGGGTCTTCTGGGGACTCACCAGTAAGCCCGTGAGCCACAGAACAAAACTTCCATTTCCCTGTAAACATATTCACGGCAATGAAGCGCACGACGGAACATTTTTACGTGGATGAATAGCATCCATGTCCCTTAAACAGTTAACTCTGAGGTTAACTTCTTCCACGATTTCTCTAGACTCAAGAGAGTCAGAGTTCAGATCCTCCCTCTAGTCCTGCAATTAAAGACTCTGAATTTCTAAGGAAAGTTCTTTTTCGTCCTCTACCCTTAATTTCTGTGTATAAACAGACTCAATTTATCTAGGGCGAGAATTCCAATGCTGTATGTCCCACAGGTTAAAGAGAGTTCAGGTTATTTTCTTATAGGCATAAAAAATAAATTAGATTAAAATTCAAGTGGAGCAGAATAGTGAACAAGAAAAGAGAAAGAAACCAGCAAAGACAGGGTCAGGCCACACCATGCCATACCATCAACCTATTGCTTCCATTAGCTGTTCTCTTGGGGATCTGTCATTTTCTGTTGCTTCCACTGGACTCGGCTCAGCTGCAACAAGTCTGCCATTGGGAGCCTCTCCTGGGAGGTCGGCCTCAGTAAATATAGTAACTAGTATTTTTGATGTAATGCAGGATATGGGAAGAAAGGTACTTAGGGCATTTGGTGTGTATACCATATACATGTGTATGGGTACACACACAAGCTTGAGACAGAGAGAGAGAGGACTGCAAAGAGAGGCTTCTACCATAAAGCACTACTGAGGTATCTCTCCGTGGAAATTAAAGACAGAAGCACCCAATGAACTCATCTTCATCTCATTGGTAACCTTCCACTGGGCCAGATGGAGAAGGCTAATGCTATAATATATTAGAGCCCCCTCCACCCCAATCTCTGAGAAGCAGTTCAGCTTCCTCCCATGACCTGTCTCCTGTGGGAAGAGGCGAGAACCACACAGGAACGAGTGCTGAGCTCCTATAAGGCTACTAGAAGGGAAGAGACCCACCCAGGAGCTGGCGGTTTCTCCTCCACAAATGCCTCCCACCCAGTGCCGACTCCCCAGCACAGCAGTCGGCTCCCTCATCTCTCTTGCCTCCCTTGATGACGATGCAGGCTCTGCGGAGGCCCATCTTGGGTGAGCTCCCACATTCTGAATCTTCGTGGTTTACTGTAACCTCCCAGAGGATGAAAAGGGAAGGGAGATGTGAAAACCCAGATTAGGCAAATTACTAACCCTGACAAATATAAGGACATAACGAATCTGGAGCTGACATGTCCAAGGAGGAAACCACAGGCTGCATATGACTGTTGGCACTTAAATTAACTGAAATTCTCCATTCTCACTAGTCACAGGTGGCTAGTGGCTATCACATTGGACAGTAAAGTTAGACAACATTTCCGTCACGGTAGAAAGTTTTATTGGACAGCGCTGGTCTCAAGTCTCTTGGGAAGAGGTCTATTTGCACCTTGGATTAGGAATAAAATGTAGTGTTTGTGATAAAGTGAAAAGAGCACTAATTAGGATTAATTCTAGGCTGAGTTTTACTAATAGTGGACTAATAATGGCAACACAATCTGTAAAAATAATGGCACTGAAGTGGACTAAAGCTTTACCTTACAGAGTAAGATAAGGCAACAGGGTTCAATGGAAAGCATGGGACCCCGGAATTCACAAGAACTGAGTCCAAACGCCAGCACAGTCCTGATGCCCAGGAGCAAGTCACATGAGCTGCCCTAGCCTTCACTTCCTCAGCTGCATAATGGAACATCATCATCTATCTCATTTGCCAAATGAGGTCATAGATTTAAAATATACTTAAAAGTGTCCAGCTTGCTGCCAAATGCTAAACAAAAGCTGGGTGTACCCCCATAGGTTAGTACACAATATGTTTCTGTCTCCTTTTTCCCTAGGGAGGTTCTCATTAGCAGATGCCCAGGACATGGCACTGGTACCTTTTTCTCATACCACATGTCTCATCCCGTGGGCAACCTCTGACGGAGGCATTTTGTTGCCTGTGTTTGGCAAGCCCAGATTTGCTTCCTCCTCCTCCCTCCACTCTTCCTCCTCCATGTTCTCCTTCTCCTCTTTCTCCTTCTCCTACTCCTCATCCTCCTCCTCTTCTTCCCACCCACTACCAATACAACCACAAAAAGACGAGAAGGTTATTTTAAAGTCACCCATAAAATATGCCCTTGAAGTCCCGCCTTGGCTTTGAGAGAGGGGAAAAAAGACGTTATAGAGACGTCATTTATTGAAGTCCTCCTCTATCCAGAGCACTTGATTTGGACCGCGGGAATTAGCTTAAAAGAAAAAAAAAGGGGGTGGAGGGGGAAAGAAACATACACATTTGGATATTCTCTAAAAATACTAAGGGATTCTTCATACACATCAGCAAGTGTAAATTAATGTAGGCCAAGTCTAATAAATACTTGTGACCAAAATGAGAGACGGAGTAATAGGACACAGAGAATCTGGTGGGTTATTCAGGAAAGTTTCTTAGGGGAGTTCAAAATTGAGCCAGATTTTAAAGGAGGTGACAGACAGAGTTTGGCAAAAGGAGAGAAGGAGGCTTTCCAGGAAGGGGAATTATAACACTCTAAGGTGTAGAGACAGACAGGGAGGAGTTCCAATAGGTGAACGCCCAGAGACTGGGAGGGAGTAACACAAAGGCAGGCAGCCGCCAGGGTGGGGCCCGCAGGGAGAGGGAGGTCAGGCTGCAGAGGGCTTCCTGGGGAATTTCCTTTTGCTAATAAGCAGTAATGGAGAGCCACCGTGGATTGGTGAGTAGAGAAAACAGTGTTTAATGAAGACAATTCCAGCAGCTGTGTGGAGGGTGGAGGAGAGGAGGCGAGGTCCAGGCGGGGGATGCCAGCTAGAGTCCTGCACTAAGCAGTAGCCATGGAAATGGAAAATGAGGATCCAAGGAAACCATGCGGAGGGAGAACCGGCTGACATTGGCATGGAGTGGAAGTGGGGGATTTTGGAGAGGGGGCCAGTG